>NC_000016.10:13621351-14825134 GCF_000001405.40 Homo sapiens
AAAAACCAATAATGCAGGCTGGGCGTGGTGGCTCCCGTCTGTAATCTCAGCACTTTGGGAGACCCAGGGGGGTGGAACACTTGAGGTCAGGAGTTCTAGACCAGCCTGGCCAACATGGTGAAACCTTGTCTCTACTAAAAATACAAAAATTAGTCAGGCATGGTGGCAGGTGCCTGTAATCCCAGCTACTTGGGAAGCTGAGGCAGGAGAATAGCTTGAACTCGGGGGGCAGAGGTTGCAGTGAGCTGAGATCCTGCCACTGCACTCCAGCCTGGATGACACAGCGAGACTCCATCTCAAAAAATAAAAATAAAAAAAAATAATGCCCACACATCAGATGCATTGTGGTGCTAAGGAGACAGACCTGGAGTGGGGAACCCTTTTTCAGCAGGCCACCTGAATGAAATATTTGGATATGTAAAGTAGTGTAGGGATTAGTTTGGGTTACTAGTTTGGGGAGAGTGGAAATTTAGAACACTCTGCATTTGAAAGGCACAAGAATGCTAGGAGTTCAAGGCTGGCAAATGAAGAGGATAGGAGACATCCAGGGAGGTGGGGAAGATGGAGAAAGCTAAATCTTCAGCACAGATAGAGCTAGTAAGAAATTCCCAGTGCCAGGAAATGTTTGATGAATTGTTGGGATAACGATGTCTAATATTTCATCACAAGTTCTTGCCTACTTGGCTTCATGTGTCACCTCCAACTATTAGCAAAAATTATCTAGTTAAATAAGTAAATAAATATCTGCTAGACAGGACACGCTGTGTCAGTCAGCAGTACTTTGAAGACCATTCCAGTCTGGGTCAGGGGAGTGGAGAGAAGAGAGCAGTTTGTAGGAGGTAAGAAGCAAGAGGTAAGAAATTCATCCAAGGCAGTGACTCAAAGCAAGAGACAACCAGGAGAGTGTAAGCTCCTCCCACCCCAGGTTCTGGGAAAAATCCCTGCAGATACAGGACAAAGGTACTGGATTTCCAGCCACCTATTGGATTGGAGCTCTATACATTTTTTTTTCTTTTTAAAAAATTTATTTTTGTATTGTATGTATTAAAGGTGTACAACATGTTTTGATGTACATATACATGGTGAAATAGGTACTACATCAAGCCAATTAATATATCCATCATCTCAAACAGTTACTGTGTGTGTGTGTGTGTGTGTGTGTGTGTGTGTGTGTGTGTGTGTGTGTGTTAGGAGCATCTAAAATCTACTATTTTGGAAAATCTATACATTTTAGATTAATATTTAAGGACATAATTATCTAAAAAATCTGGAGTTGCCAATGAAAGCATGGAAGGCTTCCCAGAGGAAGTGACATTTAAACTGAGTCTGGAAGGAAGAGGTTCTCACCACACATGTTAGGCTAAGTAGGAAGGAAAGAGAGAACCACATATGCAAAACTAGGAGGCAGAAAGACCACCAAATGTTTCGGGAAACCAAGAGGTGTTTGGTATTATTAGAGTCCAGCCTATGTGGAACTGGTGGGATATGATATTAAATAGTATACAGACCTCTCTGGTTATGTTGATATTAATTTTTAAAGATATCCCCAATGCAGAGAAGGAAAGCATTGTGGCAGAAAACTGATGATTACACAAGGGTTTGAAGACCCATATTTTAATATTAATTCTATTGCTAACTTAAGCAATCAGTTTTCCTGATTTTCTGTTCCTTTATCTGTAAAGTAGAGACTATGAAATCTGACAAGGATGTGTTTATACCCTCCCAATACTGTACAAATACAGCATACTGGAATCAGAGAAGATTGTCTTCTCTGAGTAATGATGTAGGACAAGCCTATAAAAGAAGAATACTCCAGTTAAAGAAAAATAAAACTTTTCAGAACAAGTAAATGTGCTGTATTTAGGTCTCAGTGCTGGAACTGAATTGAGGCAAAAGGAACAAAAAACTGATGAAGGTATTGTCTCATGTGTAAACTAACAAGACACAATTTTAACAAATTCATTCCCATGTTATATTTCCTGCCCTTTATGGCCAAAGATGTGGAACATATAATTCCGAACCTCAAACTTAAGTCTTTCTACTTCCTTGGTCATTTCTGTTCTTGATGTTGTTACTGTTATTTCTACTTGATTCTCTCTGATTCTCTTCTAAGTATCTGTTAGGTGAAAGAGAGAAAATAAAAATACAGTACCTGGTAACTGGTAACAGGGATGTTGCAACGTAGGAGAATGCTTTTCCAAGCCATGCATCCTAAAGATACAAATATTTTTACTTAGGATATACGAGGGCATTAAATACTAAATGTGGGCAATAGAAATGTGAGTTTAGCAAGAACAGTCTTACAGAAGGCAAAGTGGGTAGACACATGGCTCCTCTGATGAGCAGGCACTCTTTTAATCTTCCTCTCTTTCGTGTGAGATGCTCCACGTCTAAGAGCCAGAACTGGCTGGCCCTGCACACTTCTCTAAAGCCCTCGTGCTCCCTGAAGCCATATTATATCAGTTCATCCCCCCCCAAGACTCATTCATCTGCTTTGAAAGAACTTAAGGCCTCAGATGAGGTCCTTCAAATGGTCTTTAGATACTGAAGTCCTACTTCCTCAGTGCGGACATCAAAGTCTTCAAAAAGTGGGTATTAGCAGTAAATCAAGTGGTTCTCTGGACATGGAGGTGGGAGTTAGATTCAAGGACAAGTCTGTAGCCTTAGCTGTACCTGGCACCATATCTCAAATAAATTATCTTGTGGGTAACACTTAAATAGTCAACACAGGACAAAGTCTATTAAGCATCACCATCATTAAATGCTAATTAAGCAACTATAATGAGCTAAAGGTTAAAAGAGATACCCAAGAGCAAAAACAACCATTCCCCCAAAGGCATCTATAGTTTATATAAGGATGCAAAACACATGCGTAAGAAGATAAACTAGCATGCATCTGGGGCCTCTGAGGATGCGGATGGCAGTGCATCAGAAGGTTATATTTATTAGCCTGACAAGGCTAACAAACTACACCATTTCATGAACTACACCATTTCATTCATTAATATATCCCCAGAAACTAACATAAAGTGTGACACATAGTGGGGGACCCTAAAATATTTGTTGAATTGGAGGATAAACGTAAAGATCTGGAGTGGTGATCAGGGAAGGCTGATTTGTATTTATTTATTGTTATTATTACAATTATTATTATTTTGAGCTGGAGTCTCACTCTGTCGCCCAGGCTAGAGTACAGTGGTGCAATCTCCACTCACTGCAGCCTCCGCCTCCTGGGTTCAAGCAATTCTCCTGCCTCAGCCTCCTGAGTATCTGGGATTACAGCCATGCACCACCAAGCCCAGCTAATTTTTGTATTGTTAGTAGAGACGGGGTTTCACCATGTTGGCCAGGCTGGTCTTGAACTCCTTATCCACCTGCCTTGGGCTCCCAAAGTGCTGGGATTACAGGCGTGAGCTATCGTGCCCAGCCGGCATACAATTTTTAGAAGACAGAATGTGCAGATGAATGATTGAGAACACTGACTCTAGAACCAGACGTTCTGAATTTGAATCCTGGCGGTGTCACTCATAAGGTAGGTGATTTGGGGCAAGTTGTGTAACCTCTCTGTGCCTTGGTTTCATTATCTGTGAAATGGAAACAAGCATAGAGTGGTAGGAAAAATTGGATACTTGTAAAACACTTAGACTGGGATGTGATAAGTACTTTTTAGAGGTAATTGATGATAATGATGAGGATAGGATCACAATAAAAAGATTGAGGTTCATACAGAATGAGCCATAGCTCAAGGAGTATTTAACGGCTGGAAACACGGGCCTGGCAGTGGTCATGTAGTGTGGTAGATGTGTTGGGAAGCAGTGAGAAATAAAAAAAAAAAGATGAGGCCCAGATCAGAGACAACTCCTCTCGAATGCCATATGATCTTCATAGTGCAAGCCCCCAAAAATTTTATAAAGCAGTGTTCCTTGAGGGACATTTTAGAAGATGCCAAAATAAATTGCATTGCTTTTAATAATTGAAATATCTTAAGTGCCCATCAGCAGGAAAATGGCCTAAGAAGCTTTGAAAATTTTCTACTATGGAGTACTGTGCAGCAGATAAAAAGAATGAAGTCAGTCTATATGAAAGAATATGGAAAGATCTTCAAGGCAAAATGTTGAGTGAAAAAGGCATGTTGCCACGTCATCGTTTTGTTTTTAATTTTTTGAAGAACCATCATGCTGTTTTCCATAGTGACCACACCATTTCACATTGAGCCAACTCTAGCCCCAAACCTCGCTAAAAATATTGTCAAACCATCTTAATCAAACCATTTACCTAGACAAAAGTATAGGTGATAGAAATGTTTACTGTGGTGCAATAGACATAGTACCATAAGGAAAAGATGAATGAACTGAATCAAGCATTAAAAAGCAAAGACAAATCCTTATACCAACAGTGTATCAGGGTTCCTATTTCTCTAAATCTTCACTAACACTTTTTGTCTTTTATGGGTGTTTTTTTGTTTGTTTGTTTGTTTTCTTCTTTTTTTTATTTTTTGGAGACGGAGTCTCACTCTGTCACACAGGCTGGAGTGTGGTGGCATGATCTCGGCTCGCTGCAACCTCCGCCTCCCGTGCTCAAGCGATTCTCCTGCCTTAGGCTCCCAAGGAGCTGGGATTACAGGCGCTGGCCACCACGCTGGGCTAATTTTTGTATTTTTAATAGAGATGGGGTTTCACCATGTTGGCCAGGCTGGTCTTAAACTCCTGACCTCAGGTGATCCACCCGCCTCGGCCTCGCAAAGTGCTGGGATTACAGGCATGAGGCACCATGCCCGGCCTGTCTTTTGTTTTTAAAAATTTTTTAATAATAGTTATTTTTACAGGTTTTAGGTCATATCTCATTGTGGTTTTGATTTCCATTTCCCTGATGACTAGTGGCTTGGAGCATTTTTTCATATACTTGTTGGCTACTTTTATGTTTTCTTTGGAGAAATGTCTATTCAGGTCTCTAGACCATTTTAAACGGGATGATTAATTTTTTATTTCTTGCTATGGAGTGTAGGAGCTCCTTATAGATTTCAGAAGTCAACCGTTTATCAGATATATGTTTTGCAGATATTTTCTCACTTTCCTGAAGTTGTTTTTTCTACTCTGTGGAAATTTCCTTTGCTGTACAGAAGTTTTTTAGTTTGTTGTAGACTTATTTGTCTATTTTTGCTTTTGTTGCCTATGCTATTGTTGTCAAATCCACAAAATCATTGCCAAGATCAATGTCATGAAGCTTTTCCCCCACTTATTCTTTCAGGAGTTTCTTCCAAAAGAATTGAAATCAGGATCTTGAAGCGATGTTAGCACTCTCGTGTTTATTGCAGCACTATTCACAATAGCCAAAATGAAGACAGACAAGCTAAGTGTCCATCAGCAGATGAATGGATACAGAACAATGAAATATTACTCAGCCTTCAAAGGCAAAGAAATTCTGCAATATGTAACACCATGAACTGAACCTTGAGGACATTATGCTAAGTGAAATAAGCCAGTCACAGAAGGACACATACTGCAAGATCTTATATATATGAAATATTTAAAACAGTGGCCGAGCGTGGTGGCTCACACCTCTAATCCCAGCACTTCGAGAGGCAGAGGGGGTAGGATCACCTGAGATCAGGAGTCTAAGACCAGTCTGGCCAACATGGCAAAACCCCATCTCTACTAAAAATACAAAAATTACTCGAGCGTGATGGCACGTGCCTGTAATCCCAGCTACTCAGGAGGCTGAAGCAGGAGAATCGCTTGAACCCTGTAGGCGCAGAGGCTGCGGTAAGCCAAGATCACACCATTGCACTCCAGCCTGGGCAACAGAGTGAGACTCTGTCTCAAAATTTTAAAAATAATGATAATAATAATAATAAAATAAAATAGTAAAATCACTGAGTTAAAAAGTGGAATGGTGGCTGCTAGGGGATGAGGGAAAGGGAAATGGAGAGTTGTTCATAAGCAATCGTAAAGTTTCAGTTAAGCGGAATGAATACGTTCTAGAGATCTGCTGTACGACACCGTACACAACCAACAATCCTGTGTGCTTCGACATTTTTTAAGAGATCTCATGTTGAGTGCTCTTATCACAGTAAAATATTTTTTTTAAAAGCGTGTTGCTAAATAAATAAATCATGATACTATTTACATGTACACACATGCAGGCACACACATTTCAACACATTTTCTATTCTACATATTTTCGATTGGCAAGTGTTTTTACAAATACAAAGAATCGGCCGGGCATGGTGGCTCATGCCTGTAATCTCAGCACTTTGGGAGGCCGAGGCAGGCGGATCACCTGAGGTCAGGAGTTCGAGACCAGCCTGGCTAACATGGCGAAACCCCATCTCTCTTACTAAAAATACAAAAATTAGTCAGGCATGGTGGCACGTGCGTGTAATCCCAGCTCCTCTGGAGGCTGAGGCAGGAGAATTGCTTGAACCCAGGAGGCGGAGGTTGCAGTGAGCCAAGATTGTGCCTTTGCACTCCAGCCTGGGTGACAAGAGTTAGACTCTGCTAAAAAAAAAAAAAAAAGAAAAAAAAAAAAAAGAATCACGTCTGGAAGTTCACATACACAAGTGCTGCCTTTGGAGAAGTGGAGAAAGAAATAGTATTTTAAGGATAAGAAGGCTGTCAAAGGGATTTTTAACCACATCCATAAGGGTTTTACTTTTAATAACGAGAGTATGCATTATTTATGTAAACAAAAAGTAATCATTTTTAAAAGAAATTTGTTTGCATGGAGGAGAAACTCGAAGGTGGAAGCTTAATTGGAAACTATTGTAATTGTCTAGGTTTGAGGCCATGGGTAGCAATGTTAGAGATGGAAATGACAAAGAAAATTACAGTGTATGAGTCAACAGAATGTAGCGTAGCAGAAAAGAGAGGCCACAGACTGAGATTCAAGGGAGAGAGTGAGTTCAGCTTTATAAACCAAAGTCCTGAGGACCGCTATTATGTAAACCTCTATTGCTTGCATGTGGATTGCTTTCTCTCGCATAATAATGACCAATTAGATCAGTTAATTTTGTCGATTAATTAGTTACTTGGTCCACAGCTGTGTTAACAGCTTTATGAAACAACCACAAAGAAACCCCCAGACAGCTGATTTGATATTGAGTAGCTACAAGCTTGGTCTTGTTTAATAAGAAATAGACCAAATGAGGCTAGAAGGTATTTATCAGTGCATTGAGTCTGATACACTAAATGGTTCACTACTGATCCAGGGAATTTATTTTTATGCCATCAAAAGAGAGTAGTTCAAACCTTGGGTGACTTGGATTTAAGCATTTCTGGTCAGTACAGAGCCTAAATGCATATTTCACTTGCATCCAAGCAAAATGACATTTATAATATCCTTTTCAAGGCCCACAGATAGCCCCTTTTCTTTCTGACAGCAGATCCATTTAAAAATACAGTTACTGAATCAAGTTTCATATTAATTCCATTGGCAGTCTTCTATTGGCAATACTAAATATAGTTCACTTCAAATAATGTAAGATGCAAGATGATTAACCTATTGAAGCAGAGTTCTTAATGTTGGGCAAATGAGGGTGGTAGCCCATGGATGGACCTCACAGATCTAAGCACATTCTGAAATATGATGAGGCAAAATTCTCTGAAGTTTTGTTTCTTAATTTGTCAGGGAGCACAAGTCCATGGTTTAAATGAGTTTTTTTAAAAAAAAATTTTTTTAGGAACTGCTACAGTTTTTTTTTTCTACACAATAGGTCATTGTAGCTAATTGAATTGTTCTAAGTGGACTACGAATTGCTGATTCTGACATACAAAATTATAAAATTGAAGTTATTCATAGTAAGTCAATCCTTTAAGGAGCCTATGACATGTGAACGAATCAGTTTTTAAAAAGTTACAGTCTGTGATAGGTCAAACATTTCTCAGAAACAATGTCTAAGAAGAAAAGTTTTAAGGAGAAAAAGGCTTAGTCTGGCTGATAAAAATTCTGGGAGACTTTTAGAAGCAGAAAGCACTGAAATGTCCTTTATAGAACAGGTAGGAATTTACAGACAAATTATGAAAAGTCAAGTTCTCAGTTAAAAAAAAAAAAAAAAAAAAAAAAAGGTGGGGAGAGGTTTAACCAGAGTCGTGGAGACAGGAAAAGAAAAGTCGTCCTCAACAGCTGAAACTTTCAGGGCAAAAGTAGGAGCAAAAACAAGAAATAAAGTCCTACTTAAGAAGGCTAAGCCCTATTCAATAGGAGATGTAAGAATTGAGGAGTTATTTAATGTTTCGGATCAAGGGGATGACACGAAGAGTAGATCTATCCAGTGTGGAAGTAGAAAGATTGGAAGAGACAGGGCCATTTTTCTGTACAATATCCAGGATAGAGAAGATGAGCCATTAAGACCAGCTGGGGCATGTGCAAGACCAGCTAGGGTTTGGAAGTAGCTTGTTGCCAAAATCAAAATTTCTGCTTCAATTGACTGCCTTTTTCAAATGCTTAGTTGACATGTGCATACATAGACACAAACCCTTAGCATCTGCTGGACTAAGTCCTAGGAGTACGCATTTGCAATATTCCTTCCCCTAGTAACTGACCTTTATCCTGGTTTGTCCTGGTACACTCAGTCCAAAAAGATACAGTTGCAGCAAACACCAGAGGACAGGAGTGAGTTCCCTCCACAACTTTCTGTTCCTTGGCTATAATCTTTTTTTTGAGACAGGGTTTCACTCTGTTGCCCAGGGTGGAATGCAGTGGTGTGATTACAGCTCACTGCAGCCTCGACCTCCCAGGCTCAGCCTCCCAAGTACCTGGGACCTCAGGTGCATGCCACCACATCTGGCTAATTTTTCTATGTTTTGTAGAGAAGGGATTTTACTATGTTGGCCAGGCTGGTCTAGAACCCTTGGGCTGAAGCCATCTGCCCTCCTTAGCCTCCCAAAGTGCTAGGATTACAGGCATGTGCCACCATGCCTGGCCTCTTGGCTATAATCTTAACATCCTGCCTTTCTTATCACCATAAGACATCCATGAATGTGGCAATCTCCACCTTATCCCTGCTTGGAGAAGAGTAGCCCTGTCTGTCTTCACCATCCCCTTGCTTCTATCTATCATTTGAAAAATTAATTATATAACATACTCAGGCTGATTAGTAAATAAGTGGCCACAGGGCCAGAGGACATATCGAATAAAAAATACTTTCACTTTCTCTAGAAACTATAGCACTGAAGCACAGGAAAAAAATCTGAGGTCTCTACATCACACCACCTACAGAACACAAGCTACTGAGATCATCGTCTTGCATATAATTATTGGGACAATTCAACAGAACGAAAAGGAACTGTAGGATGGGAATCTGATCGTGTACAGAGATTTCCACAAAATGCAGTGGGTGTGCATGGTGTTCTGTGAGAGCAAGTGTTCTTTGGTAGGAAATACTAAATCTCCTCTTAAGTCACAGGTGATTATAAACGTGACTTTTTGCTTTTGGCAGACACAAAAAAGGAAAATGCCTACCCACAAGACTGGAAAAGAAAAAGGCTAAATATTAAGATCTCAACCTAATTTTATCAATTAGCGGCTGAACAGGAGTTAGATGAGGCCAGTATCTTTGAACAGAAGCTTCATGTTTGACCCAATTTGATGAGCAGCAATTGATCTTGTGAGGTCCAGAGATTCCCTGAGACCCCCGTATAATACTATTTCCTCCTGGAGAGAACATTACTTTTGAACAGGGTGCTCCAGAGTCTATGTGTTATTTCTAAGATTATCTGGCTCCTCTGTAATAAGGAAGAATTTTTCATTGTCTGAAGGTTCTTTGCTTAATGTTTCATTTTTCTGGGTAATTGTTGCAGGTACAAAAGTCCCTCATTATTTAAGAATCTTAGTCAGTAAAATGGGTAAGTATGTAGGTGTGAAAGGAAAATAAATCTTGGGTTCCCAACATCACTCAGCTCAAGGGAAATGTCAAGCTGGGAACTGGGTCACTTGCCTCCCCTTTTGCTTCCTCAATAAGACGGCTACAAGATGAAAGCTACATGCCTCCCCATATTTTGCCCACAAGGAAACACCTAGTGAGCTCCCAGATCTTTACTCTGAATTGTTTCTGTTAAAATGTAACCATGGCAATGTAAATTGATAGCTTATCTTTAGAGGGACAGTCACCCCCTGCCCCAGACACAAATGCCTATCTGATTGTTCCCTTGCCCCATTTTGTCTGTTATCTTATGTAAAAAATGTAGACTCTGTATTTTTCCTCCACCCCATTTTTGTCTATGTCATCTTATTTTTTAAAAAACGCAGATTCACAGAGCCAGACAAAGGCATAAGTAACTATTTTTCCCCACTCCCTTCTTACACAAAAATTGTGTACTTCTCAATATCCTGCCCTTTCCCCCTTTAAATTTGGAGCCCTCAAAATCATCTTCAGAGAAAGGCATAGACCTGTCTCCTGGGTGCATGTCCTTAACTTTGGCAACTCCTAAAATGATTGAGATTGTTTTGTCATTTTTCTCAATTGAGATAGGTAAGTAGGTAGATAAACAGATAGATGGAGAGAGAGAGGAAAAATAAATCTTGAGACCCCCAAATCACTAAGCCAAAGGGAAAAATCAAGCTGGGAACTGCTTAGGGTGAAACTGCCTCCCATTTTATTCCAAAACAAGATAGCTACAAAGATATGAAGCTATGTACCTCCCTCACCATTTGTCCACAGGAAATTCCTTGTGGACAAAGGACAGACAGAACTCAAAGTCGTCCCCCGAGACTCACCTGAGACAAATGCATATCCAATTGCTTCCTCTGCCCTACTGTTTATGTAAAAATGCAGACTCACTGAGCCACACTAAACTGTGTATTCGGTGGAAGGCTGGTCAAGGACTCAAAAGAATCCAACCTTTTGTCTCTTATCTACTTCTAATCTGGAAGCCCCCACTTGGAGTTGTACAATATGTGTATTATATACCTTACACATATTGACTGATGTCTCATGTCTCCCTAAAATGTATAAAAGCGAGCTGTATACCAACCACCTTGGGCACATGTCATCAGGACCTCCTGACGCTGTGTCACAGACGCTTCCTTAACTTAGCAAAATAAACTTCCTAAATTGACTGAGACCTGCCTCAGCTATTTGGGATTCATAATAGATACGTTACCAGAAAGGGGTCCCTATCCAGACCCCAAGAGAAGGTTCTTGGATCTCACACAAGAAAGAAAGAATTCAGGGTGAGTCTGTAAAGTGAAAGCAAGTTGATTAGGAAAGCAAAGGAATAAAGAATGGCTACTCCATAGACAGAGCAATCCCAAGGGTTGCTGGTTGCCCGTTTTTATGGTAATTTCTTGATGATATGCTAAACAGGAAATGGATTATTCATGCCTCTCCTTTGAAGACCATATAGGGTAATTTCCTGACGTTGCCATGGCATTTGTAAACTGTCATGGCGCTGGTGGGAGTGTAGCAGTGAGGATGCCCAGAGATCACTCTCGTTGCCATCTTGGTTTGGTGGATTTTAGCCGGCTTCTTCACTGCAACCTGTTTTATCAGCAAGGTCTTTGTGACCTGTGTCTTGTGCCGACCTCCTATCTCATCCTGTGACTCAGAATGCCTTAACTTCCTGGGAATGCAGCCCAGCGGATCTCAGCCTTATTTTACCCAGCCCCTACTCAAGATAAATAGATAGATGATAGATAGATAGATAGATAGATAGATAGATAGATAGATAGATAGATATCTACCACCAATGTCAAAAATAAGGTTAAAGAACACTTGTGAGGGGCTAATAACCTCCTCCAAAGGCATCTACATCGTAATTCCCAGAACCTGTGAATATGTTACCTCACTTGGCAAAAGGTACTTTTAAGATGGGATTAAATTACAGAGATCAGCCTGCATTATATGTTTTGGCCCAGCGTAAGCAAAAAGGATCCTTATAAAAGGGAGGTAGAGACCAGAATCAGAAGAGATGTGGCAACAGGAGCAGAGATTGGAGCGATGTACTTTGCAGATGGAGGAAGGGGCCCCAAGCCAAGGAGTACAGGCAGCCTCCTAGAAGCTGGGAAAAGCAAGGAAATCCACCCTCCTCTAGAGCCTCCAAAAGGAATGTAGCCCTGCCAGCGTCTCAGCTGAAGGACTCCTGACCTCCAGAACTGTAAGGTAATACGTAGTGTTGTTTTGAGTCATTAACTTGCGGTCATCCTTTGCAGCAGCAATAGAAAACTAATCTAGCCCTATAATTGGAGTCATTAAGGCCTCTTATTTCTGCCCAAAAGAAACAATAAAAAGGTAAAAATGCCCCCTAACAGCCACCACCACCACTTTCCTACCACAGGCCTGTGGCAGGCCAGGTTTCCCTAACGGCTGAACAGGCAGGCCTTAGTGGCCTGTTCAGCACTGACTGAGTGGTTAAGTTAAATATTAAAAGCTGAGAGAACCAGTGCCCTTATACAAAGGCTGGAATGTGACAAAAGCCCACCCAGAGTTGTGCCCAGGCCTTCCCTGGGCCTTGAAGCATGACAAGATAACGAAGGAATTCTTAACAGGACCCATTTAGGATTCAACAAGTTTTACTGGCGGTGTGAAGAAACTCCCCAGGCCTCCACAAACAAGTTTATTGGGAGTCTGAAGGGACTCCCCAAACCTCCATGATTTAGCAGCAGACAAGATAAGGGTAATCACCCCAGCACCTGGACCCATTTAGATTAAGTAAATTTACTGAAGCTCCAGAGGAAGGTCTTCAGGACTCAGACCTTAGACTAGAATAAACTAATCACTTAGGTCTCTAGATGAATATACACTTACACATGGACATAGCTTAGTACGTATATAAGCTCTGGAAAACTTTGTAATTTTGAGTTGGTCTGGCAGTATTTTCCAGGCCTATTCTCTGTAACTGGTTACAGAAATAGAAACTCCCTCCTTTCCCAGTTCATCTGCATGCATCTCATTACTGGGCCGTGAGAATAAGCAGCCGGACCTTCTCTGTTTGGTCTGGGAACAGGTCCCCAAAGGCACCTGAAGGATCTGACCTACAGTGAAGACCTCATTCTACTGTCTAGAGAAACAAATTATTAGAAATTATTAGAAAGGCTTTATTAGCCATTTATTTCTAATATCTATCCATTAGAAATTATTTATTAGAAATTAGAAATAATTATTAATTTATTAGAAACTCAAAAAATTATTTATTAGAAATTAGAAATAAATAATTTCTAATAGACAGATATTGGAAATAAATGTCTAATAATGCCTTTCATACAACTATGAAATAAATGTCTAAAAAATCCTTCCACTGGCTCCAATCTCTTTATGGTTTCTATTTTCAATCCATTATTATTATTATTATTATTTATTTTTTTTTTTTTTTGAGATGGAGGCTCGTCTGTTGCCCAGGCTGGAGTGCAGTGGTGCGCTTTTGGCTCAGTGCAAACTCTGCCTCCTGGATTCAAGTGATTCTTCTGCCTCAGCCTCCCAAGTAGCTGGGACTACAGGCACCCACCACTATACCCAGGTAATTTTTTATATGTTTAGTAGAGACGGGGTTTCACCATGTTGGCCAGGCTGGTCTCCTACTCCTGACCTCAGGTGATCCGCCTGCCTCGGCCTCCTAAAGTGCTAGAATTACAGGTGTGAGCCACCGCACCTGGCCTTATCCATTATTATTAAAAGAATAAAAACGTGGCCTGGCACAGAGCGTGAGCAGCCCAAGAAGGCAAATCCTCCAACACTAGTCAAGCAAAGAAGGAAAAATCTGCACAAGGCAAGTCAGGCCTGAGGTTTCATGGAAGGGTGATTTCATGGAGGAAAGCATTACAGGGTGAGGTGGCACATTGGTTTAGCGTGGGTCTCCTGAGAGCAGTGTCCATGACAAAGGCCTGCATGCAGTAGTTCATTAAAGACGTGACTGTAGCGAGTTAGAGTGAGAGATTCCAGGGAAGCAGAACAAGGGAAAAGAGAAAGCAGTCCATACATGTACAATGAGGGGTCACTGCCCAGGGTGACAGGCGCTCAGTTTGCAAATGTTAATGAATTGCATTTGTGGAAATGCAAATGTGAGTAAATGCATCTCAGAACTCTTTGCCTGAGGCATTTACCTGCTCAGCCCCATTGTCCATGAGTAGTACATGGAACACACACACACACAAACACACACACACACACACACACACATTCCTGGGTCCCAGGTGAAAGTCAGTTCCAGCAGTCCACCCCCATTACCATCATGGTGTCAGAGAAGCCCTGAGGTGGGAAGCCGGAGATATACCCGAGGGTCCAGGGTGGAGGATGCCCAGCTGAAGATGGTTGGCCTTGCTCTGAACTGGTCACTGAAAGAACATCTGGAATAAGAAGTGGGGTTGGGAGGATGTACAGTGGTCTTCAAGAGGGATCCAATACAATGATAAAACCCAAACAATGTAAAGGAAAGAAGGATATATTTAGAAGCCTAAAAAAAAAAAGCAAATCAGCCCATATAGTGTGGTCAGTACCATGTGTTATCAATGGGGCATGGAGCTCCTGGTCTATAGTTACCATATCTCCAACGCCTGCCATGATACTAGAAGCCACCATAGCAGGTCCTCAGAAAAAGTAGGTAAGAATGAATTAAGTTATTGATAAAGTTTGGCTGTGTCCCCACCCAAATCTCATCTTGAATTGTACCTCCCATAATTGCCACATGTTGTGGGAGGGACCTAGTGGGAGATAATCAAATCCCTGGGGCAGTTTCCCTCCTACTGTTCTTGTGGTAGTGAATAAGTCTCACAAGATCTGATGGTTTTATAAGAGGTTTCCCCTTTTGCCTAGCTCACATTCTCTCTCTTGCCTGCCACCATGAAAGACGTGACTTTGCTCTTCCCTTGCCTTCCACCATGATTGTGAGGCCTTCCCAGCTGCGTGAAACTGTGAGTCCGTTAAACCTCTTTTTCTTTATAAATTACCCAGTCTCATGTATGTCTTTATCAACAGCATGAGAACAGACTAATACAGTTATTTTCCACTGCCCTCTCCCCTGTGTTCATGTCCAATGGCTGCTGTAACTAATGACGTCTAACTTAGTGGCTAGAAATAACAGAAGCTTATTGTCTTACAGTTCTGGAGGCCAGATGGTTCAAAATCAAATTTCACTGAGTCAAAACCAAGGTGTCCATAGGGCTGTGCTCCCTCTGAGGCTCCAGGGCAGAATCCTTTTTTTACCTTTTCTAGCTTCGGTGGCTCCTGGAGTTCTATGGCTTGTGACAGCATCACTCCCATCTCTGCCTCTGTCTTCACATGACCATCTCCTCTCTGTGTTTCTCCATGTCCTCTCCTAGTTTTATAAGGAAATAAGCCATTGGATTTAGGCCCACCCTAAATCCAGAACTTTATCTCAAGATCGTTAACTAATTACGTCTTCAAAGACCCTACTTCCAAATAAGGTCACATGCTAGAGTTCTGGGTAGATACCAATTTTGGAGAGACATAATTCAGCCCCATCACACTCCCCTCTTCCTCAAAGTGACAGGAGTCTTGGGTCAATTCTGGGGCTCAATGGAAGGTTGGGATTGGAGGCACTCAAGGAATGATCCAGGAAGAGGCACTAAAAAGCTAAACTAGGAGAGAAGCAGAGGAGGGAAAAGAAGCAAGGGTTGGGTAAGAAGCACTGCAGATCCGGGTGCGGTGGCTCACGCCTGTAATCCCAGCACTTTGGGAGGCTGAGGGGGGCGGACCATGAGGTCAGGAATTCAAGACGAGCCTGACCAACATGGTGAAACCCCATCTCTACTAAAAATACAAAAATTAGCCAGGCGAGGTGGTGTGTGCCTGTAATCCCAGCTACTCAGGAGGCTGAGGCAGGAGAATTGCTTGAACCTGGGAGGTGGAGGTTGCAGTGAGCCGAGATGGTGCCACTGCACTCCAGCCTGGGTGACAGAGCAAGACTCCATATCAAAAAAAAAAAGGCCAGGTGTGGTGGTTCACGCCTGTAATCCCAGCACTTTGAGAGGCCAAGGCAGACGGATAATGAGGTCAGGAGATCGAGACCATCCTGGCTAACATGGTGAAACCGTGTCTCTACTAAAAATACAAAAAATTAGCCGGGTGTGGTGGCAGGCGCCTGTAGTCCCAGCTACTTGGGAGGCTGAGGCAGGAGAATGGCGTGAACCCGGGAGGCAGAGGTTGCAGTGAGACGAGATCGCACCACTGCACTCCAGCCTGGGGGACAGAGAGAGACTCCATCTCAAAAAAACAACGAAAAAAAGAAGAAGCACTGCAGAGAAGGGAAGTGAAAAACGACCCCAAGCTTCTAAGCCTGAATTACCAGAAAATGGAGAAAGTAACATTTGTGCTGCAATGGAAAACTGCAGGCTTTCAAGATCTCTTCTTCCTGGTTATTTGATTTTATAGGAGTTATTTTACAACTGTGTCAGTTGTAAATAACCAATGTCAATAGAAGTAATTCTGATCCATAGATATGCAAATGAATTACGTCCATAAAGGAAGAACTTCTCCCTCTCACCATGAAAAAAACAGTTTTGTATCTATTTGTACATTCACTTCAACCTTCCTTTCCTTTTTATAAATCTGTGTTTCTTTGGCTTTTCCTTTGAACTGTTTATTGCTTGGTTTCCTCATTTAATTCATGGGTTAAATAAAATCTTTAACATACATATTAGTTTGCTGAGGCTGCCGTAACAAATTACGAAAAGGTGGGTGGCCTAAGACAATAGAAATGTATTAATGTTGCAATTCTGGAGGATAAAATCCAGGTATCTGCAGGTCTGAAACCCAAGTATCTGCAGAACCATGCTCTCTAAAGGCTCTACAGAGCCTCCTTCTGCCTTGCATTTTCCTCACTTCTGGAGGTTGCCAGCAATTTTTGGCTTGTAGACACACCTCTCTCATTTCTGCCTCCATCTTCACATGGCATTCTATGGGTCTGTCTCCAAAAGAATATTGGATTTAAGGCCCACCATAATCTGGTAAGACCTCATCTTGTAATCTGATTACATCTGCAGCAACCCTATCCCTAAATAAGGTCACATTCACAGGTTTCAGGTGGACACACATTTGGGGGGACCACTCTTCAAACCACTATACACATGTTTACTTTATATCAGAATGGGAGTCATGATTTGACTTCTTTGGAAAAATTTTCCTATAACAGAGGTGATGCCGTTAAAAGCAATGTCAGCAGGAAATGATGGGTTAGTATGGGAGAGGCGAAAGAGAAAGTGTTTAAGAGTTGAACATGTGGAATTGGCCTAAACTCAAGTGGGGCTGGAGGCCAGAGAAGAAGGAAGAACTAGATGGAGAAGAGTAGGGATCTCAGTTCTATCCAATGGGCTCATTTTACAGGTGGGAAAACTGAGGCCCAGAGAGGAGTAACTCTCTCAAAGGCACAGAGAGGGTGATTGGAAAAAGTAGACTGCAACCTCGACTTTTGACTTCCAGCCAGGATATACACACTGGTTAGAAAGGTTTTTGATAGTTTCAGCATTTTTTTTTTTTTTTTCAGATGAGGTTTTGCTCTTGTTGACCAGGCTGGAGTACAATGGCGCAATCTTGGCTCACCGCAACCTCCACCTTCCGAGTTCAAGCAATTCTCCTGCCTCAGTCTTCCCAAGTAGCTGGGATTACAAGCATGTGCCACTATGCCTGGCTAATTTTGTATTTTTAGTAGAGACGGGGTTTCTCCATGTTGGTTAGGCTGGTCTCAAACTCCTGACCTCAGGCGATCCACCCACCTCAGCCTCCCAAAGTGTTGGAATTACCGGCGTGAGCCACCACGCCCGGCCTAGTTTCAGCATTCAGATGGAGAACTTTCACATTTTCCCTGGAAATCTCTCACATATAACACCCTTCACATCTCCATGTGTGCACATGCATAAATATACACATAAGAAAAAGTTCTACCCACATAGAGTCACAAAAAAAGCTCTCATTAGAAAGCTGATTCTTGGCTGGGCATGGTGGCTCACGCCTGTAATCCCAGCACTTTGGGAGGCCGAGGTGGGCAGATCAGGAGGTCAGGAGACTGAGACCAGCCTGGCCAACAAGGTGAAACCACATCTCTACTAAAAATACAAAAGTTAACTGGGCGTGACGGCGTATGCCTGTAATCCCAGCTACTCGGGAGGCTGAGGCAGGAGAATCCCTTGAACCTGGGAGGTGGAGGTTGCAGTGAGCTGAGATCGCGCCACTGAACTCCAGCCTGGAGACGGAGCTAGACTCCATTTCAAAAAAAAAAGCTGATTCTTTTTTTAAAATCTGAGACAGAATCTCCCTCTGTGGCCCAGGCTGGAGTGCAATGGTGCAGTCTCGGCTCATTACAACCTCCGCCTCCCGGGTTCAAGCTGTTTTCCCACCTCAACCTCCTGAGTAGCTGGGACTACAAGTGCCTGCTACCACACCGGGCTAGAAAGCTGATTCTGAATCAAAATTCAACGATACATAATTAGCTTACATACCTCCCTGATTACATCAGTGTGAAATCTTTGGGCTACAAGGAAATATCTAAACTGTAGACAACTCTATAGCTATTAGTACAATAAAATAGATTTCGAGACAAGGATTTTCATACTTGATAATGTTACAGGTACAGAAGATCTCTAAATTCATAGAATTTACAAAAGAAATTGTGAAAATGGAAAGTATTACAGTCTCAACTTGCACTTTTTTTCTTAATTATTGTACTGACACGACAGGCCTAGAAATACCATAATCAAGCATCATTTTCTTGTCTAACCCCACAGTAATATTCCAGCTCCCAAGAGTTTATATAATAACCAAGTCATAAAATGTAGAATAATTTCAACTTTCTTTTACTCGATACCCCTGTATGCATTAGTCACATAGTGATATTTCTTTACCAGAAAGAGACTTGAGAAAATGTTGTCATTTGTTTCATAAACTTTGCTCAGAACTTCGGTGCTTCAGAGAGCTATCTCTCCTATTCTGCATGTACAATCGCATTTCTATCAGGATGACGTTTTTGCTCAAATGTTGCTAAACACTTTGGGGGTAAATATAAAAATAATATCCATGAAATGTTTTATATTTCCACTCTTCCTATGATGTTATCTCATTTGATTGTCACGACCACTCACTGAGCTATTCTTTTACCCATTTTAGAGATGAGAAAACTGAAGTTCAGAGAAAGTTAATTGACTTGTCCAATTAATGCCAAGTTGTCAAAGCAGCTGAACTGGTACCTCAATACCAAGCCTCCTCCTCTTTCCCATGCCCCAGGTCACTGTCCACCACCTTAAATGAGGCCAAAAACATGTTCTGCAATGAGCATGTACTCTCTAAAAATGAGAGGGGATTTTTTTGTTTTTTGTTGTTTTGAGATGGAGTTTCACTCCTGTTGCCCACGCTGGAGTGCAATGGCACAATCTAGGCTTACTGCAACCTCCACCTCCTGGGTTCAAGTGATTCTCCTGCCTTAGTCCCCTGAGTAGCTGGGACTGCAGGCATGCTCCACCATGCCTGGTATATTTTTGTATTTTTAGTAGAGACTGGGTTTTGCCATGTTGGCCAGGCTGGTCTTGAACTCCTGACCTCAGGTGATCCACCTGCCTCAACCTCCCAAAGTGCTGGGATTACAGGTGTGAGCTACTGCACCCAGCAAGAGAGGGGGTTGTTTTAAAAACCCATTACTGAGATGACATATTTGGAGTTGCTTGAAGAGCAAACAAGATCTGTTCAGAGAAAATGATAATGCCATAATGGCACACAGTAGGTGCACAATGAAAACTAATGAGTAAACACTACCACATGCACTAAAATGAGTACAAAAAGCCATAAATGTCTAGAATGCCAGATGTGGAAAGAACACAAATGTCTAGACCAATGGTTCTCAACTGGGGGTGTCAGCTGTCACAGCTGTGGGAGGTGCTACTGGCATCTAGTGGGTAGAGGCCAGGGATGCTGCTTGCTGCTAAACATCTGATATGGTTTGGCTGTGTCCCCACCCAAATCTCAATTCTAATTGTAATCCTCATATGTCAAGGGAGGAACTTGGTGGGAGGTGACTGGATCATGGGGACGGTTTCCCCCATGCTGTTCTTGTGACAGTGAGTGAGTTCTCACGAGATCTGGTTGTTTGGTAATTGGTGCTTTTCCCTTCTTTCTTTCTCTCTCTCCTGCTGCCTTGTGAAGATGTGCCTTTCTTCCCCTTCCCCTTCTGCCACAATTGTAAGTTTCCTGAGGCCTCCTAGTCATGCTTCCTGTTAAGCCTACAGAATTGTGAGTGAAACCTCCTTTGTTTATAAATTATCCAGTCTCAGGTATGTCTTTACAGCAGTGTGAGAACAGACTAATACGACAACACACGGATCAGACTCGGACAACCAAGAATTATCCACCCCAAAATACCAATAATGCTGGGAATGAGAAACCCTAATCTAGATCAGTGGTCTACAAACTTTTTCTGGAGAGAGCAAGAGAGTAAATATTTCAGGGTTTGCTACTTACAGCAAAAGGAACGATGGATAACATATACATGAATGATCAAGGCTGTGTCTCAACAAAACCATATTTACAAAAACAGGCAGCATCCTGAAATTGGCTCACAGACTGTAGTTTTTCAACCCTGATTTAGATTAATGGTTTCCTAATTTTTTCTTCTAAAAATGATGAAATGTTTCATTCATTCAAATGAAATACTGCATGAAATCCAAGGTATGAAGCAGATTAAAGGGATGCTTCTTTGGTTGAACCAAGGGTGCATTCAAGGTGGCTCTCAGAGAAACTCCTGTAGTAGCCTGGACAAGCCTACTCACTGTATAGTTTAGAGCCTTCTCATCTTACTCAAATGTCACTTCAGAATGATCATGGTATTCTCTGCTCAAAATCCTTCGGTGGCTTCCCATTGCTTCTGAGGTAAAGTCCTTCCTCCAACCTATAGGATCTCTCATGGGAGTGTGGCTCGATGGCTCCAGATCCTTACTAAGAAGCTTCCAGGTCTGACTATACCACTTACGGTCTGTGCGACTATGGGCAAGTTACTTCACCTCTCTGAGCCTCAACTTCTTCATGTATATACCAAAAATTATTAACAAAACCTACCTCACATGATAGTTTTGAGAATTTAAATGAGATCATGGATACATCGCCTTGCACAATACCTCATACATAATAATACTCAATAATTTAATATGATTCTTGTTAAAAATTATTTTGATTGGGATCTTGTATCTCTAGAAGCAATGTATAAGTCAGAGCGAGTTGGTTGGGACTCCAGGCAGTTGGAGGCGTGGCTGATAGAGGGAAATGGGCCCTAAGGAAGCCCTCTCTTGGGTTTCTACTGTGTTATTTTTTGACTTTATCTTACAGAAATATCAATCACGGGAGAAGGTCAGATCAGGCTCCTTTTTCAAAGCCTTTTGGGCCCCAGGTGGATAGGAGTATTGACAAGTTTGTCAATTGAAAGGTCCCTTCTGTATACCGAGGGATAACTATATATGTTGACGTTAGATTTTCTTGTTAATTGCAGTTGAAAACGTCGTCACTCATACATATGGTCATTAGAATATTATAGTCTGACTGAGATCCAGTTATCAGGATATACAGCAACTGACAGTTTTTGAGGCAACCTGTACTCCAACACGAAGCACACCTAGATACTAGTAGCAGAGTCGGCAGTTAATGTCATCGGGATTGTGTCTATTTCTGCAATTTACAATATGGACAGAGAAGTCTCAAGGTAGGAGGTTAAAGACAGGGGTTTGAGGTTTGATTCTATCCATCCCTCACCATGTGACCTTGAGCAGTTCACTCAATTGTTCTGAGCCTCTGTTTCCTCCTCTGAAACAAAAGCTAAATAAAATTCACCGAAATTCCAGCATTTTGGGAGGAATTATATGACAATTCTTGTTTGTAAGGGACATAAACCCAATTAAAATGATTCCAGCAAGAGATGGAGACGAAATTCATCTTGAGGGGCAGACAGTACCTGTACAAATTATTTCAAGGGCACACGGAACAGCTGGGCTAGACTGCCCAGGATTTTAAGGAAGCATATATAAGGGTGCTTATCCCAATCTTGGGTGAGGGAGTATTTCCCAAGTTGAATGTTAGAGAATGAAAATTAATCAGACAATAAGGAGTGGGAAGAGTGTTGTGGAATAAAGGAAGAACAGAGAGGTGAGGAATGGCATGAAGCACACACATGAATGTGCATGTGTGGGCATGCCTGTGTGCGTGCCTGTGTGTGCATGGCTGTGTGTGCATGCCTATGCATGTGCCTATGTGTGCATGCCTCTGTGTGCATGGCTGTGCGTGAATACCTGTGTGTGCACGGCTATGTGTGCATGCCTGTGTGTGCATGCCTGTGTGTGCATGCCTGTGTGCATGACTCTGTGTGCATGGCTGTGTGTGCATGGCTGTGTGTGCATACCTGTGTGTGCATGACTGTATGTGCATGGCAGTGTGTGCATGCTTGTGTGTGTGTGCCTGTGTGTGCATGCCTGTGGGGAGGGCAGTGAGAGGGTTGCCAGGCAAGCAGCTCAACAATACCAATACATAAGGAGAAGGTGGTTGATGAGGCTGGACCCGTGGGCAGGGACCACCTCATCATGCAAGGGAGTTTCCATGCCAAGCTAAGACACATAAATTGACTTTGTAATACCCCTGTTCACTGCACAAGAAGGAGGAAAAATTTCCCCTTAGCGGAATTTAAGCCAGTACAGCACATAAATGAACAAAAGCTTCTGTCATTCTCCTCTTCTATGCTTAAGGCTCCAACAATTTTCCTTCAATTTCACTCTCCCCTTCTTTTACTGTATCCTTCTTCAGCAGGAAAGTACCTTTTTTATATACTTTATTGGATTTTTATTCCAAGCTACAAAATGCCTGCTTGTGGCAACAAGTCAAAAACAGAGGTTTACAAAGAAAAAGGCAAGTTTCTCCCTCCTTGCTCAATCCCTGACACTCATTCACCAAAGAAACAAGGCTGTTATGTGTGATCTTTCTCTATGTTTATACAACTATATGAAAACACATATGGTCATATAAATAAAGGGTTTTTTCCCTACTTTTTTTAAAAAATGGACTATACTGGTCTCATTACAGTATACAACTTGCCCAGGTTAAATATAATGCAACTTGCTCAGATTATAGGTTGTAACTATTAATAATTACTATAAAAGCGGTAAAATATTCCACAGAATGAGAAAATGTCTCCATTCAACTATCTTGATTGGGGAAAAACATAGGGTTTGCTTGTTGCTTTTCTTAGCCATTCTCAATAATATTGCAATAAACATGCTAGTACTAGTACTCTTGCTTATTTTATTTTTATTTATTTATTTATTTTTTCTTTTGAGAGGGAGTCTCAGTCACCCAGGCCAGAGGGCAGTGGCATGATCATAGCTTACTGCAGCCTAGAACTCCTGGGCTAAAGTGATGCTCCTGCCTCAGCCTCCTGAGTAGCTGCAATTACAGGTGTGAGCCATTGTGCCTGGCTCGAGAACCTAGTTTTAAGCATGTCACCTGACTACTCAGGAAAGCAACCCCCTATGCCAGAAGAGTCACAGAGAAAAGTGGTCCTGAAACTATACTAACTCAAAGCCATTCCCTGTTTTTGTTTGTTTGTTTGTTTTTGTTTTTTGATGGAGTCTCACCCTGTTGCCCAGGCTGGAGTGCAGTGGTGCTATCTCTGCTCACTGCAACCTGTGCCTCCCGGGTTCAAGCGATTCGCCTGCCTCAGCCTCCCAAGTAGCTGGGATTACAGCCACTGGCCACCACGCCCGGCTAATTTTTATATTTTTAGTAGAGATGGGGCTTCACCATGTTGGCCAGGCTGGTCTCAAGCTCCTGACCTCAGGTAATCCACCTGTCTTGGCCTCCCAAAGTGTGAGCCACCATGCCTGGCCACATTCCCTGTTTTCTGCCCTTCTCCATCTCACTGAATAAGCCATAAACTCTCCCACCTCAGATCTGCTCAAACATTCTCCTCTTCCTAGGTTGCCATTCTTCTCCCAACCCAAATGCACATGTCACGCTTAGTTCAAGACAAAGCTCAGATTCCACGTTTTCTAAGAAGGCTCCCAAATCTCTCTATGGCAATTAATCTCTTCTTCCACCATCGCTTGAACAACAATAAGAACAACTTCAACAGTTATCACTGTGATGTGCTGGGCATCGTGTTAACGCACATTAAATGCATTATTTTATTTTCTCTTCAATAACCTGATTTAGGTAGGTGATATTGTTATATATATTTTGAAGGTAAGGAAACTAAGTCTCAGAAAGGTTAAGTCACTAGTCCAAGGACACACAGCTAATACGTGTTGCAGCTGGGCTTTACATTCAAGTCCAGTCATCATTCAATGCTGCATAATAAAAGAAAAATTCCATTGAGCAAGCTTCTAGTTTAATGGCAAACAGGTTGAGCCATTGCTTTGTAAACACTGCCTGCCATAGATGAATTTGTTTTCTACATTTTTTAAGCGGTCTTATCTCCCAGTGAATCTTATGAATGGAGCAAAGTTGTCAGGTTCTACAGTAAATGGCATGCGATGTGATGTTGCCAGAATTCAAGCTTTCTTCTGCTAATTTTTCACTGGGTTGCAAGCTTTAATTTAACTGTCAGACCCTGGGTCTTTTGCCAGCACTAATGGAGGATTGTGGCAGTGATGGTAATTATTTCTAGACTTGGTACCTCCTTCGTTTACCTTCTGGTCGCAAATATTCAGCAGCTTCAAGCTAATTTCCTTCCTGATTTTCTTCATCAGTTTGCAAACTCCCACTGCCAACAAAAACAATGCATCTGATAAAAACGTCAACATGGAGTGTTCGAAATATTAAAACTGTCAAATAAAAATTGTGTTTTTACAAGGCAGTCCAAATATGTCACACATGTGGAAATCATTTTTCAAAGACAGATTGTATAGGTCAAAGAGTTGTTGGGCTATTTTTTTTTTAACCCACAAAAACAAACCCAACCATGACAGTTTCTTGTATATTGGTTTGATATCTTGAAAATCAGCTTCCAATCTACTCTGGACAAATTTGATAAAAAACACTGGCATCAGATGTCCTTTCCTCAGATGAAGACCACAGGCTTTCCCCTCTCTGTGGAATTAATAGAAGAATTACCTGAAAGAAGATACTATGATTTAGCTTGCTGTTTATATTTCATTCTTCCCACCATTAAACAATGTAGACAGAACATGGGGCCTGTCAACCAATGCTTATTATCAGACGTGCTATTCTCTCGAAAATCTCAGAAGCCGAACACCCTGATTTAAAATGCTAGGTAGCAACTAAAGTTGTGGATGGGAATGAAACCACCAAAGATAATTGATAACCAGAAAGGAAAGGTGACTAACCCTGGGTAGGGCTAAGCTGCAGAAGGAGACCAAGGGTGAAACACAAATGGGTAATTTTAAGTAGGTTTTCAAGGGGGCAAAATCCTCGCAAATGGAACACTTTTACAAATAAACGCTGGCATTTTTACAGTGCTTACTTACCGGCAAGGAATCATTCGGGGGGCCTGCATCTTCCACTAGACCCAATTCAAGGGAGGCTCATGTGAACAGGTCAATGGGTGTGGGGGTGTGTGTGTGTGTGTGTGTGTGTGTGTGTTCAAATCCCAGTTCCTCATAACATAGAGGGAGGAGTGTTGGTATAACAAGAAGCCAAGTCATGTCTAAAAAAATACTTACGTATACACCCCCCCCATGTGTATTGTTTTTATGTACATGAGAGAGAGAGAGAGAAAGACAAAGACAGAAAAGAGGCAGACAAAGAAGCACAGAATTGGGAGGCCGAGGCGTGCGGATCACTAGGTCAGGAGATCGAGACCATCCTGGCTAACACGGTGAAACCCCGTCTCTACTAAAAATACAAAAAATTAGCCGGGCGCGATGGCGGGCGCCTGTAGTCCCAGCTACTCGGGAGGCTGAAGCGGGAGAATGGCGTGAACCCGGGAGGCGGAGCTTGCAGTGAGCCAAGATCGCGCCACTGCAGTCTGGCCTGGGCGAAACAGCGAGACTCCGTCTCAAAAAATAAAATAAAATAAAATAAAAATAAAGGCAGAAATAGACAGGAGTCAGAAATAAAGACAAAGATACACAGAGGCCAGAGACAACCAGAAGCCAAGAAAGAGGGAAACAGAATATATCTGGAAAAACAATTGCATATCTACATAATCAGGACTTAATGACTATTTTGCATATGTATTTTAAAAGTTGTAGTACAGCTCAGCAAGAAGAACTAAGGAACTCATGCGGTCACCTGGGATCATTAAGTGTTCAGTGAAATGAGCAAGAGAGATTTCCAAACTGCCCAGGAACAGTTCCTGGAAAGGAAATCAGAATTCCTTGATAGCTGCAATGAGGCTGAAATTTCATTGTTTTTTAAAGTTACTAGAGTCTAAAGAGTTTGCACTTATTTTTATTGAAGAACATAGGCATGTAATAACAGCTAACGGCTAGTGACATTTACTCTGAGTCCAGCATTTCTTTAAGTGCTAATAGGGATTAATCCATTTAATCATTATCACAACAGTATTGAGTAGGTCCTATTATTATCTTCCTCATTTTGCACACGAGGAAACTGAGTCCCAACCTCCCCGACCCTGCCTTTGCATCTATCTGCTGCTCTTCCTCTTCTACTTGACTCCAAAAGGTGGAATTGTTCAGCGTTCAATCCTGGGCCACTTCCCCGGGTCCTTCCCTTCCCTTCATTTTCCATGCTAGATTCCTGATGAATCCAAAAGATCTCAGAGTCAGACTCCACCAGACAACATAACCCGTTGTGTCTGTCTGTTTACCGGCTGGAATATGAGAAGAAAATGGGTCTCTGGGTCTTAGGCAGGTGCCAGTGGAAAGTGGGATGACCAGAAGAGCAAAGGATATTTAACTGCTGCATGGCTTATCTCAGTGTGATCATAAAGTTTTGAATATTTATTGCCAAACTACTTGCAAGGATCCTGCAATATGGGCAGCTATATTGAGAAATAAAAGCCGTATTCCTGACTCTGGGCTTCAAAGCATCCAGAATTATCAATGATTTCTCAGCTGGCCTCAGTGACACCAGTAAGAAAACACTAATTTTTCAATTCATAAATTATTATTTAGAGGCAGCCATGAAGTAGAGACAGCTTCCCTGGACTTGGCTTTATTTTCTACTCTAAATTCAAGATGTTGAGAATGCAATAAGCCCACAATTTCAGTATCATTTAAAGCTAATGGTTTTCCCTTTAATTATTGCAGATTAAAGCTTCCCTCATTTATATGCATTATTTGAGAGTTTTATCTGGAACACATGAATATCAAAGAAGGCCTTTGAGCTTTTTCAAAACACATTCCTTCTCACTGTTTAAAACAATTACAAGTTTCTGTACAGAAAATTTTCTAGCTCTATGTTGTTAAACAAGTTCAAGGGTAATTGGACTCTGCTTGTTTAAATGATAAAGACAGATGATAGATAGATAGATAGATAGATAGATAGATAGATAGATAGATAGGAAAATTAGGCACATAGCTAAATAGTTATTCGTGGTACATGGATAGAGATAGGTAGATACAAACAGATGTGTTCACACAAGAGAAAACACATAGTAAAAACATTGCTCCATTAGTTTTCATAACAACTGTATATGGAACATACATTTTTTCCCAAACATTTTAAATTTATTTATGTATTTTTTAACTTTCTTTAAAAATTTAAGTTCTGGGATACATTTGCTGAACGTGCAGGTTTGTTACACAGGTATACATGTGCCATAGTGCTTTGCTGCACCCATCAACCCATCATCTAGGTTTTAAGCTCCGCATGCATTAGGTATTTGTCCTAATACTCTCCCTCCCCTTTCCCCTCACCCCCCAACAGGCCCCAGTGTGTGATGTTCCCCTCCCTGTGTCCATGCGTTCTCATTGTTCAGCTCCTACTTATGAGTGAGAACATGTGGTGTTTGGTTTTCTGTTCCTGTGTTAGGTTGCTCAGGATGATGGTTTCCAGCTTCATCTATGTCCCTGCAAAAGACATGAATTCATTAACTTTTATTTTATTTTTTTGAGACGGAGTTTCACTCCTGTTGCCCAGGCTGGACTGCAATGGGGCGATCTCGGCTCACTACAACCTCAGCCTCCTGGGTTCAAGCGATTCTCCTGCCTCAGCCTCCTGAGTAGCTGGGATTACAGGCATCTGCCACCATGCCTGTCTAATTTTTTGTATTTTTAGTAGAGACGGGGTTTCACCATGTTGGCCCGGCTGGTCTTGAACTCCTGACCTCTGGTGATCCACCTGACTTGGCCTCCCAAAGTGCTGGGATTACAGGCATGAGCCACCGCACCCGGCCTTAACTTTTATTTTAAATTCAAGGGTACCTGTGCAAGGTTGTTATATAGGTAAATTGCAGGCCACAGGGTTTTGGTGCACAGATTATTTCATCATCCAAGTAATAAGCATAGTACCTGACAGGTAGTTTTCCAATCCTCACCCTCCTCCCAACCTCTTCCCTCAACTAGGTCCTGGTGTCTGTTGTTCCCTTCTTTGTGTCCATATGTAGTCAATGTTTTGTTCCCACTTATAAGTGAGAACATGTGGTATTTGGTTTTCTGCTCCTGTGTTTGTTTGCTTAGAATAATGGCCTCCAGCTCTATCCATGTTGCTGCAAAGGACATGATTTTGTTCTTTTCTATAGCTGCGTAGTATTCCATGGTGTACAAGTACCACATTTTATTTATCCAGTCTACCACTGATGGGCATTTAGGGTGATTCCATGTCTTTGCTATTGTGAATAGTGCTGCAATAAACATATGCATGCATGTGTCTTTATGGTAGAAACATTTATATATCTTTGAGTTTATACCCAGTAATGGGATTGCTGGGTCAAATGGTAATTCTGTTTTATGTTCTTTCAGAAATCACCAAATTTTCTTCCACAATGGCTGAACTAATTAGCTTTCCCACCAGCAGTGTAAAAGTATGGAATATGAATTTTTATTTCCATTTTACATAAGCAAAATGAGGTGGGGGATATTGAGTAAGTTGTCACAGCTTACACAGTTTGAAAACAGAGGATCCCTTGGAGATGATGGTGATGATGACACCTTATTAATAACCTTCTTTTCAAAAACTCTCCAGTGTGCTAGGAACTATATGTGGTATTCTATATGTATTATATCACTCAGCCACCACAGTGCATCTTCGATTATTCTTATTTAAAGTAAGGAAATTAGGGACAAGAGAAGTTAAGTACCATGGCCGAGGTCTGCAAATTAAAAGTGCTGGCATCATAATTAGAGCACAGATCTGTCTGACATCCATGGCCAAGGTATTTTCATTACGCCATGCTTTGTCTCTACTTGTTTGGTCTTTTAAATTTTTAATCAAATATTTAGGTCAAAAGCCATTAACTTTGTCTACTCAGACTTCAGAAGGCTGTTGGGAAGTCTGTGAATCAATTTTTCTGTTGCTCTTATTTTTGTGGCTTGCTTACGAAAGTCACAGATACAAAACATCAAAAAAAGCTCTGCTCAGAAATATCTCCTGGGTATTATATTTGGAGATTTGAGTAAATAAGAGCCTCTTTTAAAATGTAAATACCACCTGAAAATGTTAAGCCTATTAGAAAGTCACACCTTAGCTTTAACAGTTATATAATCCAATTTACACTTGTGAAGCATACTGAAAGGGTACTGCAGCTGTGGTAGAATGAATCATTTTCTTCTTCTCCTTTATTCTGGGATATTGCAAAGAAGAAGAGGCATGAAAACAGCTGGGTAGATTTTTTTAAAATAAGTTTCCCATTTTAAAATAATTTTGGATTTACAGAAAAATTGTGCAGATAGGACAGAGTCCCTGAATACCGCACACCCCGGTCTTTCTATTAACATCTTAAATTGATATGGTGCATCAGTCATAATTAATGAACCAATATCAGCACATTATTATAAACTATGGTCCACAGTTTATTCAGATTCCCCTACTCTTTAGTAATATTCCTTTTCTGTTTCAGGATCCCATCTGGGAGACCACATTATATTTACTCATCCTGTCTCCATCCTTAGGCTCCTCTTGGCTGTGGGAGTTTCTCAGAGTTGACTTGGTTGTGGTCACCTTAAGAGCTGGAGAAGAACTCCTCAAGTTTTTTGCAGAATGTCCCTCCATTGGGATATGTCTCACGTTTTTCTCTTGATTAGGCTTAGTGTATTAGTCTGTTTTCATGCTGCTAATACAGACATACCCAATACTGGGTAATTTATAAAGAACAGAGGTTTAATGAACTCACAGTTCCACATGGCTGGGGAGGCCTCACAATCATGGTAGAAGGCAAGGAGGAGCAAAGTCATGTCTTTCATGGTGGCAGGCAAGAGACAGAATGAGAGCCAGGTGCAAAGGGAAACCCCTTATAAAACCATCAGATCTCGTGAGACTTATTCGCTACCACAAGAACAGCATGGGAGAAATTGCCACCATGATTCAATTTCTCCCACCGGCTCCCTCTCACAACATGTGGGAGTTATGGGAGCTACAATTCAAGATGAGATTTGGGTAGGGACACAGTCAAACTATATCAATAACTTAATTCAGTCTTACCTACTTTTTCTGAGGACCTGCTATGGTAGCTTTCAGAATCATGCCAGACATTGGAGATATGATAACTGCATGCCAGGAGCTCTGTTCCTCACTGATAACACATGGTACTGACCACACTACATGGATGGCAACAGGCAAAGAGAGAATGTGTAGGGGAACTCCCCTTTATAAAACCACCAGATCTCATGAGACTTATTCTCTATCATGAGAACAGTATGGGGAAAACCACCACCAAGATTCATTTATCTCCCACTGGGTCCCTCCCACAACTTACGGGAATTATGGGATCTATAATTCAAGATGATATTTGGGTGGGGCCACAGCGAAACCATATCACTTGGATTATGGGTTTACAGGAGGAAGAACATTGTGGTAAACGGCAATCATATCAAGATTCCATGCTATCAACACGACTCATCACTGTTGGTGTTCACCTTAATGACAGGCTGAGTGGTGTTTTCCAGGTTTCTCCACTGTAAATTTACTGTTTCTCTCCCTTTACATGCTGTACTCTTTCTTTGGAAGGAGTTACCTGTAGCCTACACTTAAGGAGTGAGGATGAATGTTCCCTCTCCTTGAAGAGGCAGTATCCACATACATTATTTGGAATTCTTCTGCAGGGGAGATTTGTTTGTTCTCCCCCATTTACTTGCTTATTAAATGGTTTACTTAAATTGGCATAGACTCATGGATATTTGTTTTAGGCTTTGGGCTAGAATCCAAATCTACTTTATTCTTTTTTTTTTTTTTTTTTTTTTTCTGAGACAAGGTTTTGCTTTGTCTCCCAGGCTGGAGTGTAGTGGTGCGATCTCAGTTCACCGCACCTGCTTAACCTCCCAGGCTCAAGCAATCCTCCCACCTTAGCTTCCCGAGTAGCTGGGACTACAGACACACACCACCACACCCGGCTAATTTTGTATCTTTTGTAGAGACAAGGTCTTACTATGTTGCCCTGGCTGGTTTCGAACTCCTGGACTCAAACTATCCTCCCAGTTTAGCCTCCCAAAGTGCTGGGATTACAGGCATGACCCACCGTGCATGGCCTACTTTATTCTCTTAATACTCAAATTGTTCCAGCTTTGCCCATTGGGAGCTCTTTCACTGGACTCCTGTATGCCTTCGACATACCCTTCTCATTGTGGATGTTTTGTTTTTCATTTTGTTGTTATGTTTTTGAGCACTTCCTTACTTCTTGGCACTACAAGATGCTCCAAGTTTATCTTGTATATTTTTTGCCCCAGTCTTAGAATGAGTCATCTCTCCCAGGAACGCTGGTTCCTTTTGTTGGAGAATGGTATTTACTTGACAATAATATTAGAAACTGGATATGGGCTCTAGGAGTGCTTGTTGCCACTGGGGTGTCATTGCTCCTAGGCCCACTCAATTGACAGAGAAGGAAATACATGTATGTATTATGTATTTTAACTGAGGAAATGCACAGCTCATCTATAAATACTTCTATATGTAACCATATGCACCTATAGTAAGTTAAACATGAGTTCATACTAATACCTCAGCATATTTTTAATAATAGCAATACCCAAAGTCTAGCCCAGCTCAACTGAATTAGAAACAATTAAATTTGAATCTAGGCAGATGGAGGAAGGAGTAGAGCCCAGGCTTTGGTAATTGTTTGAAAAATCGCCAGGTAATTGAAATATGCCTCTAGCCTTGAGAATCACTGATGGAAACAAAACAGCACATGTGAAGCTGATGTGAGGTTTTCCTGGGAAATCACATATTAAAATTACTAATAAATGAAAGAAATAGTTTTTATTATACTGTTTCCTAACATCTCACACTTTTATATCCTCAGAGTTTTCCTAAATTTTTCCCTTTGATCCATTATTCATTTATCAAGTCCAGCTGCAGAAACACTGATTTATTGTAAATGAGGAGAAATGGAGTCATCCTAATCTTGAAAAGAAGCAAAGTGAAAGAAAAAGTATACATGTATGAAACTCCTGCACCAGGAATATGAAGCAACATGCTTATCATAAGTCTCAGAGACTACAATCAAAACACAAATAGGTAGTAGAGCACTTTTGACGTGCAAAATACTATTCTTTATACCTATATTAGGACACTGTCATAATAGCAATATTCACTATTAAAAATAGCATTACATTGAGAATAAACCACGTGATATTATATATATGCATATATACATATATGTGTGTGTGTGTGTGTACATATATATATACACACACACATATCAGGTCTTTGTTCCTGATTACTGGCATAGAGTTTCAAAAATCCTTGCATTTTCTTAGATGACAGAAATGTCATGGTTATGTGATATGCTTTGGCTGTGTCCCCACCCAAATCTCAAATTGTAGCTCCCATAATTCCCATGTATCATCAGAGGGATGAAGTGGGAGGTAATTGAACCATGGGGGCGGGCCTTTCCCATGCTGTTCTCATGATAGTGAATAAGTCTCATGAGAGCTGATGGTTTTATAAAGGGGAGTTTCCCTGCACTTGCTCTCTTGCCTGCCACCATGTAAAACATGACTTTGCTCCTTCTTTGCCTTCCCCCATGACTGTGAGGCCTCCCCAGCCATGTGGAACTGTGAGTCAGTTCCATAAATTACCCAGTCTCAGGTATGTCTTTATTAGCAGCGTGAGAACAGACTAATACGTTATGATAATAAAGCAATTTATGGAGGGCCTCTAGAAAGCTTCAGGATGGGAGCTGGTTACCAGAAAAACCAACCATGTGATTAGAGGTCTGGAACTTTTAGCCACCAGACCTCTGAGGAGAGGAAGGAGCCTGCAGCTCTAATTCAATCAGGTGGTCAGTGATGTAGTCAATCATGCCTATGTAAAGAGATCTCAATAAAAACTCTGAACACTGTGGCTCAAAGGGGCTCCCTGATTGGTGAACATATTGCTATATCAGGAAGTAGACACACTCTGACTTCACAGAGACAGAAGTTTCAGCACTCAGGACTCTTCCAAATCTTGCCACCCTATATATCTCTTCATCTGACTGTTTATTTGGGTCCTTTATATTAAAATGATAATCATAACTATGTCACTTTCCTGAATTCTGGGAGCCATTCTAGCAAGTGATCGAATGTGAGTGGGTTGTGGGAAGCCCTAAAAGTGTGGTCAGCTGAGCAGAAGGTCAGGTAGTCTGGAGACACCATGTGTGGTTGGTATCTGAACTAAGTGTAGTCTCGTTGCAGACCCTAACCTTTAACTTGTGGGATCTGATGCTAACTTTGGGTAGTTAGAATTGTATTGAATTGAACTGTAGGATATCAAGTTGGTGTCATAGAGTTGATTGCAGAATGCAAACTCAAACAAAGGAACCTTGCGAAGTTGTTGGCATAATCACACAGGGAGTTATTTTAAGTGAATTTCACACAAAATATTCTGACTTGTATTCCAAGTGGCATAATCTTAAAAACAAAAAGAACTTAAACTGTTTCCAGTAGTCTTAGCATTAATAATACTATTGTCATTTTTTATTTTGAATTATGCATACACATGCATAAATATAAAATGTATGAAATATGTATGTGAATGTTATTTTGTGTCTAGATTAGCAGCATGAGAAAATAGATGCAAATGTAAAAATCACAACAGGTAAGTTACAATAATAATTTTTATTTAAATTGAGAATATCAGTATGAACTCGATTTATTTTTTCTTCCAAAAAAAATACACATTTCTTAGTGCTGAATACTAAAAAGGCATTTTCAGTCCATTAGCAGTTAGCACCCTAGGCCCAGACTGTGGTCTCTACATACCATTGTCCATAAGAAGAAAGTAGGGCCACCTGAGGAAATGGTTGACTGTAGAACTAAGATACGAAATAAAAAATAAGAGCTTGAGACATTCTCTCTCTCTGTCTCTGTCTCTCTGTTTGTTTGTGTGCATGTGAGCCTGAAAGCAAAGAAGCTATCAAAATAAATGTTTGCATCAAAATGACACAAAGGTTAGCCTGAAGGGACTTCCATTGGCCAAAAATAAGACAATCTGAGCATTAAAAAAATGATCACAAAGGATTGAGCACAACAACTACATAAAATTCATGAGTTCTTAATTATAACAAACCTAAAAAGCAACTGGACCCTTTGGCAGTTGGTAAGGCACCAACTCATTATTCTAAATTGATAATTAAAAGAATAGAAATTAAGCATCTCTTCTGCTTTTTGTGAATCGATGATATTTTAGAGTCAACAAACAGGGTTTTTCCCCCCACAGGAGAATTACAGTTAACAATTAAAAAAAATTATTTGACGTGAAAATCACTATTATTCAACCACAAAAACAATTCAGCAAGAATAGATAAACAAAGATTGGCAAATATTAATGATTGTTGAAGCGAGGTGATTATATAGTCACCCTATTTTGTGTATGTTTGAAATTTTCTATAAAAATATACTAAAAATTAAATATAACAGTTATTCAGAGATCCATCCAAATAACCCTTACTGAGCCCTGTCTCTGTGCCTCGTCTTGTGCTAGAATTAGAAATTCAAATGTGAGCAACCTGTGGATTCTAACCTCAAGAGACTTAGGTTGGTGTATAGGAGTCCAAGATATGAAGAGATCATTAGTATACAGGTGCACAGCAATGACAGTTCCCACAGCGAGGACTTCAGCAAGCTACGCATTCCTTCTGATGTTCCACTTACGGTTGTCTTTCCTACTCTCAAAGAATTTGAGCTATGAGCCTCTTGCCAGTCTTGCAAATACTTTCTGAAATCCAAAGATAGTCAACCCTTAGAGACCAGGTATGGGCCAATGCAGAGAGTGGTGGGCAAGCCAAGATTCTCCAAAGAGATTCATCACAGCTATTGGACTGTCACTCAGAGAAGGAGCAGCTTCTACAAAGGACATTTGGTAAACATCAAGCCATAATGGCAGCCAGTGGCTAGATATACTGGGCTGTTACTTGACTGTTAGGTAGATTGGCTAAGCCATCAGCAACATTTCACAACTGATCAAATTGAAAAGTGATTCACTGTGAGGTAGCCAAGTGAAAGGCTCTGACACACTCTATGGTGGAAAACACATTCATCATTGCATTTACTATATTCATTAATAGAAGCTACCATTTCCTACACACCTAGGATATGCCATGCTTTGCACTGTGTGCTTTCATTTGTGATGTCATATAGTGCTCATAATAAATTTGCAAGCATTTTAACCCCAATTTTACGGACAAGGAAACTGAAGCTCTGAGAAGTGAAATAACTTGTCCAAAGTGAAATGCCATTTAGGAATTTTTTTAATTGATCAAAAAAATATTTAAAACAAGGTGCAGGTCAAACAAAGCACACATCTGTAGGCTAGTTCAGCCCCCTAGTTTCCAGTTTAAGACCTCTGCTCTACTTCATGCTACTGTCAAATGTACCTCTTACTTAAGCCCTTTTCTGATTCCTCACCTAAAAAGTTAAGAGCTCTAGAATCCTGTGTTCAAGAGCATGGAACACAGGCCAGCTGTATTCCATTCTTCACATGATATGGAATGGCCAACTTATTCTAGAAAATTTACATTTCTTTGGAAAGTACTATATACATCAGACACACATATTCATAAAATTTTTGTATATAGCTATCTGCAAATATATGTACAAGTTGAGAACTTTTATAAGGTCAATAAATGCAATTGTAATGCCAGTCTTTTTTTTATTTTTCAAACACAACCAAAAGTTGGAAGAGTTTTTATTAATTGTTCTTTTAAATAACCTTCTAAAAATATAAGTCAAGCAGACATTATTAAAAAATCAAACAGTATAAGAGAGTATACTATATGCAATATTAGAAATACAAATAATAGCTAATAATTATTATTAAGCACAAATTATATTCCCGGGACTGTTCTGAGCACTTTTCATGCATGAATTCATTCACTTCTCACTACATCCCTATAGGTAGATTCTATTATTACTACCTTTTAACATATGAAGTGGGAAACTTTAAGTAACTTCCCCAAGTTCACATAGCTGAAATGAGTATCCTTCTTACTTCCAAAAATGCACCCAAGTCTACCAATTTCTGTTCCTATAACAAGCAGTGTAACCAATTTCTTGTGACTTTTCCAGAAATTTTCAATGTATAGCCAAGCATTATTCTAGATGACAAGAATAAATATATGGGAAAGTATAGAAAATAATGTAAACAACACCTATATACTCACCATCTACAATGAATAAAGGTGAATGTTCAATTACATTTGAGTCATATTGTATTTAACTTTTTTAAAAATCACTCAATGGTGTTAAAAAAAATCTCCCTTTTAACTTCTTCCCAATCCTATCAACCCTTTCCAGACAACTGTTATCTTTATCAGGTGAGCATTTTCTAAGCTTTGTTTTTATTCTGGATATCACTAAATCCCTGTGTAATATCTATAAACAAAGCATATATTGTTTTGTGTATTTTATCTACCTAATGGTATCTTTCCGCAACATCCATTTTTCCATGACATTATCTTTGAAGATCTATTCATGTTTATACATACTGATCTCACCATTTATCATCACTGCTATACCGTGTTCTATAAAAATCATGTTTTATTTATTCATATCCTTACTTTGATGTGATATGTCAATACAGTTTAAAATTTTTTAAGGTAAAATTCACAGAACATAAAATTCACCATTTAAACCATTTTAAAGCATACAGTTTTAAAGAGGACTAACTTTAAAACAAATTGAGCGCCTCTGACTTGAAATATAATAAGCACAGCTGGGCAGGTGGGGAGACACCAGTTCCCCTGATTTTCCTTTCCTTCAAAGTTATCTTTTCAAACCCTCCAAACCCAAATATGTTGTAGCCACCTCAAATCATCTACTGCTTTATTTCTTCTGCTTTTCTCAAGTCAATAACTGCACACCCACCTTTGCAAGGTCTAAGTGGATCTGTACGTCTGATTTGGCTTATCTGGACAGAGTGGAATAGCTCTCTTTCTTAGTCAGCTCAGGTTGCCATAACAAAATACCATAAACCGAGAGGCTTAAACAACAGAAGTTGGGTTCTTACAGTTCTTAAGGATAAAAGTCTGAAATCAGGGAGCCAGTAGGGTTGGGTTCTAGTGAGGGCTCTCTCCCTGGCTTGCAGACTGCCACCTTCTCACTGCATGCTCACATTATGGAAAGAGAAACAGGGAGGTCTCTCGTCTCTCTTTTTCTTCTTATAAGGACATTAATTCTATCATATCAGAGCTCCACTCTTGGGACCTCGTTTAGCCTTAATTACTTCTACCAAGGCCCTATATCCAAATACCATTACATTGGAGGTTAGAACTTCAACATAAAAATTTGGTTGGTAGGGGGTGGGGTGGCCACAAACTTTCAGCTCATAGTAATCTCTATAAATGTGAATTGTCACAGCTGAGCCTGACAGGTATACAAACCAGCTGGCATGGATACAAAGTATGAGAATGAGTTAAATGTCCATGCAATATGCAAATTATGCACCTGGACACAGATACAGATGCAGAGAAACCAAACTATCACTCCCTGTTTCAGGCTTAGGAAGCAAATCAAACATTTGCATCTGGGAAGGAAAACTCTGCTTCTCTGTTTGTGAAAACTGCCTCTCATAAATAAGAGATCAAACTAGAAGTGCACATCAAACCTGATGCAGCCTGAGCTGGGCCGGCCAGGAAAGAAATATGGTAAATTATAAATCCTTCAAGAGAAGAGTAAAGGCTGCACAACTCCCTTGAGGGAAACCATGACAATGAAGGAAGAACTTGCACTATTCAAGAGCCTGAGGAGTATGCTACCCAAAGGCTATTCTGCCAACAGAGATGGATCATCCAATTAAGTTCAACCACCACTTTGACCAAAGAGATTTCCGAATCGACCGGTTATCTGACTAAGCCAGGGTTGGCTCCCTTTGTGCTCAACTGTAGCAGGCAACTACATGGGATAGACAGAGGAACAAAAATATTGGGGTCGGTGTAGACTTGAGTTCAAACACACTTGCATCACTGACAAATTACCTAGAAAATACACCTTGGCAGTGAATTTGACACACATGAATCTAATTTCCAGATTTGCAAAATAGAAATAATAGTGTATTTGTCCTTGGGTCCATTGGAAAGAATATGTGTTGAGTGCTTACCATGTTCCAGCCATTGTGCTAAACTTATATAATCTTCACAAGAACCAAAAGAGGTGCTATTATATTCTGTGTATTATAGACAGGGAAACTAAGTCATGGAGAAGTTAAGTGTTTGGCACATCAAACCATACCAGCCATGAAATCCAATTAGCTTAAGGTCTTGTTTTCAAAACTCCCCTGAAGATAAAAATCACTTGGGGCACTTGATATCACTCCCCACTTCCCAGGCCCCTGCCCTGGGGATTCCAAAGCAGCGGATTGGGATAGTGCCTGGGAATTTGTATTTTCAATAAGCATCTCAAGTGATTCTAATACTCACAGAAGCTAGGAAAACTTGCACGTTCACTCCATTCAACAAGGGAAGGGACCTGTGGCAAATAGATGTCTATTCAAAGAGTACCACAGAATCTTACAGCAAGAAAGAATGGTAGATTCAGATTAATCCCATCCCTTCATTTTATTGATGGGAAAACTGAGTCCCAGCAAAGGGAAATGGCTTGCCCAAGGTCACACAACCTAGGCAAAGCAGGTTTGGGATTTGAAGCAACAGTTCCTGACTCCCAAGGCATTTTATTCTATTTGTACACCATCAGGACCAGCAGGCATTGGTTCAAGTGAGGGGTATAGAGGTAGAAGCAATGAAGAACACTGGGAGGTTCCCAGGTGGAATAAGTGTGGATGGTACAGCATGGTGACCACAGTTAATTACAGTGTATTACGTACTTGAAAATTGCTAAGGGCGTAGATTTGAGGTTTTCTCAGCACAAAGTAAGAATAACTATGTGAGGTAATGCATATGTGAATTAATTTGAGTTAGCCATATGTCTACGTATATCACATTATGTTGTTTGTCATAAAATGTACAATTTTTCTTTGGCAATTAAAACATTTAAAATAAGGGTGGGTGGGACACCTTCATGAATAGCCATAAGCAGCCTAGGAGGTAGCAAGAGAGACAGAAAAACATGATATGGTTTGGCTGTGTCCCCACCCAAATCTCATCTTGAATTGTAATCCCCATAACCTCCGTGTGTCGAGGGAGGAACCTGATGGGCGGTGATTGGATCATGGGGCGGGGTGGGTTCCTCCATGCTGTTCTCGCGATAGTGAGTGAGTTCTCAAGAGATCTGATGGTTTTATAAGCATCTGGCATTTCCCGGCTTGCACTTCTCTCTCCTGCCACCATGCGAGAAGGTCCAAGCTTGCTTCCCCTTTGCCTTCTGCCATGATTTTAAGTTTCCTGAGGCCTCCCCACCTATGCAAAACTGAGTCAATTAAACCTCTTTCCTTTCAAATTACCCAGCCTCGGGTATTTCCTTACAGCAGTGTGAGAACAGACTAATACAAAAAGGAAAATAAAATAATTGCTTCTGATATGTTAAGAGCTGACTTTCTTGTATTCATTCATATTTATAATTTTTCTCTGTCTCTCTCTTCCTCCCTCACCCTTTCCTCAGCTTTTCTTTTTCACCCTTTTCTTACTCTTTTGTTCTCTTTGTACCTTTTTCAGACATCTTCCCAGCAAAATACAAAGATACCTTTACTTTTTTTTGTCTGCAGAAAGCTTGAATTTTTTACTCAATGACTGAAAAGGGCCAGACTTTTCTTTTCCTCGATGACATCTAGTTTCAAAAAAAAATCTTCACCTTCCCAGCAGTGGCTCCTCTCACTCTTCACTTAGTCCAAACTCATTTTCTTAATCTTCCCCCAGAAAATATTTAAGGGCAGCCAGGCCATAGTTGGAGCAAATCTGTTTGCAAGACTTGCAAAACCCTATTTCTCATATGTCTAACAGACCTTATATCTCAAACACAGCCATGCAGTCGTATTCCTCCTCGAGAGTTTCTTTGTTCTAGGGCATTTCTTGGAATCAACAAGTGAAGTATGTTGGGGAAGGCTCAAATTGAAGTAAAATGTCTTAGATCGGCTTGGACCTATTCATGACACATGGGGAAAATCATTTCTGGCCTTTGGAAAGATAATCCAAAAAAAAACAATGGATCCTACAAGCCTGAGTGAGGAGCAGTCAGCCATTCCCACCAGGTACGTCGCAACATTTCAGCGGCACAGGACGGAGCCAGAGTCTCCCTCAGGAAGCCACTATCCTGCTGATTTTTATGGCAAATTTCTAGTCAACCAGCACTCCACAGGGATTCCTCTCGGATGCCCTGGACTGAAGGTCTCCCACCTCCACCCAGATTGTGGTCTCAATTCCCACTGAGGTAGTCCAGTCTGAAGATGACAGTGATAGGACAAGAGAGGAAATGATCTTTTACTTTACTTCCACACAGTACAGGCTTCTGCAAATACTTGTTAATTCCTGGTTAACTTAATCAGACCAAAGGCAGATTAAGATTCTCCTTTCCATGGGAGGAAGGCAGAAAAGTTACTAAGCTCAAGTGATGGTTAATATTAAATGTCAACTTGATTGGATTGAAGGATGCAAAGTATTGTTTCTGGGTGTATCTGGGGGTTGTCAGAAGAGATTCACATTTGAGTCAGTTGACCCAGGAGAAGAAGACCCACCCTCAGGAAAACCCGCCCACAATGTGGGTGGGCACCATCCATTTGGCTGCAAGTGCGGCTAGAAAAAGCCGGCAGAAGAAGGTGGAAGAAGCTGACTTGCCGAGTATTCTGGCCTTCATCTTTATCCCATGCTGGATGCTTCCTGCCCTGGAACATCAGACTCGGAGTTCTTCAGCTTTTGGACTATTAGACCAGTGGTTTGCCAGGGGCTCTCAAGCCTTTGGCCACAGACTGAAGGCTGCACTTTTGGCTTTCCTACTTTTGACGTCTTAGGACTCACACTGAGCCACTACTGGCTTCCTTGGTCCTCAACTTGCAGACGGCCTATCGTTGGACTTCACCTTGTGATGGTGTGACTCAATTCTTCTTAATAAACTCCCTTTCATATATGCTTATAGCCTATTAGTTCTGTCCCTTTAGAGAACCCTGACTAATGCAGCTCAGTATGGGTATTGCTTAGGTTCAAATCTTGACTCTGTCATTTATCAGCTGTGTGGTCTGGAGGAAGTTACTCAACCTCACTGAGCCAAAACTTCTTCATCTGTAAAGATGGGAATGATGTTAACAAGAACGATTTCAGAGGGATGCTGGGAGGATTAAATGAGGTGACATGTATATTATAAATATTACACAGGGAAAACACTTAGAAATAGCTAGAATGTAATATTCTGGTTTTATCTATTATTATTGATATGTATGATTTGACTGAAGTATGAAAATCTGTTCCATTACTTTGCAGTCAGGAAAAGAATTCAGAAATTCAAATTATGGACGATGAGTAGCAAAGATTCTTAACAGTCATTTGCCAACATCAAAGCCATGGCCGTAAAATGCAGCCTAATTAAGTTAGCAAAGGCATAACCCAAATATTTCTAATGCTATTTCAATATGACTTTGAGTTCCAAGTTTTAATATATAGTGGCAGATTTACCCTCCTCATACAAGTTGACTGTAGTTAATATAAAAATAAGTTTTTATTCCCAAGAATACTTGAGTGGCTTATGCGTGTGCTGTGTTTCAGAGGAATGTCAACCCAGGATAGACCCTTACTTGTAATAGACCAAAAAAATGGATATGTGACATTTATCCGACCACCAATTATTTAAGTAACAGAGTCACACTAACCTAGGTTAGAGTTCTGTTTCTGTTTTTTGCTACTTAGCAGGCAATTTTGGGCAATTACCTAAACTTTTTGAGCCCTGACCTCCTTCTCGAAAGTGAAGATGATGACAATGATAATATCTTTCACAGTTTTGTGGGAGATTAACTAAGAGGAATGCAAGCATTCAAAAAATAGCCTCTTTTTTTTTTTTTTTTTTTTTTTTTTGCCTTTTCCTGTAACTGCTCTCCTTCTGAAGACTCTCTGGAACCTTTCACATTCTGCTTCTTTGTGAGACTCACAGGGGCAGGGATCATGTTTTTTGTTTTTTTATTTGTTTGTTTTTTGTTTTTTCCATCATTGGATCCTCAGTGCCTGGTGCATAATAGGTGCTCAATAGGCATATAATAGGTGCTCAACAAATATTTGTAGAATGGCTGACAGACTAAATAAGCGCCAGCATCCCGAAGAGCTTGAGGAGCTCTGGGTCTTGTTTGCACCTGCCCCATTTCACCTTTCTGCTGACTCCATTTCCTTCCCTTCCTGAAGTTATAGCCATTTGAACAATATCCTCACAGTGGATATTTTTGGCTGAAGATGCTGGGTATTGTATTCTTTCCCTCTCTCCATCTGTCTTTATTCTTGTGCTACTAATAGCTTTGTGGGGTTTTGTTCCTCTAGGATGAATGGCAGCTCTTGGCTGAAAACATCTGAAGTGACCCTTGTGACACAAAGTTATTTTAAACCTGTAATATCTCATCTAGTTAGCAGTCAAAGATGAGATCCACAGGCCCTCCCAGAAACATATAATAGGCTGGTTGTTTGAGGGGCACTAAGAAACAAGCCTTCTCTTCCATTCCGAAGTGTGTCAGACAAGGTCAAAGAGAGAGGGCCATGTGTCCAGGTGCAGCTCCAGTCACAGCAGCATTGGGTACCCACCTCCGTGGACCCAAAGACTGAGGCAAAATTGAAAAGAAATAATTTTTTTTAAAAAAAAACAACTATCCTATTCCACCTTGCCTTAATACCTTCAGCCTTCACTGGTCTCACAAACATCTAGGGCTCCCCCACATTCAAATCTCATTTCTCTACCCTGTATCTCACTCCCAAAGTGCCCCAGCTTTCATTTTTTTAATCTGATTTTTAAAAATCACATTTAAAAATCAAGGTGGCTCACACCTATAATCCCAGCCGTTTGGGAAGCCAAGGTGGGCAGATCACCTGAGGTCAGGAGTTTGAGACCAGCCTGGCCAACATGATGAAACCCTATCTCCACTAAAAATACAAAAAATTAGCCGGATGTGGTGGCACTTGCCTGTAGTCCCAGCTACTTGGGAGCCCGAGGCAATAGAATCACTTGAGCTCAGGAGGCGGAGGTTGCAGTGAGCCAAGATCGCACCACTGCACTCTAGCCTGGGTGACAGAGCAAGACTCCATCTCAAAAAATACATAAATAAATAATTTAATTAAAATCACATTTATTTGTTGGTTAATGAACTAATGTTCTAACTACCTTGAAAAACAAATGGCTCTTTCTTCTATAGTTCTCAATGGTGTTCCACTAAATGTGTTTATTATTTCTCACCATTCAGTACGCAGCAAGTAGCACAGTGCTAGGCATATAGGAAGCTCTTAATAAAGATCTTCTGAAAGAAGGAAAATTCTATGAACAAAGGACTTAACTTAGTTTGGATGATGAGTAACAGAAGCCCCAACTATCAATGGTTTAAACTAAAGAGTTTCATTTCTCTCTCACGTAAAGGTTTAGAGGTTGGCGGTTCAGGGATAATATGATTGTTCTGCTTCATAAAAAAACAGAGCTAATAAAGAAATTATGGGCCAGGCACAGTGGCTCACAAGTATAATCCCAACACTTTGGGAGGCTGAGGCGGGAGGATTGCTTGAGCCCAGGAGTGTGAAATCAGCCTAGGCAACATAGAGAGACCCTGACTCTACAAAAAATTCAAAACTTAGTCAGGCATGGTGGCATGTACCTGTAGTCCCAGCTACTCAGGAGGCTGAGGTGAGAGGATCGCTTGAGCCCAGGAGGTTGAGGCTGTGCTAAGCTGTGATTGCACCACTGCACTCCAGCCCAGGCAACAGAAGGAAATCCTGTCTCAAAAAAAAAAAAAAAAGAAAAGAAAAGAAAGAAAGAAAAGAAAAGAAAAGAAAGAAACTATGGAGGGGCCAGTACTTTCAGAGTTATAAGAACTATATAATTATTTATTATAGTAAGCAAAGTGCAGGCCCTTTAATCACATATAATCAAATCCAGGCTCCAGAACTTAAAATATACACAAACTTGGGCAGTGACTTAACATCTCTGTGCCAGTTGTCTCAGCTGTACAAAGAAGAAAAAGGAGGAGGAAGAGAGAGAAGGGGGAGAAAAAGGAAGAGGAAGAAGAGGAAGAGGGGAACAGGAAGAGGAAGAAGAGGAGGGGGAGGAGAAAAACGAGGGGGAGGAAGGAGAAGGAGGAAGAGGAAAAGGAGAGCTCATAAAAACAATAGAGGAAAGAAAAGGCTCATGTTCCACAGCTTCCCAGGGAAACTATGATCTCCCTGGTCATCTCTCTGACTTGTCTTCTCCATTTCACCACATCCTTTCTCTCCCACCACTGCTTCTTTTCTATCATGGTTCCAAATTCCTAGCAAAGGGTGAATCAATACCTCTGGAACTGGGAAAACCAATGAAATAACAGAAATACAACCATTTGGGGAAAAGTTCTCCCAAATCTTTCCATTACTTTTACAAAAACATACTAAGGTTCCATTGAGTTTACGTGCTGAGCACAAGACTTGGCATATATTAATGGTGACCAATATGTTTTAGCTTTCTTCTCTTTTATTCCTCAAAATTCGTGGTGTTGATTAGATTTATTTTTTCTAAAGCTCTGTTAGTTATAGCTTCAGATTTAAATCCAGTATAATCCCAAATCCACTCATTGATTCTCAAGAGTCCAGCTCTTGATCTTCTATAATACTTTAAATGAATAAGGGATGTTTCTAATTCCTGTTGCATTTAGCAGGGAAGAGTTATTTTAATATCATGTTTTAACTTTAGATCTCTGGAGTGGGCAGTTCACTGGGAGCCCATGGATCAGGATACTTGAAATAATAACATTTTTAGCTCCCTGTGCCCTTGGTTTCTCAATCTATAATGTAGGGGAAAATGTATCAACCAGGTTCAGAATTCCTGAGCTATACCAATTTAGTCATATCCAGTGGAGGAGGAAAGAGAGGGGGCAAGGATCCAAATGAGAAACATTTAGAGCTACTTTATTTGATTACTTTTAATTTGGGGAGTATATAGTAGGTATATGTATTTATGGGGTACGTGAGATGTTTTGATACAGGCATGCAATTCATAATAGTCACATCATGGAGAATAGGGTATCCATCCCCTCAAACACATCCTTTGTTTTACAAACAATCCAATTATACTCTTTCAGTTATTTTAAAATGTACAATTAAATTATTATTGATTATAGTCATCCTGTTGTGCTATTAACTACTAGGCCTTATTCATTCTTTCTATCTTTTGTATCCAATAACCATCCCCACCTCCCCCCAACCCCGACTACCCTTCCCAGCCTCTGGTAACCATCCTTCTACTATTTCCATGGGTTCAATTGTTTTGATTTTTTGATCCCACAAATAAGTGAGAATGTTTGATTTTTTTCTGTGCCTGGATGTTTTAATTTAACGTAATGACCTTCCAGTTCCATCCATGTTGTTGCAAATGACTGAATCTCATTCACTTTTGTGGCTGAATAGTACTCCACTATATATAGGTACCACATTTTCTTTACCCATTCATCTGTTGACGGACACTTTGGTTGCTTCCAAATCTTGGCTATTGTGAACAGAGCTGCAATAAACATGGGACTGCAGATATCTCTTTGATATTTTACTCTTTTTATTGAAGACAATTCTGCAGGACTCCTTCTTTCCCCAACTATCATCTAAAATTGTTAAGACCTACTGCACAGGTCTTAAGCATCCTGAAAATCCCTTCCTTTAACCTGGAAATTCCCTCTATTAGTCCATTCTCACATTGCTATAAAGAAATACCTGAGACTTAGTAATTTATAAAGAAAAGACATTTAATTGGCTCATGGTTCTGCAGACTGTACAGGAAGCATGATGTTGGCATTTGTTTGGCTTCTGAGGAGGCTTCAGGAAACTTTCAGTCATAGCTGAAGACAAAGGGGGAGTCTCCATTGATTTGAAGGAACAACTGTAAGGCCAATATGCCTCTGTGAGGGGTAACTACTAAGTGGATTTAGTTGACCACCAAATACTATTGTCTGTTAGTCATAAGGATCCAGTAATTCCTGTAAAGTATGAAAAAATTTTATTTGCAAAGATAAAATGTAATACCTCTTCCAAAAAATCCAATTGCTAATGCTGATCTGAAAGGAAATATTGTGAAGAAGATTAAGAAAATGATAACTTTTGCCAATACATAGAAGTTTTATGGAAAAAAAATTTTACATGGTAGAATTTCCAAATCTGAATCATTTATAAATGAACATCTCAGATCACGTATTCTAAAAAGGGACTATTGTAATTATATTTTTTAATAAGATACAATGTAAACTCTTAAGTGTTACTAAGCAACTTAAAAAAAATTTCCTATTGATTTTCAATGACTGCTTAATTTAACCCTATTTTTCCTCAGATTTCAATAGGACACTTTCTTCAAGTAAACCAGAATTTCTGTGCTTCAAGACTAAAATCACCTACAAACAAACAGGGCCACAGTCTTACTGTATCTTTTTCAGGTATCCAAAAGACTTTTTCTTCTGCCATAGTCTTTAATTTTCCTATCAAGAAGACCTACAGAATGTCTGTGATATTCAGAATCCCTCCTAACCAATTAAATCACTCAAGGTCTTCTAGCTCAAGAAATACTTGGGTAAGTAAGTGACCTTGGGCAAGTCACCTCGCCTCTCTAAGACACAATTTGGTGGGGAGAAGACACAATTGGATTAACTTGACAGTTTCTAAGGTTTGGCACCGAAGGCAGTAATCTTAAATACAAATTTATATTTTATGTTTAAAAGCACTAAATCCAGAGTAAGATATATTTGGGTTAGAATTTCTAGCTCTGCCATTCACTATCCATTAATTCTTAGAAAATTTCCTTAACCTCTCTAAGCCTCTATTGCCTTTAAATGAAATAATACTATTATCTGCAAGACAAGATTATTGTAAAAATTAAATGAGATAATTCATCTAAAACAATTAACATAATGCCTAGCCCATGATTCATCTTCCATAGCTCTTAGCTCTTACATGTTATTATTATTATTATTATTATTATTATTATGAATTGTAACTGCGATAGTGGATTTTCCTAGAACTAGCTGTTTGGTCCCCTCCAAAAAACTGGAGGACTTCGAATCACATTATCAATGACACTCATACTGCATAGCCTCTTCCCAACTATTGCTCAGAAAAGGCCAGTCCTTCTCCTGGGTACCTGATCTTTAGAGAAATATCTCATTGTTTTTCATGGAAATCAGAGGCTTTTTAGTGATCCTGAAATTTAGAAAACAGAAACAAACAAACAAAGAAAAGAAAACCCCCAAAACTGTGGCACAAATACTCATTTAAGTTTGTTGATTTAGCTCCAACATTTTAAGACCATTAATTTCTCACTAGCCCTGTCTGTGTTAATATAACTTATGGCCATTTAAAAAACAAAACTATTATCTCTAGCATGTAGATTAATAGACGCCCAATCATTTAGCCTGGTGCTTATGCAAATGCTTTTGTCTTCCTCTGGACAGGGTGGACAAGGTGGTCAGGAGGGCAGATGGTGAGGGAGAACTTGTGTTTATGATCATTTGACTGGCTGTCTGGGTCATTTTAGCTGTCAAACCTGATTTCCAAATTAAAACATCAAAATCATAAATTACCCCCCAAATCTAGTACAATAATTCCCTGCTTGCCTTTTTCCCTTGCTCATTATGCAATGTTGTTCTTACAACAAGGCGATGACCAGCTAGTACTCAAAACCCCATGATGGGTTCCTTTGGAAAACCTCCAGGAAAAGCTTGTCTTCTCCTTGAAGTTGTGTCACAGGTTGACTTAGGTGATTTTCCCATTCCAATTTCACTCTGGCAGACCATGTCTCCAAGCATCATCCTACTCTAGTTTGCAATAAAGATAGAACTGAGCCAGGTTTATTGGGCAACTCCCCACTACCTCTACTTGTAATTTTTAACAGAAAAGTACTGGTTGACTGATAGTATATTTTCAGCATTCTCAATTAATGTTGTCCACTGCCTGGTTCACATCGTTCTTCCACTAAAGGATTAGAGGGATAGAGAGAGAACAGCAGATTTGGAGCTAGACTGCTTGTGTCTGCAACCTGCCTCTGTGGTTTATTAACTACGTGACCTTAAAGAGATGATTAACCTTTTAAAATTGAAATGCCCCTGCTAGGCACCATACTCCATCCATCAGCAACTCCTGTCCTATCTCCAAAATAAATTACAACTCCTCTTCCTTCTTTTCATCTCCACCACCACTCCAGTCTGCCCATCATCATCTCTTTGCTGGGCTCTCTTGTCCAGTTGTTTCCAATCTGGCCTCCCTGCTTCCTCCTCTGAATGTGTATGATCCAGTTTCCACACATAGTGATTTTTTTTTTTGTCTTTCTCCCCTCATTGAAATTACTCTTTAGCTTTCATCTCCAACGTTTCTTACCATGGCTTCTGAGTCACTGGGTAATCTGGCCCCTGCCTACCTCTCAAGCCTCATTTTTTCCTTCACCCTGCTCCCATACCCTAGCCTCCTGTTTTGTTCTTCAAAAACTACAGTCTGTCTCATCTCCATGCTTTTGGACATGCTGGTCAGTCTTCATGAAATGCTCTTTCTCCAGATTTCTATGGGGGTGGCTTCTCTTTATCTTTCATATTGCTTTGTATAAGTGTTATTCCACCTGACTATCACCCCTGAATTAGTATATTTTATAGGACTCTGGGTTTTTCAGAGCACTTATTACAAATTAAAAATATCTATTTATAATTTTCTGCTCTTCTAGCAAATGTTCAGTGTTTTTGGGGAAAGGACGATGCATGTTTTATTCACAGTTATCTCTCCACTACATAGCTTTAGTAGGCAGATTTCTAAGACAGCCCCCAACATTCCTTCCCCTCATGGTATACACCCTTTATAACTCCCTCTCTTGAATGTACAAAGGATTTATGAGCAAGAATGATATTTCACTTTCATGATGAGGATATATTTTATGGGAAAGATGAAGCCATTTTGTATGTGTAATTAAGGTCCCTAATCAGTAGACTTTGAGTTCATTAACTGAGGCATTACCCTAGGTGGACTGACTAATCTGGTGAGTCTTTAAGTCAAGCGAGAGAGATCAGCAGCAGCAACAAATGTTTGTCCAGTGTCTTGAAGAAGTTAGCTCTCATGTGAGAGTAAGAGTACAGGCGGCAAGGACCTGAGGGTGACCTCTGGGAGCTGAGAGTGGTCTCCAGCTAACAGCTGTCAAATACTGGGGAATCTCAGTGATATAACCACAGAGAAATGGATTCTGCCAAAATCCTGTGAGCTTGGAAGAGCCCACTGAGCACCAGGTGAGACTGCAGCTTGATGAACACCTAGATTTCAGCCTGAGGAGACACTAAGCAGAGGACCCTGCTAAGCTGCACCTGGACTCTTGACCTAAAGAAAGTGTGAGATAACAAATGTGCGTTTTAAACCACTTAGTTTGTGGCAATTTGTCACACACCAGTAGATAGCTGATACAAATAGCAAAGTACCTGGCACTTACGAAGCCCACAGTGAATATCGTTGCATGAAGAGATATCCAATTTTATTCTCACATGCATTGCTGGAGTAAGAGGACATATTTATGTATGGAAAGGGAGGGAAAGATAAGGGAAGTAAGTACTTTAATAGGAGGATGAAAATGGAAAGGGAGAATCAAAGCATGGACAAACACTTCATATTAAGTTGTTGCAAAATTGCACTAGCTCAAACATAATACTTTTCCAAGGGTGAGCCTTGCCCTTACATCTCAGCATAACCTAAACAATCCAAGGTATATTTGTCCAAATGTCTGAGACTATTTGGAGAAGAAAACATTAGAGATGTAGACATGAAATAATGGGTTTTACTCCCTGTAAATTAAAGAAGGCCGTATTCAGAAGAACAAAACAGAAGAAATTCAACAAGAATTCCAATCAAGGGTAGAAAAAAATGCAAATTTTATTTCTAGTGTTTCCAAAAACTCAAACAAAGCAGACCTTAACTCACATAAGCCTCAGTACACTTTGAACCCTCAAGTCAATGCACAAAGCAGGAGAGCCTTAGATGTTGTTTACTTTGTTTTGTTTTTTCCTTTTTCCCAGAGAAGCATAAACCTAATATGTACACCTTAATTATAGCATCAAGCACTACTTCCTAAGATTTATCAGGTTGCTCATGGAGGTCTCAAAGGGATCCAGCCTGTGTGAGTAGAAAGACAACCGCAACAAGGTTGAAAGGCATTGATTTTCTCTGCAACTCCTGGGCTATGACACCAGCAACAAGTCCCTCTACTTCATTTCTGGATCCAAGCAGTTGTAAAAAGGGAATCATAATTCAAGCTATCCATCATCACTTGGAATTAGTGTGAGGGTCCCATGAACACACAGCGTCTGGAGCTACGGAGGTGTGCAATTTATTAAAAGCTAGTCACACAGAGAAGTCAGTAAAATGCTTAGTGGGAGAGATCTTGTCTTTGTCTTCTACTCAACAATCAGTAAAAGGCCCTGGACCCAAGAAACAATCAATCTTCCAAGGCTATTGTTGAAATACTTACTTCATCAGCATGCCTGGAGAGCTAACACATCAGGAAAACACAGAAGAGCTATTGTTCTACCAGCAAGGCACTGGGATTCACAGGCTGTTTCCCATACTAGAATGTTATATCACTGATACAAACTTTGACTTGTTATTTATGCAATGACCATTATTGGGCATTTTTCCTCTGTTTGGCTGTAGACAGGAGGAGTACAGCGGCAAATAAAACAAATCCCTTGTCTTCATGCAGGTTGCAATATTCTTTTTTTGTTTTGTTTTGTTTTGTTTTGAGACTGAGTTTCGCTCTGTCACCCAGGCTGGAGTCCAATGGCATAATCTCGGCTCACTGCAACATCCCCCTCCCAGGTTCAAGCAATTCTCCTGCCTCAGCCTCCCAAGTTGCTGGGATTACAGGCACCTGCCACCACGCCTGGCTAATTTTTGTATTTTTAGTACAGACGGGGTTTCACCATGCTGGCCAGGCTGGTTTCGAACCCTGACCTCAAATGATCCACCCCTCTTGGCCTCCCAAACTGCTGGGATGACAGGCATGAGCCACCATGTCCAGCCTGCAGTATTCTTTAAAGACAATCTTTGCCTTTCTCCTTGACTTTAACATTTCTCCTTGACTTTAGCCCACCTACACATATCTCCAAGTCTTTTCATCATACTATGTTGTTGAGATATTTCCTTCATGAAGACTTCCCTTGGTCTCCCAGCTGAAGCTGTCCCCAGAATATCGAGGTTCGCAGATTAACTCATCATGAGGTATCTTGTGTTATATACCTCCCTTCTACCCTACATCAAACAGCTTGAAGGCAAAGATAGCACTTTGATCTTGGTATTTATTGCCCACAACACTTTGAAAAACATCTCACCTGAGCTCAATGAATGCTCATCAATATCAGTGACTCTCAGCCTTGTTGTTTCAACACATAGTGTTTCAAATAATTTGTTTTCAATAAAAACATATAGTTTATAGATGCCTTTAAAAGTAAATTAGAAGACTGGGCACAGTGACTCATGCCTGTAATTCCAGGACTTTGGAAAGCCAAGGCGACAGGATTGCTTGATCCCAGGAGTTCGAGACCAGCCTGGGCAACATGGCAAAACCCCGTTTCTACAAAAAATACAAAAATTAGCTGGGCATGGTGGTGCATACCTGTGATCCCAGCTATTTGGGAAGCTGAGGTGAGAGGATCACCTGAACCCAGCAAGTCGAGGCTGCAGTGAGCTGTGATTGTGCCACTGCACCCCCGCCTGCACATCAGAGTGAGACCCTGTCAGGAAAAAACAATAAAAAGTAAATTGGAGGATATTTAAGGTTATCCCTGTAATCACATTACCTTGACTCAAGTCATTGTGAGTGCTCTCTTGAATAGGTGGAGTAGAGCTATCACTTGGGAACTAATAACTGTGCATATCTGAGGACATTCGTGGGAGTTTGCTATTGACGTCAACTTCATCCATGATTTGGATTCTAAAGGCAAACAATTATGAGAGAGAGTTGATTTTTCCAAAACATTTAAAAAATATTTTATTACGTAAGTTAGATATCTATATCTATAAAGTAGGGAGTAAAAATCTCCTCCATTTAAAATGACTGTCCATTGCTAACCACTGTTAACAGATTATTTCATGGCCTTCCAGATTTCTTTTTAGGCTCATACATACATTGCCATAGTCTCATAAAAAATCACACTTTAAAGCTCTACTCTATTTATATAAGGCAGACATGATGTTACATTATATGAATATACTATCATTTGTTTAGCCAATCCTCTTTTATTACACACTCTATTAGACAATTAAGACAACTAAATACCATTTTAAAATGATTTTTAGAGATCCAAATTCCAAATTATATTCTTCTATGTATAAGTCTATCCATTCCAATCAAAAAAAAAGAAATATAATCAAATACATCAGTATTGGCACAACTTAATGTAAATGCATTCTTAGGAAATACACTATTTCAAAGAAAAATGATATTCATTCCTAGGCTCTATGTTGGTTTATTTTTAATATGTAACAATAGCATCCTTTCTAATTAGAAGGTATATTTTTCTCATTTCTTTTAAATTGACACATAATAACAATACATATTTATGGGATACAGTGTGATATTTCAGTGCATGCATACAATGTGTAATGAGCAAATTAGGACAATTAGCAAATTTGTCATCTCAGACATTTGTCACTTTTTTTGTGTTGGTAACATTGAAAATCCTCTCTTCTAGGCCAGGTGTGGTGGCTCATGCCCAAGGCAGGTGAATCACTTGAGGTTAAGAGTTTGAGACCAGCCTGACCAACATGGTGAAACCCCATCTTTACTTATTAAAAGAAAGAAAGAAAATCCTCTTTTCTAGCCACTTGTTAATACACAATATACAATAAATTGTTAACGATAGTCACCCTACTATGCTATAAACACTAAAGTTTCTTTCTTCTATCTACCTCTACTTTTTTGTTTGTTAAGAAACCTCCACTTACCTCCTTTCTCTGTGCTATTCCCAGCCTCTCATAACCACTCTTCTACTTTCTACATCTATGAGATCAACTTTTTTAGCTTTCACATAAGAGGGAGAACATGTGGTACTTATCTTTCTTTGCCTGGCTTATTTCACTTAATATAATGGCCTCCAATTTCATTCATGTTGCTTCAAATGACAGAATTTCATTCTCTTAATGGCTGAATAATATTCCATTGTGTGAACAGGCCACATTTTCTTTATCCATTCATCTGCTGATGGACACTTAGGTTGATTCCATATTTTAGCTATTGTGAATAATGCTGCAATGAACCTGGGAGTGCAGGTCTCACTTCAATATTCAAACTTCCATTTTTTTGGATATATAACCAGCAGTTGGATTGCTGGATCATATAGTACTTCAATATTTATTTTCCATAATGGCGATACTAATTTACATTGCCACCAACAGTGTATAAGCAGTCCCCTTCCTCTGCATCTTCACCTGCATTTGCTTTTTGTCTTTCTAATGATTGCCTTTCTAACAAGTGAGATGACATCTCACTGAAGGTTTACATTTCCATGAGGATTTGTGATGTTGAGCATTTTTTCATATATCTTTTGGCCATTTGTATGTCTTCTTTTGAGAGATAATTATTCATTTAATTTACTCATTTTTAAATCACATGATTTATTTTTGTGGGTTTTTTTTTTGTTTTTCAGTTGTTTGAGTTTCATTTATATTCTTTTCTGAATTTTCACTTTCATCAAAATAATACATATAAAAATCAAATAATGCCATAATAAAAAATGGCAGTCCCATGTCCCAGCATTCCTATCTTCCAATTGTCATGCCTCAGAGGCAACTGTTTTAAACCTTTTAATTATTTCTTTTGGTATTTATGTTCATATTACTAAATATCACATAGTATACTGTTTGTTTTCCTTGAATTTTCAATATTAGATCTTCATTGACTGCCTTTTGCAGAAGATTATAATTTAATTTTTTTATTTCAATAGCTTTCGGGGTACAAGTGGTTTTTGGTTAGAAGGATGGATTGTATTGCGGGTTTTTTTTAACTTCTATTTTTTAAGTTCAGGGGTACAAGTGCAGGTTTGTAACACAGGTAAACTTGTGTCATGGGGGTTTGCTGTACAGATTATTTCATTACCCAGGTATTAAGCCTAGTACTCATTAGTTATTTTTCCTCCTCTAGCTCCTCCCACCCCCGACCCTCCGAAAGGCCCCAGTGTGTGTTCTTTCCCTCTATGTGTCCATGTGTTTTCATCATTTAGCTCCCATTTATAAATAAGAACATGTGGTATTTAGTTTTCTGTTCCTTTGTTAGTTTCTAAGACAATGGCTTCCAGCTCCATCCCTGTAAAGGGTATAATCTCACTCTTTTTGTGGCTGCATAGTATTCCATGTTGTATATGTACCACATTTTCTTTATCCAGTCTATCATTGAGGGACATTTAGGTTGATTCCATGTCTATGCTATTGTGAATAATGCTGCAATGAGCATATGTGTGCATGTGTCCATAGACCAAGCAGAGGAAAGAATCTCAGAGCTTGAAGACTTGAAATCAGACAGGAAGACAAGAGTAGAGAAAAAAGAATGAAATGAAATGAACAAAAAAAAAAACTGAGAAATGTGGGATTATGTAAAAAGACTAAATCTAGAACTGATTGCTGTACCTGAAAGAGATGGGAGAATGGAACCAACTTGGAAAACATATTTCTGAAATCATTCATGAGACTTCCTCAATCTAGCTAGAGGGCCAACATTCAAATTCAGAAAATACAGAGAACCCCAGCAAGACACTCCCAAGAAGACACATAATCTTGTCATCCCAAAGACACATAATCATCAGATTCTCCAAGGTCAAAATGAAAGGAATAATAGGAGTAATATGTAGTTTTTTTATCCCTCACTCCCCTCTTCCCTTCTGATTCTCCGCAATGTTCATCAAACCACTCTGTATGCCTTTGTATACCCATAGCTTAACTCCCACTTACAAGTGAGAACATACAGTATTTGGTTTTCCATTCCTGAGTTACTTCACTTAGAAAAATGGCCTCCAGCTCCATCCAAGTTGCTGCAACAGACATTATTTTATTCCATTTTTATGGCTGAGTAACATTCCATGATGTATATATACCAGTTTCTTTATCCACTCATCAGTTGATGCACACTTAGGTTGATTCCATATCTTTGCAATTGTGAACTGCACTGTGATAAACATACATGAGCAGTTATCTTTTTGATATAGTGATTTATTTTCCCTTGGGTAGATACCCAGTAGAGGGATTGCTGGATTGAATGGTAGATCTATTTTTATTTCTTTGAGAAATCTACTGTTTTCCATAGAGGTTGTACTAATTTACATTCCCACGAGTAGTGCATTAAAGTTCCCTTTTCACCACATCCATGCCAACATGTATTTTTTTTAACTTTTTAATAATGTCCATTCTGGCAGGGGTAAGGTGGTAGTTTGCATATCCCTGATTATTAGTGATGTTGAGCATTTTTTTTCATATTTTTGACCATTTGTCTAGCTTCTTTTGAGAAATGTCTATTCATGTCTTTTGCCCACTTTTTGCTGGGATGTTTTTTTCTTGCTGTTTTGTTTGAGTTCATTGTAGATTCTGGATATTAGTCTTCTGGCAGATGCAGAGTTTGCAAATATTCTCTCCCATTCTGTGGGTTGTTGGTTTACTCTGATGGTATTTCTTTTGCTGTGCGGAACCTTTCAGTTTAATTGGGTCCCCTTTATTTATTTTTGTGTTTGTTGCATTTGCTTTTGTGGTCTTAGTCATAAATTCTTTGCCTAACCCAATGCCCAGAAAAGTTTTTTCTAGCTTTTCCTCTAGAATTTTTATGGTTTCAAGTCTTCAATTTAAGTCTTTAATCCATCTTGAGTTGATTTTTGTACACAGTAAGACACAGGGATCCAGTTTCATTCATGTGGGTCTCCAGTTTCCCAGGACCATTTATTGAATAGAGTGTCTTTTCCCAATTTATGTGTTCTTAAGACTTGTCAAAGATCAGTTGGTTTTAAGTATGGCTTTATTTCTGGGTTATGTATGTTGTTCCATTGGTCTATGTAGCTACTTTTATACCAGTACCATGCTGTCTGGATTGCTATAGCCTTGTAGAATAATTTGAAGTAAAGTAATGTAATGGCCTCCAGATTTGTTCTTTTTAAGATTGCTGTGGCTATTCAGGCTCTTTTCTGGTTTTATATGAATTTTAGGATTGTTTTTTCTAGTTCTGTGAAAAATGATGTTGGTGTTTTGATAGAAATTGGATTGAATCTGTAGGTTGCTTTGGGCAGTATGGTCATTTTCATGATATTGATTCTTCCAATCCATGAGCATGGGATGTATTTTCATTTGTTTGTGTCATCTATGATTTCTTTCAGCAGTGTTTTGTAATTCTCCTTGCAGAGGTCTTTCACCTCCTTAGTTAATTATATTCCTAGGTATTTTGGTGTGTGTGTGTTTGTTGCAGCTATTGAAAAGGGGATTTTTTTTTTTTTTTTTTGGAGCAGAGAGTTTAATAGGGGAAAAGCAGCAAGAAGGAAGGGAGAAGGAAGAAGCTTCCCTTTACAGAGACAGAGGGAGGGGGCTTCAAAGCCTAGAGGTGGAACCTCAAGTGGTGCAGAAACCAGCCAGGTGTATATATAGAGGCTGAAGGAGGTGGTGTCTGACTTGCATAGGGCTCAGGGGATTGGTGGGATTTGGTTTTTGATTTGATTCTTAGCTTGGTCATTGTTGGTGTATAGTAGTACCACTGGTTTGTGTACATTGATTTTGTAATCTGAGACTTTACTGAATTCATGATCAAATCAAGAAGTCTTTTGGAGGAGTCTAGCGTTTTCTAGACCCTAGATGTATAGTAGTAGTTGATGTAGAGTAGTGCCACTGGTTTGTGAACATTGATTTTGTAACCTGAGACTTTACTGAATTCATTATCAAATCAAGGAGTCTTTTGGAGGAATCTAGGATTTTCTAGGTATACAAGCATACCATTGGCAAATGGTTTCAGTTCCTCTTTTCCAATTTGGATGCCCTTTGTTTCCTTCTTTTGCCTGATTGCACTGGTTAGGACTACCTAAATGCCACTTTTTATTAAGACAAACAATGCTTCAGTAAACATTTCTATTCACACAGCTTTGCGCACTAATGTGACTTTTTGAAAGACAAAATCCTTAAAATATTATTTGGCAAGATCACAATTTGAAATGTACGTTTCTTTTGACCCTACAATAACACTTTTTGACTACTTTGTTTTTCCTTTTTTCTTTCTTTCTTTTTTTTTTGAGACGGAGTCTTGCTCTGTCGCCCAGGCTGGAGTGAAGCGGCGCCATCTCGGCTCACTGCAAGCTCCGCCTCCCGGGTTCATGCCATTCTCCTGCTTTTTGGCTACTTTTTAACAGATTGTCATCTCCTCAGCACTGTCTAGTGGTGTCTCTCTACAACTCAAACTGTTCATTTATAATAGCTTTAGGTACAAAGTTTGGGGGGAAAAGAAGAAAACCGTTTATGTGATGCTCAAGAGTCATGATGATTTCTCTTCTACCAAACGACCAAGGAGGATGAGCAGTCATAGTGTTTACCAGAGACACAGAATAGGAGCTCAATGATTATATTTATCAGCCCATTATATACAGCTTCTCTGGGAATTGTAATCCAGGGAAGCTTTAATTATTTGAAAGATTTGAAACCTGCTTGCCTGAAAGTTGGAAATTGACCTATAAATAGTATGATGCTGGGCAGTGTCTCATTACCTTCCCCTACTATCCATCTCTTATTGTCAGATCCAGCTAGTGATACTTTTAGATTTGTTCCATGGTGTTATCCAAGCCTTTTTGATTACATTCTTCCTGCAGCCTCTCAGTAGGCAGTGAAAATTCGGGAAAAGGGGCAGACAAACCTTTCATTTCTTTTTGAGCATACACCTTTAAGTTGGGCAAATGATCAAAGATCTTTTCTGATTTCTTCATTCCTGCTACACATGCAATAAACTTAGCACTTCAAAACAAATCTGTGTTCACTAAACTACTCTCTAAAAGTGAGCCTATATGATGCAGTGGAAGTCTTCTGTGAAACTGTGCTGTTCTTGGAACACCACTTGGTTGATCCTATGAGAAGGAATGATCAACCACAAAAAGATCATCAATTTTCAGCAAGCAGCAGCAGGTAAAACAGGCTCCTGTAGCATCAGAGGCTGCTGGCCTTCAGAGAGAAGAACAAAGCTAGGGATTTGAACAGTTGAAATTCTGCTGCTGTGTAAATCTAGTATATGACTGAGTGCTTTCACATCTGCCCACATGATATTGACTCAGTTCAAGGAACACTCTTTAGTTCCTAAGCATGGATGATCCAAATCAAAATACAGAGGCAGGCAGATTTCCATCTTCAACCCCTTACTGCTCAGTGGAGTGACTCTGAATGGCAGCTCATGTGAGAAAACAATGACTCATCAAACAACTGTTGGGGGAAAAAAAGATCAGAGAGTCTATTACAGCATAAAATTAAAATTGGCCAATAGTACCTATCCCACCACAGCCACCAAGGTGGTAATCTAGTCTATTGTGAATATTAAATGGATAAAAAGTTAACCTTTATCTGCTGCAGCTGAGAGGGATGCTTAATAGTGTTACACAGGAAGTGACACAGTGGGGGATCCTTTTCAGCTTGGACATGCTGAAGATTATCTTTCCCACCTCCAAGGAATAGAAATGAGAAGTCCTCCTTTCACCAAAGCTCAAACAGAACATAGAAGCAGCAGTAGGTGATATACAGAAGATTACATAGAAATAGAGAAGTTATTTCTGGATAATTGGCAGCAGACATTGTAGAGCACGTGGGAGGAAGACTCTCCATGGCAACTCAGTTTATGATGGCTCCATATTTAAACTAAATGTTGAGCTTTTATACTTCCAGAGTGAGGATTTTCTGTAATTTTTGATATTAAGTTCTCTAATTCAGGAAAGCAAGCATTCCAGCAGAGGTCCACATAAGGCAAGAAGAGCATGAGATATGCAGAAAATAATTTACAGATCTTAAAGATTTTATTAAAAGGGAGAGAAATTCAGATCAAATGAGACCAGAATCACCGGCTAAAGCTTTTTAGCAATTTCTAGTGGGATCAATTGGTTATTAATTGCAAATCCTATCGTACTGCCTTTGTAGTTTCTTATATATAACTATGCTTGTGCCGAGTGTATAATAAAATTGTACATAATATTCCATTACATCATTTGTTCTCAATGAATACTTTTTCTTTGCTTTTGTAGAGTTTATGTTATAGATGGATAAAACCCCATCTCATTCAAGATTCTGATGTCTGTGGAAGGCTCAGGTTGATGGCACCTTTTGCAGAATTCTTCCTTCCTTGCATTGTCAAGTCAGAATAAACAGTGCTGTCCTTCCATTGCAAAAGTACATCCGGGATAGCCTTGCTCTCAGTGTTTATTTTGATCTGCTATCACTTGTTTGAAAATATTATAATGGGGATGGAATGTAGTAGTGATCTTGATACCCCATCCAATTCACTCTCCTATTCATTTCCCTTTAAAGACCAAGCATATTGAAAATTGGCCATTGGTACCTCCTGGAATCCATTCCAATGCCATATGCCACGGCCAGTAGCACCTACCTGCTGGTAAGCAATCCTGTTATCCTTGTCCTACTAGTCATGCTATGCCCACTAATCTGTTCTTAGTTAAGGATCCCAGAAAATGAAGTCTTTCTCTTGGTGTACTGTTTTAAACTTTTACTACTCCTAAGGGTATTAATAGTTTAACAGGAGAACAAAGCCATTAGCCAAAGAAATTAAGACATCAACAAGCTGCTGAGAGTCTTTTTAGTCAACACAAACGGATATTACAAACATTCAGACAATTAAATACATGGCAATATTTTTAAAGATCTGACCTGTTTTTATGCTTAATTTTCTATGAACCTAATAAAGCAATATATTCTAAACTGGCACAAGAAAACAATTCTTAAAGTATTTTTTTTATATGGTTTGGCCTAGAATTTCCATTTCTGGTAATTCGTCCTAAGTCTTCCAAAATAGGAAAGCATTTTTAGCAATGTTAATCAATGTGTCATTCTAATAGCTAAAATCAAAAATAATCTAAATGTCCAGCAATAGGAGAGTAATAAAGTCAATTATGATACATTCATTTATAATGAGATAACATCATGAAATATTAATATTTGTGCTTTTCTTTCCTGTAATCTGTTATACATGACCCTTCTCCTAGTTAATCAGAGGCATTCAAAGGAAATTCAAATTGTTATGGCAGGAATGGAAAGAAAGAGATAGTCAATATTCAGTCTTTTTAACTTCCAAAATAAGCCTTGATCATTACAAAGAATGGCTTTGGGGGAAAGTTGACTGACGGAGTTTATGCAACAATAATTGGCTAGAAAGAAAAGAGTAGGCAATCATGCCTGCCATCTCCATTCCTGGCTGGGAAAAGAGATATGCCAGGGTCTTGGAGGGCAGATGCTGCCAAACACTAGCAGAATGGGGAATGGATCTGAGAGACCACATGAAGAGAATCAGCATCAAGAGACAGGCTAACCCCGTCTATTCAAGGAAGCCCATCTTGGGGCAGATACTGAGAACCCCAGTGAGCAATTCCCACTTCTGTCCATGAGAGGCTCCGAGGAAAGGTTACCTGGAGATCTCCCAATCATCTAGCAGGAGGACAACCACCTATGCCCTAAGCCTCTGAAGACCGCCAAACTACTCTATATGGACTAATGCCTTTTGGGACAGTCATGAGTCTTTCGACTCAGACTATAGTGTCCTTTCTATGCAGAGGAAAATGAGAAGATACAAACAAAAGCGCCAGCACTGGCACTTGAGTGGGACTGGAGGGTGGTGAAGCTCACTCCTTTACACACACAATAATAATAACTATCATTTATTACTTGCCAAGCATAATTCCAATCGTTTTACAGGTATCAAATTGCATCTTCACAACAGCCCTTCCTACAAGGTGGATACTGGTATTGGTTTATATTACAGATGGGGAAACTGAGAAAAGAGACATTCAGTAGTTTGTCCGTGATCACACAGCTAATAAGTAGTGGATTCAGTATTCAAATCTAAGCAATATGACCCTGCAGCCTGTGATCCTAATGCTGTGGTATGCTGCTTCCCATGATCAGCAACTAAAAATAATGTTTGCCCCAAATTTGTAAGTACATGCGTAGGAAGTTTGTGTTATGATCCTAAGTGACTCAATCAGAATTTAATACTGTAACTACAATGCAATCCACATTTTTAAAAAGACATCAAAATATTAATAATAGTTGACTATGGATGGTAGGAGGATTCTGAGTGATTTAAGATTCTTTTTTTTTATTTTTCTGCATTGCGAATTTTCTCTTTAATGAGCATATGTTACATTTAAATCCTGGGGTAAAAACTCACTTTCAATATTCCTTGAACTTCTCAAACACAAACATATAGACATACATTTTTGAGTTACAAACTCCAGTTCTTTGAAGAAATTGTGTTATTTTGGCAACAATGAGAGATGCCACAAAGCATATTTCTAACAAGAATAGTTCAAAAGTACCTTAACACACCAGAGAAAAAGCCAGGAACATCAGTAATAAGCTACATTTATCCTTTCAGACAATTACTTCGACAGGAGGGACAGGGGCACAGATGACAGAGATTAGGTCAGCATAAGTTGTCACATCTGAGCAGCCCTGCCATTTTTCTACATTTTATAGCTTGGAAGATCTTAATATACCAAAATTCCCAAGGAGAATCAAAGTAAGTTAGCACCAAATTTTTCATTTTCACTCTTCATATGATGTCTTTTGATAAATACATATGCTTAGTTTTCATGTGGTTAAATTTATCAATCATGTTCTCTATGGATTGCACTTTTTTGTGTGTTGTTTAAGAAAACTTTTCATGTTTTAAGTTCATGAAGATATCCACCTATGTTCTCTCCTAAAGTTTTAGAGTTTACCCTTTTACATATAGGTGTTTAATACCCTTGGGATTCATTTTTGCGTATAGTGTAACGTGGGGTCCAATTCCATGATTTTCCATATAGATAACGAATGTCTCAGCACCATGCCTTGAAACATCCACCTTTTCTCCACTGATCTGCAATGCCACTTCTTTTATATGGGCTCTTCTTTCTATTCCAATGGTCTCTTTGCCTATAGCTATGCCAGTACAACACCAATTTACTATCGTAGATTTATAACAAGTCTTGAGATATGAGAGCAGCACTGAAATTTACAACGAAGTGCCAAATGGTGAGAACTAACTAGAGAATTCACCTAGAACCTCCATATTGAAAAAAACAAACAAACAAAAAGAGAAAGAAAACTGGCAGACATTTGTGCTTCATTGTTAGATTTTCTTTGCCTTGCATTTATTTATGTGTGGTCTCCCTCATCATCCTACCCCACCACATAAATATGCAGCTATTATGAATTCATAGATTTATCATGTACCAAGTCCACTTAGATAAAAATAGGAGAAAAAAATGAGAGGTCTAAAGAGAAACAGCATTCACGGGTAAAATAACAGAATGAAATTACTATGAAGGCTTCTATCTGACACTGTCAAAGGCAAGAGTGAGGGCATATCCAGCCTTCCTGGCAGCATTAAAATCTCGATGTTCAGAAATATGACAGGCTTGATGAGCCTAATTAAGGCATGTGGAAAAATTAGTTTATCACCCAGATTGTGGAGACTTCCAAACCGCTCCCAAGGCTGGAATCTCTGAATTTGGCACTGGAGAAGATAAAATATAGCCTGGATCATCTTGTTGCTGTTATTCATCAGGCAGCACTGTGTTCCCAGATTGTACTTAATAGAGCCCAGGATAGTCTATCTGTTTAAAAAATGGACAGCCTAAGAAATTATTTTTTACAAAACATGCACACTTACTTCCAAGGTGCCTGAAAATAAGACTTGGCTGAAGAGTGAAACAAACAACATCTTACAGACTCCGCTGTTGGTGTTATCCTTGGGTACATTTGACTTCTATGTGGTAACACCAAGGTCACTCCTAATTTCATCTTCTGTGAATATCCAAAACATTTTCTCTTATCAAAGTTTCCCCATACCTGCCTAAGAGGCATTGCATAACAGCAGCAGCCGGTAAATTACATTCCTGGGGACTCACTGGGCGATAACCTAAGAATAAGGAGGTCATGGATGCGCTCACTGTTTCTTGCTTAACTCTTGCCTTGGAATACATCAATATTTTCTTAGTCTTACTCTGGAGTATTTTCTCAAAAGAGCTGGTCTGGCCTTAAAAAAATAGTTTCAAGTTTCATTTTTAAAACCAAACAGGCTAAGTCATTGCACGCCCAAAGGTACTCATCACAACTTGTCTTGTTCTTGATAAAACATTCATATGTGAGGGAATTTGGTATGGATGCTTCAGTTATCAGAGAGAATAGGAAGCATATTGATTCACTAGTCTATAATGAACTGGCCTGGGCCTCTCTCCAGAAAACTTGCACATGGAGGTAATGCTCACAGCCCCAGATAATCCATCACTCTTACTATTTACCCAGCTAGCCCATCTGGTCTACAGAGAAAAGGATAAGAATATCTAACAAATGTTCAGGCAAAGTGATCATTTGGCTGCTCATTTTCATCATTTCCTTAAACCAACTTAGCAAGTCTCAAGCTTTGGTCAAAGTTTTCATTTTGAGGAAATACAAAAGCTTGTTATAAGGCAATAATAATAATAGTTGCTGTATGCCTAGATCTTCCATTTTGGTAATTTTCCCATCCCCATGGATGTGTGCAGTTGACTTCCACATCTATAATTCTACTTATGACTTCTCCCTTGAGCTGCAGACATGAACTACAGCTATTTACATGATAACTCTATCTACTTATCAAATAAGCCTCTCTAAGAGGTTCAAAATTAAACATTTGCTTTTTCTGGCAAGTGCCTGCCACTCCTTTAGTTCTGTCTCTCAACAAAAACTTCAAGATCAAAAGGTCTAGGAGTCACTTTTGATTCTTCTTTTTCCTTACGCCTCTTACCAGTAAGTTCTGTAGCCTCTTCTTCCAAAACATATTAGAAATCTTCCCATTTCTCTTCTTGGCTTTCATCTTCGCCCAAGCTAACATCATTTCTTGCTCAAATTATTAACAATAGGCACTTAATTGGCCATTGACCCACTCTTACAACCCTTTAACACTCTTTCTATTATAGTTTATTTAAAGCAGCCAGAACGATCTCTTTCAAGCATAGATCATATTACTTATGTGTTCATTCCTTTCCTTCTCTCTCCTCTTTTTTCTTTTCTTTCCTTTTCTTTTCTTTTTTTTTTTCTTTTTTTTCTTTTTTTTTTTTTTTGAGACAGAGTCTCGCTCTGTTGCCCAGGCTGGGGTGCAATGGTGTGATCTCGGCTCACTGCAACCTCCATCTCCGAGGTTCAAGTAATTCTCCTGCCTCAGCTTCCTGAGTAGCTGGGATTACAGGCACATGCCACCACGCCCAGCTAATTTTTGTATTTTTAGTGGAGACGGGGTTTCACCATGTTGGTCAGGCTGGTTTAGAACTCCTGACCTTGTGATCCACCCATCTCGGCCTCCCGAAATGCCGAGATTATAGGCATGAGCCACAGCGCCCAGCCTTTCTTCTCTTTATTATTATTATTATTATTATTATTATTATTATTTTTATTTTTAATTGAGACAGAGTCTTGCTCTGTCACGCAGACTATAATGCAATGACAGGATCATAGCTCACTACAGCCTCAAACTCCTCGGCTCGAGCCTCCTCTTTCAGCTTCTCAAGCAGCTGGGACTACAGACATGCACCACCACACCCGGATAATTTTGTTTTGTATGTAGATATGATGTCTCTCTATGTTGCACAGTCTGATCTCAAACTCATTGCCTCAAGTAGCCTCAAAGTGCTGGGATCACAGGCATGAGCCACTGTGTCCAGCCCTTCCTCTCCTATTAAAACATTCCAGTGGCTTCCAATCACAATTGTAATATAATCCAAAGTTCTTCTTACTCTGGTTAGCTAGATCTCCCATAAACTAACCCCCACTTTCCTCTCTATACCCATCTCTTACCCTCTCCTTCCCACACACTATACTCCAACCACAGTGGGTTTCTCTCTGTTCCTTAAATACTCTAAGTTTGCCCTCACTTCCGTGCCTTTGCTCTTGCTGTTCTCTCTGGCTGGAATGTTCTTCCTCCAGAGCACACGATTAACTTCCTGTCATTCAGCTTTTATCTCAAGTGGCATCTTCTGAGAAAGACCTTCTGTAAATCCTTGTTCAAGTCAGGATCCAAGGAAAGCAGAAATCTTTCTAAGTATACAGAACAGAGGGAATTTAATATGGGCGATAAGTCATACATGGGATGGATAACCTTCAAAGTCAAATAAGGAAGGACAACACAGATATTTACAGCAGCAGGAAAACTAACGGAAAAGTGGTATTACCAGATCCCATGAGCCAAGGTCACCAGATGAAATCTGGGGGAAGCTTTAGACCTGTCCAGCAGAAGCGAGACCCACAGAAGAAACACAGCCACCCTCAAGAACCCGATGAGCACAGGAAGGGTGAGAAAAATACCCTACCTTCTCCCTTCCTTCCATTCTCTAATCTCCCACCAGTGCCTCCACTACCTAAACCCACTTGGAAACAGCTAATATAGGAGATTTGGAAAACATCCCACCACACCTACATACCCTGACTATATAGTTTACAACAGGTAATAGAAAAGATAGATCTGAGGGCAAACAGCCCAGGACCAGTATACCATACCATTTTACCTTTCTATCTCCTCTCTCCTACTCAATGTTAATAATATAATTTTGTTTGGCTATTTTCATAGCACTCATTATTATCTCAATGTCTCTATATTACTTGTCTATTCATCTTCCCAAATTAGAATATAAGCACCGTGGTTTTTGTCTGTGTCTTCAGCACCTTGAACAGTGCATGCAGGGCACTCAATAAATATTTATTGAAAATATATTGAATGAATCATTACTATGTACCAAATATTGTACTAAGAATTTTACATAAATTATCTCACAGAATCCTTATAACGATATCAGGACTGTTTTAACTATGAAGAATCTGGGGATTAGTGGGGTACTATGAGGCACTTTGCCTTGGAAGGGTTCCAGTACCCAGCAGGCTGTCAACGATATAAGCTGAAAAGAAGAAATAACCCACCTACATATAAAATCCATCAAGGTGACATTTTGCCAATTAAAAATTCAGTTCTGCTATTAATGAGTATCTTATTCAACACCTTCACTGAGCAGTGTTGGATAAAGTAGTTGACATTTGCCCATCACTTTCACCTCTTCCAAAGAGGGAGAGAAAGGAAACACACCTGAGTTATTTTTAATTTCTACAAGGTACCAAAACACCTGACCTTCACTACTAATCCTCAGACAATGAAAGTCTTATTCCAAGCCTTTCAACAGTACCTTCATTCTAAGCTGGACACCGGACAATGTAAAATACTATGTCTTATTGGTATCTATTAACAGACATTTTATTTTATTTTTTTGGTGTTATGTTTATTATTTTTATTTTTTATTTTAGTTTTTGTGGGGGACAGTAGGTATATATATTTATAGGGTACACTGGCTGTTCTGATACAGGCATGCAATGCATAATAATCACATCATGGAAAATGGAGTCCCCCTTCCCTCAAGCATTCATCTTTTGTGTTACTAACAATCCAATTATACTCTTTTAGTTAGGATCAGGAAAAATAACTAATGAGTACTAGGTTTAATACATGGATGATGAAATAATCTATACAACAAACCCCCATGAAACAAGTTTACCTATGTAACAAACCTGCACTTGTACTCCTGAATTTAAAATAAAAGTTAAAAAAAAAAAAAGAGGCCGGGCGCAGCGGCTCACACCTGTAATCTCAGCACTGTGGGAGGCCAAGTCAGGTGGATCACAAGGTCAAGAGATCGAGACCATCCTTGTCAACATGGTGAAACCCCGTCTCAACTAAAAATAGAAAAATTAGCTGGGCATGGTGGTGTGCGCCTGTAGTCCCAGCTACTCAGGAGGCTGAGGCAGGAGAATCGCTTGAACCTGGGAGGTGGAGGTTGCAGTGAGCCAAGATTGTGCCACTGTACTCCAGCCTGGCAGCAGAGTGAGTCTCCGTCAAAAAATTAAAAAACACCAGGATGATTAAAAAAATGAAAGAAAATGCAGTACTTATACACAATAGAGGACTACTCAACAGACATTTTAATCTAATTCTAGGTGTTAGTTGTCTCTGGTGAAACATGCTTATCTAAGAAATGGCAGACATCTAAGTTCCATCCACATGGTTTCATATACAATGAAACAGGAATTACAAAGCCACATTAAATTTTGGGCCAAGTTTTTTACTCATGGAATCTGGCCATGGGGCATCTGTCCTTTGAAATTTAAAAAAAAAAAAAGAAAAAAGAAAAAAAAAAGAACCTAGGGAGACTCTGCTTGTGGAAGCACCAACACCCTTACCCTAACTGAGCTCCATGTTGGTACCTGCTGTGTGTGAATCATGGCTACCCAGGCTTCCCCAAGGGAGAAGCCAAGCTTCTGTCTTTAGCTTCTGAAGCAGCTTTTCATCTTGTAAGAATGTCAACTGTTCATTTTGCAACACAACCAAGCAGGGACTGTTTCAGACCTTTGCTCCATTAAACCATGACTTAGAAAAGACAATTAAATTTCCACAGATAAAGATACAGATATACAAATGTACCGTCGCGGCGGCTTTTAAACCCAAATCTAGTTTAGGCTGGTTTATTTTAAAGCCACAGAATTTTATTAGGCTTTACATTAAATCAATAAAGAAAGTTTGGACCAAAGTTTGGAGAGCTTTGGATATAGTCAATGGATTCCTCAGAAACCTACGAAGTGCTCTGAAATTGCTCTGAAATTGGCTTGGGATTTCTGCCGTGCTCAGATGAAGTGACAAGAGTTTCAGCCAAAGCTCCCCAACTTATACCCATCACTGGTTGTACTCCACAGGGTCATATAGGAAAAACGTATGATTTTTCTCTTGGAATGTGCTATTTCCAGGTCCTGTTATTGGTCTTCCAGGTGAACTCTTATAGGACATGAGATCCTACGTGTTAGTTTTAGTAATTTATCTTCTAGACTATTTCAACTATTTAAAGTGGTTTATATACATGTGCATAGTAAAGCCATAAAAGGAAAATTAACTGCAAAAAAATCAAGGTGAATATACTGTGGTTTATAGAAACAGTGCTATGCTCTACAGCCATTAAAAATGATGACACAGCCCTCTATATTTTGATATAGAATATTCTCCAACTTTCCTCATTCAGTCACGAGAACAACATGCAGAGCATAATGCTATAATTTGGTTTACAAAAAGGAAGAGAAAAATACATATAGACTACCCTTGAAAGGATATACAAGAAATGCTTAAGAGTGACTGTCTCTGGGGAAGAAAATTGGAGACGGATTGCACACCTTTTTAGTTGTCTTTTTAACCACATGCATTTCTTACTAATAAAATAAATACATAAATATACACGAACTAAGTCTCTTCCAGGCTGGGCACGGTGGCTTATGCCTGTAATCCCAGCACTTTGGGAGGCAGAGGTGGGAGGATAGCTTGACCCCAGGAGTTCCAGCCTGGGCAACATGGCGAGACCCCATCTCTAATAAGAAAAAGAAATTCTCTTCCAATTCAAGGCAAGGTAAATAAAGCCCTTGCCATTGACACTGTTGTTACCCCACTCAGATCTTTAACAGGCCAGTGTGCCCATATGTGTCATGAGTACTGGCTGCTGAAGGCTCACAGTTGACCCCTGTGGTTTCCCTTGCCTCAAGGTGGGATTAACTGTGATGCAGCATAGGTTCCAGAGTTCACCTTGAGATCAGGTGGAAGCCAGTCTCCAGCTGACCCACCCTGGCTGAGTTCTTTTCCCCTGCGCTTTCACTCCCCTTCTCCTAAGAGCATTCTCAATAAACCACTTAAAAAAGAACTCTCATCTTAAGCTCTGGTTCTAGGGAATCTGGTCAAAAACAGTATTACAGAGATAAAGGTAAAGGTTTACAAAATATTAAGGCTCTAAAAACAAATATATGCTGTCTCCACATTATAGTCAATAATAATTGTTTTTTCTTAAGGTAAAAATGCCTCCCATCCTTAAAAACTTTTTGGAGAAAACCTAGAAGAAATACATAAATTTGTGGAAACACATAATCTCACAAAATTGAACCAGGAAGAAATTGAAACCCTAAACAGACCAATAACAAGTTCCAAAATTGAATCAGTAATAAAAACCCTACCAATCATAACAAGCCCCGACCTAGACAGATTTGCAGACAAATTGTACCAGACATAGAATGAAGAACTAGCTAGTACCAATCCTACTGAAATTATTTCAAAAAATTGAGGAGGAGGGACTCTTTTCTAACTTATTATATATGTCAAAATATGGCAGAGACAAAATGAAGAAAGAAAACTTTAGGCCAGTATCCCTGATGAAAATAGATGCAAATATCCTCAACAAAACACTAGCAAACCGAATCCAGCAGTACGTAAAGAAGTCAATTTACCATCATTAAGTAGGCAGTATTCTTGGGATGCAAGGTTGGTTCAACATATGCAAATCAATAAATGTGATTCACCATGTAAGCAGAGTTATAAACAAAAACCATATAATCACCTCAATAGATGCAGAAAAGGGCTTTTGATAAAATTTAACATCTGTTCATGTTAAAAACCCTCAATAAATTAGGCATCAAAGGAACATACTTCAAAATAATAAGAGCCATCTATGACAAACCCACAGCCAACGTCAAACTGAACAGGCAAAAGCTGAAGGCAGTCCCCTTGAGAACTGGAATAAGACAAGGATACCCACTGTCACCATTCTTATTCAGCATAGTACTGGATGTCCTAGCCAGGGCAATTAGGAAAGAGAAAGAAATAAAGGGCATCCAAATAGGAAAAGAGGAAGTCAAATTATCTCTCTTCACAGATGATATGATTCTACACCTGGAAACTCCTACAGACTCCACCAAAAGCCTCCTAAAACTGACAAACGACTTCAGTAAAGTTTCAGGATATAAAATCAATGTACAAAAATCAGTAGCATTTCTAGACACCACCAACAAAGTTCAAGCTGTGAGCCAAATCAAGAAATCAATCCTATTTACAATAGCCACAGACACAAAAATACCTAGGAATACATGTAATCAAGGAGGTGAAAGATCTCCACAACGAGAAATAAAAAACACTGCTAAAAGAAATCATAGATGATACAAACAAATTAAAAAACTTTCTATGCTTATGAATTGGAAGAATGAATATTTTTAAATGGCCATACTGCCCAAAGCATTCTACAGATTTAACATTATTCCTATCAAACTATTCTAAAATTCATATGGAACCAAAGAAAAGCCCCAGGTAGCCAAAGCCATCCTGAGCAAAAGGAACAAAGCCAGAGGCATCACATTACCCAATTTCAGACTGTACTACAAGGCTATAATAACCAAAACAGCCATTGTACTTGTATAAAAACAGACATATAGACCAATAAAACAGGACAGAGAACCCAGACATAAAGCTCCACATCTACAACCATGTAATCTTCAACAAAGTCGATGATAACAAGCAATGGGAAAAGTACTCCCTATTCAATAAATAGTGATGGGATAACTGGCTAACCATATGCAGGAGATTGAAACTGGACCCCTTTCTTTCACCATACACAAAAATCAACTCAAGATGGATTAAAGACTTAAACGGAAAACCTAAAACTATAAAAACCCTAGAAGAAAACCTAGGAAATACCATTCTGGACATAGGCCTTGGCAAAAATTTCATGACCAAGGCTCCAAAAGCAATTGAAACAAAAACAACAATTGACAAATGGGACCTAACTGAACTAAAGAGCTTCTTCACAGCAAAATAAACTATCAACAGAGTAAATAGACAACCTACAGAACGGGGGAAAATATTTGCAAACTATGCATCCAACAAAGGTCTAATATCCAGAATCTATAGGAAACAAACAAATTAACAAGTGTTGCAGACCCTGGTGGACTGAACAAAGGAGGACAAATGCGGGAATAAAGACAAAGATAAAAGAATATGTTTGGAAGAAGGGGTAGGGGGCTCCTTGCTTCTAGTGAACAAGGGCCCTGAGCTTCTACAGCCCTTCATATTTATTGAGTAAAAGAGATAGAGAGAAAGGGGGTGGTTGTCAGTCAGCTGCTTGATTTAGTGCAGGCCTGCATGGCTGCTTTCTTAGAACAGTAGGCTCCAGATGTTCCAGTAGATAACCTCAAGGAGCATGGTGCCAGGGAGTGATTGCCCTCAGAATACCTTCTGGTGGCAGGCGCAGATGTGAGTTTACCCTCATCCTGCATTCATGATCAACAGTTTTCTGTTTGACCAAATAGCCTCCAGTGGAATGCTGAGTTGGTCACGACCCTCAGCCTTTCAGCTCCCAACAAACAAGCAAAAAATAACCCCATTAAAATATGAGCAAAGAACATGAACAGACACTTCTCAGAAAATATTTATTATGCACCTACTAAGTTCCCAGCACTGTGCTGTAATATGGGGAAGAAAAACAATGGTGAATAGATATATATTAAGTTCCTGCTGTCATGGATTTTATCTTCTAAAGACAGAAGCAGACAGAGCCAATAAAGCACAAGACTAAATGTAAGTGCAGTGAAACAGAGATACATTCAAACATGAAAGCCTATAACAGATAATTTAACTTGGACCAGGGGGTTAGGAAATTCTTTCCCTGAAGAAGGCCTGATTGACTCAAGATCTGAAGGTTGAGTAGGTTTTTCTTATGCAAAAGGGAGGGCAGGGTGTTCCAAACAGAAGGTACAACATGTGAGACTGCCCCACAGAAGAAGGCTGGTATAGTGGGGGCAGTCTTTTGACATTTGAGTGGCATTTGAACCACTCTGGCTGAAATGGGGGTGGAGTTTGGTGGAAGAGGCTGGTGTAAGCAAGAGTCAAACAATGCAGCATGTTTCCTAAGACCAACAGGAAGCTCCTGAAGGGTTTTTCAGCAAGTGAATGACACAATCAGACTTTCATTTGAAAAGATCACTTGGCATCTGAGGGATAATTGGTTGTATGGGACCCACAGAGAATAAGGGAAGGCCAATGCGCAGCGAGTTGAGGATAGGTGTTGTAATAATCCAGATGAGACATGATAGCAGTTTTGCCTATAGTGACAATAAAATGGAAGGAAGGGGGTATATTTGATGTTGTTGATTACCACAGAGCCAAAGTGAGTGTCCTCAAAAGCCAAAGGGCATGTGCCAAGCACATAGCTCTCCAATAAACTGGTTTCAACGAGTCTAAAGTTTAGAGAATCTGAAAAGTAGATTGGTAATACTTCACAAACGTCTCTCATAACTGAGCTTTTGAGAAGGCCTAGAGTTTAGATTGAAATTATCTACCAGGAACTGGGATATTATGTCCACAGACCCAATGGTGACATATATAGTTTTCTCTGGAGCTAGAGGTATAGTTAGAAATTAACATCCTCCTGTAAAAGTCAAAGATACTGCTGTATACAATTGCATATATTTATATAGGTGTAAATTTATGGGTATATATGTTTAAGCTAATAATAAGTAACTCTATACAGTTATTCATAAATGTGAGGACAGATCTTCCCAGTTAATTGAGGGGTTTTTTGTGTATGTCTTTGTACAGTGCTCAGGTTAAAAACAACATTTTCAGGTGTTGTGACATGGTGTCATTTATGTCAGGTAGAACCATTTGCATTCACTATCAAAGACACTTTTCCAAATAAATCTACCTCTTGAACAATACTATCCAGACAAGAATTATTCTTGTTCAGGTATGACTCAGTTTATATGGGCAAGAAGTTTTATAGCTAGCTTTTTTTGTTTTTTACAAGGTACACTTTATGTAGAATGCTAGTGTGATAAATGGGTAAGACCATAGATTTAAAAGGTCAAGTTTGTGGATTCAATTCCTGTGTGGGCCAACTAGCTCCAAATCAGAATCATAGGATTTACAGCTTGAAGGAATTTCAGAGGTAATCTCATGCAAAAACAAAATTTTACAAATGAGAAACATGAGACACAGGGGATGACTTCTCCAAGGTCACCAAGCAGTCAAGCAGTCTAGTGACAGAGTTGTTTTCAAAATATACTAAACACCAGGTCATTTGACTCTGAAGAACACTACACAACTATACTCTTGCATAAATACAAGTTGCTGTTCTTATTCTGATGAGCCAACTGACAGATATTTTATGTTTATGGTTTGCAAATATGGAAAATCAGACTAAGGAAAAAGAGGAGGGTTTTTACTGGAAATACACTAGGTGGGTCACAGATTCAAAGGAAGGTAGAAGCAATCAACCCCAGGCAAGTACTGTAACCAGGGCATCATAAGAGATCTCAGTAGTAGAGGCCCCAGAATTGGGTCCCTAGAAATTACCATTGGCTTTTCCATTTTTAAGCTTAGACTAAAAATAAAATTTCCAGGAGATAGTGTTCCTTCTATTATAGAATGGTCTAGTTTGTATCTGACCAATAGTCCCAACAAGAATGATTACTAAATCTAGACATTTTAAAATATATTTTTGAAGCCATTGAAGGGCTACCAAAGTAGGCAGGATATGAGAAAAGCCCAATTTTTTTTTTTACCAATTTTCCATTTGAGGCATTTGCCAATTCTAAAGCAACAGAAAAGTGAGAAGCTAATCAGAAAGTGATGACTAAAGGGTTAAAAAGATAAGCCACTCTTTCAGATGTCCCAGGGTGCTGGATAAAAGTAGAAATCATAGCTAATAAGCAGTAAAACTTGAGGGGCCAAGCTCACCACAAAGACTGGAGTAAGCTTTACAGTTGGCTTCTGCATTTCCTCTTGAAGCACTTAAAAAAATTTTTGCCCAGTGGCTTAGAGGCTAAAAAACCAAGCAGAAAGCAGAAACTAAAATCCTGAGAAGCTAAACAACATTTATAGTCATCTCACAATGGTGGGGAGACAAAAATTGAAGTTTGCAACTAGCCAAAAGTAAGAGGCTCTGGTAAACACCCCCAAGGTTTTGACTGAGCTTCTGAAGGACTCCAGTCTGGAATCAAGGGCAAAATTGATATGGACCATCCCTTACAGAAATAAACCTAGCTTCCAATCAAATCAGTGTCATACTGGATAAAATCAATTTGTCTCTAGTTTAACTGACTTCCAAAAATCAAAAGTATGCCCAGTTAAAAGATTAACTTAGGCACATTAAATTTTTTAAGACTTTGAGCAGAAGGTGATTCATGAATTGGATAGTGCCAGACTACATGTGATTCAGGGCTCCATTGCAGGAGCATGAAAGGAAGGCTTATAGGGTGACTGCAAAGGCAAGGCAAATAGAAAATATTGGCAAAAAGAAAATATTGATTGGTTAAATTGGAGCAATAGCCTTATTTAGATCATTCCAGTGGAAAGTCCCTAGTTAAAGGTTAGATGGTGATTTCTGATTGGTTAGGCTTAAGATTTGTTTTACTCTTTAGAATGAGTTGAGTTTCAGTTTGCTTATGTAGGAACCCAGGGTGCTAGAGCACCTTAACCTAATAGTCTCCCAAATAATTTTAACAATCCTTCCTAGAGAAAGATATCATCCAGAGTTTCTACAGTGTTTTACACATTTGTCTGGCATTTAGTGAAGTTATCAGACACATCAAGAGATGGAACAAGAAGAGGAAAATCAGTATACTTGCTTATCAAATAGAGATTTTAAAATAACTGATATATCCAAAAAAACAGATGAAAATATGGAGAATTTAATCAAAGAACTGTCACCTACATCAAATAATCAAATGTAAATTCTAAAACTAAAATAAAATGCAAAAACCAAAATTAAGAATTAAATAAATATTTAAGATACCAGAGTAGGCACAGAGGACAGAAAATTAGTCTATCTGAAGATATGTCAGTAGAACGTGTCATTAATGCAACACAGAAATAAATGAAATGATGAGACATGCATACAAATGTATAAAAGATATAGGAGACTACTTGAAAAACTCTAACATTCATGTAATGAGATATCTAGTAGGAGAGGAGAAATGTACTGGTACAGAATAGAAGAAGCAATTTTTTAAGAAAAATTTCCCAAACTGACAAACTAGCAAACCATAGAGGCAAGAAACTCTATGAACCTCAAGTAGGAATAATACAAAAACTGAACAAACAAACTTCCTAGGCACATCATGGTAGAGCTTCTAAAATCTAACGGCAATGAGAAAGTTTTAAAAGCAGCCACAGGAAAAATTAGGTTTACCTTCAAAAAAACAACAATAAGAATTATTGATGACTTCTCAACAGTAACAATGAAAGTCAAAAGACAATGGAATAACATCTTGGAAGTGCTAAAACAAATTCCCATTGACAAAATACTTTTAGACTTTCTTTGACCAAATTTCCATCCCTGTGGAGGGTTGGGCACTACAGAATGAAAGTTTTCCAAAGAAAACAGGGGCTAGGAACAGTATAAGAAATAGAAAAGAAATATGTAGGGCAAACAGAAATAGGCATTATCTATGTACTGATTTAATCCTCACAAATTTCTATGGAAGGCAGAGAGGTAGTTTGCCAAAGGGCATTCAGTGAGCTGTCAAGATGGGACTCATATCCAGATCTAACTTCCAACTCATTCCCTTAACCTTTATTTCCCGTAGAATGCCTTTAAGAAAGAAGAAAGCTAGCAGTCAGATCAGCTGAGTCAAACCTGGCAGTTCCAGGAAGGCAGATTTTGCAGCCTGATCACCCACCTACCCAAAGAGGAATCTTTTTAGCACTCCAGGGAAAAAAAGCAATCTTTCTTAGAGATTAAAATATCAAAAGAACTGGCAGTGCTACACTTATGTAAAATGCCTAGCTCATCTATTTACCAGCTAATGTACAAAATTGTGATTCCAATCAAGAATCTAACTCAAAAGAAGGGACTCATTACTGTCCTGTTTATAAATAAAAACAAGGACAACACACATCAGAAGAATAACCCAAGTAAATTAAATTCACTCCCATGAAAGAATAGTGATAACAAATAGTGTGACCATTTGTCTTATTTGGTTGATATTATGTCTCAACATATAAAGGGATGGATGGAGCTGTGTAGCTGATGCAGTTGCTTAAAATCTTGCTATTTTGGTGAATTACATCCATGGTAAGGTGAAATAAATACCAAGCTAAGGACTTCTCTCGGAACTTTGCCAAATATTCACTCTTCTTCTGTAGTGATTAAGAAGTCACAGAGGGGTTATTTTTTCAACCTTCAAAATCAGATTAAATGAACATACATTAAAAGAGGACAGCACTTCAGAAAAATTACACAGGCCCTTCAGAATAAATTTCAAACCTACTTGTCTGGCAGAAGTGACTCATTTAGTTTTGAGTGGTGTTTTCTTATTTTGAGCATCCATTTCATCATCCAAAAACACCCTGTCAGATCAGTCTTAGACACCGCCTATTAAAATGTTAAACTTCACCTGATAAAATGTAATTATAGCATTCCTGACATTTTTACATAGCACACACATGCTTCAAGCCAATTTTGCTGGAGTTAAGATTATTCCTTTAGATGTGTGAATGCATGATGAAACTGTAAGGAAATATCAATATGTCAAACTCTAATATAGTTGAGAACCTAGTTCCAAAATAAATATGAAAACGAAACCAGAACGTGCATAAAAAGAATAAAAATGGTGACAAAGGCCATCAAAATACTTGGAGAGCTCACCAATTTATGTAATTAAATAAAGACAAAGATGCCATTCAATAGACAGTTATTTAAATGCTTATGAGTCAATATTTCACTTTATTGGGGCAGTGGTTCCTCACCTGGGGAGCTTTTCAGAAGCTTCATATTTATACACCATTATCACTCACTCTGGAAAAAGTCAGCTGTCATGTTATAGGGTCATTTGAACTGCCGTGGACGCTCCAACAGCAAGGAAGTGAAGTCTTCTGCCAACACACTCCACTGGATTTTACTAATATCCATACTCCATTTCATACTATTTGAGTTAGGATTTCTAGAGATAGGATCCAGGTACCAGTATTTTTAATAGCTTCCCCATCACCAGTTATTCTAATATCTACATTGGTCGTGTGTGGCCGTGGTCAACAATTGCTGTAATCATCATCATATAATTAACACCTGAGAGTAGTTAGATGGTTAGGTCAGCCTGCTTATACATTATCCTTAAGTCTGCATTTCATCCTATCCATAGTCCAAGTAACAAAGTCCTTTGGATAAATTGAGGGGCAGCGGTATAGAGAGATGTCCACAAGTTCTTTGATATTTCTCCATTAAAAAAGTGGGGCCTAACTCCACCTCTTGAGTGTGGGCTGGACTTAGGGACAGAAAGTGGCAGAAGTCACAGTATGTAACTTCTAAGATTAGGTCATAGAAAACATTGTACAGAAAGCATTCCTCCTTGCTCTTTCCTGAATCACTCACTCTGGGAAAAGTCAGCCACCACGTTGTAGCCTCCTCTCAAATGCCCTATGGAGAGGCCCACACAGCAAGGAGCTGAGGACTCCTGCCAACAGCCATGCGAGTGAGCCATCCTGAAAGTGGATCCCTCAATCCCAATCAAACTTTCAGATGACCACATCCTCAGCGAACATCTTGATTTCAATCTCATCAAAGACCCTGAAACAGAACCGCCCAGCTAAGATGCTCTTGAATTCCTGACCCAAAGAAACTGTGAAATAATAAAGGTTCAATATTTCAAACTAAGTTTGGGGATACTTTGATACATAAAAATAGAAAACTAATACAGGCAGTCAGTCTTCAAAAACAAATACCAAAAAATTAGGATTGTCCACCAGTCTGTAAAGAGGCCTAACATCATGCCTAACGTGTGGCAGGCATTCAATAACTATTGTGAACAAATAAATGATTGATTGATAAATGATTACCTTCCACTTTTGAACAATGGAAGTTTCCATTCTCTAGCACTCCACAAAGTAGTAGAAGTCTATGTCTATTTTGCAATAATCACCAAGAATTTTGTCTACATAAAGCCTAAAATTTGAAGGAATTAAGCCTCTAATCAGCAGAAATATGTCTCTATTACTAGAAACAACTAATATTATGTTCTGTTTGGACTCACTAGAAAATACCTTCTTGTCATTTTTGCCCATTTGGGAAATCTTCACTGCTCTGAATGTTGTTTTCTTAGCTTTTTATTCTGCAAATTGATATGGCTTTCCTTGCCTCCAAAAATTCTGAATCCAGCATCAAACAATCCAATTGCCTTAAATAACTAATTAATTATCACATTCTGTTGCTAATGCAACGTTCCTCACTTCACCCATTGTAATCAGCTTGTCTCTTCTCATTAAGTCTTTGGGGAATATAATTATTCTCATTCACTGTTCCATGCACCTTCTTACTTACCCATTTCTTGGATAGAGCGGTTTGTTTTCTTCTTTCTCATTTGGGAAGCAGGTGAGCTCTCCACAGCTGTGGTTCCTGAGTCTTATAAGAATCACCCAGTGAACTTGAGGAAAATGTAGCTACTTCGGTGTTGCTTCCAGAGACCCTACTATTGCGGAACTAGGGATGGTTCCCCAAATCGTATTTTGTAACAGACTCTTAAGTTGTTGAAGAAACCATTGCATCTAAAAATCCCTGTGTTTTGTTAAAAAACAAAACATGATCCTCTTCATCCATTAAAATATTCTTGTGCTTTTGTAATTTTAAAAGGGATACACACATGGTCCGAAGAATGTAAAAAAAAAAAACATACGTTTTCCAAGTTATATCTTAAACAATGCAAAGGCCATTGACAACTGGCATGGGTGAGAAGTGGTTCCTCTTTCCTTCTCAGCTTGTTGCCAGCATCTCAACAGGGATGGGTCCTCTAGGATTGGTTCAAGGGCCTCCTTCATGGTTACTATAGAACTAAACTCTTCACTTTTGGCTCTTTTTTTTTCCTAGATGGAGTCTCACTCTGTTGCCCAGGCTGGAGTGCAATGGTGGGATCTCGGTTCACTGCAACCTCTGCCTCCCAGGTTCAAGCGATTCTCCTGCCTCAGCCTCCCAGGTAGCTGGGATTACAGGTGAGCACCACCACGCCCAGCTAGTTTTTGTATTTTTTGTAGAGACAGGGTTTCATCATGTTGGCCAGGCTGGTCTCAAACTCCTGACCTCAAGTGATCTGCCCGCCTTGGCCTCCCAAAATACAGGGATTACAGGCATGAGCCACGATGCCTGGACTGACTTTTTTGTTCAAAACCTTTTTGCCTCTCCCTCTACTGCCTTCGTTATCCTGACACTAGCCAAAATGTTTTTGGCTAATGTTAATGTGGTTTGCATGGGTAGTTTTTCTTCTCCTTACCCCTTCTCCTGGGCCTGGATGTTCCAAAGATAGTTTAACAAATGGGGCCAGGGCATATTTGGTAATGTAATCAAAGTGGGGGCAAAATGATAGATATTCTTTTAACATAATAATGCCAAGCATATGAGCCAAGAGGAGCCATTAGCGTAATAACGCACAGGAGCCAAGAGGAGAAACATCATGGCAGGATAAATGGTTTAATTTTTCAGGAGGGTAGATGCTCTGCCCACATGGTCTGAAATCACCATCTTCTTTCAACCTAGCCACACCTTCCCTGGGCTTATTTTCAGCAGAACCAGATGTGGCTGAGCAACCAACAGCCCAAGTTTAAACACTGAACAGAAGAGGCAGGATCATGAAGGCGGTAGAGGGAGAGGCAAATGGTTTTGAACAAAAAAGAGTCAGGCCGGGCATGGTGGCTCACGCCTGTAATCCCTGTATTTTGGGAAGCCAAGGCAGGCGGATCACTTGAGGTCAGGAGTTCGAGACCAGCCTGGCCAACATGGTGAAACCCTGTCTCTACTACAAATACAAAAACTAGCCGAGTGTGGTGGTACGTGCCTGTAATCCCAGCTACTCGGGAGGCTGAGGCAGGAGAATCGCTTGAACCTGGGAGGCAGAGGTTGCAGCGAACCAAGATCTCATCACTGCACTCAAGCCTGGGTGACAGAGTGAGACTCCATCTCAGAAAAAAAAAAAAAAAAAAAGAGTCAAAAGTGAAGAGTTTAGTTCTATAGTAACCGTGAAGAAGACACTTGCACCAATCTTAAAGGACTCATCTCTGTTGAGACTCAATAAGCTGAGAAGAAAAGAGGAACCACTTCTCACCCATGCCAGTTGTCAATGGCCTTTGCATTGTTTAAGATATAACTTGGAGAGGTTTTGTTTTTTTTACATTCTTTGGACCATATGTGTGTCACTTTTGCTACTATTGAGATTGTTTAATAATAAACTGGGGCATCACTCCCTTCTACTCTTAAGGGTTTAGTTATGAGGTTTTAGTAACACCCTACAGTACTAGCAGCGATAAATTATCTACCATTATTAAAGGCAAGTAACACTTTCCACGAACTCAAATATGAAGGATTGCATATATTCATAACTTACTATTTTCAAGCTGAAAGCTGTTTCCAGGAGCAACCATTTGTTTCTAAACAGGCAGAGAAACATTAGACCAGCTAAAAATCCCAAAGATCCATCAGCCCACGCACATAGGTTTCCAGCGTGATCACACCTGGAGAAGTTACACCCATGGAAAAACAAATGAAGCCAATAGCATGTTCTTCTAAGTCCACATTTGTCCTGGGCAAGTAAGAAACAGACTGTTTTTTAGGAGGCTATGTGCATTTTAGGCAGGGTAACATACCTTTCCTTCATTGTGTCAGCAGGTAGGGTGCCCTCTCAAAGCCCATGTGGGTTTTATTTTCCAGCTACTCCTGGCAGGAAACTGACTACTCTAATGTGACTGGCACATGGACATGTAGCCTCCCCTCCAGGAGGTGGATCAAGTTGACTTTTAAGAAATATGCTTTCTGTCTCTGACTGCGTTTGTTTTGTTGGCAGGCTCACAGAATGCCAAGGCTCCCGGGGAATTGCAGTCTGGATGGCTGGCCAGCAGGTTCTGCCAAGAGGCCTGCCTGCCTGAGCCAAGAGGAGCACATTTCCTCCTGCAAGGGGCTGCTTTCTTACCTTCTCACCTTCTCTGTCCTGTGTCCGGAATCACCCATGGTGCTGCCTTATTTAAGAGTTCAGAATCTCGCTGGGTTTTTTGCCTCCCATGTGGAGTTGAGGGTTTGGGAAACTGAAGATTTTGCTTTTTTTCAAAATCAACAGTAAATGATATCCTTGGTTCCAGAGATTTCCAAACTTTTTTTTTAAGCAGGAGGACTATAATAGAACTTTCTAAGATGAAGGAAATCTTCCACATTTTGATTGGGGTGATATTTATAGGGGAATATACTTTGGTCACAGTCCACTGAATGTATATTTAATATGTCTATATTTGACCATATGTAAATTATACTTTGATTAAACTAACTTTTAAAAACATGGAACTTAAGCCCAATAAATAAGATAGATCTTTTAATAATAAATCATTTGGGTTCCAGTTCTGGGTAAGGTAGAGAAAGCGTAACCCACTTTGTCTCTCCCATAGATGACAACTAAAAACTCTGGAAATAATGCGTGTGACCGGGCACGGTGGCTCATGCCTGTAATCCCAGCACTTTCAGAGGCCGAGGCAGGTGGATCATGAGGTCAAGAGATCGAGACCATCCTGGCCAACATGGTGAAACCCCATCTCTACTAAAAATACTAAAATTAGCTGGGTGTGGTAGCATGCGCCTGTAGTCTCAGCTACTTGGGAGGCTGAGGCAGGAGAGTCACTTTAACCCGGGAAGCGGAGGTTGCAGTGAGCCGAGATCACACCACTGCACTCCAGCCTGGCAACACAGTGAGACTCTGTCTGAAAAAAAAAAAAGAAAAGGAAAAAGAAAAAGAATGTTACAGCACCTGAGGACTCTGAAAAGGAAATTGTAGCCAGCTGATTGGGAACAAAAGAAAACAGAACTTAAAGCAAGACAATCCAGCAATGAGTTTTCTAGTCTTTTTTTTCTTCTGCCAGTATCCGCAGCCTGAATCGGAAAGCATGCTAAAGCCCAGAATTTGGCACTGGGTGCAGACTGTTAAGAACTCCAAGAGAACCCTCTCTTTCTAGTCTAAGAAATGAGAGGGGTACCCCTAAGGGTCATGGGTGGGAAGTAATTTCCTCTACTTACGCTTTCTCCACACTCTCCTGCCCAGCTCACAAGCCATCCTACAACAGCAGTGGCAATGGTGATGGCAGCAGCAGCTGGGGAAGTGCCTAAAACTTTGAAGAAGGAAGACTCTTCTCTCTGACCAAAGGAACTATGGCTTCAAGAGCATGGAAAGGATCTGCACTGCTCTTTTACTATTTCTATCCTCCTGCCTCTTTGTCTTGGGACAAAGTCATGGGAAGTGCAGAGAAGAGGGAAAAATAAAGCTCTGGATGGATTTCTAGCCAGAAGTGAAAGAAGGTGCAAAGGGTCTATGGGAGCCAGAAAGTGTTAGGGAAATTGCAGAGAGGAAACAGCAAAAAAATAGTGATTTCTTAAAGCTGTATATGGATTCCTAAAATCATTTCCAAGCTGTGCATGCATAAATATGTCCCTAAACAACATACCAAAGACTTTGAAAACTGACAGATGAGGCAGCCCATCCCGCAGGTGTCAGACAGGCCAAGGGGTATTATATACACAGAACAGATCTGAGTAGTGCATAGAGCCCACTGAAAACTGAAGGACGTTAGAACTGAAGCCCGTATGAACTAGGTCAGAACTTGCAGCCTGAATCCACCTGGGTTAACTGCTTGTGTTTTCTGTTTTTTGTTTTTTGGGGTTTTTTTTAGATGAAGTCTCGCTTTGTCGCCCAGGCTGGAGTCCAGTGGCATGATCTTGGCTCACTGCAACCTCCGCCTCTAGGTTCAAGCGATTCTTCTGCCTCAGCCTCCCAAGTAGCTGGGACTACAGGTGCCCGCCAACACACCCGGCTAACTTTTCTATTTTTAGTAGAGATGGGGTTTAGCCATGTTGACCAGGCTGGTCTCAAACTCTAGACCTCGTGATCTGCCCACCTCAGCCTCCCAAAGTGCTGGGATTACAGGCATGAGCCACCACGCCCAGCTGTACTTTTTGTTTTAATCAATGCTTTGTCAGGAATTAAACAAGACCCAGAGTCTTATAACGCAGTATTCAAAATGTCCAGAATAGAATTCAAAATTACTTGATACATGAAGAGCCAATAAAATTTCAATAGCTTGCAAGTGAAGAGGCAATTAACAGATGCTAACCCTCAATAACACAGATGCTGAATGTCAGAATTATCAAATACTTTAAAGCAACTATTTATCTATGCTGCAAGAAGTAAGCAGGGACATACTTAAACAGAAAGTCTCAGTAGGAAAATAAATAATCTAAACAAAGAAACCAGTGGAAATTTAAGAACTGAAAAATCTACCACCAAAAACAAAAAATTCACTAGAAGGACTCAATAGTAGAACGAATGTAACAAAGAAAAAGTCAGTGAACTTGAAGAAAGACCAATAGAAATGGTCCAACGTGAACAAAAAGGAGAAAAACTATTGATTAAAAGAATGAATAGACTCAGAGTCAATCAGACAACCCCAAAAGGTCTAATGTTTATTTCATCAGATTCTCAGAAGGAGAGGAGAAAGTGTGGTGCAGAAATATTTTTGAAGAAATAATGACTGAAAACTTCACAATTTGGCAAGTTTTTATAGTTAAGAAATTTCAGCTCCTCCAAACATGGATCCCTAAACCTGTACAAATCCATGTCCGCAAATGTAATAATGAAACTGCTGAAAACTAAGGACAAAGAAAATAACTTGAAAGCAGCCAGAAAAAAACCAATCATTATTTACAGAGAAACCACAATCTGAATGCCTGTGGATTTCTCATCAGAAACCATAATAAGTAGCACAACATTCTTCAAATGCTATAAAAAATAATTATTTTAACCTCAAAACAGAATTCTATGTTAAGTGAAAATATTCTTCAGGAATTAAAATTATTGTTAAAAGACATTGTCAGATGAAGGAAAACTAAGACAATTCATTGCTAGTAGACCGTCTGTAAACAAAATGCTAATACCAGATGGAAAATTGGAGAAAGAGCAACAGAAATCATAAACATTTGGGTAAATATAATAGACTGTTTTTTCTGCTCAAGTTCTTTAAAATATGTTTGATGTTTGACAGTTGAAACCAAAGTTTAAATTTTTTTTCTGAGAGGTTTTTATGTAGACATAATACATGCGACAACTACAATAGAAAGGTGAAAGATAAATTATGATACATCCATATGTTGGAATACTATTTAGTCATGAAAAGGAATAAACTATCGAATCTCAAATGGATTATGGCACCTGAAGTTTCAAGAGGCTATATCTGCGTGATTTCATTCATTTGATATTCTGAGATAGGCAAACTATGATGATGAAGAAGAGATAAGTGGTTGTCAGGGGTTAGGAAGAGGAGGAGGGCTTGGCTGCTGCAGGCCAGTAAGAAGGTGTCTTCTGCAATAACAGAACAGTTCTGTGCCCTGATTATGGTAATGGTTACATTAATCTACTTATACATGTGTTAACCTTTACACCAACAAAAAATATTACTGTTTATAAATTTAAAAAATAATTTTTAAAAATGAATCATTTTGTCCTCATTCTGACTTTTTTTTTTTTTTTTGCAGCAAGGTCTCACCCTGTCACCCAGGCTGGAGTGCAGTGGCTCAATCTTGGCTCAGTGCAACCTCTGCCTCCCAGGTTCAAGTGATTCTCATGTGTCAGCCTCCTAAGGAGCTGGGATTGTAGGCACCCACCACTGTGCCTGGCTAATTTTTGTATTTTTAGTAGAGACGGGGTTTTGCCATGCTGGCCAGGCTGGTCTGGAACTCCTGGCCTCAGGTAATCCGCCCACCTCGGCCTCCCAAAGCGCTGGGATAACAGGCGTGAGCCACCGTGTCCGGCCCACTTAGTCTTCATGCAAATAAGCTTAATACAAAAAAAAAAATCATGAGACAACAAGAAACATTTGATCAATGGCTGGGATACTTGATGGTATTAGAAAACCATTGCTAATTTTGGGGTGTAATCATGGTATTGTTATTATGTTATCTAAAATAGTTCTTAATATCTTTCAGATCTTACTGAAATGTTTTTTACTAATGAAATTCTATCTTGGGTTAGCTTCAACATATTTATTCTCAAGGAAGGGGGCAATGCAAGCAGGTGTGCTGATGAAACAAGACTGGCCAAGGGTTGATCATTGTTGGAGCTGGAAAATGAATATGTGAGCTTTATCACACTTTGTTGAAATGTTTATGTTAAAGAGTTTCCATCATTAAAAGCTCTTAAAAGAAATGAAAAGGGTTGCTTCAAGTTAAAATGAAGCTGGAGATCACAGGTATATTTATTTGCTCCCATCTCTCCAATAGTACCCATTTGGACTAATTTCAATTAACTTCTAGCATTCTATGACATAGGTCCCCAGCCCCTGGGCCATAGGCCGGTATCAGTCTGTGGCCTCTTAGGAACTGGGCCACCCAGCAGGAGGTGAGCGGCAGGTGAGCAGGCCAAGCTTCATCTGTATTTACAGCCACTCACCATCTTTCACATCAACACCACAGCTCTGCCTTCTGTCACATCAGTAGCAGCATTAGATTTTCATAGGACATAGGAGTGAGAACCCTACTGTGAGCTGCCCATGTGAGGGATCTGGGTTGTGTACTCCTTACAAGAATCTAATACCTGATGATCTGTCATTCTCTCCCATCACCCCCAGAAGGGACCGTCTAGTTGTGGGGAAACAGGCTCAGCGCTCCCACTTATTCTACATGATGATGAGTTGTATAATTATTTCATTATAAATTACAATAAAGTTCACAATAAATGTAATGTGCTTGAATCATCCTGAAACCTTCCCCGCTTCCTGGTCCATGGAAAAATTGTTTTCCATGAAACAGGTCCCTGGTGCCAAAAAGGTTGGGGACCACTGCTCTATGAAGTACAAATTAATTTAAATAGTCAAGAGTCATGAAAACCTACCTTGCTCAAAACACAAAACCTGGCTGGGAGCGGTGGCTCATGCCTGTAATCCCAGCGCTTTGGGAGGCCGAGGTGGGTGGATCATGAGGTCAGGAATTTGAGACCAGCCTGGCCAACATGGTGAAACCCTGTCTCTACTAAAAATACAAGAAATTAGCTGGGTGTGGTTGCCAACGCCTGTAATCCCAGCTACTCGAGAGGCTGAGGCAGGAGAATCACTTGAATCCGGGAGGCGGAAGTCGTAGTGAGCCTAGATCACGCCACTGCACTCCAGCCTGGGCAACAGGAGCAAAACTCCATCTCAAAACAAACAAACAAAAAAAAAACCCTTGATTCTGACGGCAAGATTGGTCCTGTTTGCCCATCCTCCCTCAGTGTCAACCAGCTAATTTTTTGCAGACACCCTCACATTGAAGACTTTGTACTTGACCCTTCATTGGGTGCAAGGAGCATTTATCAAAACATATGCATACGCTGTTATCAACATGAAAGTCAGAGTTTGTTTTTATGTCATCGGGAGAAGGAGATGTTTTTCTCTTTTGTTGTGCTTGCCATGGGGGAGGAGAGTAGCCTGTTGTTGTCATCCCTGCTCTAATATCCCTCATGACATATAAATGAGTAATCTGACCTTCCCATAGGATCACAGGTCAAATCATGGTCACAGTGAAGGAGCAGGATCTGCTGAAGGGCAACCAGTGCATTTTCCTGAGCCAAACTAGCCATTTGAATACCGGTGGAACTAGCTGGGTTGGATATCCCTACTGGTCCCATGAGAATCCATGAAAGAAATGAGTCCTGTTTGCCTGCTCCCTGCTCTGCTGCAACTAAGCCTCGTTGCATCAAAATGTCTCAAAATTCCACATCAGAGGTAATCACTGGCCATCTCTGGGGTCTCTTGATTTTCCTTGGTGCCCATTATAAGTTTCTCTTTTATTAGCATCAGGCACAGCAGCCTGTTGTGGCTGCTGACACCAACACCCCCAAGGGAGCTCAGAAGTTCTCTCTTGGTACTGCCTAATAATTCTCACTCTATTGCTTACTGTAGCTTTCTTCTTCAATTAGCAATGTAAATGTGATTGCCTGGGCTTGATAATGAGCTTTTCATGGTAACAGGAAAAAGCCACCAGCCCCCTAGAAGGCAAAGCCTTCTGGCTGCTGGAGTCCAGCTAGTGGGGGGCTTCTGTTTATTAGAACAATTTTTCAGGGTGATTGATAGGGATTCCCAAAGAGGACTATCATTCACAGAAGGCGATTAAAGGGGGTGAACTACAGCAAGGGCTTTCTGTGGCTGGCAGTTCTGTTCACTCACAAGAGCAGCTTAATGTGGTACTGAATTGGAAGTTGTCTTTGCCTTCTCCTGTACCCTTAACCTTTCTTCTAGAGGTAGAAGAGCAAGGAATAACCTCATCCTCTAACCTCTCAGAGGGAGATGCTCAGATACACACCAAGTTCTAAGTTGGCAAATTGATTTAAGATACATACCAGCCTGCAGCTTTTAGAGAAAATGTTTCTGGCCGGGCGCGGTGGCTCATGACTCATGCCTGTAATCCCAGCACTTTGGGAGGCCGAGGCAGGCAGATCACGAGGTCAGCAGATCGGGACCATCCTGGCTAACATGGTGAAACCCCGTCTCTACTAAAAATACAAAAAATTAGCTGGGCATGGTGGCGGGCACCTGTAGTCTCAGCTACTCAGGAGGCTGAGGCAAGAGAATGGCATGAACCCGGGAGGCGGAGCTTGCAGTGAGCAGAGATCGTGCCACTGCACTCAAGCCTGGGCGATAGAGCGAGACTCCATCTCAAAAAAAAAAAAAGAAAAGAAAATGTTTCTAATGAACCAAGTAAAGCAGAACCAGAATTGTTTATTGGTCTTTTGTTTACTCATTTTCTTTTAGTTTGGTTTGGTTTGCTTCTTGATATGGTTTGGATCCGTGTCCCCACCCAAATCTCATGTTGAATTATAATTCCCAATGTTGGAGGTGGGGCCTGGTGGGAGGTGATTGGATCATGGGGGTGAATTTACCCCTTGGTACTGTTCTACCAGTAGTGAGTGAGTTCTCATGAGATCTGGTTGTTTAAAAGTGTGTAGCATCTCCCCCTACTCCTCTCTTGCTCCTGCAGCAGCCATGTAAGACATGCCTGCTCCCCTTCACCCTCCACCATGACTGGAAGCTTCCCAAGGCCTCCCCAGATGCAGAACTCACTATGCTTCCTGAACAGCCTGCAGAACCATGAGCCAGTTAAACCTCTTTTCTTTATAAATTACCCAGTCTTGGTATTTATTTACAGCAGTGGGAGAAGGGACTAACACAGTTTTGTTTTATCGCTATCAGAACACGCATCAGCCTCCGTTATCAAGAGCTATGTTAACTCACCACTGCTCTCCTGGATTAATTTGCCTACCTGACTTCCCCAGCTACTTTTCCATCCTCTTTTTTTTTTTTTTTTTTTTTTGAGACAGAGTCTCGCTCTGTCTCCCAGGCTAGAGTGCAGTGACATGATCTTGGCTCACTACAACCTCCACCTCCTGGGTTCAAGCAATTCGCCTGTCTCAGCCTCCCAAGTAGCTGGGACTACAGGCGCCCACTACCACGCCCAGTTAATTTTTGTATTTTTAGTAGAGACGGGGTTTCACTATATTGGCCAGGCTGGTCTCGAACTCCTGACCCTGTGATCTGCCCACCTTGGCCTCCCAAAGTGCTGGGATTACAGGTGTGAGCCACTGCACTGGGCCTTCCATCCTCTTTTCTTACCTCTCGTTTCATTTGCTCTCTTCCAGTCACACTAGCCTTCTGTTTTGTCCTGCCTCCAGATCTTCACATCTGCTGTTGTACCATCCTGGAAGATGATTCCCTTCCTTCATCTGGCTAACTCTTAGCCAGTCGTCCCATCTCTGGTAATTTACCACTTCCCTAAGGGAGGTTTCTCTGGCCCTTCAGTCTCATTTAGCTTCTCTATTATATCTTCTCATAGCTCCCAATATTTTCCCTTCCTAGAATGAACCACAATGCTCATCACGGCGTCATGTATATGATGTTACATTTTTCCAGGCCTCTCTCTCATTAGCTTATCAGCTCCTTCAGGGCAGAAGCCACATCTGTCACATACCCTGCTAGAGACTCAGTGCCCAGCATGTGGTAGTGATACCAGTGGACTGGTGGAAGTCCCAAAGTGCCGGTGGGACCAGTGTCCAGGCTCTTGACGCCTTAGTAAGAAGGAATTCAAGGACGAGTCAGAAAATAGTGAAAGTACAGAGATTTATTGCAAAGGGAAAAGTACACACTCAAGAAAAAGTAGTGTGGGTATACTCAAGAGAGAGCCATGCCTAAGGGGGTTTGGAGATGCTATACCTTAATGGGTTTCTTTACCTAAGGGGTGAAATATTCAGGAAAATTCCAGGAAAAAGGTGGAGATTTTTCAGAATTGTGGTGCCACCCATTTTTACACCAAATAGGGTATTCTTGGAACTGTGCTGACGCTGACGGCTGTGTGATTTAGGATATTAATGAGCATATAACGAGGTCCGGGGAGAAACCTAGGTGGAATCCAGCACCATGTGGGGTCAAGTCGGTCATAGCCAGCTTGGTCCACATGTAGTTTTTCAGGCTCTTCTCGGCCCATAGCCTCTAGACATGTGAAACTGCTGTCTGGAATTTTTATTCTCCTGTGACCACCCTGTCTCAGTATGTGTCATCATAATTGCTGAATGAATTTGATAAAAATGAGGAGGGGGAAAAAGGCATAGGGAGACAGAGATAAAAGCAAAGGCATTTTAGCACAATGATATACATATGAGAAGAGAAGAGTTTCAAAACTAAGCATGCTATAAGCTTAATAATTAAAATAATATATTTATTATTGATTGCTCACCCTTTAGTACCTCCTACTACTACCAAATCTATAGGAACTTTTCTTTTCTTTCTTTTTTTTTTTTTGGAGAAGGAGTCTGGCTCTGTCGCCAGGCTGGAGTGCAGTGGTGCAATCTCGGCTCACTGCAACTTCTGCCTCCCAGGTTCAAACAATTCTCCTGCCTCAGCCTCCGAAGTAGCTGGGACTACAGGCATGTGCCACCACACCCAACTAATTTTTGTATTTTTAGTAGAGACAGGGTTTCACCATGTTGGCCAGGATGATCTCAATCTCTTCACCTCATGATCTGCCCGCCTTGGCCTCCCAAAGTGCTGGGATTACAGGCATGAGCCACTGCACCCGGCCAAGAACTTTCTCATATGTGATCTTCTTTGGGTTTATTTAGTCCTCTGAAATGGTCGACCAGGAATTGTCCCCACCTCTCATATTATTGTTAAGGTGCCTGAGGCTCAGCAAGCTCCCATGACCTGTTCAAGGTCATGCAGCTGATAAAAGGCAATACCCAGACTTGAACCCAGAGTGTGTGGGGCACCCGCTGCCACAGCACAAATTGGCTCTTTTCTCCTGGCCCATTCTCCATTCTATCCCCAGAAGGAAATCTTTCATAACCATTCTTTATCGCTTCTCCACCTGTTCCTTTGGAAAAGAGATTTTTGTCACTAAAGGAGCTGTTAAAATTAGGAGGAGCTGCTTGATTTGCGGGTGCTGTAAATAAAGATGAGACTGTTCTGGTCTCAAAGGTGATTTAACTTTAATTGCAACCAGAACAGATCAGAGAGTGAGACGTGACTCAGACGTGATGCTTCGGAGCAGGGGGATGACAAAATAGAACACAGTTTATTTTTCCTTCTTCTTGGCAAAGAAGGCTGATAAACACTGGTTTGCTCTTGATGACATGAAATGATAGTGTTCTGAAGTACAAAGAGGCTTTCATACCAAAACACTTAAAGTGGCCATCAAAGACAAATGGAGACATTTGCACAATCTGCCAACATAGGCTTTAGCCTTCACTGACTCACCTGCCAACACTGCATTTCCAAGAATGCAGGAGGTGGAATCAGACATATCATTCACACAACATATTTTTATTGAGTACCTGCTCTCTGCCAGACACTTCTCAAGCACTAGGGTTAGATCATAAAGCAAAGTAAAATCCCTGCCTTCGTAGAATCGTACCCACTTCCTGCAGTGTTACTGCACACAGCTATGCATGTTGCACATTGCAAAACTCTAAGAGTGCCAATCCCATCACATCCATGTGAGTGGGTACCCTAGATGTGCTATCCCCAACCTGCACAACTGTACACAGCAACCCTGAGTCGCCTCCACCACTCCTACCCTGGGCTAGAGGAATGATGGCTATACCCTCCCATGTGGTCTCCCTGATTTTACCCTGCCCCTCTACTGTCCGCCCTCAATACAAAAGACTTTGTTCTGTTAAAAACATAAGACAGATCCTATCATATCTCTGTTCATACCCTCCAGTGGCTCCCAGTTTGATTCAGAGAAAAAGCCAACCTCCCATGGCCGATCTGACTTCATCTTCTGCCCCTCTCTTCCTTGCCCTCTCCTCTGGCCACCCTGGCCTCCTTCCTATGCCCCACACCTGCCAAGCACTCTCCTGCTGCCCTGGGGCCTATCCCTAGTTTCCCCGGTCTGCAGTGCTCCTTCCCCAGACATCAGTATGTCTCCCTCACTTCTTTCAAGTCTTTGCTCAAACATCATTTGCTCAATGGGGCATGCCCTGACAACCTTATTCAAAACTGTATGCACACACACACACATGCAGGCACACGCTCACATGCATGCACACATACAGAGCCCCTGCCAGCCCTCCATACCCGTCTCTGTTTCTTCTTTCATGACACCTATCAGTTTCTTGCATACCAAATGGTTTTATGATGATGTAATTCATTTACTGTCTGTCATCTGCCCCAGAACCACTAGAATATAAGCTCCACAAAGGCAGGGATTTTTTTGTCTGTTTCATGCCCTAATCTGTCCCCAGGGCCTAGAGAAGTGCCTGATATAGTATGCTCTCACCAAAGATGGGTTGAATGGATGAATTATAGCTGGAGAGACAGACCACAAACTGGCAAACACACTCAGGTACATGCACACACACATACATATCTAGATGGTCCCCAACTTATGATGGTTTGGCTCATTTTTTGACTTCATGATGGTGTGAAAGTAATATGTACTCAATAGAAGCTGTACTCTGACTACCCATGCAACCCATTCTATTTTTTGTTTGTTTGTTTGTTTGTTTGAGATGGAGTTTCACTCTTTTGCCCAGGCTGGAGTGAAGTGGTGTGATCTCAGCTCACTGCAACCCCAACCCCCCAGGTTCAAGCGATTCTCCTGCCTCAGTCTCCCAGGTAGCTGGGATTATAGGCGCTCGCACCACGCCTGGCTAATTTTTGTATTTTAGTAGACACTGGGTTTCACCATGTTGGCCAGGCTTGTCTCGAACTCCTGATCTCAGGTTATCCACCCACCTCAGCCACCCAAATTGCTAGAATTACAGGCATGAGCCATCGTGCCCATTCTATTTTTCACCTTCAGTACAGTATTCAGGAAATTACATATGATGATCAATACTTCAATATAAAATTGGCTTTGTGTTAGATGATTTTGCCCATCTTTGGGCTAATGTATGTGTTCTGAGCATGTTTAAGGTAGGCTGGGCTAAGCTATGATGCTCAGTAGGTTAGGTGCATTAAACGCATTTCTGACTTATGATAGTTGCAACTTACAATGGGTATATTGGGATGTAACTCATCATAAGTCAAGGAGCACTAGTATATTATTATTATATATTATAGAGATTATATATACATATATTATTACATGTAATAGATGTGTGTTTATAGCTGAAGAGATCATCAACAAACAAGCACATACACATATATCTATATATATATGCACACGCGCATATACATACATATTATATTATATGTATTATGTACATATATTATATATATTATGTGTACCTAATGTGGCTTATTCATTCATAGCGGGGGAGACAGACAAAAACAGGCATACATAGATACACACATATAGATACACATGCACATATACGTATCACGTAGATATGCACACGGTGGCCCATGCCTGTAATCCCATCACTTTGGGAGGCTGACGGGGTGCTTCACTTGAGATCAGGGTTTCGAGACCAGTCTGGCCAACATGGCGAAACCTCTTCTCTACTAAAAATACAAAAATTAGCCAGGCATGGTGGTGGGTGCCTGTAATCCCAGCTACTCGGGTGGCTGAAGCGGGAGAATCACTTAATATGTGCACATATCAGTGTGTATGTGTATGTTTGAGTAGGCTGGGCTTGGCACCTCTGGGGCACCCATTCACATGGATGTGCTGGGATTCGCACTCCTGGAGTTTTGCAGTATGCAACTTGTGCATATATGTATACATATCCATGTGATACATATATGTGTATGTGTGCATATATGTATACCCGTTTATATCATATATGTGTGTTCATATGTATGTATATACGTATCTGTGTAAGTTTGCCTTTTTGTCTCCCAGCTATAATTTATTTATTCATTCAACTAATTTTTGCTCAGCACCTACTATATGTATATGCATATGTGCGTGTGTGTGTGCATATGTATGTGTGTGTATATGCATATGTGCGTGTGTGTGTGCATATGTATGTGTGTGTATATGCATATGTGCATATACATACGTACATAGTAGGTGCTGAGCAAAAGTATTTTTGCAGAAGGATTTTGGTAACCTTATATAGAAAAATACAAATAAAACCCTCACACACACATGTATATGTATATATGCATATGCATGTGGCTATATGTGTGTATACACACACATATAAAATAACAGCAGATCAGAAGAAGCCTAACATGAAGGAGTTCTGTCCTCAGGGTTCCTGACTTGTCTTCTGTCCTCTTCCATTATAGGAGGTCTGGTCCAAAGCCTCCACTTTACCCTCCTACCCCCTTTTCTGCGGGCCTCACTACAGTTTTCTGCTAAATAAGGGGACCAGGTGGTATGTGACCTTCTATCTGGTCCTCTGGGAAGACTATCAGGCTTTGGGGCATAGGGCCATAAAGAAGCAGAGCAAACTCTGGAGTGGGGTGTCCACCTCCAACAGTCTCCAGGAAAGCTGGCACTCTTCAGCATGGCAGGGACCGCAGGGAGGAGGCAGCCTTCCCTGACACTTGCTCTCTCCTGACACTTTACTACGGTGTCACCTGGCTTAATTTCCTTGGTCCTCACAACCACCCAGAAGATAGTGTGAAAGTTGTCAGAATCAAATGGAGTCACTAATGTTAAGAAAATCCTGGTAAACAGAACTGGAAAAGGCCACGAAGACAGGATTCTCACACTTGTATGCCTGATAACAACAACAGAAACAAAAAGATTCTACAAAAACCCTAACCTTGCCCAAAAGCCACGGCAACCTTAAACAAAAAATATTTCTGCAAGGACATCTGTCCAGAAACTGACTGTTCAAATCAGACTGGTGTCACCTTTGTTATTGATCTTTGTTGCCAAGGATAAATTATTTCAAGACAGTTACATAATTATCTTCACTTTTCCTTTAAAAATCTTAGTGGCCAGACAAGATGGCTCTCACCTGTATTCCTGACACATTGGAAAACTGAGAAGGGAAGATCGCTTGAGCCCAAGAGTTCAAGACCAGCCTAGGCAACATGGCAAAAGCCCATCTCTACAAAAAATACAAAAGTTAGCTGGGCATGGTGGCACGTGCCTATAGTCCCAGCTACTCAGGAGGCTAAAGTGGGAGGATCACCTGAGCCCAGGGAGGTGGAGACTGCAGTGAGTCATGATTGCACCACTGCACTCACTCCATCTTGGGCAACAGAGTAAGACCCTGTCTCAAAAAAAAAAAAAAAAAAAATCTTTGTATTCTTTTTCCTCCCTCAAAATGCGCACAGTTTACTATGGCAAGTATATTCATTCCCATTGCAATGCTCTGTTCCCAAATAAATATCTTTTCTTTTAGAGAGTCTCTGTTTGTTTGTTATTTAGGTTGACAAGGGGGATATTATCATCATCCCATTTTATAGATGAGTAAATTGAGGCTCAACGAGGTTTAGTTTCTGCCTCCAAGTAACAGTGATCTAGTGTCAGAGCTGAAACTCTCTAAACCTTTGCTATTCGAAGTGTGATCCCTGAACCAGCAGCTTCTGCATCACATAGGAGCCTGCGAGAAATCCAGAATTTTACAAAACAATGAGTTTCAGGGGGAAAAAAAAATGAGAAAAAGAAAAATGCAGATTCTCAGGCCCCACCCTAGACTCTCACCCAATCCAAACGCATGTTACAATTTAAGAAGCACTAACCTAAACCAGTGGTTCTCAACTGGGCTGAATACTAGAATCGTGCAGAGAACTTTAAAAAATAGAGATGCCCAGGCTGAACCCCAAACCAATTAGATGCTATGGAGGTAAGATCCAGACATTAGTCATTTTTAAGGCTCCCCAGGTTATTCTAACGCAAAAAAAAGAAAGTTGCCCTAAACCAGCTTTTTAAAAAATTCTTCTATCAATAAAATTACATCAGTACCACACTTAGGAAAACAGAATCGTTAGGCACCTGACAATTTGCATATGTAACAAAAGTTCTAGGTCATTTTTAAGATCTTGAAAGTTTGGGAAACACTGGCCTAAACACTAGGATAAATTTCAGCTCAATATCTATAAATTGTCTTTAGGAAGCTGAAGTTTTAAAATATATTTTATTGTAAAACATTACAGGTACACAGACAATTGTATAAGGCCACAGTTTAGCAAATATTTTAAATTATGCAAATCACCACTACCCAGGTGAAGAAACAGAATATGGCCAACATTCCCGAATTCCAATGCCTCCCTCTCCCTCTGGAAGTAACCACTATCTTAACTTTTATTGTAATTATTTACTTTCTTATATTTATAGCTTTTCATCCTGTGTATACATATCTAAACAATATGTTTCATTTTGCCTGTTTTTCAATTTTTTATTAACAGAATCATGCTGTGTGTTCTCTTTTGTGTACAGTTTCTTTATTCAACATTATATATATTAGAGTTCATTTTCATTTCCTTATGATATTTTATTTATTTATTTATTTATTTTAGACAGAGTCTCGCTCCATTGCCCAGGCTGGAGTGCAGGGGTGCGATCTCTGCTCACTGCAACCCCTGCCTCCCAGGTTCAAGTGAGTCTCCTGCCTCAGCCTCCCGAGTAGCTGGGATTACAGGCGCTCACCACCATGTACTGCTAACGTTTTGTATTTTTAGTAGAGATGGGTTTTACCACGTTGGCCAGGCTGGTCTCAAACTCCTGACCTCAGGTGATCCACCCACCTCGGCCTCCCAAAGTGCTGGGATTACAGGCGTGAGCCACCGCGCCCGGCCTCTGTTTTGGGGTTTTTTTTTTTTCTAATTTTTGTTTTGTTTTGTTTTTTGTTTTTTTGAGACAGAGTTTCACTCTGTTGCCCAGGCTGGAGTGCAATGGCGCAATCTCGGCTCACTGCCACCTTCACCTCCCAGGTTCCAGCAATTCTCCTGCCTCAGCCTCTCGAGGGATACAGGCATGCACCCCCATGCCCAGTTAATTTTTGTATTTTTAGTAGAGATAAGGTTTTACCATGTTGGCCAGGATGGTCTTAAACTCCTGACCTCAAGTGATCCACCCACCTCGGCCTCCCAAAGTGCTGGGATTACAGGCATAAGCCACCGTGCCCGGCCTGAGATTTTAATGTATAAATATTCCACATTGTAAAAAATATATCATTATGTTGATGGATATTTAATTTGGTTCACCGTCTGAGCTACCATAAACAATGGTGTTCCAAACTTTTGTGCATAAGTATGCTGAGGCATAAATGTATGCAGCTCTCTGGGATAAATATTTAAGACTCTAGTTGCTGGGTTATTGAATAAGTATATTACCAACTCCGCTAAATCATGCCAAACACTCACAGCAGAAGTGTTTAAAAGGTCCTGTGGCTCCAAGTACTTGTGCCTTGGATGGTGATTCCTCTTGGCCACCTTCTCACAAAAACCTGCAGATTAGAAAAAGACCCATTAGCTTTCCCTGCCTTGAAGTCAAAAACCTGCTCTTCCTTAGCCCTGCAAGAAAGAGATGAATGCTGAGCAGTGGAAATTACAGGGGTGGTTTAATGATGAACTTGCTCCGGGTTAAGACTGGATAGCAATCATTTCCTCTAGGTTTCTGCGGACGACTCCACAAATGGAGAATATCTATCATAGGCAGAGGCATGTGGAATGACAACGTGCTTGTGCGATAATGATTTTCCTTCCTGTTTATCACAAAGAAGATGATCAATCAAGGTGGGAACACTCAAGTCGGGCCCGTCAGAGAGGGTTTGCCATCAAAGAGAGCAATCAGACAAACTGCTAACAGACCTGGCCAGGAGCTAGGGCCTCCTTTGTGTGGATCTGGTTATCTGTTCATATACTGTTGTAAAACCCCGAAAAGTAAAACCGTCTCTTCCTCCTTGTCTCATTCATTCATTCAGCCTGTAGTTACTGAGCACCCACGCAGCACTAAGGATTCAACACTGAGCAAGTCCACTTGACCTAGCCTTCAAGGACCTTACATTCTACTAAGACAGTAAATGAAGCCACGGGGCATCACTGGACTAGTGGTTATTCAGCGTCTATCTTGTACCGGGTGCTGTAGATTCAGAGGTGAACAAGGCATCGTTCCTATCTTCGGTAAACTTACAGTCTAGTTTAACTTCCTTCAAGCACAAGGCACAAGAACTGTGATCAATGCAGGTGCAAAGCATCTATCGGAGCTCAGACATAAACATCTAGATCAGATTCTGGACTCAGACACACTATTTCATTCACAAGGACTAATTCCTAACTCTCTCTAGTAGGAGAGCAGAGGCCTGAGTGGAAGGGACACAGCACCCATAGGTTTCAATGGCAAATTTTAGAGGAGAATATTGGTAGGGTAGGGTATATGAGAAGCAATCACGGTCTTAACAGCCAAGAAAAGTTGTCATGCTTGATTCTCAGGAAAGCGAAGGCAAATGAAGACACTCTACTACCTTGAACTTCCGCCCTAGATCAGCAAAGCAACAGGAACCATTCATGAGGCTGTTCACATGTATTATCTCATTTATTCCCTGCAACTCAAACAGGTAAGCACTAGAATCCCCATTTTACAAATAAGACGACTGAGGCCACGAGAGATTATTTTCCCAACACTGCACAACTAATAGGATCTGCGAAACCACAATTTGAGCCCAACTCTACTTGACCCTAAAACCATTAGCACTATCTCTATCACTTCTTGGTAAATAAGATGCCTAATACAGAAGTTTACTTAAGCATCCGTTTACCCTTTTTCCTAAAGGTCAAAGCTGTCCCTACTGTTGTCTTGCCTGGCTGGCCCCAATCTAGTTCACCTAAGCTCCACCTTCAGCGATCAGAACCCATAGTGCTCTTTGTGGGACCTGGACCCCAAGGAAGAAGAATGTGTGTCCCTGCACATTCACATGACTGTATTTGTGTGTGTTGGGAAGGTTAGTATGAAGTTGAATGTGATGCCCCCAAGAGGTAAGTCAACTGAGGAAGGAACAGCACCTCCTCTGACCACTCTTGGATACTGTTGGACCGATCAGGACAACACCTGTGGCTGCAATGAGCCTGAAGTCAGTCCCTATGTACTGGGTAACAGTATATAGGTCAATTGAGCCTGGCTCCTAATCAGATGCTTGTCACTTCATTCATTTACCCGATCATTCATTCCATGTGCTTAATAATTCATTCATCCAATATTCATGATTATATTTATTAAGCTAATACTTCATAGAAAGCACTGTGGCAGAGACAAAGGTAGCACTATAAACATGAATCAAACCCAAACAATTAAGTACACTCATTGAGACATAATTAATAAAAATGGAAGGGAAAATGATTTTTGGCCGCATCATCGTGGTTAATATTATCAGTACTTTTTCAGTGCTTAATATTTCCTTGCCAATAGGTCAAGCTGTTTACTTCCTTTAGAAATCCTATGAAATAGATTACTGCATTGGCCCCATTTAACAGATGTGCACACAGAGGTTCAAAGTGGTTAAAAATAGCTTGACCAAGGCCACACCAGTGGTCAACGACAGAAGTGGAATTGGACATCAGGGTGATAAGAGAGGGAGAGGTAAGTCTTTGCACTTGCACAGAGTCTGTCTTCACACAGGAAAGGAGAGAAACAGTCCTAAGTCTAACAATGGAAAACTGGTAAATAGTTCTACCTCTACACAATTATAGTCCCTAAAATGCTCTCTACAGACATTGAAATGGATGAGGTAGATCCACATATTAACCCAGAAAGTTGCTTACGATGCACCCACTTTGAAAGTGAGTAATACAATAGTGTAGCAGTATTTGGGGATTTTTTAAAGAAAACTTTCCACTATATATACATATATATATGTATAGAATATATATATACACACATATATGTATAGAATATATATACACATATATATGTATAGAATATATATATACATATATATGTATAGAATATATATACACATATATATGTATAGAATATATATATATACACACACACATAGAATATTTATATATATATATATATATATGCATAGAAAAAGAACAAGATGGAAAGTATTTTGAGGGCAAGGATTTTTTCCTTTTTGGACACTTGAGATTTTCAGCACATCAATTAGTGCCGGGCACATGCTGTAACAGATGGCTGATTAATATTTGTCAAGTAAATGAATGATTTATTGGTGAATGTATGAATGAGTAAATTGAGATAGAATGAATGAATGGATAACTGAATGAATGAATGTGGCAAAATGCCAACAAGAATATAATCTCTGGGTGGTGGGATTTGGGGTGAATTCTTTTCTCTTTGTGTTTATCTGCATGTTTTATTTTTTTTTTTTTTCCATCAATGGACATAGGCTACTTGTGTGAGGGAGGAGAGAAAATACATCCAGTTTTCTCCAGAATCACAACCTGGAAAGAAGAGGAGTCAGGAGGCTGAGGTCTAGGACTCTGATGTGGTTTGGCTGTGTCCTCACCCAAATCTCATCTTGAATTGTAGCTCTCATAATACCCATATGTTGTGGGAAGGACCTGGTGGGAGATAACTGAACCATGGGGATGGGTTTTCCCCTGCTGTTCTCATGGTAGTGAATAAGTCTCACGAGATCTGATGATTTTAAAAGGGGAAACCCCTTCCACTTGTCCATGATTCTCTCTTGTCTGTCGCCATGTAAGACGTGCTTTTGTTTCTGCCATGATTGTGAGGCTGCCATGTGGAATTGTGAGTCCATTAAACCTCCCAGTCACGTGGAACTGTGAGTCCATTAAACTTCTTTTTCTTTACAAATTACCCAGTCTCGAGTATGTCTTTATCAGCAGCGTCAAAACGGACTAATACAGACTGATTGTATCACAAGCTAAGGTTATGACTTGTTCATTGGCTTAGAGAGACGTCAATGTCAGATCTCAATGTGTAAGTGTTCATATACAAATGCCTCGGTTCCATCATTTGTAAATTGAGATTTAAAATCTCTGTTGAGCCTCTCCTATGAGGCCGAGTTTTCCAAACTTCAGTCATTAAGAAAACCACTTTCACTATTTTTGCCACATCTGGGTTCCTCCTGCACTATTACTTTCTTAACATTCTTTTTCAGACAAGTCATTCTTTTAGATTTAAATAATTTATTAAAGTTTTTTCTTTCAGACAACTTTTTTTTGGATTTAAATAATTTATTAAAGTATGAAATCATCGCCCTAAGTACTACCAGTATTACTTGCCATCAATTCTACTAACAGTGAAAATTTTAAAACAACAAAGAGAAAACAACATCGAATTCTTTATAGATACTATTGCCTGCTAAAGACTAAGAGCTCATGTTCTGTTCTCTCTTATTAAAAAAGGGAGATTTGCAAGTGTTGGAGAGGTGTTAAATACAGACTAACACCAAACCGAGACTGCGTTTGATATAATTAGGATTAAAGAAAATTGGAATAGAAATATGTTTTCACTATGTGATTCAGTATTTTATAATGCTGGGTGGATGTAACACTTTAAGTAAATGTCAAGTACTACCACATTGCACATCTTGGAAAACATTGCCTTCAATTATCCAATTGGTGAATAAGATGGGAATATGTAGCTAATAATATTATTAATAGCAGCTACCATATACTGAAGTATTCACTATACCAGTTCTACATACGTAGTCTCCAGTCTTTGAAAACACTGAGAAAGGTGGTCATTATCCCCATTTTGTAGATGTGGAACACTGAGGCTCATAGAAATGAAATTATTGTCTCAAGATTACAAAGCTACTGAGGAACAGATCCTGAATCTAAACCAGGGTTTCTGTCTTCAGAGAACATCAGAAAGCCTGAGAAAGAGCAGCAAGGATTCTCGTATACTGTCAATGGTGGCATAACACAGGACGTTCATTTTGGAAAACAGTTTGACTATTTGCTGGAGCTACACATCCTCATACCCTGTGACCTAGCCATTGCACACCTTACCCAAGAGAAGTGGATGCATACGTCTACACATGGACTTGTACACAAGCTGTATTCATAGCAGCCTAATTTATAATAGGCAAAACCTGCAAACAACTTGAATGTCCATCAAAAGGTAAACAAAAAAAGCACATGGAATACATAAAAATACAACCGGCTAACAAAAAGGAACCAACTATGATTCCAAAACAGATGAATTTCAAAACATTATGCTGAGTGAAAGAAAAAGAATAGGTACTATAGCACTCCATTTATATAAATTTCAAGAATAGTCAAAACTAAACTATGATGATAGGAGGCAAAATAGAGGTAACCTCTAGGGAGGGGAATTAATGGCAAAAAGGAACTTTCTGGGCTGAAGAAAATATACTACATAATGATCTAAAGATACAGATTATATCTGTATGGTGCATATAAATGTATTTAGACACGTAAAATTTTAACCAAATTGTACATTTAAGATTTGTGCATTTTATTCATGTAAATTATACCTCAATAAAGTACTTGGGGAAAATTTGCATAGCTCTATACAAAAGTAAACATGCCTCCAATTAGAATTCTAAGCAAGTCTGCAAGATTTCTTAGAATTTCCTCTACATGCTAGAGTCAAAGAATGCCCAACTCTGCTTAGGATTTCATTACTTTAAACCTTAGTCTTGAGCCTCTTTCTTAACTATGCCTCTCCCCTCAATAGATTTTAATACACTTGAGGTAAGTACTCTGCCTCATTCATCTTTCTATCCTCAATTGTGTCTTCCATTGAGCCTTGCACATAATAGTTCCCAATAAATATTTGCTAGACTTAATTTTCATTATTTCAAATGCCATTTAGATAGTTATGTCTGATAGCTTCATAAAGAGTTAAAATCATATCTAAAATTAACAAATGTAGCCTTACTCTCATTCATTTCAAAGTCGCCCTCCACCCCCAGTGTCCTCCAATGCAGCTATCCTGGAGTTCAGTCAGAAGGAAAAGGGAGCATCTTTAACAGAAGAAGAAGTCCAGCTTCATCGGAACACTCCTCTAGTTTTGTGTACACAGCTCCTAAAGAGGAAATTTCTTAAAATTCTGTTTGTAATGATTATACCATAGAATACGGAGATAGAAGATGAAAAATCAAGTTTTATTATTAATTGTAAACCCAGTGGCAATAGAAGAAAGGAAAAAGTAACAATGATATACTGGCTACTGCCAACCAGCCTGCCAGAATGCTTTAGTTCCTGATGTTAATGAACTTTGTCCTTAAGCAACAAAAAACAGTTGCATCCATTTTTAAAAATGGACTTTAAGGTCCTTATTTAAAAGGCAAAAACCAATAGATGTTGGTGTGGATGTGGTGAAAAGGGAATGCTTATCCACTGGTGGTGGGAATGGAAATTAGTACAAACCCTTTGGGAAATACTACGGAGATTTCTCAAAGAACTAAAAGTAGATCTTCCATTCAATCCACCAATCCCACTACTGGGTATTTACCCAAAGGAAAATAAATCACTATATCAAAAAGTCACCTGCATGCATATGTTTACTGCAGCACAATTCACGATTGCAAAGATATGAAACCAATCTAAGTGCCCATCAACTGATGAATGGATAAAGAAAACGTGGTACACATACACTATGGAATACTTTTCAGTATAAAAAAGAATGAAATAATGTCTTTTGCGAAACTTGGTTGGAGCTGGAGGCCATCACCCTAAGTGAAGTGACTCAGGAATGGAAAACCAAATTCCATATGTTCTCATTCATAAGTGGAAGCTAAGCTGTAGGGTACATGGAGGAATACAGAGTAATATAATGGACATTGGAGACTCAGAAATGGGGAGGGTGGAAAAGGGATGAGGGATCAAAAACCATATTTGGGTACAATGTAGACTACGTGGGTGATGGGTACACTAAAATCTCAGACTTCACCACTATACAATTCATCCATGTAACCAGAAACCGCTTGTACCCCTAAAGCTATTGAAATTTTTTAAAAAATGGACATTGAGCTTATACTGAGTGGTCTTAGGAGTGATTTTTTAAAAGCTTGTGCAAAATAACCCCCAGTACTTCAGTAGTGACCTTGGAGGATGTGGGAAGGTGATAAGAACAGGTTCTGATGATAGCAGCCCGGGAGGGATGCTTCTGATTGAGCCACAGTTGTGGATGAAACTGTGAGGGGAACTCATCTCACTTTTTAGATAACCATTGAGATCCAACGTGATACCTTTTAGGGCACATTCCTGAAGATGGAACCCCAGCAGTAGTCCAATATGGTCCTCATGTATCTCAAAGAAGAACACATAGGCCATTGCAATACCCTGACCTTGTATCAGAGGCGTTTAAACCAGAGGGACTCCATCTTGAGTAGGGGCTGGGTAAAATAAGGCTGAGGCTTAATCGGCTGCATTCCCAGGAGGTTAAGAATTCTAAGTCACAGGATGAGATAGGAGGTTGGCACAAGATACAGGTCACAAAGACCTGGCCGATAAACCAGCATGCAGTAAAGAAGCCAACCAAATCCCAACAAAACCAAGATGGCGATAAAAGTGACCTCTGATCATCCTCACTGCTCATTATACACTAATTATAACGCATTAGCATGCTAAAAGACACTCCTACCAGCGCCATGACAGTTTACAAATGCCATAGCAACATCAGGAAGTTACCCTATATGGTCTAAAAAGGGGAGGAACCCTCAGTTCAGCGAGTTGCCCACTGCTTTCCTGGAAAATTCATGAATAATCCACCCCCTGATTAGCCTATAATCAAGAAATAACTATAAGTACTCTTAGTCGAGCTGCCCATGCTGCTGCTCTACCTATGGAGTAGCCATTCTTTTATTCTTTTACTTATTTAATAAACTTATTTTCACTTTACTCTATGGATGCATCCTAAATTCTTTCTTGTGCGAGATTCAAGAACCTTCTCTTGGGGTCTGAATCAGGACTCCTTTCTGGTAACAATGGGACTAAGGGTAAGGATTAAGGTGGAGGTAGAAACTAGGTGCCCCTACATCCTTCTTTGACTATGTCTTCTATAGTCCCTACAGCCAACATATCTATTATTCTTTTTAAAAAGCCTGTTGTCAGAATCAAGTTAATAATAATGCTTATTTATTGAGTATGTATATAAGCCACGTTCTGTACCACGTAACTTAATTCTGCCATGTAATCTTTACAACATCTCTATGAGAAGATAATATCCCCCATTTTATAGGCAGGGAAACTGAGGCTCAAATAAAGTTGACAAAGTTTACATGGCAAGTACGTGATAGAGCTGAGATATACACCCAGTTTGCCTGACTTCAGAGATCAAGTAAGTTAGGAATGATTGAGGTAAACTCTTCCCCATCCTAAACCCCTCAGGTTACTGCAGGTGAAATCCAATCTGGATTTCTATCACATAGGAATAGAAAGATGGAAAGCCTGTAAAAAACTAAATCAGGACTTTCCCATCACTACTAAAAATAAAAGATCACCTTAATTCCTGGGGTAAATTAGTATTGCAATGAATGTTATTGTCAGAGAACATAACAAGGGGAGTCATCTCATGAACTTATGCCAATTTCAAGTGTTAAGCTTCTCAGGATCCACCAGACATCCAAAGGACGGCAATGTTTCTAACATCTCTATAGTTCATCACTCAATTTTCAGACCATTTATGACAGATCCCTGTAACATCTTCCCTTGGAATTACACAAGGCATAGGAATTGCTCAGATTTCCTGATTTGTATTCTGAGCACTGCCCTATATGAGATTAGAAAAAAACATTCACAAAGTGAACCTGTATCTTCTCCCTTTACATGGAAATAAATGAAAATCTCTGTGCTAGAAAGATTTTTCTCTCTCCTCTTCCTGGGGAATTTGACTGTATCTGCAGCACTCATTTCATTACATACTTTGCAAGTGTCTCATAGTTATAATCACTCAGGGCACCTCAGGTTAACACACTACTGGTTTTTCTCTTTTTCCAAGTCTTCCAGCTACCTGTGCTAGGAGGATTCTACCCTTGTCATGAACTCTTTGGCTGCAACCTAATTTTTCCATCTTATAATGGACGAAGAACTATCCTCTATGAATGCTCCTGCCTAAAATGTGTAATAAAAACACATGTCATATGTGTCAATTGCATACAAGAGAAGAATTTGCACTTGTTTTTAGTAGAAGTTTCAGTGGAAGGGAAAATGAAGCACAGAGCAAAGAAGCCACCATATAAGCAGAATGGTAACCACCACAGATGTAAAATCTCAAGGTCATTTGTCAGATCTTGAAAACACAACAGTCTCTACCCACTCCCATTTCTGGTGTCTGAAGTTCCACCACTAAAAATCCTATTTGTTTAATTTAGAAGAATAAAAATGAATACTAATTGAATTTCTACTGCATGCCAGATGTTTTTCTAATCCTCAAAACAATTCAGCGATGAGTACTTTTAATTCTCATTTTGCATATGAGGAAGCTAAGGTTATCTGACTTGCTTAAGGTTGTGTAGCTGGTAAACACCTGAATCAGGATTTGAACTGAGAAACTGAGTTCCAGACTTCAGTCCTTATGAACATGCATTTCTCAGTGCATGTGTACCACTGAGGTGTTGTCAGTGACATTTACCCTAGTATAAATAAGTAAAAGTCCAATCTTTTTAAAGAAAAACAAAAATGAGTTCCAACATGTGGTACAGGAGAACTGAGGGTGGCAATAAGGACAACTCCCACACACAACTTCCCAGAGACACTGAATGAATAGCTTTATAGTGGGGCAGGACGAAAAATGCAGCCATTGAAAACTGGTCTTGATATCAACCAAAAAATCTCTAACTAATAGAAACTGGTACCAGGAGTGGGGTTTAATTTTGACTCCAGTCTTTGTACCAGGGCTGCCACCTAATAGAACATGAAAGTCATGCTTAACTATTTCCTCGCCTTCACTCCTCCTGTCCAATTAGCTCCCATGTTATCAATTCTACTTTTCACATATTTTTCAAATTGTCCTCCACTCTCAATTATCCCCTTTACTTAATTCAGACTCGTTGACTCCTGTCTGGCACCTCTCTCATTTCCTCTGACCATCTTCCCTATGGGAGCTAGAATGAGCTTTACAAAGAGTTAATTCAATCCTTTCTATCCTTTATTTATATATCCTTTAACTGATTGACTACTATTTGTAGAATAAACCCCAAGTTTTTGGTCCTTACATAAAAAGTACATTATAATTTCACTCCATCCGATTTTTAAACTCATTTCACACCGGCTTTATCCTCCCAATGTATGCTTGGAAGATTCCAAGGTACTTACCATTTCTCCAATACAGCACGTTGTTTCAGGATTATGTTATTCTAAACACACAGTTTCACTTATCTGAAATGTACTTCACCTCCAATTTTAAGCCACTTTATTGAGGTATTATTGATATACACAAAGGTATATGTATGTAATGAATACATATTGATGACTATAGAAGTAAGTATATACCCCTTAAACCATCACCACAATCTGTGCCAGAAACATACACATCACTTCCAAAAGTTTCCTTCCACACATTTTGTCATTGTGTGTGTTTGTGTGCGTGTGTGTGTATGTGTGTGTGTGTGAGAGAGAGAGAGAGAAACAGACAGACAGAGAGAACACTTAACATATGATCTACCTACTTAGCAAATTATGAAGTATACAACACAGTATTTACTACAAGCAATATGCTGTTTGGTAGATCTCTAGAGCATATTCATCCTGCATAACTGAAACTTTACACCCTTTGACTAATATCTCCCCGTCTTCCCACCCCCACCCCAAACCAGCCCTTGGCAACCACCATTCTACTCTCAGCTTCTACAAATTGCATTATTTTCAATTCCTCCTATAAGTGGGATCCTATGGCTTTTGTCCTTCTATCTGGTTTGCTTCACTTAGCATAGTGCCCTTCAGTTTAGGTTCATTTATACTGGCACAAATAGCAGGATTTTCATCCTTTTTAAGACTGAATAATATTTTATTGTACATACAGACCACATTTTATTCATCCATTCATCCATCCATGGACATTTAGGTTGCTTCTGTGTCTTGGCTATTGAGGTAATGCTGCAATTACCGTGGGAGGGCAGATATCTCTTCAAGATCCTTGTTTCAATTCCTCTGAATACATACTCAGGAGAGGGACTGCCAGATCATATATATGATAGTTCTACTTTTAATTTTTTGAGGAACCTCCATACTGTTTTTCATGGTGGCTGCACCAATTCCCACCGACAGTGTATATGAATTTCCTTTTCCCCAAATCTTTGCCAACACCTATCTTCCGGGTTTTTTTGTAATAGCCATTCTAACAGGGATGAGGCAATATCTCATTATGGTCTTGATTTGAATTTTCCTGATGATGAGAGATGTGGAACACTTTCATACGCCTGTTGGCCACTTATATATCTTCTTTGGAAAAGTGTCTATTCAGTTCCTTTGCCCAAGGGTTATTTGGGGCTTTTGGTTTGATTGGTTGCTTGCTTGGTTTGGTTTGATTTGGTTTTTGCTATTGAGCTGTCGGCGTTCTTTATGTATTTTTAATACTAACCCTTTATCAGTTGTATGGTTTGCCGATATTGTCTCCCATTCCATTAGATGCTTTTTCATTTTCTTGACTGTTTCCTTTGCTGTGCAGAAGCTTTTTAGTTTGCTGTAGTCCCTGTCTTCTATTTTGCCTTTGTTCTCTGTGCTTTTAGTGTCACATTCATAAAATTATAGCCAAGGCCAATATCAAGAAGCTTTTCCCTTATGCTTTTTTCTAGGAGTTTTATGATTGCAGGTCTTACAATTAAGCCTTTAGCCCATTTTAGTTGATTTTTTGGTGCAAGAAAATGGTCCAGTTTCATCATTTTGCATGTAGATATCCAATTTTCTCCATACTTGATTGAAGAGACTATCATTTGCCTATTATGTATTCTTAGCACCCTTGTTAAAACTTAGCTGACCACATGTAAGTGGGCTTATTTCTGGGCTGTCTATTCTACCCATTGGTTTATGCATCTGTTTTTATGCTACTACTGTAGCTTTGTAATATATTTTGAAATCAGAAAGTGTGAGGCCTCCAGATTTGTTCTTCTTGTTCAAACTAGCTTTGGCTATTAGCAGTCTTTGTGGTTCCATACAAATTTTAGAATTATTTTCTTCCATTTCTGTAAAAAAAAAAAAAAAAAGCCATTACAATTTTGATGGGGATTACATTGAATCTGTAGATCACCTTGGATAGCATTAACATTTTAACAATATTAATTATCCTAATCCATAAACAATACATGTCTTCCTATTTATTTGTATCTGCTTTAATTACTTTCATTAGTGTTTTATAGTTTTCAGTATACAAGTCTTTCACCTCCTTGGTTTAATTTATTCCTAAATATTTTATTCTTCTTGATATTATTGTTAATGGGAATTGTTTTCCTTTTTGGATACCTTGTTGTTAGTGTATAGAAATGCAAGCAATATTTGTATGTTAGTTTTGTATTCTGCACTTTTTTTTTTTGTTTTTTTGGAGATGGAGTCTCGCTCTACTGCCCAGGCTGGAGTGCAGTGGCACGATCTCAGCTCACTGCAACCTCTGCCTCCCAGGTTCAAGGAATTCTCCTGCCTTGGCCCTCCCGAGTAATTCGGATTACAGGCACCTGCCACCACGCCTGGCTAGTTTTTTTGTATTTTTGGTAGAGACAGGGCTTCATCATGTTAGTCAGGCTGGTCTCAAATTCCTGACCTCAGGTAATCTACCCGCCTCGGCCTCCCAGAGTGCTGGGATTACAGGCGTGAACCACAGCGCCTGGCCTGCACCATTCTCAAATTCATTTTCCTTCACCTCATTTCCACTTGAAGAACACCACTTCCTTCTTTAAGCCACAGCACAAATGTCTCCTCCAGCAAGGAGCCTGTCATGACAAACTAACTGCTCCCTTCTCTATGATATCTTTATAACTTGTAAAAACTTATAAAGCAGCTAGCCTAGTGCTCATGATAAGCGCTCAATAAGTTGCTGTTATTGTTATTATCATTTTGTTGCAGTATGCTGAGACATTTGTTTACAAGTCCCCCTCCACTGCTAGATTGCGAGCAGTTTTTAAGCAGAGGACTGATTATTATTTACTTTTGTAAGTACATCAACTTAGTAAAAAACCAGCATAAAGTAGGTACAGCAAGAACAGAAGGTTCAAAGGAGCTCTTTATTCAATTCTTCTTCCTCCTCCTCAAGAGGAGGAGCTACTATTCCTATAGCTGTCCAGGTTCCAGGGCAATGACTGGGTTATGGTTACTAGCAGACAGCATCATTCTCCACCAGAGAAGCCAAATCCTATAGGGCAGTGAGTCAGGTCATCCTGATCCCTTTGCTCTTTTCTTCAAGCACATCTTAAGACATCCTCATCACTTCCTCTAAGAGCAGATAGTAATATTTTAGGATTTAGAGGTTAATAGAGGCCCCAATAGATTTTTATATAAGCCCACATATTTATTTTAGCCTACTTTACCAGAAAATTCTAAAATCACAGCTCTCAGCAGAATATCAGCCAAGCAATAAAACAGTACCTCATTATCCTATTTGTCATAATTTTATGTGACAATTTCACTCCAGAAATCTTGTTAAAAGGGACTATTATGGTATGGGTAAGGGTTTCCCAGAATTGTCTGGTCATAATGCCCTTTTATTTCATGCATTCAAACACCACCGTGGTCCCATCATTGGTTCTAAGACTAAACACCCAGTGAATGCTTGTTAATTTGTGTTTACTAGGAAGCAGGTCTTTAGTGGACCCTGGGCAATGGTAAAACACTCCCGTTGAGGATGACACATTTTGAAGACATTTCCTATGTGTCTTCAGCCTTCAACATAGTGAGAGAAAGAATACCCACCTCCAATTTCTGCCCAAGCAAACTTTAGAGCCTACCACCAAAGCTTTCCACTCTTATATCTAAAGATTTCAGAGTTTTAATTCTTTTTTTCTTTTTTTTTTTTTGCGGACGGAGTCTTGCTGTGCCACCCAGGCTGGAATGCGGTGGCGCAATCTCGGCTCACTGCAAGCTCCACCTCCCGGGTTCACGCCATTCTCCTGCCTCAGCCTCCCGAGTAGCTGGGACTACAGGCACCCACCACCACGCCTGGCTAATTCATTTTTTGTATTCTGAATAGAGACGGGGTTTCACCGTGTTAGCCAGAATGGTCTCAGTCTCCTGAGCTTGTGATCTGCCCGCCTTGGCCTCACAAAGTGCTGGGATTACAGGCGTGAGCCACGGCACCCGACCAAGAGTTTTAATTCTTAAGAAAGATTAATAATATATCAGGAATATAAAGGCAGCAGGAGCATAAACTTAATGGCAAACATATAATCAATGTTTCATAATGTTTTTAAAATAGGAGGATATGTAAAGTCTGCTCTCTATAATTTCTTTCCCAGACCTCATAAATAAACAGTGACTCTCTTTCTCCATTTTCGACTGATTTATAGGCAGATTTTTAAGTAAAGTGCTTCTATTCATTACTAATGCATTGCATAATGTGCTGTAATAAGTGAATATAGCTTGAGTATGGTTGTTTAACATATTAATAAAAAATCAGCATAATTTAAAGCAGCAACCTTTTCATTTTACACAAACAATCACTGGATAACAAACAGGGAGACTTACAAGTGAGACACCAACGTGCAAAGTACAGGGACCCCAGAAATTCCCATCAGTCACAGGGTACTAGCAGAAAATTATGACGCATCAGTTACTAGGGGCAAATTATCAAGACCATTGTTGCACAGCCTGGCACCAATCATGCCCCCAATTCCTCCTGGTAACAGCAGGAATCGGCTTTGTTTTCCTATTGCAAAATCAAGATTCATCAACATAGCCATGGTGCAAAACCTGCCTGGAGAAGACCAGAACAGGCTATTATTTTAAGCCTAACACACTGACCTGTTGTGCAGCCTTATGGGAAATTAGACAGGAGCTCTTTGCTGAGGACAGAATTAACCCTTGTCATTTAATATTTCATGCCAACCAGTGGCTCCCTAACAAGAACAAATGGCTATAGATGAAATGAGGCTGATGTATTCTGTGTGGTATCTAATAAAGATGGCAGAGCAGCATGTATCATGAGCCTATCTTACCTGCAGTCATCAGTACAGTATCATTGTATTCATCCTGCACTGGAAAAAATTAATGCCCACCTTTCTGGGCTTGGAAAAACAACTATTAATTCAGTTTAAAATGAAACATAATTAAACAGAAAAAAAAATATTCCTTTCCCCCTGGAGGGTAGGACATAGGAAAAAAAGAGAACGTGAATTACTTTAGGGATGTTTTGCTTTTTATTCAAGGCAGATGGCTACTTTCCTGGGTCTTCAATTTCTCTAGTTTTGTTTCTCTTTTGCTCTTATCCACTGAAAGAACATCTGTTTTATGAGCAGGGCCTTGGCAGCCTTCCTCCTCATTTTTCAGGTGATGAACGGCCTCTGAATTGTGGTTTATAAACCTCAGGGCTCCCATGGTGAGTCTGTCTGGCTGGGGAACTCAGCACTTTTGTTTTCATCCATAGGACTTCTTCAGGGCACGCAATCCTCTCAAATGAAGTGAGCTCCAATTGGGTGAGAAATGGGAGAGAAAGAATGAGGTTCACTGAAAGGTGTAAATTGTTATACAAATGGCTACTTGGCCACAAAACATTGGTTCTTCCCTTGCAGAGTATAGAATTATTGCTGGGAAGTATTGCCTATCTCAGAACTACATATCCCAGCATCTCTTGCAATTAGGTGGGGTCATGTAACTCATTCTCACCAATTAAATATGATAAAAGTGATGTTCATTTTCTCCAGCACAATTAGATGAGAAGCAGGTGTGCCATCTCTGGCCCCTTTTTCCCCGTTGAACAGCAGGATAGAGAGTATTCTGAGACCCAAGAAGAAGACAGAGCTACAAGAAGAAAGGAGCTTGGGTCCCGGAGTGACTTCATGGAAGGCTGCCCACTTGCAAAGCTCTGCTGATGAGCAAGGAATAAATTTCTAGTGGGTGAAGCTTCTGAGATTTCAAGGAATATTCATTACAACAGACCAGCCTGACGAATATGGTGAAACCCCGTCTCTGCCAAAAATACAAAAATTAGCCAGGTGTGGTGGTATGTGCCTGTAGTCCCAGCTACTGGGGATGCTGAGACAGGAGTTGCTTAAACCCGGGAGGCAGAGGTTGCAGTGAGCTGAGATGGTGCAGCTGCACTCCAGCCCAGGCGACAGAGCAAGACTCTGTCTCAAAAAAAGAATTATATATATATATACACTCATACATATATATATTCATTACAGCAGCTAATACTACCTTTATTAGTATACAAATCAAAGCACTTTCATAGAAACCACAAAATTGGAAGGCAAGATAATAACCCCATTTGGCCATGATGATTCTGAACAAACCTGTATGCTTTTCACACTTTCCAAATTACCATGATTTTTACATTTCTGTTCTCATGATGCTGCTTTAGCAGCTCTAATATATTCTGCATGTAGCTAACCATGTCTCTCCACCTCATCTTCTGTCATCTTCAGCAGTGCCTTCAAAATTCCAGCCAAACCCCAAGATCCTTCACGTACATTATTATTCTAATTATCCTCTAGATTTCAGTTCAATATTGCTTCTTCAGAGAAGCTAGTTTTGCCTGTTCTAGAACTTCAGAGAAGTAGAATCATTCAGGGTCAGGAGCACTGGCTCATGCCTATAATCTCAGCAATTTGGGAGGCCGAGGTGAGCAGATCACTTGGGGTCAGGAGTTTCAGACCAGCCTGGGCAACATGGCAAAACCCCAACTCTACCAAAAAATATTTAAAAATTAGCCAGGCATAGTAGCATGTGCCTGTAGTCCCAGCTACTCAGAAGGCTGAAGGAGGTGGATTGCTTGAGGCTGGAAGGCAGAAGTTGCAGTGAGCCAAGATTGTGCCACTGCACTGCAGCCTGGGACACAGAGCAAGACCTGTCTCAAAAAAAAAAGAAAGAAAGAAATAGAATCTTTCAGTATTTCTGTGTGTTGCACAAATCAATAGTTCACTTCTCTTTGTTGCTGAGTAGTATTTTATTGCATGCATATATCATATTTGTTTTTTTAGTCACCTGTTGAAAGACATTTGGGCTGTTCTCAGTTTGGGGCTATTATGAATAAAGCTTCTATGTAGACTATGTCTTCATTTTTCTTGGGTAAAACGTAGAAGTAGAATTCCTGAATCATAGGCTAGGTGTATTTTAATGTTTTAAGAAACTGCCAAACCCTTATTTAAAAGTAGATGTACCTTATTACACTCATGCCAGCAATGTAAGACAATTCCAGTTGCCCCATATTTGCACCAATATTTGGGGCTGCTGATCGTTCTAGAGGGTATATTGGTATCTCACTGTTATTTTCTCTTTTTTCTTTTTTTTTAGATAATGTGGACTTTGTTTATTCTTGCAATCTTTTTTTATTATTATACTTTAAGTTCTGGGATACATGTGCAGAACGTGCAGGTTTGTTACATAGGTATACATGTGCCATGGTGGTTTGCTGCACCCATCAACCTGTCATCTAGGTTTTAAGCCCCGCATGCATTAGGTATTTGTCCTAATGCTCTCCCTCCCCTTGCTCCCCACCCCTCAACAGGCCCCAGTCTCACTGTTGTTTTCATTTGCGTCTACCTGATGGCTAACGATGCTTAGAATTTTTTCCTATGCTTATTTTCCATTTGTGTTTCTTCCTTTGAGTAGCTTCTGTCCAAGTCTTGTTCTCCATTTTATTGAGCTTCTTTTAATAAGCAGGAAGGAAGACTGCTTTCATCAAGCAACTCCACAAGTGGCTCTCCAGCGGCTTTCCATCAAACTGGGATCTCAGCCAGAATCAAGCTTCCAAGCCCGATATTATATTGCTGGTCCCACCAGGGAGTTCTTTTTTGATTGGACAGAAATAGAAACCTCCCTAGGTCCATCTGAATGTCAGAAACAGTGAAGTCACATGCAAGGGCATTCTGGATGGAGAAAGAGAATGTTCCTGCCCTTCTAGCAAGAGCTTCCCACTTAATGACATACACAACTAGAGGGAAGGCACTGTTACCCCTATGCAGGCAAAGGTGACTCTCAAGGTAGGCAGAGACAAACAGCATCTGTTGACAAAATTCCCTGGTGGTCCAGTGGTGCACACAAGGACAAGAAATCTCAACAAAATATCCAGTAAAAAAAACACAATCCTCACATGGAAACTCTAGAACTAATAGCTCCTTAAGTTACTTAACCACCATGCTCAGCCCGTGCTGAAGTGACACCACCATTCATTTAGGAAAGGAATCCTTAGCTGTTAGATGCTTTTAATTCCAACATGAAACTCAAAAGTGCCACCTTTCCTAAAAGGAAGCAAATTGTGTGTGCTTAGCCATTTGAGGGCTCAATTATCATGTTTGCCCCTGCGATTAGGAAATGACTCCCACTAATTGGGTAATTGTGTACCTAAGTGCCCAATTTGTGTGGACAAATTGAAGGCATGATATAAGCAAATCAACCTACATGTAAAATTTTTTGTCCCTGTGAACCTAACTATCACTGAATGTCAATCACAAAAACAGCCAATTGTATCCACGTCTGAGTGAAGGCTTTTAGTCAAAGTGATTTTTGATATCTGAGTCTCATTGATGATATGAAATAATAATATATAGATTATATAACACTTAGTATTAAATATGAATCATGTCATCTTCCTGGCAAAGAAGTCGGCCGAGCTGTGGATTCTTACAAATGGTTAATGATGCCTTCCTCAAAAAAGATGTCAGCTCTTATTGCCAAATAAAGAGGTAACAGTCTCAAAGAAGAGGGTGCTTAATAAAGGGTGAAGGAAATCTAAAAGGTTTTAAGGTTCTGTTTATGGGTTTCAATAGCTGCCATATGCCAGATCCTGTGGTAAGCATCTGACATGCATTATCTCATTGAATCCTACAATTTACCTATGAAGTAGATATGTTATTAGCCTCATTTTACAGATGACAGAGACATTACAGATTTACATTTTACAGATTTACAGAGACATTAAGAGAGCTATCAAGTAGTAGAGTCAGGATTTTAACCCACCTCCTTCTCTCCCACCTCTCACCTCCAATCCATCTTCAAGTTCTGGGGATTCCATCTCCTTAATTTCTTTTAAATCAAGTTATTCTCTCCACCACCACTGTTGCTAGCCTTGGCTCTGGCCATCGCCCTCAACAACAGTTTTCAAGCTGACTTTCCTTCTACTATCTTACATCCAGGGTACTCTTTCTATAATGCAAATCTGAATGCATCTCCTCTCCTGCTAAAATGCTATTTCCCTCATGATGAAGTTCCAATCCCTTTACATTACAATCATGATCTCTCCTACAAAACCTTAGAGAAGACACTAGAACTCTACTCAGGCTTACATCCCCCGCACATCCATGAAACTGCTCTTGCTAACATCTCCAGTGACTCCACAATGCCAGGGCAGTAATGAAATCTCAGTTCTCTTTGCAGTCATGCTTTGAGAATCATTTGACAAAGTTGATCATCCCCTCTTTCTTGGGCTTTTTCTCCACTTTGATTCCTAGATCCTACACTGTCTGATTTCCCCCTTCTTCACTCACTGTTCCTTCTGTCTATCCCAGGATCTGGTCATGGAACCTCTTCTCTATTTATACTTATTCTCTCAATGATCCCATCTAGATCCATGACTTTTAATATCATCTATACAATAAAGACTTTAAAATGTGATTCTCCAGCCCTAACCTCAATTACAAACTTCAGACTCAAAGTTCCAATTACCTAGTTAAGTCTCTACTTGAGCATCCAACAGGCATCTCAAACTTAAGACGGCCCAAAACTGTTGATTTCACCACCTGCTCCCAATCCTGTTTCTTCTGCAGTCAATCTCTAGACAAATAACAACACCATCATTACAGTTGTTTGAGAGTTATCTTTTCCTCCTCTCTTTCTCTCAAGACCCATATACAAGACATCAGCTAGTCCTGTCTGTTCTACCTGCAGAATGTATCTTCGATCAGAGCACTTCTTCCTACATCCAACGCAAGCACTACCAAGCCACCATTGCTTCTTACCCCACTACTGACATAGCTGACATAAACTCCTCCACTTCCCTGCTTTCACCCACACTCCCTACTGCCCATGCTCAATACTACAGAGAGATCTTTTCAAAACATAAATCTGATCTTATCACTTCCCTTCTCCACACTCTCCTCTCCTAGCTCCAGTGCTTTCCCTTCACACTTAGAAAAAGAATCCTAAATCCTCTCCAACTCAGTTCTTTTCCTCCATTCTCCCCCCTTGCATATAGAACTGTAATTATCCTTTAGCCAGCATCCTAAGTATATTTTATATCCTTCTTGGTTACACTAATGTAATTCCATCCTACAATCCACCAGATTTCTCTTCTAATCTGTATTACCCATTAAACAATAATAACTACAGTTACTATTTGTTGAGTGCTGACTGTGTGCTATTTCTCTTGCTTGATCAGCTGCATTCCAGAACTCAGAAAATCTCACCCATATCTGAAATTGCTCCATGTTCGTGCAGCATGATGCTCAAGTTTATTTCTTCTTCTTTTTTTTTATTTTCTTTTTTTTGAGGCAGGGTCTTGCTCTTTCATCCAGGCTGGGGTGCAGTGGTGTGATCATGGCTCACTGCAGCCTCCTGGGCTCAAGCAATCTTCCATCCTACCCTCCCTAGTAGCTGGGACCACTAGGGCACACCACCACATGTGGCTAATTTTTTGTATTTTTTGCAGAGATACGGCTTCACCATGTTGCCCAGGCTGGTCTCCAACTCCTGGGCTCAAGCGGTCTGCCCTCCTCAGCTTCCCAAATTGCTGAGATTACAGGCGTGAGCCACCTCACCAGGCCACAGGTTTATTTTTCTTCAGCCATATGTGGTGTCTGCAGTAGGTAGTGGTCTCATAGCGACAAAAAAAAGCAGACACAGCTGTATTAATTTGGCCTCACTTAGCGCCTACATCTCCTAGGCTCCTGAGGGCATGCTCGTTCCCATCATGTGACCTTTAGTAGAGATCAAAGCCCAGTTTCAAGTTGGTGTCAAACAGATGTTGTTTTACCAAAGCTCCATGCTGCTTCACATCCTGATTTCAAGCAAGTCAGACAGACTGGAATGAGGCTCCCTTGTTGACCTGAGTTTCCCAGTGTGAAAGGAAAATATCTTGGGCCCCCAAAATCCCTAAGGAAAACTCAAGTTGGGAACTGCTACAGGGCAAACCTGCTCCCCATTCTATTCAGAGTCACTCCTCTACTCACTGAGATAGGTGCATATCTGATTTGCCTCCTTTGGAAAGGCTAATCAGAAACTCAAAAGAACATAACCATTTTTGTATCACCTATCTGTGACCTGGAAGCTCCCTCCCTGCTTAGAGTCTTCTTGCCTCTGCTTCAAGTTTTCCCACCTTTCCAGACAGAACCAATGTACTTCTTACATATATTGATTGATGCCTCATGTCTTCCTTCATTTATAAAACCAAGCTGTGCCCCAACCACCTTCAGCACACGTCATCAGGACTTCCTGAGGCTGTGTCACGGGTGTGGGTGGCAAGCCACCCAGGTGCTGAGGCAAGAGACCAAGGGCACGAGCTATTCCAGTATAATAAAATACATAAAATAAGAATAGTTATACTAGATATTGATCTTAGATATGATTATACATGAATATCATTCATCAATAGTTAGTAGCAGTTACTCTTTATTCCAATATTATAATAATCCTCGCTCTACAATCATAACCTAGGAAAAACCAGGCCACACAGAGATAGGAGCTGAAGGGACATAGTGAGAACTGACCAGAAGACAAGAGTGCGAGCCTTCTGTTATGCCTGGACAGGGCCACCAGAGGGCTCCTTGGTCTAGCGGTAACGCCAGCATCTGGGAAGACACCTGTTGCCAAGCGAACCGTGGTCTAGCGGTAGCATCAGTGTCAAGGAAAAACACCCGCTACTTAGCAGACTGGGAAAGGGAGTCTCCCTTTCCCCGGGGGAGTTTACAGAAGACTGTACTACTCCACCTCTTGTGGAGAGCCTGACATCAGTCAGGCCCGCCCGCAGTTATCCAGAAGCCTAACCATCTGCCTGTGATGCTGTGCTTCAGTGGTCACGCTGCTAGTCTGCCTTCATGTTCCATCCTGTACACCTGGCTCTGCCTTTTAGATAGCAGTAGCAAATTAGTGAAAGTACTAAAAGTCTCTGATAAGCAGAAATAATGGTGTAAGCTGTCCCTCTCTCCTCTCTCTCTCTGCCTCGGCTGCTAGGTAAGGAAGGGTCCCCATCCAGTGGACACGTGACTCACGTGACCTTACCTATCATTGGAGATGGCTCACACTCCTTACCCTGCCTCTTTGTCTTGTATCCAATAAATATCAGCGCAGCCTGGAATTTGGGGCCACTACCAGTCTCTGCGTCCTGCTGGTAGTGGTTCCCCGGGCCCAGCTGTCTTTTCTTTTATCTCTTTGTCTTGTATCTTTATTTCTACACTCTCTCATCTCTGCACACGGGGAGAAAACCCACTGACCCTGTGCAGCTGGACCCTACACATGGGTGCGTCCTCAACATTGGCAAAATAAACTTTCTAAATTAACTGAGACCTGTCTCAGATTTACTGGGTTCACACCAGAAAGAAGTGGGCAAGTCAGTTCCCTAATGTGGTCCTTGCTCCCCTCAAGTGTGGAATTAGGGATGTGTGGTAGGCTCTGCCAGCTGTCCAACTATCCTCCACCTTCGCCCTCTTCTTTAGTAACAGAACACACATTTTCTTCAGGGTGGCTGACAAACATTCTTCCCAGACTCCCTTGCAGCTAGGATTGAGTATGTGACATGCTTTTGGCCAATGAGATGTAAGTATAAGTCTATGGGTGGGACTTTAGGAGAAGCCATTGTTTTCCTGATAACAATGGAATAGACTCAACAAATTTTGCCCTTCCCTTTTATTCCTGCCTGTATTGTGGAAACAAGGCTTGGACTTAGAACAGCCATCTTGTGTCCACTGTAACAAAGATATAAGCAAAGAATGGTTGGTGGAGAAAAAGATAGAAAGATCCCAGGTCCCCAGTGGCATCTCTGGGTTGCCACACCAGCGCTGGACTTCCTAAATGTCTCAGACATTTCATACATAAGGAAAATAAACCCTTTCCTTATTTAAATCACAGTTTTTAGACATTTTGTTTCATGAACTGAATACAAATCTTATCTAATATTTCCTATTACTATCCCTCTTAATTATCTATTTCTGTTAATCATCTCATTGGGCAAAGAATAGGAAAGGTAATGTCATGTTTCTCAATGAGCATGTTACCGTTTCTTAACCTCACAAACCAATCAAATTTGCCTTTGCACCAATTTCTTTGAGCCCTTCATTCAACAGAAATTTACTGAGTGCCTACTATGTGCAGGCACTATTAAAAAGGATTCAGTCTACGATGAACAAAATTCCCCGGTATACCTTTACCTTAACTCTTGTGTGGATCTAGATGCTAACACAGTCCTTTCTGTTTTTGGATTAAACAACAGAAATTTATTTTCTTGCACTTTCAGAGGCTAGAAATCCATGATCAAGAAGCCAGCATGGTCAGTTTCTAGAGAGGATCAGTTTCTCTTCCTGGATTGCAGAAGGCCACCTTCTCACTGTGTTACCACATGGCAGGGAAAGAGACAGTGTGCAAGCTCTCTGATAGCTCCTTTTCAGCTTCTTTATTGTTGAAATAAAGTTGTCATAACTTTTTTTTTACTTTTTTCTTAATTGACAAATAATAATTGTCTAACATACTCGTTAATAATTTTGGAGCCTTTCTAATGTCACAATGCTGCATGCTCTTCCTCTTTCCTCCTTGGCAAACACCTATTAGCTTCTGATCTCCTTTAGGCCTGCAAAGTTCTTCAGGCCAGTTTTATATCACTGTTCAAGTTTTTCATAAGTCTCTTATACTGTCTCAAGGTTGGGGAAGGGGAGTATAAAGCTAGTCAAGATTTCCTTATTGAAAGCATCCTGGGCCAGGTATATTGGCTCATGCCTGTAATCATAGCAATTTGGGAGGATGAGTCATGAGGATCTTTTGAGCCCAGGAGATCGAGGCTGCAGTGAACTATGACCATGCTACTTTGCACAAGCCTTGGTGACAGAGCAAGATGTAGTCTTAAAAAAAAAAAAAAAGTATCCTATTACACAGAGATCAGATTCAGTGATTTCTAAAGCTCTTTAAGGATCTAATATTCTGAGTTCTACATAATTTTCTCTCCTTCCCAATTGCCCTTCCCTGTCCACCCCAACACAAACTGCTCATTAAGAAAAAATTACATAATATAGAAATGCTGCATTACCTTTGAATCCATATGTGAGATCAAGAATAAAAAATGTGTCATTTTTGAGAATTTTTGAGAGCAAGGGAGGATAACAATTTTGGAAACTTTGAATAATTAAAACTAAATCTAACATTGATGTTTCTGCCTTTATAATCATCTTTTCAAGACAAAGATTCAATCTCTCTGTCTCTCTCCAAAAAAAAAAAAACTGTATATCCAAGCTACTGAAACTATTCATCTCAGAGATACCTTGAGATGCCTATCTGTGAAACATCAGGCTAAGGAGTTATTTCAATCAACTCCCATGTCTGAGCATAGACTTTCCTAGGAGACAAGGACCACTAACCCTTTGGTTTGGCAGATTTCTCTTTTCCCCAAAAAAGGCCTTTCAGGAAGAAACAATAAAATCTCAACCAGTAAATTAGCTTTGCACTCACTGCAAAGAGTTGCTCAGACAACACTGTTGACATTTGGGCCTGGATAATGTTTGCTGTGTGGTGCCATCCTGTTCACTGTAGCATACCTAGCATCACCCAGTAGATGCCAGTAGTTACCTTGTCCCACTAACCTACTCATTTGTGACAATTGAAAATGTCTCCAGACATTGCCAAATTCCCCAGGGCACAAAATTGCCCCAGTGAGAACTTCTGCCCTACATCAGGCAGGCTTCAGCTATGCTGATACTCCTTGAGAATGGAATTGGCATTTAAGCCCTCTTGCATCCCTGAATCACATCTCACCAACACCCACCACCGCCCAAACAGGCAACTGGTCACCTTGTGGAGAGAAATCAGCTCAGCCCTCAACACACAAGGAAAAATGACATGAATGCAATTGTATCACCGGAGACCAAAATGCATGGGTTTGTATCTATTATTTTAATTAAAAATGACTCCGTAGGACAAAAATTACCAAGGTCTCGTCTCTAATATTGCACTCTTCTAATTTACTCCCATTTCACATGAGGTCCTCTGCTGTCTTCTTAGTCAACTCCTCCTCTTCTTACCCTACCTAGCCAGTTCCTCAATCTCAGGCTCAGCACTTTGTTGCTTCTCCCTCTGCACCCATGGCTTCAAATATCTTTATGCTGATTACTCCATATTTTCTATCTGGCCTAGACTCCCACTCTGAATTCCAGATTTGTATATCCAACTATCTACTTGACATTTTTCCTTGGATCTCTCCCAATATCTCACAGCTAACGAATCTAAGAAAAATCTCTTGCTTTTTCACCCCCAAATTGTTTCATATCTAGTCTTCCCTCATGTGAGAAAATGCCACCAACATCCTTGAACTTACCCAAGTCAGTAACCTAGGAGTCATCTTTAAGTGTCTCTCCCTCCTTACCCTCCTCACTATCAAATCCATCAGCACATCCTAAATCCAACCACTTCTCTCTATCTCTCTCTGCAGCTACTCCTATCCCATACTTGGGGCCAATCCACTGCTTAACTTCAGAAATCATTATTTTCATTGTTGCATAGGTGAATGACGTCCCCTGGAGCTGTACAATTATCAATTTGCAGGACTATAATCATCAATTCTGATTCCCTACTCCAACCTAGCATCATCTCTCACCAGGATGAATGCAACAATTTCCTGACAGATCTTCCTGTTTCCACTCTGTCCCCAACAATCCACTTTTCACGCAACCACCAAGAGTGATCTTTCAGAAAAATACACAGCTCAAATCATATCACTCTCCAGCTTAAAACCCCTCAATAGTTTCTCATTGCTCTTTACATAAAATTTAAATTCCTTTCTGTGACCTCAGGGCTTGTCTATCTGGTGCCTCGAAATCTCTCTAGTCTTTTTTTTTTGTTTTTGTTATTTAACTTATATTTTAAGTTCAGGGGTACATGTGCAGGTTGTTTTATAAATAAACTTGTGTCATGGGGGTTCGTTGTGCAGATAATTTTGTCACCTGGGTATTAGGCCTCGTACCCATTAGTTATTTTTCCTGATCCTCTCCTTCCTCCCACTCTCCACCTTCCGATAGGGCCCGGTGTGTATTGTTCCCCTTTATGTATCTACGTATTCTTTTTTTGTTGTTTTTTTGAGATGGAGTCTCACTCTGTTGCCCAGGCTGGAGTGCAGTGGCATGATCTCGGCTCACTGCAACCTTCACCTCCCAGGTTCAAGCAATTCTCCTGCCTCAGCCTCCTGAGTAGCTGGGATTACAGGTGCGTGCCAACATGCCCGGCTAGTTTTTGTATTTTTAGTAGAGACGGGGTTTCACAATGTTGGTCAGGCTGGTCTTGAACTCCTGACCTCATGATCCACCCACCTCAGCCTCCCAAACTGCTGGGATTACAGGCGTGAGTCACCACGTGTGGCCATGTATTCTTATTATTTAGTTCTCAATTATAAGTGAACAGAAAACCTATAGAATGAGCGAAAATTTTGCAAACTATGCATCTGACAAAGGTCTAATATCTAGCATCTATAAGGAAGCTAAACAAACTTACAAAAAAAAAGGAGTAAAAGATAAGATTCTTGCTTGTGTCCTTTGCCTGCTTTTTAATGGGGAAAGGAATTCCAGGCTAGGCGCAGTGGCTCCCGATCTCTCCAGTCTTAACTCTTAACTCCTTTGCTCCATCCTAACAAGTTTTCTTTCAGTTCTCCAAATAAAACAAATTCCTTTCTGCCGCAGGGCCTTTGCATGTGTTGCTCTTATCACCTAGAACTCTCCTACAAATCCCCAACCCCAATACTCTTCATAGAACTGAATCCTCATTTCTCTGTCTCGGTTTGGTTGACCTGACCCCACTATTAGAAATTTGGTGCTTCCCTTTTTTATTCTTTACCATGGCACACCATTTCCCTCAGAATACTCCTCACATTTGTAACCATGTAAAATCATTTGTTTTGTTCACAACTGCATTCCCAGCACTTAGTGCAGTACTCAGGTTATATTAGGCGCTCAATAAATGCTTCTTAAGTTAAATGAATATGTGAATGGCACCACTAGAAAATAACCAGTATTCAGATCTTAGTGTATGCCATTTCTAGACCTTAATCATATTTAATTGTAATATTGTTGTTTCTTTAATAACTCTAGGGCTTAGAATCTAGTACAAAAAAATACATAGGCACTTAAAAAGTATGTATGGGCAGAGTGCAGTGGCTCACGCCTGTAATCCCAACACTTTGGGAGACCGAGGCAGGCAGATCACTTGAGGTCAGGAGTTTTAGATCAGCCTGGTCAACATGGTGAAACTCCGTCTCTACTAAAAATACAAAAATGAACTGGGCATGGTGGGGTGCACCTGTAATCCCAGCTACTTGGGAGGCAGAGGCAAGAGAATTGCTTGAACCCGGGAGGCAGAGGTTGCAATGGGCTGAGATTGTGCCACCGCACTCCAGCCTGTGTGACACAGTGAGACCCTGTGTCAAAAAAAATTTTTTAATTATGTATGATTCAGGTCTCAACTCAAATGTCATCTCCCCAGGGAGAACTCCTAGCCACACCAATGAAAAGAGACCTCAGTTTCCATCACTACCGTACCTGGTATTTACTTACCTGTCTCCTCTGGCTAGAATGTAAGTTCTGTGAAACCAGGGACCAAGTTTCTATTGTTTGATGCTGAATGCCCAGTGCCTAACAGTTGCCAGCAAAGAGTAAGCACTCAATAAATGTTTGCTGAATGACGAATGAATATCTGAAGTTTCTCTACCCAGAAAGTGTTCTAAGCCAGACGTAAACTGTCAGGTGGACTTAGGAGGAACCTCAAACTGCACTTAGCATTTTAAAGCCATCGCCAGTTGCACAGAGACACTGACATGCTAAAGATGGGTTCTGTCCAAAGCTGTCACACACACTCGCTCCAGCCCTGCCAGAATGCAGAACGGCACTCGTGCAGATGCTTGTTGAAAACTTGGCCTTTCCAGGCTGAAAATGGGGCCATGTCTCATCTGTCCAGGAGAACAGCACCCAGTTCCCCTATCTGCTAATCAGGCTGGCAGCAAACTTCAGCCGCAGTCACTGCATTTGATGCTGTGATGCCAGTACCACAAGACTGAAAAATGAGAGAAGTAGAACGAGGGGAAGGCTGAGACTGTCTCAAGCCAAAGGTAGGGCAGGGAGAGAGGAGAGAGACCAAAAACTTAAATACCAAAAAGTTCAAGTTTTTTTTTTTTTTTTTGAGATGGAGTCTCGCTCTGTCGCCCAGGCTGTAGTGCAGTGGCATGATCTCGGCTCACTGCAAGCTCCGCCTCCCTGGTTCATGCCATTCTCCTGCCTCAGCCTCCGAGTAGCTGGGACTACAGGTACCCGCCACTGCGCCTGGTGAATTTTTTGTATTTTTTTTTAGTAGAGACGGGGTTTCACCATGGTGTCGATCTCCTGATCTCGTGATCCACCCGCCTCAGCCTCCCAAAGTGCTGGGGATTTTTCTTTTTCTAATTCTTAGAAATAAGAGCTCCTATCAGCAGCCTAACCAGGGGTAAAAAAACAAACAAACAAACAAAAAACGAAGTTTCATTGTCTCAACTGATGATGCTGCAAACCAGAAATCACAGATCAGTGACTCCTGGGCAAGGTCCAGCACATAGATGTGTTCTGTTTGGCCTACACAGCATTTTTTAAAAAGTTGGATTACTTGTCAAAATTTCAAAATTGGAAAATTTCATCATTTAAAAATCTAATTCCAGGCCAGGCGCAGTGGCTCACGCCTGTAATCCCAGCACTTTGGGAGGTCAAGGAGGGCAGATCATAAGGTCAGGAGTTTGAGACCAGCCTGGCCAACATGGAGAAACCACCCCGTCTCCACTAAAAATACAAAAATTACCCGAGCATGGTGGCACACGCCTGTAATCCCAGCTATTCAGGAGGCTGAGGCAAGAGAATCCCTCGAACCTGGGAGGTGGAAGTTGCAGTGAGCCGAGATCACGCCACTGCACTCCAGCCTGAGTGACAGAACGAGACTCCATCTCAAAAAAAAAAAATCGAATTCCTGGCTTCTCCTGAAAAATCAGAAGGCCTGGCAACACCAAGTCCATCTTCTTCCCAGGTGTCAACATCACGTGGCCTGAATAGACACTGCAGGTTTGGGACAGGGTTCTTCACCTCATTTTCTACCTGGTCCCTGAAGGCCATCGACTCTGTGATCCCTGCTTCCCAAGGGGAAGATCCTTTATTCCCCTGTCCTCATATGTCCAAAGGAGTGTTTTCCAAGATGTCTACCCTCTGGAGGAGCTCCCCAAAGAGATAGCTTCAACCTCTAACTCCCCTTTTCCCTTGATCCTCCCCCAGAGAGGAAAGTAACTAATCTGATTGGTGAGATGCCTGGGGACCCACCTTCTGGTGGGTGGTGGGCTCACTTTGCATCAAGAACAAGAAAAGGGGCTTCTCCCACTCTTTCAGTGGCCTCCACGGACCTCTGATATGCAAAAGCCAGGCCTGCTCTGTGCTCCTCACCATTCAGCTCCCCCAGACCAGGCACAAGGTCTTCTCTGACCCCATCCTATGAAGACCCCAAGGTACTAAAATGAAGAGTGATCCTCTATGGAGCCAGCTGGGTGAGAATACTCAGAGGCCACTTTGCCACCCAACGCCGTCAGTGGATCATCCAAGAGCTAGATACAGGGAAAGGCAACAGGAGACATCAATCCAAGCTTTGTTCTCCAATCCTCTTTTACCAGGGAACCCCATTCTTTGGGACCCAATGGGCCTTAGTCATAAGTATGATATTTTATTTTCTCTATCTAGATCCTTGTGCTTCTGATTAGAACCAGGATAGTAGAAGGAGCAGTATTCAGAATCCCTCTCCTCCAATAAATCTCGAAACAGAGTGTTTGATGAGATTTGGGGGGAAATTTTTTAAGTCAAAATAATTGTGGTGCACCCTCCTGAAGCACTCACTTTACTCAAAGATTTAAGAAACATGTTTTAGAATTTTTGAGCTTTTATGCATACCCAAGTACAATTAACAAGAGATCATTTTTCTGGGTTGACCAATTTTATGGCCAACCTACAAAATTTCACAAGTTTTTCATGTGTGAAGTTGCGAAGCATACAACTTTTTATGTGCAGAGAAGCCATTGGATAATTAGGTGCTTTGAGTTATTAGGATATAATGTGAAGATGCAGTAAAGTGAATAGCGGCTACAGGAAAACCAAAGGTCATAATAACGTCCCTAGGCTTCAAAATGCCTCACCATGGGCCAACATTTTATTTCCTCAATTTACATCCATTTCCCATAATTACTGAGGTCTCAATAACACAAATATAGCAAAACTTTTTAGTGTCACTTTTTTTTTTTTTTTTTGAGACAGGTTTTCATGCTGTTGTCCAGGCTGGAGTGCAGTGGTCCAATCATAGCTCACTGTAATCGTGACTTCCCGGGCTCAAGCGATCCTCCTGCCTCAGCCTCCTGAGTAGCTAGGACTATTGGTACACACTAGCATGCCCAGCTAATTTTTTAAAATTTTTTGTGGAGTTAGAGTCTTACTGTATTGCCCAGGCTGATCTCAAACTTCTGACGTCAAGCAATCCTTCCACACTGGCCTCCAAAAGTGCTGGGATTACAGGCATGAGCTATTGCTACTAGCTAAGTGTCACTAAATTTTAGTGTCACTTTTCTATTTTTTTGAGACAAGGTCTTGCTCTGTCACCCAGGCTGGAGTGCAGTGGCATGATCTCGGCTCACTGTAACCTCCGCCTCCCAGGCTCAAGTGATCCTCCCACATCATCCTTCCTAGTAGCTGGAATTATAGGCATGCACCACCACACCTGGCTAATTGTTTGTGTTTTTTGTAGAGATGATGTTTCGCCATGTTGCCCAGGCTAGTCTCGAATTCTTCAGCTCAAGCAATCCTCCTGCCTCAGTCTCCCAAACTGCTGGGATTACAGGCGTGAGCCACCACACCCTGCTAAGTGTCACTTTTCATGTGCCTTTTTACAGAATACTAACTTGTAAGTTACATTGTCAACCTGGAATGTGTCTTAGGGTTTAAAAGCTAGAAGTTTGAAAACTAAGCATGAAACCAGTGAAAACAAGCACAGTTATGACAGAAATTTAAAATAACCTGGAATTATCTTTTCCCACAAGAGTTTGACAGTGAGACAAAGAGAGGAGGCTCCTGTGCAAACGCCTTAACTGGTGGTAGGTCACACAATAGGGATTGCAGTTCAATGCCTACTTAAAAGGAAGGTTTTAGATAAATACCCATAATGCTCAGGTTTTGATCTCTAAATACTATTCCCTGATAAAAGGACTAGGCTTTTTGCAGAAATGGCTGACCTAAGGTCTGGGGCATAAAATGTACAAGATGAGCCAAAATCAAGGAAGCTATCAAAGTTTAATGGGGGTCCATTAAAAAGTGGGCAAAGGATATGAACAGATACATTTCTTTCTTTATTTTTATTTATTTATTTTTTTTGAGACAGAGTTTTGCTCTTTTCCCCAGGCTTGAGTGTAATGGCGCGGTCTCAGCTCACTGCAACCTCCGCCTCCCAGTTTCAAGCGATTCTTCTGCCTCAGCCTCCTGAGTAGCTGGGATTACAGGTGCCTGCCACCACACCTGGCTAATTTTTGGACTCTACAAAGCAAATTTCACAGACTCCCTTACGAGTTGACTTCTTATTAAGTTCTGCTAATAGGAGATAACAGTAGGAACAGATGTGGGAGTTTCTGCTTTCCCACTCTTACCAATATGTTCCAACAGCAGCATTTGGCTTCAATCTCCAGCTTCCTTGAACACTTACAACACCAACACTCCCGCCCTTCCTTTGAGCTTTTAGGTCCCGGTAACCCCCGTCTTCCTCTTTATCCCCTTTTCTGGGGGTGAAACCATATCTGTAACCTACAGATGAATGAAAAAATCTCCACCCGTGGTTTGGCTCTTTTATTTGTCTTTACCCCTCTGTGATGATGATGCTATTGTCTTATAGTCGTTAATTATATTAACTGTTAATTTATATTGTTTTTGATTATAAAATAACCATAAAGAATTTTTTCAACATTTATTTACATGACATTATATATTTTTTGTCAAATGTGATAACTCCTCGAAAAAAATGTTTGCAAGACTTCGTTTGTATAATTGCATACCTTGAAGACTTCAACAACCACTGCATTATTCACCAATACACATTTTATCCTAAGAAGCTTGCCTCTTGGTTTTCTCACTACTTGGCAGAGTGATTTTTAAGAGTACCAAAATTATTTTAAGTGGTTTGGATACTAGCTTTTTAATAAAACTGAGAGACACCTTGAAAGCTTATGCAATTACACAGCTACCTACTGCAGGAAGATGTTGGTTAGAGTTTTCAAACTCAAGACTAAATTGTTATGTTTCTTCTAGGGGATTAGAAAGACATTAAGATAAGGTACAGTCTAGAAAGGGTGAATTAATTCCTTGCTCGATGTCAAGGAAGGTCTCATGGAGTTGGTTTGTTGAGCTGTTTCTTTGTAAGCCTAAACACTTTCAGCAACAATGGCAAGGTCAGTCTAGGAACATTTTTAACACCTCTGATAAGTTACTATAATAAAAATGGTGCTCAGGAGGTGGAGAAAAAGGGTTTGTCATGGAGATTGGGCATCGTCTGTGACTCTTTCTTCATTTATACGTGATAAAAATTACAGCCTTAGAAATGTTTAAAATCATCATCTACTTTCTTCACTGCAAAAGTCCTGTGAGGAGTATTTCCTGGGGCAGGCCTGTGGGTCAGTGCTGGGGGAAGTGTCATCCAAGCAATGTGCTTCTCTGTTAATGGGTACATTTGGCAAAATCACCACCAGAGCCAGACTGTGCTGCTCCACTCCTCTGGCAGCATTCATGAGCTTCTCGTCTCTATGGCTCACCTGACACACCTCATCAGTCAGTGAACAAACCATTCTATTTCCATCCACACAACCACACTGGTTGGGGCTCTGAACATCAAGACAGAGAAGAGAGAGGGCCTGCATACTAAAGATCTCTACAATCTCATCTCTGTTCAAATCAGCTAATTAAATAAGACAGTCTGGTCTTTGAGATTCATAAAGCTTATCCTAAAACCCTTTGGTATCTTCACACTGTACTTCAAACAAAATCCAGATTTCTGACCACGGCCAGGGAGGCCCTGAAGATCTGACCCTAAGGGAGTCTCATCATGCTCTCTATGTGTCAGCCACACTGGCCTCTTCATTCCTCAAATGCAGTAAATATACACCCTCGAATACTATGCAGCCATAAAAAAAGAATGAGATCATGTGCTTTGCAGCAACATGCATTGAACAGGTGAGCTATTTCCCAACAAGGAGACTTGCCATGTTTTCTTTCCTCTGTTTGGAAACCTCTTCCCTAGTTCTTTCCATGCTGGCTCCTCATCCATTGAGCCCCAAAATATCCATGTTCCTAGGACGTATCCCCTGAACACCCCATCAAAATTGACCCCATGATGCATCCTATCATAGCAATTATGTAATTTTCCAGAAAACTAATCACAGTTAGGAAATTAATATCCATCTTCCCTGATAAATGGCAAGTGTCATGAGAGTAAGAACCATGATGGCCTAGCCTAGAAGTTAGCAAACTTTTTTTCTGTGAAGGATCAGATAATAAATATTTTAGGCTTTGCAGGCTATACAATCTCTATCACAACTACTCAACTCTCCCGTCGGGGTGGAAAAACAATCAGAGACAATTCACAATTAAATGAAGGTGGCTGTATTCCAATAAAACTTTATTTACAAGATCATGCAATGGCCAAATTTGGCCCACTGGCCATAGTTTTCTGACTCCTGGTCTAGTTCACTGTTATAAACTTGGAGTTGTCAAGCATAACACCTATCACATAGTAAGCATGACAAATATTTATTGGAAGGAGGAATAAATGCATGCATAACCCTACAATCAGTTTAGGCTAATGTTTAGATGAGCTTGGGCTTCAGAGTTGAAATTTTTCTCCATATTGTACTCAAAGTTCTTCCTCTAGTCAATTTTATTCCTTTATCTTCTTCAGCATTTCCCAACCTGCCTTTCATTTACTGTTTGATAAGTTGTTCTCCCTCCTTGAGCTTCCCTAAATTGAATCTCAGAACTATTATTTTGCTCTTGAATCATCTGTCTACGATTCATCTCTCATTGACTTAGCCTGAACATGAACATTTTCACTGTTATTACTTCTACTTCATTGTATTCAGCAGTTATCTGCATAACATTTTTTCCAGTAAAAAGAACAAAAATAAAGAAGGATTCTGAATTCTGTATATAAAAATTGCTACGTCCTTTTTGGATGGCAATTTACCAGCATCTATTAAAATTGCAGATATGCCTCCCCTTCAGTGTGGCCATTCTTAGGACCTTCCCTCACTTGGGGCTATCTCGTGACTCTAGAAATTGACATAGTGTCAAGATAGGAGGTAGACCTTCTCCTCCTGTGATTGGCCAACTATCCACGCAGACAAACAATGATATCCCCAGTGTCCTTGACTCTAGATTAACTTCAGTTTTCGGCCACCTCCAAGTGAGGCTTTCACAGAGCCATTTTGTAAGAATGGCTGTAGTACTCTGTGGTAGAGCTCCAGACATGGCCCTCGGTTGTTCCTATCTCCTGTTATTCATGCCCTTGGGTAATCCCCTCCCCCGAGTGTGGACTGGACTTAGTAAGTTGCTCTTAATGAATAAAAAATGGCAAAAGTGATGGAATATCCAGCCATAAAAGAAACGAAATTCCATCCACCATGAATACTAGGTAGCCATAAAAAAGAATGAGATCATGTCCTTTGCAGGAACATGGATGGAGCTGGAGGCCATTATCCTTAGCACACTAGCACAGAAACAGAAAGCCAAATACTGCACGTTCTCACTTATAAGTGGGAGCTAAATGATGAGAACACATGGACACATAGAGGGGAAGAACACACACTGGGGCCTTTCAGAGGGAGGAGCGAAAGGAGAGGATCGGGAAAAAATAACCAATGGGTACTGGGCTTAATACCTGGGTGACGAAATAATCTGTACAACAAACCCCCATGACAAAAGTTTACCTAAGTAACAAACCTGCACTTGTATTCCTGAACTTAAAATAAAAAATTTTAATAAAAAGAATGAAGTTCTGTCATTTACAGCAACATAGATGGAACTGGAGGTCATTATGTTAAATGAAATAAGCCGGGCACAAAAAGACAAACATCACGTTCTCACTCATATGTGAGAGCTTTAAATAGTGAATCTCATGGAGGTAGAGAATAGAATGATAGACACCAGAGACTGGGAAGGGTGTGTGGTAGGGGTGGGGAAAGAGGTTGGTCATGGGTACAAACAAGCAGTTAGATTGAAGGAATAAGTTACAATGTTTGATAGCAGAGTAGAGTTACCACAATTGATGACAATGTGGGTACCTTTCAAAATAGCTAGAAGAAAGAACTTGAAATGTTCCCAACACATAGAAATGATAAATGCTTGAGGCAAGGACTATCCTAAATGCCCTGACTTAATCATCACACCATCTATGAATATAAAAAATATCCCATGTTCCCCATAAACATGCACAAATATTTACATCAATTTTTAAAAAGTGATGGAATGTCACTTCCAAGATTAGGTTACAAGACTGTGACTTTCATGTTACTAGCCCCTCTGTCTGGCTCCTCCATGTACTCTGATAAAGCCAGCTGCCATCTTGTGAGCTTCTCTAGGAAGAGAATCAGCTAGCAAAGAATGGAGGGTGGCTTCCTGACCCACAGAAACGATGATAAATGTTTTGCTGTTTTGTTGCTGTTGTTGTTTTTAGCCAATCCTTTATTTTGCATGGTATTGCTCTTCTTTAAAAATATTTTCCAAGCTATTTATTTGTATTCTGCTTCTGCACCAAACCAATAAACCCCTGATCATTCATTTATTCCTTCATTTATTTAAATAAATGTGTACTGGACCCATTAAGTACGAAGCACAGTAGCCATTGCATCTCACTCAATTTGGGTATATTTCCTCTAGTGTTCTTTTCCTCTGATCTGAGACCTCTTTTGATACATGTTATGCTAAATATTTGCTGCTTCTAAGCCAGTATGTTTGGGATATTTGTTATGCAGCAATACGCAACTAATACACTCTCTCTGCTAAGATACCAACCAGACATATTTCTCTATGGTCTTGATGTCACTCAGTTGCATTGCAAGAAAACAGAACTGTCTTTCCTTCCCACCAACACCCAAAGGATCCTCTAGTGTGCAAGGATAGAGATAGTGTCTTCACATAGCAAAGACACATTCTCTACAGCTGTAAATCTCCTCCCTGCCTTTTACCTCCTGAACAACACTTCTAAATTCTACTGAGGGTTAGGCTTTTTTTTTTTTTTTTTTGAGACAGGTTCTTGCTCTGTCACTCAGGCTGGAGAGCAGTGGCATGATCACAGCTCACCACAGCCACACATCCCAAACTGAAGTGATCCTCCCACCTCAGCCCCTCAAGTAGCTGGGACTACAGGTGCACACCACCACACCCAGCTATTTCTTTTTAACTTTTTGTAAAAACAGGGTCTCACTATGTTGCCCAGGCTAGACTTGAACTCCTGGCCTCAAGCAATCCTCCCATCTCGGCCTCCTAAATTGCTGGGATTTCTGGTGTGAGCCACTGCACCTGGCCTAGACGTTTTTCAAAACAAAAGCCAGGAAGACTTGCTGGTGAGTTCTGTTTCATGCCCTGCCACATCCATCCCTTGGGGCAGTGGAGTGCCAGCCTGATCATCTACTCTAATTAGGTAGGGATGATTTCATATTTAATGCTATCCAAAGGTGGTGATGCTCTTTGTCCTAGGTTTCCATTGTTATTGCAACCTACTTTTCAAATAATAAATAACGCACCCACCATCATCTCAGTTGCATTCCTCACTCTTGAGGTAAGTATTTCATAAACTTATAAAAATATTATTGGGAGTGGGATGGGGAGTAGAATACTGGGCCTGTAAGATTCTTCTCAGAAAGGTTTTTGTGCTCAAATAAGTTTTTAAAATACTGTATCTTATACTGTCCCTCTTGGAGATTCAAGAGGGACACATGAGCAGATTTGAGACTTTTACAAGTCCTCCCATTTTTTAAAGTGTGTTTGTTTAACCTAAAATTCATTGAAACACAGAGCCCTTTCTTTTCTACCTATTAACCTCCTGTGAAAAGCACTTTTCGAAAACGAAACAGTACCTGCATTACCAGACTTGCTGTTCTGTTTCACCGTTCCATGCCTTTTTCTGTAGTATTTCCTGGGCCTGAAATGTCTTTCCCCTCACATTGAACTCCTGGTTGCAAGTTAAAAGCTTCTCCATGACCTCAACAACACCCTGATGGAGTGAAGCACAGCCCTCCTCCAAGCCATCTCTAGGACATGGGTATGATTCCATGGTTGCATTCCTCATACTTTACTAAAACACATATTAACATGCCTGCCTCACTTCAAAGCCTCTAAGTTCTGTGTGGAGCTGGACTGCGTCTTGTTCCTTCCGCATCCCAGCCTCTAGCACGGTCTTGCCACACTGCTGTGAACTTTACTCAGCCTATCTCATTTGCTGCCCAGAGTCCTGCTATGATCTTCTCCGTTCTGTGGGAGAAAACTGAAGTCAGTAAATGATGGAGCTAAGAGCATTAACAATGTATCAATATCCAACAGTTTATCAGTATCCAAGATTTGCATAACCTATCCACCAAGCTATTTCCTTCTGTTACGTGAATACACCGTGAGGGTTTGGGATAGATTTGAAAAACTATGACTTAAAACCCAAGGTGAGACCCGTGGAGGAAAAGCACCCCAAGGCTTTGATGTGAAAATAGAGCACTTTCTCCTTTGGGACTGTAAGTTTGGAAATACAGCATGACTTCTGAGAGTTTACAGCTGCTTTGTAGACTTTTCCACCTTGGAACTAATCCCAAACAGAAAGGGAACCAGCATGATCCATTCTGAATGCACCCTTGTGTGCATCCCAGAGCGCAGATGGTCACGGACCACAAAGCAAATCCCTCTAATGTTATGTGACTCAGGGCTGGAGGATTTGTCCGCCAGCCTCAGCCCCCCATTGTCCATCTTCCTTTCCCTTGTCAAAGCCATTTGACAGCCGTAGCAACCGAGACATTTCCTTTCTCTTTGGATTTGTCTCTTTCATGCTTCTCACCCCCCACCGTGCCCCCATTGGCTGTCCGTTCCGTTCGGCTCATCAGTCTTGCTCTAAAATTGGTTTTATTTCTTGTATTTGTCTTATCTGAGGTTCTCATTACTTGAATCTCTCTCACTTGCACTTAAGAGTTTATCATCATTCCCATTGTGCTGCTTTTACTGCTGTCATCTGTCTCACTCCACGTCTGCTGCTTCCCTACTCCCGGCTTCCCTCCCTCCTCAAGTTTACCCTTCATGGCTGTCTTGTTCCTAATACGTGTCATAGACTTTGGATCATTTTCACAAGGCACAGGCTTTCTTCCTGTTTTATTTGAGATTTTTGTCCTCCGTCAACAATTCACTTCATTCTTTTCCTTCTCTCTATTTTCCCAAGGATCTCATTCCCAGTATTTATGGAGATGGGTTTGCTGAATGTCTTTTCCGCTACCTTTGCCTCTGTGGTTTTCCCTGCATTGCAACGTGCCTTATTAGGAAGGATAATCATGCCCATTAAACTTCAGGAACATCTGTCTCAGAGAGAAGACTGTGTTTCTTGTTCGTCTCCTAAAACCGTATAGGGTTTCTGCCAAGGACTAGGGACCAGCATCCTGGAAAACATCCTCCTCAGCCGAAGTGGGGTCACCTGCCGTCATCTCAGAGAGCAGAAAATGAGCTTCCAAGACAGAAAGGAAAAACACCTGCTGTTGTTCAAATGTGCTCCCCAAAGTTTACATGTTGACAACAGTGTTGAGAGGTGGGATCTTTAAGAGGTGGTTAAGTCATGAGGGCTCTACCTTAATGATGGATTAATGCCGTTATGGTTCCTCATCATGGAAGTGAGTTGTTTTTTTTTTTCTTGACAGAGTTTCACTCTTGTCGCCCACGCTGGAGTGCAACAGCATGATCTCGGCTCACTGCAACCTCTACCTCCTGGGTTCAAGCAAGTCTCCTGCCTCAGCCTCCTGAGTAGCTGGAATTACAGGTGCCAGCCACCACACCTGGCTAATCTTTTTGTATTTTTAGTAGAGATGGGGTTTCACCATGTTGGCCAGGCTGGTCTCGAACTCTTGACCTCTTTATCTACCTGCCTTGGCCTCTCAAAGTGCTGGGATTACAGGTGTGAGCCACTGCACCTGGCCGGAAGTGGGTTCTTGATAAAAGGATGAATTATAAGTTTGCACCCCCTTCTCTGTCTCTCTCTCTTTCTCTCTCCTCTCTCTCTCTCTTCTCTCTCTCTCTCTCTCTCTCTCTCTCTCTCACTTGCTTGTCCTTCTACTTTCACCATGGGATGACACAGCAAGAAGACCCTTGCCAGATATAGTCTCGACCTTCGACTCCCCAGCCTCCAGAACTGTAAGAAATAGATCTCTGTTCCTTATAAATTACCCAGCCTGTTATAGCAACACAAAGAAACTAAGACAGCACCCAAGACCTCCTTTGCTAAGAGCCCTCAGAATGTCTCCAATCCTTCGAACTGGCCAGGTTCCTTCAGAGCTTACTGCACGAGGCCTATGGCTGATGAAGACAGGAAGAATGCAGGCCAAGAACCTCCAGGAACTAGCAGGAGCTGGGAGGAGGAGGGACACTTTCCTTTCCACACCTAAGAGCAAAGCTCTGCACCTGGACCACCAAAATGAGTCGGGGCAGAAATTAACGCTCTTTCTTCTCCCTGAGGAGCCCATCACCGATCTCTTGCCCTAGGGCTAGTGCCCTCTTCTCAAAAGAGCAGCTTAAAATAATACAATGGGCATTGGTGTTAGGATCTGAAATTTAGGGTTTGAAAGCTGGCTCCACCATTACAGTTTCTTAATGTTGCTGAGCCCCAGCAGTCTCACATGTAAAACAGGAATAATGATAAATTATGGAAGGAAACGAGATCATCATTATAAAACATGATAATGGCTGGGCGTGGAGGCTCACACCTGTAATCCCAACAATTTGGGAGGCCGAGGCGGGTGGATCACTTGAGGTCAGGCGTTCGAGACCAGCGTGGCCAACATGGCAAAATCCTGTCTCTACTAAAAATACAAGAATTAGCCAGGCAGGGTGGCAGGCACCTGTAATCCCAGCTACTCCAGAGGCTGAGGCAGGAGAATCGCTTGAACCCAGGAGGTGGAGGTTACAGTGAGCAGATATCATACTGCTGCGCTTTAGCCTAGGTGACTGGCTACTAGATGGTATGCACTGAAGTTTTAGAGGATTCTCTATACTTACAACCCCAGTTTTATGGTAAAACAGTCCAGAGAAACATTCGCAACCCACATGTCTTTTTCCCCCCAGGACACTTTTCCAGGGAGATGACACAAATAATAAAACAAGTGTTATCAATTATTATTTGTTCTGGGCAAGGGGTGGAGGAGATAAAAGAAAAGTATGCCCCAGGCTGCAACAATTTCGACACAAATAAACAGAAACCTGGTGGATAACCAGGAGACTTGCTTGGATATTTTAAGCTTCCCATCCTTCAACAATGGATTATCTTATGCAGACTGACGATGTAATAGTTCCATGGGTTTTTTTTTAATCCTCCATGAAGAACCAAGATTATGCATTTTCCCCTCTGCCAGATACACACAAAGAAAGCAGGACACCAAAATGGGATCTATGCAGTGTGGGGGAGAGTCAATTTTCCTCTCATCATGGCATCTCTCAGCAGGTAAATATTGATTACATTCTCCTAGTGCCTCAAGCCATTATTTCTGATACAACTGCTTGCTTCCAGATATGAATTTCCCCCCCTCGTCTCCATGGGGATATCAGACAGAATGAGGGGGAAATTTTCCCTAAAGAAGTTTGGCAGAAAAACACCTTCTAATTATGAGCATTTAATTCACATCCCCAATACTGATATCCTTTGGAAATAACAGCAAGTATCCACCTTGAAGATAATTCTTCACTCAATACCACCTGCTGTTCAGGAAAACAGAGTACCAGCCCTGACCCAGAAGGTAGAGAAAAGTCCAGAAACCCGTTGACTGTTGAAAAACATGCCTGAGGTCTGGTGCTATCGGTTTTTATATGAATTATTGATGCAACTTTGGGATCTTTTGGGTAGTGAAGGTATCAGGTGTGAGAAGATGGCAGGCATGTTATAGTGGAATTGACAAGAGCTGGTGATTAAACCTGTAACCCCATGCATGGTGCTAACACTATTTTGCTGATATCCTAGAAGGTGCTCACTGTCAAATCCTGTCTTGAGCAGAAATGCATCCCAGGCAAGGTTTATGCACAGTGCCCAAGGACATCCTCCCCTGACAACAGCTCCGTGGTCATGAGCGGGAGAGAGAAACAAATACTGAGTCTTGGTCTTATGCTCATCAGAAGAATCTCCATCTTCAGAGCCTAAGTGCCTACCAAGTTCCAAGTGCTCACAGTAAAATTGCAAGAAGCACAAATTCAATGGAAAAAAAACATCCCTGCCTTAGTTTGTGTTCCATCTAGCAAGATGGAGCACACGCCTCAGAATTATTTGGCAATCCTAGGACTGCGAAGGTTATGGTATTTATCCACCAACTCCATCTGCCATTGGGTGACTTCCAGGGGCATTAACTCCTTGGCCTTTCCAGCCTGCCCTTTGTGCTGGGTGTCTGATCTTGTGGCCAGAAAAGAAAAGCCCTCAAGAAGAAAGCTGGAAGTAAGTAACCTTCAGCTTGCAAAGGAGAGTACCCAGGGGAGGTGGGTGGAGTACCGAGAACATCTACTCTAGCCCCCACCAGCGTATTTGGGGGATCTGTTGTTAAAGATCCCAGTTCATGTGTTGGCCCATAATTAGTCATTTAGTATGACCAAAAGAACACTGATTTGTACTGCAGAAAGGAAGAGGCCTTGTAAGCTACTTAGACTTTCTAAAAGTGGTCTTTTTATCTGCCACATGAGAAAGTGATGTCTTTCCTACTCACTTCATGGAATTATGATGAATGCATTTATGTCACCCGACCTCCAACCTTGCTAAAACTATTCAATGACTTCCAGCATCTCTTAAGATTAAAGCCTAAATCCACTGCATGGTCCACAAGGCACTGTACGATCTCTCTCTCTCTCTCTCCATCCATATTCCCTCCCCCACTGCCCACTTCTTGCCCCTCCTCTCATGTCCTCCCCACCTCATTCTATGTGCTCAGTCTTCCAGTGACCATCCCTTCCTCTCTGAGGGTCACTTACTTCCTCCCACCAAGTGTTCTTTGCACATGTGTGCTCCTCTGTCTAGAATGCTTGCCATCACAACTACCACCATTATCACCATCTCCGTCCTTTATCCCGTCAAGTCATATCCATCCTACAGTTTTCAGTGCAAACATCACACCTCCAGAGAGGCGATACTGGACGGTTTAATTCTGAGGTCAAAATTGTCATACTCCCTGTAGGCATCAGTAGAATACTCTCAGAGGGCAGACTCGTGAATGCATCAGAAGCCTAAAAAAATGGGCGCACTTTGACCCAACAATCTACACATAAGAATTTGTTCTAAGCAAATGCTTCCTTCCAATGCAGGTAAAAAGATCAAGGGTGTTTATTTCAGGATGGACGATGGAAGGGTTGGAAGGTAAAGGAAACCAGGAAAGAAAGGAAACAAACTAAATATCCAACACTAGGTGATTGATTTAATATTATATACATACTGATATGATTTGGCCATGTCCCCACCCAAATCTCATCTTGAATTATAGCTCCCATATTTCCCATGTGTTGGGGGAAGGACCTGGTGGGAGGTAATTGAATCATGGGGGTGGTTTCCCCTATACTGTTCTCATCGTAGTGAATAAATCTCACAAGATATGATGATTTTCACTTGGCTCTCATTTCCTTTCTTGTCTGCCGCCATGTAAGACATACCTTGCTCTTCTGCCATGATTGTGAAGCCTTCCCAGCCATGTGTAATGATGACTCACAGTTATGTCTTTATCAGCAGTGTGAAAATGGATATATATATATATATATCTCCAATAGAATACTACTACTCAACCATGAAAAATGATGATACATATGTATAATTATTGATATAAAAAGAGGTTTGTGATATATTACTAATTTGAAAAATGGATCACAGAATCCTATATTCAATACTAATATGTTCTGCAGGTATGTTCAGCAAGACCTCAAATCTACTGGGGGGATGTGTTTGCAGGCATGACCACAAAATGTTTGACAATATTTAAAATGAGTTTCCTCTCCTCTCCTCTACTTCCTTTGATTCTGTGTTACCTAAGTTTTCTACATCAAACTTAATAAAAAGGTATCAATTCTGAAGAAGAAGTAATAAACTTGACACATTCAGCCACCCCAAAAAATTGCCCTTTCAGTACTTTGCATCTTTTCCCTTGGTTGAGGGGAAGAAAAATCACATGACTGGGATTGATCATGGAGAAACAGAACCATCCAAGTCAAGGGAAAATTAGGGACTGGTTTTCTGTCTTCCACTTTTCTCCTTTTCAACCTCTGTCTTTGCATGAACGACTCCTTCTCCAAGACCCTTTACTCTCCCCACACACAATTCCATGTAACTCCAAGTGCCATCTAAATCAGAAAGGAAACACAGAAGATTAAACCTCAGACTAAGAGTTTCTCCATCCTTCACACTCATGGATAATTCCCTAAGGTTATAACCAATTTGAGGTACCTTAGTTCCCTTTCATCTGCTCCTCTGTCAGAGCTATCCTGAGGAGTTCACAGTCTTTAAAAACAGAGGCCAGGATGGTCAGAACCAAAAGGAGATAAGCATATGTTTGTGCAAGCTGAAAAATTGTCCTATATGGAACAGTCAGAATAAATCACTAAAAGCAGTTTCAGACAAGCACTACAGAGAAAAACTGTTAATTACTGGTATTACCATTGATATGTATTCATTTGAGACTTCTGTTCAGGAAAGGCAATTGCTTGGTCCTATTACATAACCAAAATCAAGAGAATTTACAAAGAAAGGTGGGGGGAAACATTCTCAGCTCAGACAAAAGGATTGAAAGAAAACGAGACAAGCGATATTTTCTGGGGATTTACTGAGACAAATCTGCACAGAAAAGAATATGAACATGCTCAGTTTCATACAAATATCACCCATTCTCACATGGCTTTATTCTCTGCATATAAATTTCAAGTTTGAAAGAGCTCAGACAGAGACCCTTTTAAGAGACTTCTCTGCACTCAAAAGGTTTCCGCCTTATCAAAAGTGACTTTCGTTCTTAGTTAAGTCCTTTGGAAAAAAATATATATATAATAATAAAACTGCAGAGCTTAATACCACAGAGTGAGGACTCTAATCCAGAAGACCTAGGTTCAAGATCCATTTCTTCCCCAACATAGCTCAGTGACACTTGGCAGGTTCCTGGAGGTTTCTGAGCATCTTTCCTCACATGTAAAATGAACATAATACTACCTCATAGAGATGTGTAAATCTAAATCTGCATGAAGCACTCCATCAGTCAGCATCAGACCAGGAAAAAGAAACCACTTGAGCATTTCAAACAGCAGGATTTTTTTTTTAAGACGGAGTTTCACTATTGTCACTCAGGCTGGAGTGCAATGGCGCAATTTCAGCTCACTGCAACCTCCATCTCCCAGGTTCAAGCGATTCTCCAGCCTCAGCCTCCCGAGTAGCTAGGATTACAGGCGCCCGCCACCACTCCTGGCTAACTTTTGTATTTTTAGTAGAGACGGGGTTTCACCATGTTGGCCAGGCTGGTCTCAAACTCCTGACCTCTGATGATCTGCCTGCCTCAGCCTCCCAAAGTGCACTGGTATGAGCCACCGTGCCTGGCCAGCAGGATTTTAACACAGGGAATTAGTTGCACAGGTGACAAAGGACTGAGATGCTAAATGGGACAGTGAGGCAATCCTATTTTAATGCAATACCTTTAAAAGCCTAGATGGATGCAGAAAAAGCCTCCATGATGAAGAAAATATCAAAATTCTAAATAAAGACAGGATCCAAATCTGCAGTTGCACAATCCAGTGTCATTTGCTTCATCTGGCCCTGTCAGACATTAATAAACAGCAGAAATCTGCCACAACACCTGGGGCGAGGGACAAAGGGAGAAGGGGTATTAATGAAGCCCAGGGCAAAGGCTAAGCCCAACCCATGGGATCTGGAGCCACAGAGGAGACGTAGCTGCTCCAGAGATGCCAGGGGAGACAAAGAGGAAGCAACGCCATGGTTTACGCCTTCCTCCTTCGTCCTAGGCTTCCATCAGTACCTCCCATTGGCCAACTTCAGATACAAGTCTACCCAATGTGGGAGCCTGGAACTATGTCTGCAGGAGGAGGACAAAGGGTGGATCTGAGGCCAAACAGGCCGAGGAAGGCTGGGGTTCTTCACTCAGTTTCTCTCCCACCTCGAATGTCCAGAAGTAACTACTCCATTCATAAAGGTGGGGACAAGAGATCAATTGCGAATATGTTTTAAAGAATGAATTTGAAGATAATTTTTTGATGAGGTGAATGTGGAGGGTAAGAGAGGATGACATCAAGGCTTTGGGCCTGAGCCTCAAGAAGCATGGAGTTGAGTATTAGCTGAATCTCCGTATTAACTGAAATTGGGTGAATTGTGAGTGAGGTATATGCTTGGGTAGTGGGAATTCATGAGCCTGGCATCATAAGTGCTAAGTTTGAGATATATATTAGTTCATTCTTACATTGCTATAAAGAACTACCTGGCCAGGCGCGGTGGCTCACGTCTGCAATCCCAGCACTTTGGGAGGCCAAGGCAGGCGGATTACAAGGTCCAGAGTTCGAGACCTGCCTGACCAATAAGGTGAAACCCCATCTCTACTAAAAATACAAAAATTAGCCAGGCATGGTGGCAGGTGCCTGTAATCCCAGCTACCCGGGAGGCTGAGGCAGGAGAATTGCTTGAGCCCCAGAGGCGGAGGTTGCAGTGAGCCAAGATCGTGCCACTGCACTCTAGCCTGGGCAACAGAGCAAGACTCTGTCAAAAAAAAAAAAAGAACTACTTGAGATTGGGTAGTTTATAAAGAAAAGAGGTTTAATTGACTCACAGGTCCACAGGCTATGCATATGCAGGAGGCATGGCTGGGGAGGCCTTAGGAAACACAATCATAACAGAAGAGGAAGCAAGTACACCTGCACATGACAGCAGGAGAGAGAGAGAGTAAAGGGGGACGTGCTACATGCTTTCAAATAACCAGATCGCCTGAGGACTCACTCACTATCATGAGAAGAGCAAGCAGGAAATCCACCCCCATGATCCAATCACCTCCCACCAGGTCCCTCCTCCAACACTGGGAATTACAATTCAACATGCAATTTGGGTGGGCATACAGAGCCAAACCATATCAAGATATCACATACAAACCCAAGTGAAACAGTCAAGAGGCAGTTGGATAGATGAGTCTAGAGTCCAAGAAATAGGTCTATGCTGGAGACGTAGCTCTATTTACATATAAAAATATTTAGAAATATAGCTTTGCCAACTTCATGTATTCAGCTAAGTACTTCTGGTTATAATCAGAAATCCAACTCCAGCTAGTTTAAGGAACAGCAGGAAATTTATTGGACCACAGATCTGAACGCCCAGATGCAATGGTTTCAGATACAGGCAGATCCTGGGGCTCAAACATTGTCAAATGTCTCTCTCCATCTCTCACTTCTGCTTTTCCTCCTTGTTGGCTCCATATGCAAACAAGCCCACCTGCTGTGATGGGAGACATAGCTACAAAAAGTACTAATACATTCTTTTTTACTGAGACAAAATTAGCATAACATAATCTAATCATTTTAAACTATACCATTCAGTGGCATTTAGTACATTCACAGTGTTGTGCAACCATCACATCTATCTGGTCTCAAAACATTTTCATCACTTCAAAAAGGGAAACCATACCCACGAACCGATCCCTCCCTTTCCTCCCTTCCCTCAGTCCCTGTTTTCTGTGTCTGTAGATTTGCTTATTCTGCATATTGAATATAAGTGGGCTCGTATAATCTATGGCCTGCTGTCTCTAGATTAGTGCACTTAGCAGAACGTTTTCCAGGTTCATCCATGTCGTTGCCTGTATCAGTACTTCATTCCTTTTCGTCGTCGAATAATATTCCATTATATGGAGATATTACATTTTCTTCATCCATTCATCAGTTAATGGACATTTGAATTATTTCCCATTTGAGCTAATGTGAATTTCACTGCTATGAAATTCATTAACAAGTTTTGTTTGAATGCCTGTTTTCAATTACTTTTGGTATATAACTAGGAGTGAAATTGCTGGGTTATATGATAATTCTATGTTTAACTTTTTGAAGAACTATCTTATATGGTCCTAGCAACCACCAGAGGAATAGAGTTTCTCCCTCCAGAAAGATCCAGCAAAGTACTTTTGAGTCTCATTAGCCTATCTTTGGTCACACGTCCATCCCTGAACCAATCATTGTGAACAGGAAGATGAAACACTCTTTGATGAAAATATGTCCACATCTACAGTGAAGAAAGCTCTCTACCCAAACCATATGAACTGAGGAAGTGGGATAGGTGGTCCATTCAAAGGAAGGTCAAAGAGGTGTTAGCAGAAGAGGAGAGAAGAGATAACTGGAAGACCAAAACAAGGGATGTTCACCTCACCAAGGAAGCGATAAATAACTGCTTTAGATCATCGTGTGAGAATGTGTGATGGGCACTTAATACATGTCAAGCACCATAATACTCTGCAGAGAGTATTAGTATCCCCATTGCACAGATGAGAAAAATGAAGCTCAGAGAATTTAAGTAACTTGTCCAAGTTCACACTCTTAGAAAGTGATTGAGCTGGGACATGAACCCATGTCTGTCCAATGCCAAAGCTCCTATCCATGCTGGTGCTTTGCTGAGTGGAAGGCACTGGGCATGAAATAATCTGGATGACTGCTTGGTGAAGGGTCAATGTCCTAAATTCTCCATGCTAGGTACCAAAGTTTCCATTTCTTTTTTTTTTTTTTTTTTGAGACAAGGTCTCGCTCTGTCACCCAGGCTAGAGTACAGTTGTGCAATCATAGCTCACTGCAGCTTTGACCTCCTGGGCTCAAGCGATCCTCTCACCTTAGCCTCCTGAGTAGCTGGGACCATAGGCATGCTCCACTACTCCCAGCTAATTTTTTAATTTTAAGTAAAGACAGGGTCTCGCGATGTTGCCCAGATTGGTCTCCAATTCCTAGGCACAAGTGATCCTCCCACCACAGCATCCCAAAGTGCTGAGATTACAGGCATGAGCCACCGTGCCTGGCCCAAAAATCTGCATGTATTCATTCACAGATACACACACATATTTCCTAGAGGCATGAATAGAATATACATAACCCTCTGTCTCCCATCACATGACACATAGAGCCAACGTAAAAGATATTCTTTTTTCTCTTTATTAAAATCATGACTAAATCCCTTACCAGTCAATGGATCTCCCAAAGTAGTCAGAACTCCAGAAGTCCACTTGGGCAGCTTCTCCCCTGCACAATGAAATCTGTTGTCTCTTCAAAGAGTGTGAAAATCAAACGTCATTTGCAAGGCTTCTCAGGTCCATCAGAAGTGGAACTTCAGTTGTTAAGCCACATTATTTCTCTTGAATATCATAACTTTTTTTCCTAAAGCATTTAATTTGATTCAACCCCAAGGGATTGTTTTTCAGAAATGCCAGGAATCTGCTGAGCTCTCTGTACTCTGGGCGAAATTTCAGTCCTGTTGTTAACGTGGTACCTTGTCTCCCTCCTCTGTCTGAGCTGGGAACAGGAAGAAACCTTACATCACCATAGTAATCTCATAATAAGATTGTACTTTTTTCTGCACATTACATCTCAAGGGATCATTGTCATTTGTTTCCCGCAAATGACAATCCAGCTTCTCCGGGCCCCCTAGTTGCTCGGTGAGAAATGTTACCGAACAGCTTGTCTCTGATGATGTTTTATAATTGTAGCAGAAATCCAACGTTAGTAGAGCTGTCTGACTGAAGAGGTGCATGAGCTCTTGTGTATCCACAACTCTACCCCAATGGCTCAAAAATATGCCTGATGTTTATTCATTCTGATATTTCGTATATGTACATAAAAATAAGTATCGATTTTGATGATGCATAAATGTGAGACTATCACAGTCTCCATGGAAAAAGCACATCCTGTTTATTCTCCAATAGACATTCTATAGCTCTATGCTGTCATAATTTTTAAGTACCCTTTCCTTTTTTTCTGAAATATCCCTCCCTTTGTCTCCACTTATCCAAATGCACCCTTCAGTTGCTTTCTGAGACCACTCCAGCTTACAATGATTTCACCCTCCAATGGCATTTGACTTTACCTTCCATTTGGCAATCACTCATGAGCTTTCTTGTGACACTGCCTGTGTTCTTCACAGAAGCTGTTTAAACTGTTCACATTTTTTGTCAAGGTCCTGACCCTAGCTTTAACTTTATCCTGACTTAGAGGAAAATGGACTCTTAGAGGAAAAAATCCAAATGATTAAGAGGGCTGAGAATTCTCCCTTCTTCCCCTCCACTCCCTTTATCCACCACTCATCCCCAACCACACTGTTGGATGTTATTTATCTCTGTGGAAGCCCCAAACAATGGCTTACATTAACTACAGAGTTCTTAAGGGTATTGAAAAATATTCCATGAATTATCAGGGGCTAAGCAAAGCAGGAAAGGGATGGTGGTCAATTAATGACAAAGATAGTGATAGAAGACATTAACCTGTTTCACGATCATAGCTTTACCTGACTTAGATAAACCATAAAAATAACTCCCTGTGTGACTGTCCATGGTTCCTGAAAGCTCTGCCGCCATAGACAATTTATCACCTGATTGCCTTGGCCTTTAACTCTCTAACTGCAACTACCATTGATTCTATTCGTGTGGTTTGACCCCTAATTTAGCCTGACTTCAACTAAAATGTCTTCTGAACAATCTGTTTCCCAGATCAGCAGTCTTGGGAAGCAACAGTGAATAAAAGTATGGAAGCTGGATCAGACTGCCTGGGTTGGAAGCCCAGCTTTACCATACGAAGAAAGCTACTTAATGCCATCTGTCATCTGGGAATAGTAGTACTATGTACTTCATGGGGTTGTTTAAGGAATTAAATGAGAAAGTCTATATAAAGAGCTTAGTGCAGTCCCCGACACATAGTTAAGTTCCCAATAAATTTAGCTTTTTATCATAATGATGGTATCTTGGATCCCTAACTACATGTAAGGTATTTAAAGAACGATACTGAATCTTATCCTTCATTACCCTCTGTATGCATATAGAATATAAGGATGGGTGAAAGCTTTGAAGTAATTCAGAATGGATCCAAATTTTGGCTTCACAGCATAGTAGCTGTGTGATATTAAGCAATTTACTTAACCCTCCTGAACCTCCCTTTCCTAATTTATAAAGTGGATTAAATTATATCCATTTGTTAGAGCTTTAAATATTCTAGAAGATACATGTAGACACCTGGATTAAAATAGGTGTGCAATAAATAGTGATCATTGTGTTTATGGCTATGAATTTGAAATGAATGCAAAAAGTTATTATTTCTGATCATCTATCACAATCTGTGAGAGTCAGGAGTGCATATTAAGGATGAGCAGTGCAGATTCGATGCTTCCTTTTGGGAGGTCCATTTCTCTGGAAGAGCTTGATGACATTGCTTTGTATGGTGGATCAATTGTTTAAGTCTGCTAGGGCCTTATTTATCAACTCAATTTCTTTACAGAGAAGAATAATTTCATACGGAGGAATTGTGATCATACCTCTGCACACATTAATATGGCTGTGTAACCTGGGTAACAGGTCAAAATGGGACTCAGTAATGACTATACATTATTCTGCATGGGAAAAAAATATTTCTAATTGTGAATCTGGTGCTATCATTCAATGTATTCAGTGTATTCAATGCCCAGAGTGTTGAATGTAAGTACTTGAGTCAGATTCCTGTTAACTGACATAGTTTTAGAGAAATGTGGAGACTGTCAAAAATGCATTTGTAGATTATATCTCTGGAAATCATTCCCATACTAATAAATCCCATCTGAGGCACCTCCACTAGCAGACAGTTCTTTGGAGGTTAAAGGAAGAATTGTCCATTACACTTCATAGTTCCAACTGTGTGTTAATTAGGACCAGACGGGAAATGGCAAAATAAATGAGGACAGCAAGACATGTCTTCTAGGTACACTATATGCCAAGTAAAAATCCTCTTAAAAATGCCTCCTTTAGCACGCAGTGTTATTTTCCCATCTAGGGCACACCACTCCATTTATCAAGCATGATCTAAAGGATAGACTTCAGATGTGTCTTCAAAGGAGGAAAGCCTCAGACAGAGTCCCTGCTAGTCACTCTGCTCCCATGAAAATAATTAATCTGTGGGAAACATGGCACCACTCTACGCTCTGCTCCTAGGATCCTTACCCAAGCATGAGTAGGACTTGCAAACCTAAGGTTCCAAATGCCTAAGATACAGAAAGTTAAAAGTGACCATATTGAAAAGTTGTTCCCCCGCAACCCAAATACCTTCTGCTGCTTCCACCACCCTGAGAGTATCTGTAAATGTCTCAGACATGTTCTCAGAAGAAAATGCTGGCCAGGTACAATGGCTCACGCCTATAGTCCCAGCACTTTGGGAAGCCAAGGCAGGCAGATCACTTGAGCCAGGAGTCCAAGACTAGCCTGAGTGACATGATGAAATCTCGTCTCTATAAAAAATTTAAAAATTAGCCAGGTCTAGTAGTGTACACCAGTTGCAGCTACTTGGGAGGCTGAAGTGAAGGGAGTGCTTGAACTTGGGAGGTGGAGGTTGCAGTGAGCTATGATCACACCGCTCCACTGTATCCTGGGCCACACAGTAAGATGAAGACGAAGTCGAAGGCGAAGACGGAGAAGGAGAAGGAGAGGGAGAGGGAGAGGGAGAGGGAGAGGAGGAAGAGGAAGAGGGAGAGGAAGAAGAAGAGGAAGAACAAGAGGAAGTGGAAGAGGAGGAAGAGGAAGAGGAGGAAGAAGAGGAAGGAGAGGAAGGAGAGGGAGGAGGAGGAGGAAAAGGAGAAGAAGAAGAAGAAGAAGGAGGAGGAGGAGGAAGAGGAGGAGGAAGAGGAGGAAGAGGACAAGAACAAGAGGAAGGACAAGGAGGAGGAGGAGGAAATATTGGGCATGCAATCAACCAATATGTCACCAAATACCAAAATTTATTTCTAAGTTCCATGGTGGTTTGAGGAGATGCAGGAATTAAAGAAAATACAAAGGATCACAGGAATATGGTTAAGAGCATTAACCTGCAGTTAGACAAATCTAGGTTTATATCCTATCACCACCACAACCTGTCCATGTTGAGTTACTTATTTCTCTATAGCTCAGGCTCTTCCTCTGTAAATTGGGGATGATAATAATAGCACCTATGTTATAGAGTTGTAATGGACATTCAACTATACAATCCATATCAGGCGCCTGGCTCAGAGCCAGTAGATGTTAAGTAGTCAATAAGTTGTTTATATAAGCATTTTTTCGGTACATAATATTCATGATCTCATTTCATATCACAACACTATGAAGTAGGTATTATCTTTGTCATCTATTTTGATGGCAAGAAAACTGAGGTAAAAAGAAAAGGATTTTTTGGGTTTAACAGCTAGGATGTGGCCACGATTCAAGCCTAGGTCAGTCTGACTCAGACAACTTTAACTAATTTAATCAACCTTTAATGCAAAAAGCTAAAGCTCTTGGTATTCCCTGACCCCAGTTACACAACCCTCACTGATGGATATATTTGGCCACACCAACAAGCCAAGGGGAACACTGCTCTGGCCTCCAAGTTGCAAAATGGAACAATTATTAAAAATGTTTAAATTATACCCTATACAACTATATCACCTTAGGGCACAAGTACAAAATTCAACCTATTTAACAGAAACACTTTCAGCTTCCTAAGATTGCAAATGTAAAATTTTCTCTGGAAACTTTGCAACCCCTTCATTGTACAGCTCTGAAAAGGGGGAAAAAGGGAGTTGCACTGACTGGGCATTTACTGTCAGGTGATGTGCCAAGTGCTTTATAAACCTTACCACTTCATCCATCAACTAATACTAAGGGATAAAGATGATAGTCGTGCACCGCAAAATGACATTTCCATCAACAACAGATTGCATAAATGACAGTGGTCCTATAAGATTACAAAACCACATTTTATTATTATTATTATTATACTTTAAGTTCTGGGATACATGTGCACAACGTGCAGGTTTGTTACATATGTATACATGTTCCATGTTGGTGTGCTGCACCCATTAACTCGTCATTTACATTAGGTATATCTCCTAATGCTATCCCTCCCCCCTCCCCCCACCCCACGACAGTTCCCCGGGGTGTGATGTTCCCTGCCCTGTGTCCAAGTGTTCTCATTGTTCAGTTCCCACCTATGAGTGAAAACATGCGGTGTTTGGTTTTCTGTCCTTGTGATAGCAAAACCACATTTTGACTGTACCTTTTCTATGTTTAGATACAAACATACTTACCATTGTGTTACAATTGCCTAGAATATTCAGTACAGTAACATGCTGTACACCTTTGTAGCCCAGGAGCCACAGGCTATGGCATACAGCCTAGGTGTGTAGAAGGCTACACCATCTAGGTTTGTGTAAGTGCACTCTAGGATGTTCCCACAACAAAATCACCTAGGGACACATTTCTTAGAATGTATCCCCATTCTTAGATGACACATGACTGTATTTGCCTGTTTCACTGGGAGTAAACTGGGAGGATCAGAGAGTTTAGGTAGCTTGCCAAAGGTCACTCAGAGGAAAATGGGCATTAAAATGCAGGTTTTTCTAAACCCAGTAGCACCTCAGGGCACCATTCATATAGGCTGTGATGAGATTTGTGCCGCTGGAGATGTCCCAAAAGCTTTTTTCAATATACCACGCTGGACTCTCCCGGAGCTCGCGTGACTTAAAAAAAATTAAATTAACAAATCAATGGCATTGGTGCCAGCATGGAGACTTGGGTGTGCATGAAGTCCCAGAAAAAGAAATTCCTTCTCAGAAACACTGTCTTTCCTACATGTCTCCTGCTCTCGTTAACAATTCTGGGTAAAGGAGAAGTTTCTTTCTTCTCTTACTAAGCAATCTACTCTTCTCTGTAACTCCTATGTCCTCACCCTTCCTGAGCCTTGATAGAGTGCAAAATTCTCTTCCCCTGTGATCTTTATGTCCTAAGGTTGAATTATTGAAAAAAGGTGTGCTGTGTGAAAAGTTATACTTAAGGCTTTGCCAATGCAAAGGGCCAACAGAGCCCACCTGGTAGGACGATACCTTTTGCTAGAGCTATGGAACTGTGGCAAAATTGCCATCAAACAAATTACACCATACCATAGAAAGATGTATCAGCACTTTTTGAATAAAACTACTTTCTTGTAGCTTAGTAACTTAGCTCTAAAAATTTGTTCTGGAATACAACCTGACTTGCAAATACTATTTTTAAAGTATACATCCTTTAAGAGCACTAATCTGTCTTTCCTACCATTTGCCAAACTAAAACACTTTCCATTTTTAATTAAAGCAATTTTACTTTTTATATAATGCGGAGCTGACCTCTCCTATATTGGAAATTTGCAAGAACACTTTTAGGAAAAAAAAATTAAACTATCAGTTATATAGAGTTCCATTTCCACCTGGGAAGTAGAAAGCTGGAAAAAGCTTTACTCTACTCCCAACCTAACAAAAAAAAGGCAGATAAACTTCAAAATCATAACTTTCAAAAGTCGAGGTCACAGAGAAACCTCAACTCCTGAACTCCAAAGAAACTTCAAAGAAAGGCTCCTCCAAGGAAAGACAGATTTAGGCACTGGATCACATGTGCAAAGCACAGGAGGAAGAGACATTGGGCACCATGTAAGTGGACAAGAAGAAGGTAGTTAAAACTTTTAACAAATTGCTAACAGCCAAGTATGGGCTAGCATGAGCAAAGTCAAGTATGGGCTAGCATAAGCAAGTATGGACTAGCATGAAATTATAGAAATGTTATGATTAACAGACACAAGGAGAGCTTGCACATATACACAGCCTCTTCTCCACAGACCTCCCACAGTGGGTGTTTGGGAGAAAGATCAGAAGCAGGGGAAGGTACTGGAGAGAGCATCCCTGGGTGGTGCAGTCCTAGAGCATTACTGGAGTCAATGCAAGAACTCCCACCCAGAACCTTCTCCCCAACAGAACAAAAACCTTAAGACTATTAGAGTAGGGCAGCAAATTCAGGCCATGGGTGAAGATCCACTGAAGCTGGGGAAAGGAAAAACAAAAAATACCCTCTACTCCTGGGTGAGGGGCATGAAACAGTTACATAACAATAAAGGGGGCCAGGCGCCGTGGCTCACGCCTGTAATTGCAGCACTTTGGGAGGTGGGCAGATCACGAGATCAGGAGTTCAAGACCAGCCTGACTAACATGGTGAAACCTCGTCTCTACTAAAACTACAAAAATTAGCTGGGCGTGGTGGCATGTGCCGGTATTCCCAGCTACTCAGGAGGCTGAGGCAGGAGAATCGTTTCAACCCAGGAGGCAGAGGTTGCAGTGAACCGAGATCACGCCACTGCACTCCAGCCTGGGGTGACAGAGCGAGACCCCACCTCAAAAAAATAAATAAATAAAGGGATCAATTTACCAACACAACAATCCTAAATGTGTATGTACATAATAAAAGAATTTTAAGATTTAAAGGAAAAGCTGAGAGAAGTGAAAGGAGAAATAAGCAAATCCACAAATACAAGTGGAGACAAAACCACTCCTCTCTCAATAATTGATAGGGCAAATAGGAGGAAAATAAGTAAGGATATAGAAGACTTAAATACTACCAACCAACTTGACCTAGTTGACATTTACAAGACACTCCACTTGACAACAGAATACATACACATTTTATTCTCAAGTGCACACAGAACATTTCCCAAGATAGACCATATTCTGCATTCAAATATACAAAGACTTTTCCAGAAAATAGGAAAGTAGCAAAGACTTTTCAGCTCACTCTTTTTTTTTTTTTTCCTGAGACAGAGTCTCACTCTGTCACCCAGGCTGGAGTACAGTGGCATGATCTCAGCTCACTGCAACCTCCGCCTCCCAGGTTCAAGCAATTCTCATGCCTCAGCCTCCCAGTAGCTGGGATTACAGGTGCGTGCCACCACTCCCAACTAATTTTTGTATTTTTAGTAGAGATGGGGTTTTGCCATGTTGTCCAGGCTGGTTTCAAACTCCTGGCCTCAAGTGATTTGCCTGCTTCAGCCTCCCAAAGTGCTGCAATTACAGGCGTGAGCCACCACGCCTGGCCTTCAGCCCATTCTTTAGGACTGCATTATCCTAATACCAAACCAGACAAAGAAATGAAAGAAATGCAAAAGGAAGCAAGCAAACAAGGAAGCAAGCAAGACAGACAGACAGAAAGAAGGAAAGAGAGAAAGAAGAAAGAAAGAAAGAAAGAGAGAGAAAGAAAGAAAGAAAGAGAGAAAGAAAGAGAGAGAGAGAGAGAGAAAGAAAGAAAGAAAGAAAGAAAGAAAGAAAGAAAGAAAGAAAGAGTCCAAAATCGGTTGTCCAATAGAGCTTTCTGCTATAATGAAAATTTCTACACTATCCAATATGATAGCCATTAGCTACATTTTAAGCAGTCCTTAAAATGTGGCTGATGTGACTGATAAAATGAGTTCGTAATTTTATATCATAATTTAATCCATTTAAATTTAAGTTGACATAGTACATGTGGCTAAGGGTTACCATATTGTGTGGTACAGCTATTGACCAATGCACCTAACGAGCATAGATACAAATACACTAAAAAATATGAGCAAATGCTATCTGGCAATATATAAGAAGAATAAAGCATCATGACTAAATCAGGTTTATCCTAAGAATGCCAAGTTGGTTCAACACTTAAATTCAATCAACGTATTTTCCCGTATCAGCAGACTAGAGGGAAAACCATATGATCCCATCAAGAGATTCAGAAAAAAAAACTATCCAAAAAATTCACTATCTATTCACAATAAGATCTCATAGCAACCTAGGAATTAAATGTAATTTCTTCAACCTGTTAAAGGACATCTGCAAAAACTGCACGTAATATGCTTAATGGTGAAGTCTGAACACTCTCCCCCTAAGATCAGGAACAAGGCAAGGATATCCACTCTCATCAGGCTTAGTTAACATTGTGCTAGAGGTCCTAGCTAAAGCAATACAACAAGAAAAAGAAATAAAATGTATACAGATCCTCCCACAGGATAAATAATGTCCAAATGACTCTCCTTCAGAACCTCTTCCTTAAAATGACATTAACCTTTGAATCAAAACTTCAGACAGTGGCCACTGAGTGAAATAAATGTAAAAAAATTTTTTTAATTAAAAAATTTTAGAAACTTCAAACTAAATCTTCTGGCTCAAGTTCTACAAATCAAATAGAATCTTACTCTCTTCTTTGCCCCCAAATGATTGTTTTTAACATCTCCCTTGCCTTCTGCTTAGAGACCTGAGCTACCATATATCTTCATTTCTTATGCAAAAAAAGTACTTCAGGGTGATTTTCTATTATTAATTTTTTTTACTCATACATACTAGATGTACATATTTTGGGGGTACACGTGATAATTTAATACACTCATATTGTTTGTAAAAATCAAATCAGTGTAATTAGGATATCCATCACCCTAAATATTTGTCTTTTATGCTAGAAATGTTCAAATTATTCTCTTTCAGCTGTTTTAAAAGTACACAATAGATTATTATAAACTATAGTCATGCTACTGATCTAACAAATACTAAGTCTTATTTCTTCTATCAAACTATATATTCATACCCAACTTGGTTTTCTTGTTTGTTGATTTGTTTATTTCTACAGGCCCCAAGTTCAGACTAGAATATAATATGGAAAGGGTTATGGTTCTTAGGTTTTACGTGCAAACACAAATGATTCATTCAAGGAATGCTTCCAAGAGAAACCAATAAAAGGGGAAGCAAGACAAAGAAGGAGAGAAAGCCAAACAGGGGCGCAGTTCCAGGCAGAATCCCATAAAGGAAAGTTCAAGCCCCTGGAGCTTAAGGCAATTCTGAAGTTTAGTTGTACCTCTGAGTTGTCCCAAGCCAGGGCAAGGGAGATGAGTCTTCAAACTTGCAGCCTATGGTTTATGGCTACTCTCACAAAGCCTATACATTCCCAGGCACTTCCTTTGTTAGACTTCAATAACCCAAGACAGTCTTCCAAAAAAAGAGCTCCAGATGTGAGCTCTTGAAAGTAAAAACAAACCAAAAGCCAGTGGTCACACAAAAAATGGAATCCACGTACACCTGGGCAGAGCATCAACTTCATTCATCTCATACCCATTTACTGAGCATCTACTTGGAACCAAATCTCCTGCTAGGCTCTTTACAAACATCGTCTCATTTAGTCTTCATGACAACACTGACAGATCTATATTGGTTTTTTGTATTCTTATTTAATCCTGACAGCAACACCCTATGAAGTAGTTCTTACTAGTTCCATTTTAAAGATTGTAACATTGAGGTTCTGAGAGGTTAAGTAACTTTTTCAAGATCACATAACTAATAAGTGGCAGGGGTGGGCTTTAAACTGGGGTCTATCTGGCCTCTGCCAAGTTTGATCCTGCTTTTTCCTTTTATGTGTCATGTCTCTCTTCCTCTTCTCTCACACATTACTCCCATTAAGTACTGAAGTCCCTCCTGCTTCCCAAGCCTATGCCTGTAATTCCATAAGCAGTTTCTCCTATTTAGACTGTTTTCACTGTTCACACTCTGGACCCCTATCTAAACTTACCTTCTCATGTCCCAGGAATCTGTCAATTCCCTACGCTCTGCTGGATGTCTGGTTGGAAAGGACTTTATTGATAAAATTCCAGCCAGGAATTAATAATTGGAGATGGAAGGATAGAATTTGTCTTAACTCAGATGAGTGGATTTCTATCTATTCTCAAAAATCCAAATGGGAAACTCATTAAGAATTGGAATCTGATTTGACCATATGCAATAAGCAAGGGATTTGAAGAGAGTGGTCTTTGAAAAGAGTTTTTATAGAACATCCAAGAATTTTCTCCATAACTGTAGCATTCCCTTACCCAATTCCTCAAAGAGTTTTCTCTCACTCTCTTGGCTCCCTAGACACAGCCAGAAGAAAGGTCTCCAATTTCTCCAGTGGAGTGGCCCAGCACTTTCTCCTCATCTCCTCGCTGGATGACAAACCCTAAACAATGAACAAAGCATATTAAATTAGCAAGCAGTTTTCTTCATGCCTTAAGTGTGAGCAGTAGAGAAACTTCTTCCACCAGACATGGCCCCAGGCATATGGAACTAAGCCAAACAGAGAGTGGAAAGCCTGCCTGACATACTGTGTTGGGGACAGGAGTGGCCAGGTAGAGGGAAGAAACACAACTACCTCTAAGAGCTTGCCTGGACAGTGGCTTAAAAATGGCAGTAAAAAGAAAATAGCATTTTTGTGAGGTGGAAAAAGCTGAGATAAAATAATCAGAGAATATCTCCACAAATAAAAATAGCTAGCAATCATTGAGCACCTACTGTGTGCCACGTGCTTTTTATTATTTGTATTAGATATAGTCTTTTATTTATATGTCATCTTAATCTTCACATATCCCTATAAAATAAGTATGCTGTAATTCTGATGTTACAGATAAGGAAAGCAAGGCTCAGACAGACTGAGTACTTTGCCCAAGGTCACACAGTGTATAGAAATTATGAGGGCCGGGTACTGTGGTTCACACCTGTAATCCCAGCACTTTGGGAGACTGAGGTGGGCGGATCACAAGGTCAGGAGATCGAGACCATCCTGGCTAACATGGTGAAACCCCGTCTCTACTAAAAATACAAAAAAATAAAAAATAAAAGAAATAATTAGCTGGGCGTGGTGGCAGGCGCCTGTAGCCCCAGCTACTTGTGAGGCTGAGGCAGGAGAATGGCGTGAACCTGGGAAGCAGAGCTTGCAGTGAGCCGGGATCACACCACTGCACTCCAGCCTGGGCGACAGAGCGAGACTCCATCTCAAAAATAAAAAAAAAAGAAAGAAATTATAGTCATTAGTTGAAACTGACCCTGTCAGGCTCTAAAGCCACACTCTTTATTACAATGAATAATAGCACAGTGGTAATGTACCCAGCCTCTGAGGTCAAACTGTCTTCAAACCTCAGCTATGCCACTTATTGGCTGTGCAACTCTATTAGTTTATTAGGGCTTCTGCAACCAAGTACTGTAAACTGGGTGACTTTAAACAACAGAAATTTCTTACCACACAGTTCTGGAAGCCAGAAGTCCAAAATCAATGTGCGATGGCAGGGTTGGTTCCTTCTGAGAGCTACGAGACAGAATCTGTTCCATGCATCTTGCCTGGTTTCTGGTGGTTTGCTGGCCACCTTTGGCATTCCTTGGCTTAATGAAGCATCTCTGCCTTCACCTTCACATAGAGTTCTCCCCGCATGCATCTCTGTGACCAAATTTCAATTTCCATTGTATTTTATTTATTTTTATTTTTTGAGATAGAGCCTCTGTCTGTCACCCAGGCTGGAGGTTGCAGTGGCATGATCTCGACTCACTGCAATCTCCGCCTCCTGAGTTCGAGCGATTCTCCTGCCTCAACCCCCCGAGTAGCTGGGACTACAGGAGTGTGCCACCATGCCCAGCTAATTTTTGTATTTTCAGTAGATACGGGGTTTCACTATGGTGGCCAGGCTAGTCTCGAACTCCTGACCTGAGGTGATCCGCCCGCCTCAGCCTCCCACTGGGCCTGGCCAAATTTTCATCTTTTTTAATAAGGACACAAGTCGTACTGAATTAGGGCCAACCCTAATGACCTCATCATAACTAGTTATAGCTGCAATTGATATAGGGGTTAAGAAAAAATTATTTAGACAGATAGTGAGGGCATAGGAGTCCTCAGTAAGGTTTTCGTTTTAATGAAAAGCAGCCCCCAAATCACTTTCTTTTCTAACAAAAAGCAGCCTTTAAAATCGAGCTGCAGACATAGACAAGCAAGCTAGAAGCTTGCACGGGTGAATGCTGGAAGTTCTGCCAATAAGAAAAGGCTACCTGGGACTAGGCATGTTCAAAATGACAGCTTCATGCTCCCTTCTCTTTGCCAGCCACGTGGATAGTAAGGAGCAGACAACATGGCGCCGCCCAAGTGGAAAGTCCATTTGCATAATAAGATTACGGTGGGGTGGCCAGCCTTCCCCAAGCGCTATGTAAATTTCACACCTGATCCAACCAATCTGTGGGCCCTACGTAAATCAGACACCACTTCCTCAAGCGTGTCTATAAAATCCAGTGAACACCACAGCGGTTTTCTCTTTCCAGCACCCCTCTCTCGCGCGAGAGAGAGAGCTGTTCTCCTTTCCGTTTCTTTTGCCTATTAACCTTCCACTCCTAAACTCACTCCTTGTGTGTGTGTCTGTATGTTTAATTTTGGCGTGAGACGACTAACCTTGGGTATTACCCCAGACAGTGATGCTGCTTCACAATGATCCTGTTTCCAAATCGAGCCTCATTTGAAGGTATTGGAAGTCAGGATTTCAACATACGAATTCATTGCAGGGTTTTGGAGGAAAGGGGCACATAATTCAATCTATAGTAGTGAGCAATTACTTTTTCTCCCTATGTCTCATCGTATTCATCTGTCAAGTAGGATTGTAATAGGATTGTGAGGGTTAAAGGAATTAACATGCATAAAGCGCCTAGAACACGGGCTCAACAAACTTACCACCCAAGGGCCAAATACAACCTGCCACCTCTTTTTGTACAGCAAGCAAGTGCTTTTATAAGTGGTTTCTATATTTTTAAAGGGTTAAGGAAAAAATAAAAAGAATAATATTTCATGACACATGAAAAACGAGATTTAAATTTCAATGTCCATAAAGTCTTATTAGCACTCAGCCACGCCCACTCATTTACATACTGCCTGCAGCTGCTTTTACACTACAATGGCAGAGTTGAGGAGCTGCAGCCTCTACAGAGACTGCATGAGCCACAGATCCTAAATTATCTACTGTCTGACTCTTTATGGAAAATGTTTGCCCACCATTGACCTAGGAGGTTACCCAGCCTGTAGTAAGCACTGTCTTAATATTGCTTATGACTCTATTTTTCCCTTTTCTTTTACCATAAGAGGAATTACCTGCCTCTGCATTTCCTTCTGTAGCAAAGATAATTTTCAACTCCTATAATGGGGGACAGAGGATGTTCCTATCCAGAGCCAGTCCCCATGTGTCCTGGGGGGGGGGTCCCCAGCCCTCCCAAACTCCTCCCCTGAATTGGCTGGTTTCCCCCACCACGCTCAACAGCTGTTCCCCTAGCTGTATCAAGTCCAGGCCAGTGAGCTTGCTTCTCTCCGGCTTGTCTCAGCAATTTTGTTTTCCCCCACTGCACAAGTTCCTAACAGCTCCAACGAGTCCAAAGGTGAGCACTTCCAAACCTTTAATTATTTACATCTGAGAAATTGAAATTCTAAGGGCTTTTTCTCCCTGTCAGTCACGTCAGCAGTTGGCGTCCCAAGCACAACAATCCTCCCTCCTGTCGGAAGCTTCTGCCTCCTTCCTACAAATTGTAACAAATTTGCATTTTTTGTTCCATTTTTCACTGGCCAAAAAAAGACGTGAAGCGCCATGTTAGTTGGATGGTTCATCTGGGCTACTCAGGAGGAAGGGGGCAGAGGAAGGTAGCGTGGACAAGACAGCAGTGTGCGGGGGTGTTTGCAGAGAGGGAAAAAGAATATTTCCATGCGGAGTCAGCAAAACTGGCAAACATGGAGAAAAAAAATTCACAGTTCAGATGGGGAGAAGAAACACTTGTTCTTGCAATGATTTGAAGCGTGGAGAGTTTAATTACCAAAGAGACCACAATTGTTTGGCTCCACATGTTCATGGCTGTGTATTGGATGGTATGTGGTGTCCTCTCAATGATTTTTTTTCTTTCAGAATTATAGGATCTAGGAATAAAACCAAGTTATAGTCAGATTAAAGTCCTTAACTCTTAATGAAAGGTTTTTATTCAGCCATATGCATTCAGCCTCAGAATTTCTCATCCAGACCTCCCAGTTGCCATTGAGGAGGAATGAGAGCTTCTAAAAATAAGTCAGCTACGTGCAGAGTCCCTCTGAGGTCAGACCATTGTCCCCAAGGAGGACACAGCTGTTGTTATTGCTGTTTTTATGCCAATGTGGCTCGAGTCACACTAGGATGGGGATGCCTCTGTGATGGGAACACGGAGGAAGAAAACTCTCCCCAAAAAGAACCCCAGCATGGTTCCCAAACGACCCCATGTTCTAGAAAAGTCTCTTCCTATGCAAATCTTTCTTTCCCCTAGTCTTGATCACCCTTCAGTTTTTCTCACTTCACTCAGTGGCAACCCCAGATTCAATTAACTGAAACCAAAAATCTTGGCGTTGTCTTTGATACCTCCCTTTCTCCTACACCCCACATCCAATCTGCTGACAGATCCTGCTAGTTCTATCCAGGACTGGTTACATAACTGGTGTAGCCAAGCTCAAAATAAAAATGCAGAGCCACCGTCCACAGGTCACATGCCCATAAAGTCAGCCCTGGTTCTACCTACAAAAACACATCTGAAATCTGACCACTTGTAACCTTCTCCACTGCCAACAACCTGGTCTGAGCTCCCACCTGGGAACCTTCAGAGTCTCGTAACCAGACTCCCGGCTTCTATGTTGAGGCCTTCTGTCTATTTGCAGCACAGCAGCCAGAGTAATTCACATGACATCTCTCTTCTGCTCAAAACCCGCTGCTGTCTCTTCATGTCACCCGGAGTAAAAGCCAAAGTCCTCACAATGGCCCGGAAGCCTGTTCCCATCCCCAGGACCTCTCTACCCTCACTTTTGACTCTCCCCCTTGCACACTTTTTTTTCAATCACAACAGGATCCTTGACTGTCCTCAAACCAGCCGGGCATGCTCCTTTCTTCTGTCATTTCACCTTGTTCCTTCTGCCTGGAAGCTCATACGACACCTGAGCTCACTATATATGTATGCTCTCCCTCACATTCTTTTATTCATTCAACAAATATTTATTGAAGTGTTATTCATTCAACAAATATTTATTGAGCACCAATGGTGTGCCAGACACTATTATCCTTTGCACAGATGGTTGAATCCAGCATCTCTCTGATCACTGATGAGGTACAGCATCATTTCCTAGATGTGTTGGCCATTTTATAGCTAATTTTTCTGTAAATTGTAAATTTTTCTGCAAATCACCCTATGTAACACTTACATAGTACTTCCTCTGTGCCAGACACCACTCTAACAACTTCATAAAGAGGCACTGTTGTTATCCCAATTTTACAAATGGGAAACCTGGTTAAGCTACTTACCTGAGATCATACACCTGTTTTTCTACTGGGTAGTTAATTTTTATCATACTGATTTGTAGGAACTCTTTATATATAACAGCTATTATCCATTTGATTGTTATGATGAATTCTACTGGCTGCATAATAGGGGAAAGACCATGTTGCCTCCAACTATCCTTGTACCATGTTTTTCATCCACCAAGCTGTACATGCTAACCAGTGAGAACATTTCATTTGCTAACCAGTGAGAACATTTCATTTTACCTTGTGTATTAGTTATCTATTGCTGTGTAACAAATTATCTCCCCCCCGCCAAAACAAAAAAGCAGTTCAAAATCACAAATATTTATTTTGTTACACATATTTCAAAGGACAGGGATGTAAGAATAGCTTAGCTGGATGGTTCTATCAAGCACTGTCAAATGGTTCTGGTGGTTTGCAGTCAAGCTCTCAGCCAGAGTTGCAGCCATCTCAAGATTCAACTGGGGTAGAACTTCATGTGTTTTCTGGCAGACCTCAGTTTTTCTTTGGCTTTTGACGAGAGGCCTCATTTCCTCCACCACGGGCCTCTCCACACAGCTTCTCACAATATTGCAGCCAGCTTGCCCTCAAGGGAGAGGAGGAGTGAGAGAGTGGAAGCCTCAGCCTTTTATAACCTATCATCAGAAGTGACATTCCATCATTTCTTCCACTTGCTATTGGTCACACAGACCAACCCTCGTACAACGTGGGAGGAGGTCATCTTTGAGTGTGAATACCAGGAGGCCAGGGTCACTGGTTCCATCTTTGAGAACGGCTACCAAATGTTGGGTCCATTATTATTCTTTAGTACTCACTTGTTTTGGAAACACACACGTGCTGAGTGACGCTTTTGAAAAGGAGAAACTCAGAGTCCTATACCTCAGAGATGGATTCCCAAAACTAAGGGGCTGCTGTGACAAAACACCATAGACTGAGTGGCTTATAAAAAACGGAAATTTATTTCTCACAGTTCTGGAGCCTGGAAGTCCAAGATCAGGATGCCACCATGATGAAGTTCCAGCGAAGACCCTCTTCTCCAGGTTCCAAATGGCAGACTTCTCATTATATTTCCACATGGCAGGGAGCAGAGGAAAAAGAAGCAAACTCATTTTTCGTTTTTGGTTTTTTTTTAACTTGCTATGTTGCCCAGGCTGGTCTTAAAACCTTGATCTCAAGCAATCCTCTCATACTTTAGCCTCCCAGAATGCTGGGATGACAGGCATGAGCCACCATGCCCAGACTCTCTCATGTCTTTTTATAAGGGCACTAATCTCATTCAGAGGGCTCCATCCTCATGACCTAATTACCTCCCAAAGGCCTTGCTTCCTAATGCCATCCTACTGGGAGTTAAACACATAATCAGTCCATAGCAAGATTTATACCTTCCACTATCCCCTAAGCCCAAGACTCCTACTGCAACCAACGAAAGCCCTCTGCTTATTTTAAGCAGGAAGAAGGGTTATTTAAAGGATGTTGGATACTTTACAGAATCTACAGAAGGGCTGGAAGATTACAGATTTGAAGGCTACACAACCAGGCACAAGGTGGAAAATTCATCCTTGGAGTAAATCCAGTGAAGACATCATAGCTTGCACGCCCGACACTACCAACAGTGGACACCCATGTTGCTACTACAATCTAGAGCTGCAACTAGCTTGAGGAAGTGACTGCTTCTGTTTGTCAGAATTGACTTTGCATGGTTCTCCTTCTTCGCAAGGTTTTGATTGAAAGACTTGACCAGGGCCATTTGACTGGCAGCACCCTTTGATGAGTCATTTAATGGGCCTGTGCCCTAGCTGCAAAGGATGCTGAGAAAGCAGTTGTCCATCCTTTTCAGCTTATATGCAAGGAGGCAGACCATCCTTATATTCTATGCTTCGTCATTTGGAAGATTCCTTCAAACATAAAAACTTCAGATGCCGAGCGGACAACAATAACAAAAAAAAAAACTGGAAATAAATATCTACTACACCTACAAAATTTGGTCAGAGAACAGAGAACATTTATCTAACTTGGAAAAGATCTTAAACACAGAACATCTAGGAAGTTCAATGCCCACACTTTACTAATGAGGAAATTGGGGCCCTGAAAAGTGAAAGGAATTGCCTAATGTAACATAGGAAGTAAATGACAAGAGGCAAGACTTTTCCTCTTGGATCCAGACTCCAGGAGGAGGGAGTTCTTAATCTCTATCATGGTATAGATCTCTGTTTAATAATTTGGTGAAGACTGTGGATTCTTTCTCAGTATAACATTTAAAAAAAAAATTAAAAGAATACATTAGAAACAAATTAGAAAGAATACAAAGGAAACAAATTACATTGAAATGTAATTATAGAAATATTAAAACAAAGTTGTGATACAGCAATATATGCAATACATATTTTTCTTTATTAATATATTAAGAACAAAATCTAGTAGCAGATCTAACAACCACTATAATTTCAAAGAAATGATATTCATTAAGGATATTTGAAGATTCCATAACAATTGTAATGAGATATTAAAATAACTATGACTTCCAATGATGACAAAGTCACAAGAATTGTAGATTCCACCATGGTTTTATTGCCTACATTCATAATAGAAAAAAATGCTAAAAGTCAGAGGTCAGTGGAAAAAGTTTTTTTCTATCCAAGTTGACTAATTCTTTATATCTTATCTTCAGAACTGCAGGAACTGGGGGTGGTCATTCCGGGATAAGAACTGCCCGGCCTGTTGATTATAGGATGGAAAAGCAGGGCACACAAATAGGCCAATAAAATCAGTTGAAATTGATCATGAATGGAGGGTTTGCAAAGTATTCCTTTCTTATGGGTATTGTGGGAGGCGAGGGTGTGCACGTGGGATACATACATGTCATGCATGTGTGTATGTGTATTTTCCTATTACAAGAGAGTCCTATATTTACAGACATGGAAAGACAGCAGGGTAAACTATTAATATTAAATGAAAAACACATTACAGAACGTGTAACAACAATAGATAATATTTACTGAGCACTTGCTAGAGCACTTACAGATGTCACCTCACTGAATCCTCTAACCAACACTTTGACATAGCTTTTTTTCTTTTATTTATTTATTTATTTATTTATTTATTTATTTATTGAGATGGAGTTTTGCTCTGTCACCCAGGCTGGAGTGCAGTGGCTCAATCTCAGCTCACTGCAAACTCCTTCCGGGTTCAAGCGATTCTGCTGCCTCAGCCTCCCGAGTAGCTGGGACTGCAGGCACCTGCCACCACACTCGGCTTATTTTTGCATTTTTAATAGAGATAGGGTCTCACCACGTTGGCCAGGCTGGTCTCGAACTCCTGGCCTCAGGTGATCCTCCTGCCTTGGCCTCCCAAAGTGCTGGAATTACAGGCGTGAGCCACCATGCCCAGCCATCATAGCTATTTTTTATTATCTCATTTTGTAGGTGAGTAAACCAAAATGTGGAGAGAGAAAGTAAGTTGCCCAAAATTGCAGAGCTGCTAAGTGAGGGAGCAGCCATTCAGGGCCAGACTATCTGACTCTAGGGCTTGAGCTCATGTCTGTTCTGCTTATCCACTTGTTATAATTAAATGCTTAACATTCTGCATGTATGTGTGTACATGTGGATACCTACATGCATTTTTAAAAGCTGGCACATTACATATGCCAAACCACTAACTGTGTTTACCTCTGGTGAGAGTGACTGGGGAAAGGGCAGAGATGGGATAAACCATTTCCTTTTTAAAAACTCAAAGACGCTTAAGTGTTTTTAAATAAGTGAGCAAGAGCCCCATGTATCAACCTGAGTGAAACTCACAAGTAAGGTTGAGGAAAAAATATATGCCCAGTATAATATGGTGCCTTAATATGTAAGACAAAATTACCTATGAGGTAGGGTCACAAACATAGATAGTAAAAATATAATGATATGCATGGACTCAATAAATATCAAACTTGGGGGAGGTAAAATGGGTGAGGAAAAGAAACAGATGAGGCGTCAATCATATTGATTATGTTTTACTTCTTTTTCTTTTCTTTTCTTTTCTTTTTTTTTGAGACAGAGTCTGGCTCTGTCGCCCAGGCTGGAGTACAATGGCGCGATCTTGGCTCACTGCAAGCTCCACCTCCCGAGTTCACGCCATTCTCCTGCCTCAGCCTCCCAAGTAGCTGGGACTACAGGTGCCTGCCACCACGCCTGGCTGATTTTTTGCATTTTTAGTAGAGACGGGGTTTCACCATGTTAGCCAGGATGGTCTCGATATCCTGAGCTCGTGATCCGCCCACCTCGGCCTCCCAAAGTGCTGGGATTACAGGCGTGAGCCACCGCGCCCGGCCAATTATGTTTTACTTCTTAAGCAACCTGGTGGGCAGTAGCCGCCTCTTATATTATCATGTACACTATTATTTTTTATTTGTTTCATAATAAATTTAACAGAGAGAGAAATTACTAATGAGAAATACCCACACACGGTCAATCCTTCGTTTTAGCTTTGATATTGTTTGAATTCTCACTTGGGAAATGTATAAAAGAAAAAGGGGGATGTAACAGGGCGGGTTAGTGGTTACCTTCGGGAAGGAGGGAAGGAGTAGTTACTGGGAGTCCACACGGGGGCTTCTGGAGACCAACAATGTTCTGTTTCATGAGCTGGAGTGACAGTTTCACACGTGTTTGCTTTGTGATATTTGATTGATCTGTATGTATAGGATTACGTTCACTTTTCTGAATATATGTTATATATCAAAATGTTAAAATGTAGAGAATCTTACCTTATGAATATACAAAAAAAGAGGAAGACATCTAAGGCACTTACAAAAGAACTTTAACCCCCTAGTTTTCAGCTGGTTCTATGCCATCCGAGACTCAAGGCCACTCAGCAGGTTACACTCCCCTCCATAGGCTGCAGGCACGAGGCAAAGCTGTAGTGCTCATTCAAGACCTTTCAAAACAGATCTCTGGGCACACCCCAGCCTCCAGCATCTTCAGTGGGGTGGCTTTTGTCAAAAGGCTGTCTACATCACACAAGTCCAGAAAAATACTGTCATGTGGCCAGGCTCTTAAGTGGGGAAGCCTGGGACACTGAGAAAGAAAACATGAGATTCCAAATGCCAGTTGAGACGCCATCCATTATTTGTTGTGTTGGTAAGTTTTTGTTTTGTTTTGTTTTGTGACGGAGTTTCCCTCTTTCACCCAGGCTGGAATGCAGTGGCACGATCTCAGCTCACTGCAGCCTCTGCCTACCGGGGTCAAGCAATTCTCCTACCTCAGCCTCCTGAGTAGCTGAGATTACAGGTGCACGCCACCATGCCCGGCTAATTTTTGTATTTTTAGTAGAGACGGGGTTTCACCATGCTGGCCAGGCTGGTTCAAACTCCTGACCTCATGATCTGCCCACCTCGGCCTCCCAAAGTGCTGGGATTATAGGCGTGAGCCACCGCACCCGGCCCTGTTGCTAAGTTTTTTAAGGAGCCACGGCAAGATTGTTTTCTGGCTTCTTTAGTGATAAATCCACCAGTCTCTTCTCAGGAATGGAGAGGACTTCCAAAGATCAAAACAATGCTCTTACAAGTAGAAAAGAGAGAGGTAACTGAAATGCAGAGGGAAGAACCATGATCTGGAAATCAGATCTGTTGCATCAGCTAGCTCATGCTGCATAACAAACCACTCCAAAATTCAATAGCTTGAAACAACAAGCATTTATTATTTATTAGTCAGCTAGGTGGATGAAGCTCAACTGGTCTTGGCTGGGCTTGCTCAAGTGTCACCCATAAGTTTGGCTGGATTTGGCTTTGACCTAACTCATGTGTGTCTTGACTGACTGGCTGTGAGCTGACAGCTAGGGGTGACTAGGCAGTGTGTTGCTCATCATCCAGCATGGTAGCCCAGTCTTGTTAGTATAATGCTTAGGTGGGTTTCCAAGACAGAAAGGAAGTGTGCAAGGCATCTTGAGCTGTTGACTTAGAACTATCACATCATCATTTCTGCCAAACTCTATTGGCCAAAGCAAGTCACCAGGCAAGCTCAGATTGAAGAACTGGGAAAAGAGACCCTACTTCTTGGTGGAAGCCACTGCAAAGCCACATTGCAAGATAATTGGGTACAGGGCGGGGGGGTGAAGATTTGGTGACATTTTTACAGTTAGTCCACCCTACTTGGTTCTAGTCCAGACTTTGCTTATAACTCACAATACAGTTTGTGGAAAGGTACCTCTCCTTTCTGAATCTCAGTTTCCATATCTGTAAAATTAGAGGCTTGAACTAGATCAAGGGCTGACAAACTATGACCTGCTGCCTGTTTTACTCAATAAAGTTTTATTGAAACACAGCCATGCCTATTTGTTTCTGCCTTGTCTTTGGCTGCTTTTGTGCTAGAACAGCAGAAGTGAGTAGTTGCAATAGAGACCCTGTGACCTGCAAAACTAAAAATATTTACTATATCGCCCTTTACAGACAAAGTTTCTGACCTGGGAAGTAAATGAGCTTTCAATTTCATTTGATTCTAATATTGTCTGTTTCCAAGCCTCCTCCACAGAGCTTAGTAATCATAATAGCACTACCACTTGTTGCACACCTACTGAGTGCAGTAGGCACTGTGCTAAGAAAGGCACTATGAGACGGGCATGGTGGCTCATGCCTGTAATCCCAGCACTTTGAGAGGCTGAGGCGAGTGGATCACCTGAGGTCAGGAGTTTGAGACCAGCCTGGCCAACATAGCAAAACCCCGCTTCTACTAAAAATACAAAAAAAAAAAAAATAGCCAGGCATGGTGGTGCACTCCTGTAGTCCCAACTACTCAGGAGGCTGAGGAAGGAGAGTTGCTTAAACCCAGAGATGGAGGTTGCAATGGGCCAAATTGTGCCACTGCACTCCAGCCTGGACAACAGAGAAGACGCCATCTCAAAAGAAAAAAAAAAGAGAAAAGCACTATTGCAGGGTGGTCTTGAGAGTGGATCCTGGATCCAGGATGCCTGGTTTGAATACCAGCTCCATCACTACTGTGAGTTTTGACAAGTTGTACCTCATTTCCTCATCTGTGAAATGGGAATAATGTCACAACCTCATAGGGTTGTCATAAAAATTCTTGAGTTAATAGATGTTAAACCTTTGGAGAGTTCTGCCTAAACATTCCATAAATGCTAAATATTATTCTTTACTTGTCTTGTCTCAGAAGAATTCTCAGATCATCCTTTAGAATAAGGAAACAGAGACTCAGAAAAGTGAAAGGGCCTGCTGAAAGTCCCACAGCTACCAGGTAGCAGAGCTGAGATTTGAAGTCAGCTCACAGAGACTTCCTCCCTGTCCAGTCTGACCACACTCTGGCATCCTCCTAACACCCAGACAGCAGGATGCTGTGTGCAGGGCTGTTCTTACATCTTTACATTACAGTAGCCTCCCTCATCCATGGAGGATGCATTGAAAATCCCCCCAGTGGGTGCCGGAAACCATGGATAGCACTAACTCCTGTATACACTGTGTTTCTTCCTGTACATACAGATCTATGATAAAGTTTAATTTATAAATTGAGCACAGTAAGAGATTAGTAACAATAACTAATAATGAAATAGAACAATTATAACAGAATACTATTCAGAATTCGACAGATACAAGATTTGTTTTTACTGTAGATCTTAGCAACATCAGTGTATTAGTCTTTTCTTGCACTGCTTATAGAGACATACCCAACACTGGGTAATTTATAAAGAAAAAGAGGTTTAATTGACTCACAGTTCCATGAGGCTGGGAAGGCTTCACAGTCATGGGAAGGTAAAAGGCACATCTTACGTGGTGGCAGGCAAGAGAGAACTTGTACAGGGAAACTCCTCTTTATAAAACCATCAGATCTCATGAGACTTACTCACTATCATGAGAACAGCAAGGGAAAGAGCTACCCCCATTATTCAATTACCTCTCACCAGGTCCCTCCCATGACACCTGGGAATTGTGAGAGCTATAATTCAAGATGAGATTTGGGTGCAAACACCGCCAAACCATATCACTCAGCAGACATGTTTCTTTTCTCATTAAGTCAAGAACTTTCACCTTTTTCATTTAAAATAAGCACTTTTTAGCTTCTCTTTGGAGTATCCAAATTGCCAGCATCACTACTTTTGCACTTTGGGGCCATTATTAAGTAAAATAAAGATTACTTGAACATCACATAAGATTCCATCATGCTACTTAGAATGGTGGGCAATTTAAAACTTATGAATTGTTTATTTCTAGAATTTTCCATTTCATATTTTCAGACTGCTGTTGACCATGGGTGACTGAAACCACAGAAAGTGAAATTGCAGATAAAGGAGGAACTACTGTGTACCTAAAGGTCATATCACCACCTGGAGAAAATGAGACGCTGTCTAGCCACTCCTCTCTGAAATGCTGTGCGATCAAATGCTACTCTCCCAATTGCTCTGCCCATGGGAGAGTTGTAATTATTCAGCTTGATGCTTGACTGGTTTTATCTCGGGGAAAGAGAGACAATGACCCGAGGTATTTTATTTCAGTAAAGGCAAGCAACTTAGAAAACTCTCATGCTTGAAATAGACATACTTCTGAATAACTTAGCAAACGAGTCTTCTGAGGGGGCAGGACACACACACACACACACACACACACACACACACACACACACACCCCAAGGTCATCAAATCTGCGCCCTTGGCTCTGGTAGGAACCCAATCAAGGCATCACAGATAGGCACTGCTCCTATATGCAGAATCCTACTGTATGAGTTTCCTATTGCCAATATAACAAATTACCACAAACTTAGTGGCTTAAATCAACACAAATTTATTATCTTACAATTCTGGAGGTCAGAAGTCTAACATGTGTGTCACTGGGATAAAATCAAGGTGCTGTGCTCCTTTCTATGGTTACTTGAGGAGGAGCCATCTTGTCTTTTCCAGTTTTTAGAGGTCACCTGTACCCCTGGCTCTCAGTTCCCTTCTATCTTCAAAGCCAGTAGTGACTGGTCGAATACCTCTCACAGGACCATTTCTCTGACCCTCATGCTTCTTCCTTCCTCTTCCACAGTTAAGTGCCCTGTGCTCCCTTTGGGTTCAACTGGATAACCCTCTCACTACCCAAAGTCTTCTGATTAGCCACCTTAATTCCATCTGCTACCTTAATTCCTCTTTGCTATGTAACATCATGTAATCACAGGTTCTGGTAATGAGGACACCCCGTGTTTCCCCACTGGTCCCAGCGATGCTAATTGTTTTAGGTGGGACACAAGCAAAGCGCTAAAACACAGATACACAAAATGGGAAAATCCTCTCCCTTTCAATTGTCTGCAATCTTTCTCATTATGTAAAACGAAGTCTCAAGTTGGTGTTACTCAGTCTTTGACACTCTCACTACCTCACATTATGTATTTGCACATTCTTAGAGTCATCTGATTAGCCACCTTAATTCTATCTGCTACCTTAGTTTCTCTTTGCTATGTAACATCATGTAATCACAGGTTCTGGTGATGAGGACATGGACATCTTGGGGAGTCTTTCTTCTGCCCTCACACTAATGATTTTTGCTGTCTGTCTCCCCTTCAGTTTGCCTCACTGCTCGTTCCCTGGCATCTAGAGCAATAATGTTCTCAAAGTCAGTGCCCAAAAAACATTTTTTTGATATTTTGAACATGTGCATATCCATTCATCTTCTAGTCTAAAGCAATTAAACTCCAGAATTATCTTCCTATAGCATACAATCGCTTGTGTTTTGTTGTTGTTGTTATTGTTGTTGCTGTTGTTGTTGTTGTTGAGACGGGGTCTGGCTATTGTCACCGAGCTGGAGTGCAATGGCATGATCTTGGCTCACTGCAACCTCCGCCTCCTGGGGTCCAGCAATTCTCCTGCCTCAGCCTCCCGAGTAGCTGAGATTACAGGCACCTGCCACCACGCCCAGTTAATTTTTGTATTTTTAGTAGAGACAGAGTTTCACCATGTTGGCCAGGCTGGTCTCAAACTCCTGACCTCAGGTAATCCACTCGCCTGGGCCTCCCAAAGTGCTGGGGTTACAGGCATGAGCCACCGCATCCAGCCAATTGCTTGTATTTTAATGCACAGGGACTTAGGATCAGATAGAAGTCAGAGGCACAAGAGTCACCAGGAGGGTGACCCAGAAATCTCACGTGGAAACATCAGCGCCTTTCAGCAACCACTTCTCAAGTTCGTTTGGCGTTCATTGTCCATCATTGACCTGGAAAGGACACAATGATAAGCAAGATAAGGAGGATTTAAATGACTTGGAAGAAATACAGAGCAAAGACATTAAATAAATACAGACCTTTAGAACTTAAAAAGGTGTCCGAGGGTCTCCATCCCCACGTTTCCCCTTTGGTCCCAATGTTGCTAATCGTTTTAGGTGGGACACAAACAAAGCACTAAAACACAGATTCACAAAATGGGAAAGTTCTCTCCCTTTCAATTGTCTGCAATCTTTCTCATTCTGTACAACGAAGTCTCAGGTTGGTGTCACTCAGTCTTTGACACCTGTCTAACACTGGCTCATCTCCTTTTTAACAAAGAGAGAGCAAGTCTCCGGCTACAGCCTGGATCAGGCTTCATCTCCCTGGGGTAGTGTCCCAGCAGTGCAGGTGGCAAAAAACAGGTGGTTTGAGAGGCACTAGGGCCAACTCCCCCTCTTCACTATTAAAAAAACGGTGGCCCAGAGAGGAGAGATAACTTTCTCAATGTCATAGAGCTGGTCTCCTGCACCCCATCTCCTCCATTCTAATCCAATGTCTGCCTCCTGTGTGTGAAAGTACATAAGAAATAACAGGAAAGGAAACAAGCCATCTATACCTAAAGGAATGAAAGAAGAGAATGGGAAGGGTTGGAAGATTAGTGCTTCCCTCTCTGGCCAGGCTGCTGAGTGCCAGGACTTGGAGAGAAGACAGGAGAATGCCGAGGAGCAGAATGAAAAATGAAGCAGTCAAACTCCCTGCTGTCAGGGAAGCCTGCTCCCTTCTGGCTGCAGCCACTGCCAGAAGGAATACTCAGGGTTTGCAGAGGGAGAAGCAAGGGTGATGCCAAGAAGCAGCTGGGAGTTGGGCCAGAAGCTGGGGTTCAGGACTCCCCACGACCTATGAGGGTGGACTTCAGATGGAAGGTTCTGAGGTGATCTTGTGAGCCAGGCAGACCACCCAAAAGCTCTACCCTGCACCACTTAACCCCCCAGACCTCAAGGAAGCCAGCCCCTGCCCCTCCTCCAGCCAAGCCAGCCTCTTGGCAGACACACAGATGGCTCTGAATTAACAAGAGCCAAAATTAACTTTCCAGGAAAATGTTTCCACCTTCCGAAAAGGACACTGAGAAAATATTGCATATAGCAAAGGGTTTCAAACTTTTTTAAAGCAGGTGATTCTGTCACTGAACAAACATGCTCATCATTTAATGATTTGGCAATCAGAGTTTCAAAAAAAGTATTTGACTAGAGCATAGTGAGTGCACAAAGATGCATTTTTAGATTAATGTATATGTAAAAAAAAATAAAGTCCTGCTGCTCATGAAAATTGGAGAGAGAATAGGTTTTGGGGCTCCAGCTCCTTGCCCCAACTCCATCACCTCTTGTGAGCAGCTAATTATAGATTGAAAAGCACTGAGAATCCTCCCTGCCCCCTTCTTTGCCATGCTAAAGGAAGCATGGGTCTGAGTTTTCATTGGGTTTAAAGCCACCCATGTTTGAAAACCAGAGACAACATGAGTCTAAAATTAAAATGACCCTTATTCAGCAAAACTTGACTAGATATTGGAGCTGCAAAATCAAAACTTTTACAATTAAGCCTTGGATTCTCCTGGCTGTTTTGGCTGGTTGGGCTTTACCTCCCATCCCTGCATAGTTCAAGTATCTGTAATATGTTGCTGCATAACAAATCACTCCAAAACTTCAGGTTGGTTCAAAACTATCATCATTTATTTCCATCACCATTCTGATCCACAGGGGTCAGCAATTTGGATTGGGTTCTCAAGGATATTCTTCTGGCCTGGGATGGATTTGCTGGTCTCGAATGAGGTTTATGCATGTGTCTGAGATCAACGGTCAATTAGCCATCAGATTGATGGTCACTGGTCAATTGATGGTCAGTTAGGGCAGCCTGGGGATGGTTTTCCTCCTGGGGTAGGCTGATGGTTGGCTGGCTGCAGCAGGGGCAGTGGCGGGGGTTCTCTGACCATATGTCTCCCATCATCCATTATGCTAGCCTGGGCTTGTTCACATAGTGGTGGAGGATTCCAAAAATATCAAGGGAGAACCCTGCAGGGACTGGGCTCAGAACTGGTACTTATACTTCTACTACCAATAGCATCTCTTTCTGAATGAGAGGCACATGATAGCGAGTTTTGCAATGTACTGCAAATAGACACAGAGGTACTTGCCCAGAAGTGACGGGAAGGGAATAGTTTATTTTGGAAGCCCCATTTGCCTAGTGGCTAAATGATTCACTTATAATCCATTGACTTGTACCCATAAGGAATGATGGGAAATTGGATTCCCAGATGTCTCTTACTTCCCAACACACCCCGTAATGAAGCACAGCATAAACCCTAACCCATCTGCTGCCCTCAAGAATCAAAGGCAAACCCATTCTTTCATCAAAGGCCAGACTCCTGAGTCTCCATGTTTTCTCTCTATCTCCTCCACTCACAACACATGCCACCCATTCAACCCCACATTCTGCTTCTTTGGCAGTGCCCCTCATCTCCATGTCAGCCCAACACACACACTGCTGGATATGCAAGGAAAACTGACCACAATGGGATTCATAATGCAGATTGTCACAAAGAATAGCAGTAATGCTACCCATACCTGCATTCAAATCCCCAGCTCCACCACTTCCCACCTGAATGACCTTGGGCAAGCTACTCCACCTCTCTGAACCTCAGTTTCTTTATCTGTCACATGGAGCTGCCTTACTCAACTGTATCCATAATATAAACATGCTGAGAATACGTACTGTGTGCCAGGAACTGTCCTAAGACCTTTGCGTATATAAACCTATTTTATCATTATAACAACTCTATCAGGTAAGGTACTATTTTTATTCTTATTTTGTATAGGAGAGAATTGAGGTTCCTAGAGGTCAGTGACTTGGCCATGGCCACATAGCTACTAAGTGTCAAAGACAGGATTCAAACTTAGACAGTATGGCTCCCAAATGCTGGCTTTAGCCACTATACTTAAGTCTCATGTGGCAGATAGATTTTCATTGCAAATGACAATTCCATTTACCCTATGGTAGAGATCAGAAGGGCTATATTAGGGTAAATCATGAGGCTGAATCCTTGCTCAGTGGAGTATATGTGTTGCAATTGATTGGCAAGTTCTGCCATAGACACGGGACTGAGGAGCAGTGGTATGGTCCAGCACATAGTTTGCATCTCTGACTTATCTTCACCATACTGCTTCCAGACATTGCCTGACTCTAAAGAGTCCCCTCTGGGTTGGATAAAACACAGGACTTTACAGAATTTCTATCCAATAACTGATATTATGTATTTGCACATTGAAGGCACTCCTCCACTCCTTCGAATCCTCTTGACTTCCATACCTGATACCTCTGGACCCCTTAGTCTGGTCTCAAGGTGGATTTACAATCCACAGTAGCCTTTGGGATGGGCACACACACACTCCACTGGTTTTTGGAAGGTGGTACCATGAAGTGCCCATGACATTTGCTTATCACAAAGAACAAATGCTCAGAGGCTATGGGGAAAGGATTGTGAAACAAACAAGGAATTTCTCTGACATCTCCAAGTTTTTCTTAAAAATTCATGTGAAGTTTTTCTTAAAAACTCATGTGACTTCTACATTCGATTTCATATCACACCTATAGAAGTTAATTTTATATTACCTTTCATCATAAATAATTGATGCTCTAGGAGGATGTGTCTCATTTATCTCATGGCTTACCATGATGCCCAGGAGCTGGCCCCACCCCTTCTACTCCAGACAAACCTCAACAGGCAAATCAAAATGTAGTGGAAAGATCACAAGATTGATGAGCCATACAGACCCGGGCTTGAATCCTAGCTCTCCTGCTTACTAGCTGGATGACATTGGACAAATCCCCTTACCCTTTTAAGCCTCGAAGTTTCCTCATATACAAAATGGGGATCCTCAGTAATCCCATTACTGGGTATGTATCCAAAAGAAAATAAATCATTCTACCAAAAAGCCACATGCACTTTCACGTTCACTGTAGCACTGTTTACAAGAACAAAGACATGGAATCAACCTAGATGCCCATCAACGGTGGATTGGATAAAGAAAATGTGGTACATATATACCATAGAATAATATGCAGCCATACAAAAAAGAACAATATCACGTCCTTTGCAGCAACATGGATGCACCTGGAGGCCATTATCTTAAGTGAATTAATGCGGGAACAGAAAACCAAATACCACATGTTTTCACTTATTAGTGGGAGCTAAACACTGGGTAATCATGGACATAAAGATGGCAACAAGAGACACTGGGGACTACCTGGAGGGTATGGATGGAGGTGTGAAAGGATTGAAAAACTAGTGGGGTGACTGGGTGTTGTGGCTCATGCCTGTAATCCCAGCACTTTGGGAGGACAACGCGGGCAGATCATTGAGGTCAGGCATTCGAGACCAGCCTGGCCAACATGGTGAAGCACCATCTCTACTAAATATTCAAAAACTAGCCAGGTGTGGTAGAGCACGCACCTGTAATCCCAGCCTCTCAGGAGACTGAGGCAGGAGAATCACTTGAACCAGGGAGGCAGAGGTTGCAGTGAGCAAAGAATGAGCCACTGCACTGCAGCATGGGAGACAGAGCAAGACTCTGTCAAAAAAAAAAAAAAAAAAGAAAGAAAAAGAAAGAGAGAGAGAAGGAAGGAAGGAAGGGGAAAAAGAAAGAAAAACAAAGAAAGAAAGAAAGAAAGAAAGAAAAAAGAAAGAAAGAGAAAGAGGAAAGAAAGTAATGAGGGAAGGAAGGAAGGAGAAAGGAAGGAAGAAGAAAGAAAAAAGAAAGAGAAAAGGAAAGAGAAGGAAGGAAGGAAAGAGAGAAGGAAGGAAGGCAGGAAGGAAGGAAGGAAGGAAGGAAGGAAGGAAGGAAGGAAGGAAAGAAAGAGAGAGACACTATTGGGTACTATGCTCACTACCTGGGTGGTAGGATCAATTGTACCTCACACCTCAGCATCACACATTATACCGATGTAGCAAAGCTGTGCATGTACCCTCTGAATCTAAAGTAAAAGTTGAAATTATTTTAAAAAAAAAAAGGAGGTCTTCTAAGAATGAAGAAAACCACCTTTGTAAAAAGTTCCTGAAACCAAAAAATACTTCAGAAATGCAGCTTCCTTTTCCCTATTTTTCTGCCCTCCAGGTTTTTTCAAGGTTTCTCAGCAAGCCTTGGTGTACATCACCAGAAGGTGCTTGGGTGCTGAATTAATGAGACAAAAGGATCAGAAGCCTCTCCCCGCCCCCTCATGGACTTCCCTCCCCTTCATTTTGATTCGGCCCAAAATAACTGAACTTGGATTAAAGTTGGGTTCTCTCTTTATGTCTGGCAGCTTAGAAAGAAGATTAAAACCTTAAACCCTACAGCTGCAGTTTAGTAAAAACCAGATTCTGCCTGGTTAATTGATTTTAACTTTCAACCCCAGGTGCCATGTGTCTGCATATGATTGGCTTTTTTTGTATTATCTTGAAAATTCATATTTTAATCCAATGGTTTCTAATCTGAAAATTTTTTAAGTAATTCATGCAAATAATTTTTTAAATCAAATGGAATGAATGGATTTCAAATAAAGAGTAATTTTCCTTCTGTGTCTAATTCCCTAACCTCCACCCAGTTCTTCTCCATAAAGGCAGCAAAGAGTACGAGATTCTGATAAATCTTGACAAAAATATTCTATTTATTAAAAATAAACACAATAGCTATAAACATGGTTTTAGATGTGTATAGGTATAGATGTAGGTATATGTATAGACACAGATACAGATGTAAATATAGATATATAGCTATAGGCTCATTTTTACACTAATGGAAGCATACTATACACAGAATTCTTCATAATATATCTTAAAGATTGTTTCATTTCAGTATGCATAGATCTGTTTCATCCTTTTAATAGCTGTTTTGTTATTACTGTATGTTTTATTATTCCATTATTTGGATGAACCATCATTTTTTCACCAGTTTTCTACTAATGGACAAGTAGGTTGTATTTAATATTTTCCCATTACAAAAAATTTTATATCAGTATGCTTGCACATGGTCTTTGTGTAAAGATGATTTTACAGTTTGTAGTTAGAGTGTAGGATAATTTAATATTAAATACAAGTGGGTTATATCTAATATTTTCCCACTACAACCAATTTTATATCAATATGCTTGCACATGGGTCTTTGTGTAAAGATGTTTTTAGAGTTTGTAGTCAGAGTGTAGGATAATTTAATATTAAATACAAGCAGGCTGTATCTAATATTTTCCCATTACAAACAATTTTATATCAATATGCTTGCACATGGGTCTTTGTGTAAAGATGTTTTTAGAGTTTATAGTCAGAGTGTAGGATAATTTGTCAGTGTCCCATGCATTAATATGTTCAGTAAGCAATTAGTAGAGCAAAACAACTTACTAGACACTTATGCGTCCCACTTCAAATCTGTCACCCTTATCCAAACAGAAAAACAAGATAGTTTATTCCAGAAGTTTGGTGAATTCAGATGCAACCTATAGAAATATCTCTAGCAGGCCAGGCACAGAGGCTCAGGCCTGTAATCCCAGCACTTTGGGAAACCAAGGTGGGCAGATCACTTGAGGTCACAAGTTCGAAACCAGCCTGGCCAACATGGTGAAACCCCATCTCTACTAAAACTACAAAATTAGCCAAGCATGGCAATGTGTGCCTGTAATCCCAGCTACTTGGGAGGCTGAGGCAGGAGAATTGCTTGAACCTGGGAGATGGAGGCTACACTGAGCCAAGATTGTGCTTCTGCACTCCAGCCTGGGAGACAAAGCGAAACTCCGTCTAAAAAACAAACAAACAAGAAAACAAAAACAACAACAAAAACTCTATCAATTATCAATGGTAGATGAAAATAAAGTTTGTTTCCCATTCTTCTTCCCACTACCCTACGAAGGAACCAAGCTTTATTTTCACAGCCTCAACAGGCCTATTGCTATTTATGACAAGCCAAAAATCTTGCTTGTGCTTTCTGGGAGCTTGAAGGCTCTTCAATTTTTGAGGTTCTATAGCTATCAGATACCCTAAGGCTGAAGAATCTCTTTGCTCCTCAATTCTCTCCCCGCCAAAAAAAAATGAGTATACAAATGATTTGGGATTTTAAGTTCACACACATTACTCCTCAGACATGAAAAAACATATAGTTTATTTTATTACAGATCTGGTCTTTCCCCTGAGCCCCCACCTACTAGGTAGCAAGAAAAAAAATTAAATTTAGTCTAATTCCATGCAACAATTCAAACTATTCCTTTGGGTAATATTCAGCATCTCTGATTACTCATCTTAACCTCAAAGACCCCTGTGAGTCTCTATCTAAGCAGCCAATATCCTACTTCCATTTAGGGATTATCTTAACCCTAGACATGACCAGTAGGGTTAAGCGGACATAGCGTTGGCTATATAGCACTGGTCCTGAGTCATGGGCAACCCATCAGATGGTGTCACCAGGTATTTCAAACAAAAGCCTTCTATTGAAAGGACTTTAGAGGCAATAAAGTCTAGTCTCTTCTTAATGAGTATGGAGGCAACTGCAGAATCATAGAATGAGCTTATACCAGACCTAATTGATGCATCTCCCCAAATCTGCTCAGCCCCTCCTGGCTCCTGGTCCTTGGTTGATTGTTATATGGTGGATTAAGGCATATAGCAAAAATCACCCACATTCTTGGCTCTTTCCTGTGTCCTAGGCCTGTGCTATATAACTTTGTAATGTCCTGCTCCTAAAGGTGGAGCGTTTGCACCATCGCACGGCTCTGAGCTCAACCATGTGACTTGCTTTGCTGAAGGGATGTTAGCCAATGTGATAGAAGCAGAAGCTTGATAAACACTGGCTCAGCTGAGCTTCCTCTTTCTCATGCCCCTCACCAACTGACATGAGAACACGCCTAGGCTCATCTCATGGGTGATGAGAGACATCTGAAGAACATACGTCTGATGGGCTACCCATGACTCAGGACCAGTGCTATATAAGGTGCTCTGGTTGCCCAAACCAAGACAAGCCTAGATCTTCCAATCAAGACCAGCCTACATCTTCCAACCAAGACCAGCCTAGATCTTCCAACCAAGACCAGCCTAGGTCTTCAACAGTCAGTCTACTAGCCACCTGCAATGATGCCTGGGATAGAGGCAATGCATGGACCCAACAGCCTGTGTTCCTCTCCCCAAGGCTAATTAGATACTACTACTGCTCAGTGGCCAATCTTGCGTCAGTAGAGACTTATTGATTCTCTGAGGCTTCAGGATGGCCCAATTATTTAAGCAGGCCATACAGCCACCTGGTAGAAAGTTTGTTGCATCAAACCTCTAACATGCTGAAGAAGACAGGAATTCATTCTTAACAGAATTAACACACACCCATGATATGAGTGTGCTTTCCTACTCTAAACAGGAATACAGACTCTGTTTTCCAAAGAACCTACACTAAAGACAGTCTCTGATGGCCTGTCTTAACTTCTCATGACTCTACCACTGTTTCGTTCCCTTGATCTGACTCTCAGCTCCTCCTCTTTAGAAGGAGAACAATACCACCTCTCTGACAAGGCTATTGAGTTTTGAGAACATGCTTTTCAGCTTGCAAATGCCCAATAAGAACAAAAATAAGAGCAAAAGAGCAGCAAGATTTTATTGTGCTAACTGCTTTACATACACTTTCACACCAGCCCTATGCAGTAGGTATTAATGTAATCTCCGTTTTACACATGAGGAAACAATCTTATTGAGCAGTAGTTTTCCATAAGGGCTGATTCTTCTCTCTGCAGAGGACATTTGACAATGTCTAGAGACATTTTCGGTTGTTGTACTAGTGGGAGGGGGAGTGCTGCTGGCATCGAGTGGATGGAAACCAAAGATACCACTCAATATCCTACAATGTGCAGGACAACCCCAGCAAAGAGAATGATCCAGCCCCAAATGTCAATAGGGTCAAGTCTGAGAAACTGTTATAGAGGGAGGACAAGTGATTTCTTAAGATGATGAAACCAATAAAAGGCAAAGCCAAAATTTAAACCTGAGCAATCTGATACCAGACACCTAACATCATGCATAGGCTTTGTTTAATTATTATTACAAGCCCCTTGAATCAAAGGAACAAATAAAGGAATAGAGAGAACTTGGCAGTTCCCAAGTAAGTCAAGGATCTTTGAAAATTTGCACGCTTCCTGAAACTTTGTCTGTCTGACAGCACTAGTTTCACCACCACGGATCATTAACAAGTTCACAATCAAGAAGGCACAAAATTTATCAAACATAAATCTCAGTAGTTGAGAATTCTAACTATTGAAATATGATCTCCCTTAAAAAGAGATAAGCATGTTCTGATGTAATTAACATTCATTACCTAGTCTCTATGGGAACCCACACTATTAGTAATTAAGCTCTGGTCCCGAGAGCTCTGGTTAATCTGCCAGCCAGGTGGTAGATCAAGGTGTATTTGCATGTATGCATAAATATAGTTATTGCAACATTATTTGTAAAAGCTACAAATGGCAAACAACCCAGATGTCCATCAGTAGGGGATGGCTAAACTAATTATGATCTATTCAATTAATGGAATTCCCTACATCTCGTCAAAAGAATTGGGATCTCTATGGCATTGCACGGAGATGAAGCAGTCTTGAAGATGTTTATTGAAGTGCAAAAAGCAAGGTGTAGAACAACATGAATGATAAGTTACTACTTGTAATTTTAAGGACAGAGATTTAAATACATGGTTAAAGGAACACTAATCCATCACTTTCTCTGTTTACTTCCATGTTGAGGGAATTGTTTCATTTAACACTTCCGCCTCTCTCTCCCTATCCTTATAGCAACTTTGCAGCAGCACCAACAGCAGTAAACCTGTTGTTTTGATTCCCTGCAGCCACATGTCCTACCTCAGATGGTTCAGAGCTTGGAAGGGGCAAAGAAGACTGTCATATCTTCACTCTCATCAAACCCCCAACATCTATACATGCTTGCGAAGACACTGTGGTCTCTAGAGAGAGCCTCAAAAACCTGATTCCTGTGGTTGTCTCAGAATAACAAAGGACTCTAGAACTCAGAGGTAGAGGGATGCTTACTGCTTGAAATGTCTTAAATGTGCAGGCAATTGCTCTTAAAACGAATATTTTAATGGTCAGTTGAGGATTATTCTGAGTCAATATTATGATAAATCCATTTTGCAAACTTGGGTAGGAAATTTTGGGTTGCAGAAGCCCGCCCCTTTCTAATCTTAATGATAAGTGATAAATAGGTAAGCGTTAAGAAAAAACATAACAAGTAAAATCTCTAGTCTGCTTTCCATGGGAAAGATCAGAATTGGAGAATTTTAATTCTCAATGAAGAAATTCACTGAGGGAGTGAGGTTCTTCTCAAACATTTTTAGGGCTGAGAAACTCACTTCCTGCAGCTGGAGATTCTTCCTTGTGTTGAAACTAAATCTGGGTCTTGTAACTTGGATTGTATCTATTGATTCCAATTCTTCCCTCTAAAACCACACAACAAGAGGTCTCACCCCTGCCCCTTTCCAACACCTGAAGAGGCAATCAAGTCCCCCAAAACCTTCCTTCTCCTGGTCAAACATCCCCAATTCCTTTAACCATTCGTCATGACTCATGTCTTTGAGGGTCTCCTCACCATCCTTTCTACCTCCCTGAAACACATTCCTGTTTATAAATAGGCTTCCAGAAAACATGTGACTCTCGGAACTAAACACAGTTCTCCAGGTGTGTTATTTTCTTGGACACACTTGGTTGGCGTGAATCCTTTGAGCAGCACAATTGAGGCATGGTCATGTACAAGTTGCCCTGAAACCAGGAGCCCCTATCTCTCCATCTCTCCCACCAATATATCTCAAAAGACATCATGCAAGGCTGCCCCTTGTTTTTCCTGAATGGCCAGTCTGGTCACCTTACGAAAAAGAAAAATACGTATTTTTTAATATTTTTCATTATTAAAAAATACATATTTTTAAATGTTTCATTATTTTTATTTTTCATAATTTCAATATTATTATATTTTATATTGTTATTATATTATTATATTTTAATATTTTTCATTATACTTTAATATTTTTCATTATTTTCATAATTTTTAAATGAGTTACCTGCCCCCACTTTTCTTCTAACCTCGTCTTCAAATGCCTCCATGTTCACTGTACTCCAATCATATCAGCCAACCCAGGCAGTCTTCTCCTCAGAGACTTGGCATTTGCCCTGCCCTCTGCCTGGCTCTTCCTTCAGATCCTTATCAACTGTCTGTTTTTCAGAATCCTTTCCTGATAACTCTTTTTTAAAATGAGATAAAATTCACATAGCATAAAGTTAGCTGTCTGAACATATACAGGGTACTGGCATTCAGTCCATGCAGAATGTGGTGCAGCCATCACCTTGGTCGCATTCCAAAACATTTTCATTACCCCAAAAGGAAATCTCATAACTATTAAGTAGTCACTTCCTAATTCCACCCTTCACGACAAATGAAAACATGTCCAGCTGTACACGAATGTATATAGCAGATTTATTTATCATTACCAAAACTGGAAACAATCCAAATGTCCATTACCTAGTGAATAGATAAGCAAATTGTGGTACATGCATGCAATGGAATATTACTCAGCAATGTAAAGAACAAACCAGATACATGTAACATAAATGAGTATCAAACGCAGTATGCCAAGTGAAAGAAACCAGAAGGCCGGGCACGGTGGCTCACTCCTGTAATCCCAGCACAGGGATTGAGAGGCCGAGGGGGGCGGATCACGAGGTCAGAAGATTGAGACCAACCTGGCTTATACCGTGAAACCCCGTCTCTACTAAAAATACAAAAAAATTAGCCGAGTGTGGTGGCGGGCACCTGTAGTCCCAGCTACTCAGAAGGCCAAGGGAGGAGAACGGCATGAACCCAGGAGGCAGTGCTTGCAGTGAGCCAAGAACACGCCACTGCACTCCAGCCTGGGCAACAGAGCAAGACTCCGTCTCAAAAAAAAAAAAGAAAAAAGAAAGAAACCAGAAACCAGACTTAAATGCTTATACTGTATGATTCTATTCCAAATAAGGCAAACGATAAAGTTAAAAATCACATTAGTCATTGTCAGGCTGGAAGTGAGGGAAAAACTATGAAAAGAAGTAAGGAAGAGTACTGGGGGGATGCTGGAATATATATCTTGTTATTGTAGAGGTCTTTACATGACTATATGTGTTTGCCAAAATTCATCCGACTACATATAAAAAGGTAAATTGGGCCGGGCATGGTGGCTCACACCTGTAATCCCAGCACTTTGGGAAGCCAAGCCTGGTGGATCATGAGGTCAAGTGTTCGAGACCAGCCTGACCAACATGGTGAAACCCCGTCTCTACTAAAAATACAAAAATTAGGTGGGTGTGGTGGTGCGTGCCTGTAGTCCCAGCTACTCAGGAGGCTGAGGCAGGAGAATTGCTGGAACCCAGGAGGCAGTGGTTGCAGAGAGCTGAGATTGCACCAGTGCACTGCAGCGTGGGGAACAGAGAGAGACTTTGTCTCAAAAAGAAAAAAAAAAAAAAGAAAGAAAGGTTAATTGTACTGTATGGAAATTAAACTTCAATAAACCTGACTTTTTAAAAAGTAAAATAATAAATAAAAATAAAAATAAAGAAATCACAGCAACCCTATTTCTTTCTCTGCTTTATTTTTCTCCATTTGACTTATTATCATATCACGCTCTATATCATTTTACTTATTTATCTTTTCTGCTATCTGCTTGCCCCGACCCCCATCCCCTGTAGAAAGTAAACTACCATAAGAGAAGAAAATCAATTTTTAATTGTTTTAGTCATTGCTATATCCCCAGTGCCTAAAACAGTGCCTGGCACATACACATAAAATATTCTCAAAAAATATTTGTTAAATTAATTCATGAATGGCTTTTGCTTTCTGAATTCATGCTGATTCCTTATCACCACTTTTTTTCCATTTACTTGAAAGCCATCTGTTCCAAATTCAATCTGAAATGTGACTGGAAACTTACCAGTGAGTTCTGCAGTCACTAGTTCTAAGAATACGCCTTTTTTTAACTTAAAAAATCAAGACCAGAGAATTCATCTCAAGCAGCATTGCTGAAGGCCTTTTCTTTAGTTAAAAAACTAAGCCTGTTTCAACCCACGGGCAAGCCCATAAGCAACACGGAGGGCCGTTCTACTGCATCCCATTCCCAAAAGCCTCCTCTATCTCCATCAGCATTGATTTCCTTGCTGCTGTCATATAGCCCTGTTTTGGTTTGCCTTGCTAACCTTTGGAACTACAGTACTGGGAAGACCCCACCACTCACCTGGTTGAGTCCTGTCAAGTTGTATATGTGAAAACAAAGCCCCACAGATAAGACATAGCATAGCCAAAACCAAGCAATCAATAACTGCAAATGCTAAGACTCAATTCCTCATGAAACAATAAGCTTTCAAAGAACAGACAATAGGATAGGTGTTATTCATCTTTGCACTCCCATAATCTAGGAGATTGCCTAGCAAGTAGGAGATGTTCAGCACCTTTTGCTAAGTTAATAAATGCCTCTGCAGCCTTATTTCTAGATAAGTAATCACACCACCTATGCATCAGGCACAGAGGCTTGCACTCTCTCTGGGATGAGCCTGCAGAATGACTTCACGGATGTCTTATATCAGCTGCTGGAAGCCAGTTGCATCCGAATCCGTCTATGCTCAGATAGGTCTGGGACTGTTTCTGGGGGAGTGACTAGGCTCTGGTTTCCAATAGCCATCCATCAATGACTTAGGAGGGCTTAGGGCTTTTCCAAAATTGAGCAGCAGCCTGTATACCATTCTCTGATCATGAAGGTTGCCATTCAACTCATCCCCAAGTTGGAGTTGCCCCCAAGTCCCTAATTAGGCGTTGGGTGTCCTTAGGTTGACCTGGCCCAGAGTGTCGTGCTTTCAGGCAACTCTGAATTAATAGCTTGCTATTCTAGAGAGAAGAAAAGTGTGGCTCAGAAGCAAATGGGACTTTGCCCAGAAAATCATTTAACATCTACACCTGTTATCCCCTCTGCCCTCATCCCCAAAGCTTTCCCTGGCTGGCCCCTTCTCAGCACGAATGATATTCTTCATGGATCTCTTTCCTGGTTACACAGTTAATGTTGCTCTCCGCTGTGGGCCTCCTGTCACTATCACATCACTCTGCTTCGTTTTCTTTATCTAAAATTAACTGTTGATTTTGATTGCTTGCTGGTTCATTGTTCCTCTCTTACTAACTAGGTTATAAGTTCTGCATTACTTCCCCAGTGCCTAGAACATCAGCAGGCATATCATAGATACTCCACGATCATCTAAGAAAATAATAGTTAACCAGATGATTTCCAAAGTTGGCAGAGCTAGCTGGAAAACACCTCTGGCTAGTAAAAGGTCTTTATCTCAGCCCAGGATCTTGTAGAATGACCTATCAGTTAGTCTATACTTCCTATGTGCTGAGCGCATTTTCACAACTTTGTGTTCACCCCCCGTTTCTCAGGTAAGGAAACAGAATCAGAAAATAGCATGCCCCAAAGAGCTCAGCCTGGAAGAGGCAGAGCTGAGACGCAAACACTAGTCCATCCAAGGCCGAAGCTGATGCTCTTAAGTCCTCTGATGCTCCCACAGCCCAGCTGAGCCAAAGAACAACAACAGCAGCAAGAATAATAATAGCTGACAATTACATGGTCCTTACCTTGTACCAGGCACTGCTTTAAGTGCTTTAAGAGGGGCAGACCCGGGGGTGGAAAATAAAGTCATTGCCAACAAAAAGAGTCTATCCCAGTCCAAAAATATGGTTACTCCTCCTACCAACAAGTGTTGTTCAGTAAAATACATCAGAGCACCGGTGGACAGCACTAGGCACATCGTGGGGACTTCACCCCTCTCCCCTATCCTTCCTCATCCTCTTCCCTCCCGGTATGAAAGGGAGGTTCTCAGATTGAACATTCAGTAGCTTAAAGGGGACATGGTGCAGTATATTTGGTAAATAGCCACCATAGGCCTTTGAGGAGAACAGAGGAGGTGTTCAGGGTGGAGGGAGGAACTCCGTACAATCATCGTCAAGAATAGCAAGAGCCCAGATGGACGCATATCAAATGTGCTTCACGCACATGATTCGGCCACCCTCTTTTCCACCAAGCCAAATATCCATAATTTAACAGTTGCAGAATATAAATGTTTCCTGCTGGCTTTGCATTCCCCAACTGGGGAGGAATAGTCATCACTTGCTTGGCAGACTTAGAGGCCATCTGAACACTGCTGGGCTTCTCGGCATCCTCGAAATTGCTTTTTTAAAAAAATTTTAGATTCGGGGATATATGTACATGTTTGTTATATGGGTATCTTGTGTATTACCGGGGATTGGGCTTCCAGTGTATCCATTACCCAAACAGTGAACATTGTAACCAACAATGTAACCAACAAAGTAACATTGTAACCAACAAAGTAACATAGGTACTTTTTCAACCCTCGCCCCACCCAACCTACTTCCCCTCTTTTGGAGTCCCCAGTGTCTATTATTTCCATCTTTATGTCATGGGTACCCATTGTTTAGCTCCCAGGTATAAGTGAGAACCTGTGGCATTTGGTTTTCTCTTTGTGAGTTATAATAGTTCACTTAGGATACTGGTCTCCAGCTCCATCCATATTGCTGCAGAGGGCATGATTTCATTCTTTTTTGATGGCTACATGGTATCAGAACTGCTTTACATGGCCATGTGCCCTCTGCCTTCCAACAATGAGCAATACATGCATGAGGTTCTGTAGAGGTGGCGGGTAGCAATAGAGACAGGATGTGAAGGGTCAATGGCAGTGTCGGGTGTCAGGCTGTGCAGGCCTAAATATCAAACTAGGGCAGGTCAAACACCCTCAAGGATGCATACAGGGAAGTGTGTGTGTGTGTGTGTGTGTGTGCGCGTGCGTGTGTGTGTGTGTGTGTGTGTGTGTGTGTGTGTGTTGGGGAAGGGAGTCTGGAATAGTATTGCTCTCCATGACCACAGAAATACAATATTCCTGATCACTTTCTCTCACAGCAAGTTATCAACTCTTTGTGGCTCAGTCATTCATCACAGCCCTTCTTGGCTCATTTTAGGGTAACATGTTCTCAAAATGTGGCCTATGCAAACAGCATTCCAGGAATGCCCCAGCAACCAGAACTAGGGAGAAATGTCATCCTTTAGTTTAAAAAGTTGTCCCACACACAAGCAACACAAGTACTCAATGCTGAAATTCTAGTGCGTTTTTAAATTAAATCTTCCTTTGGGATCCAAAAAGTACTTTGGGATTTTTCAAAACCTGGACCATGGACAGAAATCTGATTTTTTAATGTCAAGGGGCTGACTTAGGGCATATCGTTTTACTCTCTTGGAGACAAGAGTTGCTGCTTTTGAATGAGTCCCAAAGGAGGCTGGTTTCATCAGTCATTTTCCATGAAAATGGAATAAATTCATATCATAATATTTTTAAAATTCTAGTTATTTATTCTTTAATTAAAAAGACATTTATACAACAATGACTAAAAGGAATTATGTCAAATTGTTAACTGGGGTTATCTTTTAGTCATAATTTTTACAGTCCTTTTTACATTTTTGTTCTTTAAGTATTTGTGCAATAAGCAGTTATTTACTGTTATAAACTTTCTATAAACATCAGGGGTTTTTTTGTTTTAAATTCCAGTTCTTTGAACTTTCTGTATCAGATTTATTTATTCAACATATATTTTTGAAGCACCTACTATGTGCTGTATCCAAGTTAGCAAACAACAGTCTAAAAGCTATGACTGCTTTGTATAAATAAAGTTTTATTGGAACACAGCCATATCACTTTATGTATTATCTGTGACTGGTTTTGCACTACCAAGGGCAGAGTTGAGTAGCTGCAACAGAGACCAAATGGCCCATAAAACCAGAAATATTTACTCTTTGGCCATTTCTGGAAAAACATTTGGTGGCCCCTGTGCTATGTGAAAGGCTTTAACTTAGGTAATAGAAATCAACTGTGAACAAAAACAAAAAAGATATCTCTCTAGGGTCATGGAGCTTATAGTTTTTGCCTAAACATTGGGGTTTCCAGTATCCTTAAAAACAGCTGTTCTGAGGGCAAGGTGTGGTGGCTCATGCCTGTATCCCAGCACTTTGGGAGGCCGAGGCAGGTGGATCACAAGGTCAGGAGTTTGAGACTAGCCTGACCAATATGGTGAAACCCCATCTCTACTAAAAATACAAAATTAGCTGGGTGTGGTGACGCGCACCCATAATCCCAGCTACTCGGGAGGCTGAGGCAGGAGAGTCACTTGAACCCAGGAGGCAGAGGTTGCAGTGAGCCGAGATCACACCATTGCACTCCAGCCTGGGCGACAAGAGCGAAACTCCGTCTCAAAAAGAAAAACAGCTGTTCTGTGGTTGCAGGAAATGTAAGCTGACATGTGGTGTTCACAGCTTTTTTCTGTGTGGTTAGAGCAGATTCTTGATGCTCCAGAGATGGAGAAACCCCAAGTCTTGTTTTCTCTCTTAGCAATAGAAGCAATATTATCCTGTGCACCTCCCCCTACCCCTGACACAGTGCCTGGTGCTTGGTTAAGCACTCAGTGAACCTCAGCTATTATTACCAGCATTGCCCAGAGGGCTCCGAAGGGCATCACCATTCCTTGCATGGGACTCGAACTTAACCCGGATTTAAGAGGTTTCTTATGTCAAGCCAGCAGAACTCATAGGTCTAGAGAATTTAATGTACTTCTCTTTATTTATCTGAAATAGCTTATTTTAGGCCCATGAAGCTGAGAGTTTCAGCAACATGCTCATGGAAGGCAAATAATTCCTAAACTCAAGCATCACCCGGTTTGGGAATAGGAAATGAGTGATAAAGAAATGAGTCTCTAGGCTGGGTGTGGTGGCTCATGCCTCTAATCCCAGCATTTTAGGAGGCCGAGGTGGGAGGATCACTTGAGGACAAGAGTTCGAGACCAGACTGATCAACATGGTGAAACCCTGTCTTTATTAAAAATACAAAAAAAATTAGCCAGCCTGGTGGTGCATGCCTGTAGTCCCAGCTACTCGGGAGGCTGAGGCAGGAGAGTTGCTTGAACCCAGGAGGCGGAGGTTGCAGTGAGCCAAGATCACACCCACAGCACTCCAGCCTGGGTGACAGAGCCGAGACTGCATCTCAAAAAAAGAAAGAAAGAAAGAAAGAAAGAAAGAAAGAAAGAAAGAAAGAAAGAAAGAAAGAAAGAAAGAAAGAAAGAAAGAAAGAAAAGAAAAAGAAAAAAGAAAATAAATAAAGAGAAAAGAAATGAATTTCCCGTCCCAGTTCAGTAAACAAGATTCCCTGTTCCCAGATGACACACACCAAACACCTTTGACTTCCACTGAACTCCATTTCCTTGGAAACAATATAATAGGATTAACAAAAGCCTGGAAGATTCTTAGAAGAGCTGCTGTTCTCTCCGCAACAGGAATGTGCTTAAGTATCCTATTAAAGAAGTGCACATTGGGTTGGCTGCAATGTTAACCTGCTAAGGATGTAGAAACACATCAGAAACAGGTGAGAGAGAAGCCAGGCTCAGAGCCTCCCCGGCAAAGGGAACTCTGTGGGTAAATGCTCTAATTAGGAGCTTGGATTCTGTTCAGTATTCAACAGGATCCATCCAAGTCTGTCTCCTTTATTCAATTAAGAAAATGATAGGAACCTTCAATTTTCCCTATCATTTAAAATAATGATAAATGATCAGGTAGAGTTTGGACATGTTTTTAAGCTCATTTTTAAGAGAAACTTCTGCTGAATTTAATTATGCCTGCTTCTGGGAAACAGTCATCAAACAGACTACTGGCAATTCAAATTGGCTCCCCCACGCAAACACACCCTTTGTCAGCGGCAATATCTGTGGCAGAATGAGTCACTCAAAACTGGGAGGGATGCTCTGCGTTTCAAAGATAAACAAAACAACAATAATAATAAACCTAACTTAGTCCAGGAAAAGAGAATAGAAAGGATTCAGGTAAGTGTTCAAATTGGAAGGAGTAACAAAAGAAGAAAAAATGAAAAAGAAAAACATCTGCCCAGCAACACTATGGAAGATGTATTTAGTGAGAGCTGCTCCACCTACCTGTACAGAATTCACTGTACTTGGAGACCTCGTTTTTTTTTGGTCTTCTGAATCGTTTTGTCTACTATGCCTGAATTTCTTTTTCCCATAGGACATACTCTGTATTGTTCAGGATTCAACTTCCCAAGATTTTTGCTTTACCTTTTTAATTTTGGAGTTATTTATGAAATGTGGAATAAGGAAAAAGAGGTGAAATCCTGCTAGCTTTTGGGGCTAGCATGGAATAAGGTTCACTTAAGACTAAAGAGCATGGTTCTTTGGTTCATATAGTCTGAGTTTAAATCTGGCTCATCAGATAAATGACCTTAAGTGAGTTAACTACCTTCTGGAGGCTCAGCTTCCTCATTTGCTATGTAGTTAATAGTAATAGTTTATCCTCATTGGGTTATTGTGAGGATCAAATGAGATAGTGCATGTAACACTTATCATAGTGCCTGGAAAACAGTAAGTACACAGAACTGTTAGCTCTTGTTGTTGTTATTAACAACCAGCCCAATCCTAAAGTGAATGCTTAAATCCTCTTAATGACATAATATACAAGTGGTTGACCAGCCTTTATTTGAAAACTTCCAAAGGTTGAAAACTCCCTACCTATATCTCTATGTATATCTATATGTACATCTATGGTTCTTAGGAAGTTTATTTATTCAGCTGAAACTCCTCCCACTGTGGCTTCTGCCCCTTGGTCTTAGTTCTATCCCTTGGGAAGCTTAAAGAGCAGGGATAATCCCTCTTTTACATTGTACTAGTGAAGGCTTGGTTTTTATTGGAAGTAATGAACACTAATTCTAGCAAGCTTTAGCATTAAAGGAAATTAACTAGAAATATCCTGGGGCATTTGATTAAATCAAGAAGAATAAGGAGGAGGAGGAAGAGGAGCAGGGCAATAAAGAAGGGGCAGAGGAATCATCATCAGCCTCCAGGAATGCAGGAACTTGGGCAGGCTTGGACCTACCTCATCAGAAGGTGTCATCAAACCTTCTGTTTCTAGCATTACCACTAACAAATCTTATCTACAGCTCCAAGAATCTTATTGGCTCAGCCTAAGTCAGGTGTCTATCCCTGGGTCAATCAACCCCAACCAGGGGCAGAGACACCTACTGAAGATCATGGTGAAGGAGGTGTATGAGGAGTAGGAAACCATCCCAAAGAAGGGTAAACTGTTGTGAATGGAGCAGCCTCCCAGCCAGGCTGTGGGAAATCCCAAGCCATGTGATTAAACCATGGCACAATCTTCTAGATTCTTGAAGAAGCTGTTCTCTAGGGTAAATATCCTCAGTCCTTTCCACCACTAAGATTGAATTAATGAAACGTACTTGTGTGATTATTTAGTGTTTTCACTAGAAAGTTGAGCTTTTTGAAGACAGAGGACCATGTCTATCTCATTCACCAACATATCCCAGCACTTAGCCAGAGGTTTGGCCACTACAGGTACTCAGATAACTGCTGAATTCATTAATTGACTGATTAACTTGTTATGTGTTATTTTTGAGAACTTTCTGGTTACTCACTTCCAAATATGGCTCTATCTGTCTCAGTCAGTTTCTATTCATGGTGAGAAGCTCCACTGTCGGTGTCCTATTTTATCTGCATAACATAGGAAGGAAGGTAAAATAACTCACAAGTCTTATTTTCAGTCACATAAAGATTTTATTTGCCCATCTGTTTTAGTTATCTATTCCTACATAACACACCCCAAAACATAGTGGCTTAAGACGACAATAGTCATTGACTTAACTCATGAATCTACAAATTGGGCAGGGCATGATGGGATGGCTCATCTCTGTTCCACATGGCATCAACTGGAGTAGTCTGGCTGGGGACAGGAGAATCCATTTTCAAGATGGCTGGTAAGTTGATGCTGACTGTCAGCTGGGAGCTCAGCTGAGGATGTAGACCACAACCTCAGATCCTCCCCACAGGTACCTCTCCATAGGCTGGTTGGACCTAGTCACAGCATGGTGACTTGGTTCCAAGAAAGAGTGTCTGAAGAAAGCAAGGCAGAGAAGTACATGACATTTTTATAATGCAACCTCAGAACTCACATAGCAACAATTCTACCACATGCTAGTGGTCAAGGAAGGGGAAGGGACATCTACCTCACCATGCTATGGAAGAAGTGGCAAGGTCACACTGAAGAATGAGCATGTGGAATAGGAGATATTATTGAGGCAATCTTTGTAACATACAATCTGCCACACCATCTCTTCTCTTGTAGCCCAGGCCATTAAGTTGAGTTTCATCATTGTCAAAATTAAACTCTGTTCCCTGGTCCTCCATTCAATCATCACTTTTTGAGTCATCTATACCTGGCATAGGATTAAACCCTGGAAGTACACAGATAAATAAGAAAACTCCCTTCCACTGGGAGTTCACAGATGGGTAGAGAAGACGGATAATGAAACTCCAATGGGATGAGTGATTCAGCCAAGGTCAGCACAAGGCAGTATTGGCAGAGAAAGAAATGATGAATTCTGTCTAGAACGGAGGCTAAATCCTAGTTTATCTAAACACTTTTCTTTAGTGGACATGGTTTCTATCCTTCCACTAGGTTACCATTTTCAGAGTCAATATGTATTCCCTTAGACAAGCGTGTGGACAGCCAGATTGCCCCTGTTGTACTTTGTGGGAGCCAAACCAACCACAACCAAAAAGGATGGGACTGCTTCACTAACAAAGGGAGTAGCAACTGGGAATGATGTCTTGAGTCTTCCATAGGAGAGAGAACCTCACAAAGCAAGTAATAATAATAATAATAATAGTAAATTTTTTCTAATACTCTTTAGTTTTCAGCACAGTTTTAGCTTTACAGAAAATTTGAGAAGACAGAAGAAAGAATTCCCATATTCATTCTTGTTCCCACTTTCTCCTATTCATAAGATTTTACACTGGTTTGGAACATTTATGATAATGAAGGAACTGATATTGATACATTATTATTCACTGAAGTCCACTGTTTATTCAGAATTCTTTCATTTTTACCTACTTCCCTTTTTCTGTTCCAGGATTCCATCCAGAACACCACATCCCACTAAGTTGATGAGCCCGTTTTGACTATAAGCAGTTTCTCAGACTTTCCCTGTTTTTGATAACCTTGGCAGTATTAAGGACTACTGGTCATGTATATTGCAGGATTCCTCTCTATTGGGATTTGCCTGATGTTTTTCTTATGATTAGACTGGGGCTATGGGTTTTTGGGAGGAAGAGGACAGGGAGAAACTGCCTTTCTCATTGCATCGTATCAAGGGCAGTTAGGATCCGCATGATTTATCACTGTTGATTTTAACCTTGATCTCCTGGCTGAGGTGGTGTTTGTCAGATTTTTCCCACTATACAGTTACTCTTATTTTCTCTCCCTCTTCATACTGTACTCTTTGGAAGGAAGTCAATATATGCAGCTCACACTGCAAGCGTAGGCAGCTTTGCTTCTCCTTCTCGAGGGCAGAGTGTCTATATAAATTATTTGGAATTGTTCTGCATGAGAGATTTGTCTCTTCTCCATTTGTTTATGTGTTCAATTATTTATTTATACCAGTAGGACTCATGGATATTTATTTTATACTTTAGGCTCTAATCCAGTCCCACACTATTTTGTTGCTCAAAGTATTCCAGATTCAGCCATGGAGAGCTCTTTCTATTGGCCTCCCTGTCACTTTGACATACTCCCATTGTTGAGAGTAACAACGACTTTTTTGCATATGTTTGGCTAGCACTCGAATAGGAAGGCCATATTCTTACGTATTGATATGGTTTAGATTTGTGTCCCCACCCAAATCTCACGTTGGATTATAATTGCCAATGCTGGAGGTGGAGTCAGTAGGAAGTGATTGGGTCATGGGGGTGGATTTCTCATGAATGGTTGAGTACTATCCTTTTGCTACTGCCCTCATAATAGTGAGTGACCTCTTGCAAGAGCTGGTCATTTAAAAGTGTGTGGCACTGCTTCCACTCTCTGTCTCTTGCTCCTGCTCTCATTATGTGATGTGCCTACTCCCCTGTCACCTTCCACCATGATTGTAAGCTTCCTGAGGCCTCCCCAGAAGCCAAGCAGATGTTGTGGCCATGCTTCCTGTACAGCCTGCAGAACCATGAGCCAATTAAACCACTTTTCTTGTAAATTACCCCCTCTTGGGTATTTCTTCATAGCAATGCAAGAAAGACCGAATACACATTTATTTCTAATTTAATTAATCAAATAAGCCTATGGTATAAGTGCCCCCATTGGCAAATAAGGAAAGAAAGATGCAGAGGGGTTCAGTAAGTTGTTGGTAGGTAAAAGGGACACCAGAGCTACCTGGAAGGGGGTTCCAATGGCCAAAGGCAGTGGCAGCTATATCATCTAGCTTCTGTTCTCCACCCCACCACCCAGTATGTACAGTCAAGAGGAAAAGCTGTCCAGAGAAAACCACCCACATGGAGGTGTTACAGACTTGTGTGCTGCCTCCTCACAGGAAGTTGTGGAAAGATGTGATGGACATGTAGGGATGGATGCTAAAGCTGACATTTCTGAAATCCAAAGGGGGAATATTTTGGAGCTTGAGTGGGTCTTCTTGGAGTCCCTCAAATTAGATTGTGTGAGCTCACTCCACCCACTGAGGAGCAAACCCTCCACACAACACACTCCCTTCCAAACCTTGGAACTCAACCCCCTCCATGTTCCCCTGCTACCCTGCAAGATGCCAAAACAGCTTCAAGGAAGTCTGCTGAGAATTGCTCATCATTTTTACACTTGGTTGGATAAAGCCCAGAGCAGAAAACAAAACAGAGACCCAAATCCCCTTTTGAAAGCCCCACAGTAACCAGAGATCAGGTCCAAAGACAGAATCCAGCCTTTCTGTGCTGCTGTATGCCCAGGAAGCTCGGGTGGGCTGTTTTCGGCCATCCATCAAGCACAGACTGGAATTATAATGTAGAGTGTTGGCTCCTTCTCCCCCAGGTTGAGCAGCAAAGGTCTTTCCTTCCGCAAATTATGCCCCTTTCTTCCAATGCTATCTTCCTGCTTCCTATTGGTTAGAAGGCAACAGCATCTTGCACAATAAAATTCAATTTTAGCAATTTCTCCGCTGCCTCCCAGAAAGGGATGAAAATTCTCAGTATGAGGGCAGCTTTTCTTTATCGGCTCCTGCTTTGGAAGATGACAACACCATTCTTTAGATTTCTTAAGGAAATAGAGCAGAGCCAAAGTAGGCTGTGGCATCCAGCTGGGGTTTAAGACCTTGTTCATAATGCTTAAAGAACTTTAAAAAATTACAAGGACAATACCTACTGTAATATGCTCATTGACATCCAAAGGAGTCCAAGTAAAGCAGGTCGTGGGTATAATGAGAGGCGAAAACCCTGAGAAATGGAGGGGGAGACACATCAGTGTGTCCCTGGGAGCTTTTGCTTTCTACTTTAAGAATAAAATTGGATGGGAGCAGTGGCTTTCAGAAGACGTCAAAGCTGCCTCAAAACTCTGGCAGGAGCTAACTTTGTTTTCTAAATTTAAAGACATTGCAGCTTCTATAATTTGTCTCCAATAAAGCTATGTCATTTTTTTTAAGTCCTGGCTTTCTTGCTAACTCACTGTGTGGACACAGTTATTCTCTTTGAGAATATTCAGTTTACTCATCTGTAAAACGGAGACACCGCACATCCTTACCTGAAAGGTACCCTCATCAGGCACTTTGACAAGGTACATACATATGTAAGATGCCCAGGGCCCTCCAAGACAAAGCAGAGGTCCACGCCTGTAATCACAGCACTTTGGAAGGTCGAGGAGGGTGGACGACCTGAGGTCAGGAGTTCAAGACCAGCCTGGCCAATATGGTGAAACCCCATCTCTACTAAAAATACAAAAATTAGCCAGCGTGGTGACAGGCACCTGTAATCCCAGCTACTCGGGAGGCTGAGGCAGGAGAATCACTGGAACTTGGGAGGTGGAGGTTGCAGTAAGTCGAGATCGTGCCATTGCACTCCAGCCTGGGCAACAGGAGTGAAACTGCAGCTCAAAAAAAAAAAAAAAAAAAAAAAAAAAGACGAAGCATTGGTCTTTCTGAAACTTAAGACGTAACAGAGAAAGTGATGTTCGTATGAACACATAATAAAAAAAATAGTCTGGAATACACACAAGAACACAAACACACAAAAGCATAAGCACCAGAGCTATTGGCAACTCACAAACTTTGCATTTCTTCCTGACCAACATACTCTCCAGAAAATAGCAGTTAAATCACTTTAAAGGGAAAAGGTGGTTATTTTCAGGAAAGGACACTTCCCTCTGGATTATGTCAAGGCCATCGGCCAAAGCTAAAAAGTATCTTGACCTTTTGCTGTGCTCTTCTCTGTAAACTTTTACCTTTGGACTGTGGCCCATTTGCATGACTTTGACCCAGGGAAGCAGAAGGAAAATAAATCAAAGTGAGTTATTTCTAGTGGAAGCAGCTATATTTAAAGATCTACTTGAGCACTCATTCATTCAACAAACATTTACTGAACTGTACTAGACGGTCAAGTACTATACTAGGTACTGAGAATACAATAGTGAGCTAAATACTTACAGCCTGGAGGAAGAGATAAAATATTTTTAAATTAACTTATGGCACAGTACTACAAGCTCTGGGATAGGGTAAACACAAGACACTGTGGGAGCCCAGATAATGCACCTCCTCTCCCATGAAGTAGTCAGGGAAGACTTCCTGGAAGAGGTGATATAAAGTAGTAGTTGGCTGGGTGAGGCAATGCAATGAGTGGGTTCAGGGAAGGGGAATATCAAGTGCAAAGGCATAAAGGTGGGAGTGGACCTATTACATTACATTTCACCATGCCCAGCTAATTTTTGTATTTTTAGTAGAGATGGGGTTTCACCATATTGGCCAGGCTGGTCTCGAACTCCTGACCTCAGGTCACCCACCCGCCTCAGCCTTCCAAAGTGCTGGGATTACAGGCGTGGACCTCTACATTACATTACACAGCTGGGGAAGAGGCAGGGCTGAAACATGAAATTGCAAAGATCAGTTTGGGTATATTATGGAAGTCAACGAATGACCAGAAGTAGATGTTAAGGAGAGAAGTGGCAGGATCAAATTTGCATTTTACGAAGAGTTCTGTGGCTGGCAACAGCACAGAATATTAGGTAGGGAAATAAAATTTGAGGATGCCCTAGAGATCTCAATCAGCAGTGAAGGCGACCGCCATTTGTAGAAAGTGTTCTACTACAAATACTCCCACATACACCTTTCATACTTAGAAAAACCAAGTGCAACTATCCCTATTTTACAGATAAAGAAATCGAAGCTCCAAAACAGAGTTTCTCAACCTCAGCCTCATTGACATTTTGGTCCAGGTAACTCTGTGCTGTGTGGGAGCTGTTCTGCGCATTGTAGGAAATTCAGCAGCATCCTTGAGCTCTACCCACAAAATGTCAGCAGAAACTTCCCACCAAATGTGACAACCAAAAACACCCCCAGATGTTGCCAAAAGTCCCCTAGGAGGACACAATGACTTCCTGGCTGATAACCACTATTCTAAAAGATCAAACCCCCAGTTCACCCAAGCGAGGATGCTAACTGGGTCCTCTGTCTCTATCAGACACACTCCCTGTCCATGCCAGCCTCATCCCTCATGGCCTTGGCCAAGAGATCACATGCATCCATTTGCCTCTAAATGACTGAAGTTTTCACTGGGAAAAGTTTTAAGAACAGATGTCACTTTCCCTAGTCATTTTGATTTTTTCATACATTAAAGCAAGGATGACTTTTTTTTTCCTATCAGCTAAAAATTGTTACCACACTGGAGGCAAAAGAGTTTTCTCTCATTATATGTGCAATTCTATACATTTTTCTTCAAGCCAGCAGAGCCCTGGCACCAAATATGAGGATGATTCATGTGGCATCATGGTCCATTCCTGCCCAATTCCAAGGGTATTTGCCAGTCTTGGGCACTGCCGTCCATTTGATGATTTGAAGTTTCCTCCTATAAGTGTGCAATTTAAAAAAAAAACAAATCATTCACCTCATGGATCTGCATCAGAAAGTTTGCTTTGTGGTGAGATCTGCAGATGCAAAAAAAAAAAAAAAAAAAAACGGGAATTTCACAGAACAGATACATGCAGCAAGAACGTGGTTGAGCCAATTTCCTCTGTTCCCTTTTTATGTGAAAGTGCAGCGGATGTGAAGACTGTCTTTCCCCTCTCAAATTACCCTGCCAGACAAAGAGAGAGTTTTTTAGAAGAGTCCCGAGCATGTAATTTTATTACTTTAGCATCGATTGTAATATAATTCATGTAATTTCTTTTGCAGGAGAAAAGTCATTTTCCTAAATACTTGGCAAAATGAGAGCTGATGGATTTTTGACTTCCACCAACTCTCTCTGTAGAATTTTCCAGTAAAAAAGGAAACACGGAGAACAGCTCAGTGCAAATGGCCTCACCTGGAAGTAGGAAGTGTTTGTAGGCCCTTTCAAGCTTGGTGATTTCTTTCCTTTATTTTATTTTATTTTATTTTATTTTTTTTTAAGATGGAGTCTCCCTCTGTTGCCCAGGCTGGAGTGCAGTGGCACAGTCTTGGCTCACTGCAACCTCCACCTCCCAGTTTCAAGAGATTATCCTGCCTCAGCCTCCTGAGTAGCTGGGATTACAGACACCTACCACCACGTCCGGCTAATTTTTGTATTTTTAGTAGAGACGGGGTTTCACCATGTTGGCCAGGCTGGTCTCAAACTCCTGACCTCAAGTGATTCACCCACCTCAGCCTCCCAAAGTGCTGAGATTACAGGCATGAGCCACCGTGCTTGGCCACTTTTCTTTTTTTTTTAGACAGAGTTTTACTCTCAAATTTTTTACTCATACCTAATACATATGGCCTCACCTGGAAGCAGAAAGGGTTTATAGGCCCTTTCAAGCTTGGTGATTTCTTTCCTTCTATTTATTTATTTATTTTTTGAGATGGAGTCTCCCTCTGTTGCCCAGGCTGGAGCGCAGTGGCGCAATCTCGGCTCACTGCAACCTCTGCCTCCCAGGCTCAAGCTATTCTTGTGCCTCAGACTCCCAAGTAGCTGGGATTACAGACACGTGCCACCATGCCTGGCTAATTTTGGTATTTTTAGTAGAGACGGGGTCTCACTATGTTGCCCAGCCTGGTCTTGAACTCCTGTCCTCAAGTGATCCACTTGCCTCAGCCTCCCAAAGTGCTGGGATTATAGGCATGAGAGCCCCACCAGCTTGGTGATTTCTAATGGCTGTATATCCCAGTAGAGACTGTCTCAAAACTGCCATCTTATAAAGATCAAACCAAGGTCAAATTTCGTGAGGGTTTCTCAACCTCCACGTTATTGGCATTTGGGATTGGATAACTCTTGTTGTGGGGGCTGACCTGTATTTTGTCAGATGTTTAGCAGCATCCTTCTCCGCTCATTTCATGACGGTTGCACATCACTCCAGTTGTGACAACTGAAAACGTCTCCATTTATTGTCAAATATGAGAACCAGTGAATTTTGCCTCTTTGTTCCAGGAGCTCCTGGTCCTTTTCCTGGGACCCGTGTAAGTATTGGAGGGGAGGACTCTGCATTCGGCACTCAAAACGAATTCATGGACAACCAAGAGATGCTAATGAGAATTAAAAAGATAAACCTACCAGGTGTCTCACACAACTACATCCTGTAATTCCTCTCCAGTACCTAAAGGTCCATCTGCATAGCAAGAAGCCAGACTCCAGCATTATTTTCCTTTCTATTATTTCTTCAACAAATGCAGTTTGTTTTTCATTTTTCATTTTTTTATTTTTAATTTTTGTGGGTACATAATAGGTGTATATATCTGTGGGGTACATGGCATGTTTTGGTACAGGCATGCAAATCGTGACAATCACATCATGGAGAATGGCGTGTCTATCCCCTCAAGCATTGATCCTTTGTGTTACAAACAATTCAGTTATACTCTTTTAGTTATTTTTTAATGTACAGTTAAGTTATTATTGGCTATAGTCAACATGTTGTGTGATCAAATAGTAGGTCTTATGCATTCTTTCTAACTACATTTTTTGTACCCATTAACCATCTTCATCTCCCACCCCCAAACCCTCCAATACCCTTCCCAGCCTCTGGTAACCATCCTTCTACTCTCTATGTCCATGAGTTCAATCGTTTTGATTGTTAGATCCCACAAATAAGAGAGAACACGCAATGTTAGTCTTTCGTGCCTGGCTTATTTAAATAAATGTTTATATAGTTTACTATATACCAGGTACTGTTCCAAGTGCTTTAAAGCAGCAACTCATTGGATCTTTGTAATAATCCTATGGGATAGGTACTATTGTCACCCCATTTCACAGATTAGAAAACCATACCTCAGAGATATTAAGTAAGAGCTAGTGATGAGCAAACTGGAATTCAGACTAAGGCATTGGATTCCATAGTCTGCACTTTTTTTTTTTAATTTTTTTTTTTTTTTTGAGACAGAGTCTGGCTCTGTCACCCAGGCTGGAGTGCAGAGGCGCAATCTGAACTCACTGCAAGCTCCTTCTCCTGGGTACAAGCGATTCTCCAGCCTCAGCCTCCCAAGTAGCTGGGACTACAGGCATGTGCCACCACGCCTGGTTAATTTTTTGTATTTTTAGAAGAGATGGGGTTTTAACATGTTAGCCAGGAAGGTCTCGATCTCCCGACCTAGTGATCTGCCCACCTTGGCCTCTCAAAGTGCTGGGATTACAGGCATGAGCCACCTCGCCCGACCCTATAGTCTGCACTCTTACTCAGTAGGCGATGGTGAGTGTGTTGGGTACTGGGGAAAGGGAAATAAATTTTCACCTGGTCTCACCTCCTGACTCTGTCATTTACCAGCAGGTGAACTTGGGCAAGTTGCCCAATGTCTCTGAGCTTCAGCCTATTATGCACAAAATGAGGACAACGACTCCTACCTCAAACGATTGCAGCAAGGACTAAACTACCACTGAGTTTGATGCCTCAGAAATATTCAGTGGATGTCAGTTACCTCTCTCATCTACTGTTTCAGAAGTGAGTCCCCATGAAACATAACAGCAGTGGTAGAAGGGACAAGTATCAACCATGAGGACTGGATCCTGCATCCAAGCCACCACCAAATCTCACCAGGGTAACCACAGTAGCATCCTGAATGGTCTCCCTGCTTCTCCTTCTACCCCTTGCAGTAGATTCTCTGTGAGGCGGTCTGTAATTATTCCCATCCCTGTATGTACACACCTTGCCATGTGACTTTGCAGTTTCTCCCATCAGGGGTTAGAGTCTGTTTACCCACGCTTTGAATCTGGTCTGGTCTTTGGAGTTGCATTGGCCAAAGGAGGGGGGTGGAAGTGACACTGACCATGCCAGCTCTGAGCGCAGTCCTCATGAGATTTTCTGCACCTCCACTCTCTCTTGGGATCCCGCCGAGCCACTGTGTGACTTGCCCAGACCAGCCTGCTGGATGATGTGAGACCACATGGACCAGATCTCAGTTGTCCCAGCCAAAGTCCCAGATAAGTGAGAGAACCCAGCCAAGAGGAGCAAAGATGACGGTGAGCCCAACCAGGAGCAGAAGAAATAACTGCCCAGCTGGGCTCGACCTAAATCACTGCGCATGAAGCATGAGCAAAATGATTCTTTTTACCCCAACTGTACCAAAACTGCTGAGTTACAAAGTGGTTTGTTATTCAGCAGTGACTGACACAACTCTCTCAAACTCCTTATCCCAATGGTAACCAGCAGCATCACTTTTGATATGGTTTGGCTGTGTCCCCACCCAAATCTCATCTTGCATTGTAGTGCCCATAAGGCCCACGTGTCATGGGAGGGATCCAGTGGGAGGTAATTGAATCACGGGGCAGTTACCCCCATGCTGCTGTTCTCATGGTAGTGAGTGAATTCTCCCGAGATCTGGTGGTTTTATAAGAGGCTTTCCCCCTTTTGCTCAGCACTTCTCCTTGCTGCCACCACGTGAAGAAGGATATGTTTGTCTCCCATTCCACCATGATTATAAGTTTCCTGTGGCCTCCCCAGCCATGCTGAACTGTGAATCAATTAAACCTCTTTCCTTTACAAATTACCCAGTCTCGGGTATGTCTTTATTGGCAGCGTGAGAACGGACTAATGGAACTTTAAAACCTAAATTGGAATATTTCAGTTCCCCGTTTATGACTCTGTAAAGGGGACTCATCAAATTTAGAATAGAATTCAGATCCCAAGCCACAATCTACTGCTTTCCGCATGATCTAGCCCCTGCCTATCCTCCAAATCTATTATCCACCACTGTCCCCATAAGTTGCCCAAAGTTACAAAGCAACTAGGTAGATACATCTGGAATTGGAACCCAGGTCTGATTCCAAAGCCCATGTTTTTCCATGTGGATATTAATCTCTGAGTACCTGTGATGGGCAAGTCTCTGCAAATTGTTTTACCACGTTTCACTTAGAGTACTCTGGCCACACTGGTGTTTATTCTGGCTCCAGCACACACCAATGGTGTTCCTGCCTGAAGTACTTTACACTTATGGTCCTCTCTGCCTGGAAGACTCTTTTCCCCTCGTGATCGAATAACTGGCTCCCTCTTGCCATCGTGGTCTCAACTCTGATGTCAACTCTTCAGACGGGATCTCCAGGTCACCCAAAAGTCACCCTCATTCACCATCACCTTCTGTGCTCCATCTGTTTTGTTTTCTTAAAAACACTTATCAGTGTCTAAAATGATGCCTGCTCCTCCAAATAGTGCAACAGCTCTCTGAAGGCAGGAATCATGCCTATGGAATCCACCATCACATTCCCAAACCCTTGCACCCGCCACCAAGCCCAGCACATTGTAGGAGTATATTAAATAACAGTCATGTGAGTAAGGACTCCAAAAAAGCCCTTTGGTTCAAGCACTCTATTCCTTCTCTCCACTATCTCTGTTTAGCCCTCCCCCAAGGCTAAGTGGCACATGAAAAATATGGGGAGAATAATGTCCTACAATCACCAGATGTGCAGCTCAAGAACAAAGTAGAATTAGACTTGCAACTTCCATCACAGGCAAACTCATGCTGTGAGGCCTTATTAAAACCAAAGAAAGCTGGTTGCTGTTGTCTTGCCTCCCCATCACTAGGTCATGAAAGAAAAGAGAAAATCAAACCCCTACCTTTCTTGTGGGTCATAACAGCGGTGGGGAAGGAATGTTGACTCTCCTCATTACTCCATAAATTGCTTAAATCTTTGTGTCCTATATATTACTTTTTTAATTAAGAAGAAATGCACAAGAGGAAAAACTCAAATCGTGTCTGTCCTGAGAGGCTCAGACACCTGCTTTGATGAACCTCTTTATGATCAGGTTTCCCCAGTAGCTTTTCTGCTGGACCTCACACCCAATAGAGAAAGAAATGAATTTTCCTCTCCTTCACCCAACTGCAGCGCTCACCCTAGCAGCCCTGCAAATGAGAACACAGGGTTCTCCTATGCACGTTAAGTATGTCAGAGGTCACCAACCACCGGCTCCCAGGCCCACACAAAGCCCATGGCTGTGTCTTTTTTGACCTCCAGTAGTATTTTCATTTCAATTAGTTGCCAACATTTAAAAGTAATATGCTTTTATATAATCTATAGTTCTAACCTTTCTTGGAAAATCAGTCCATCTGATTTCGGACCCACATTCTCATATTCCCAAAACTGGCTGCCCACTCTTGATGGGGCAAGAACTTCCCACTTTATCACCATAGCCACCCAACCCACTTCACTCATTGATATTTCCTGTCCAGATCTCGAAAGTATTAAGTTTGCAACCCCTGTTACACACACATGCACACATGTAGTAGTGAATTTAATTAATGGACTCAGAACTGTTTGGCTGATCAATAACGTTGCATGCCTTGAATAGAGATATTTTGCAAGACAATACTCTTGAATCAAATGGAAAGGGCCAAAATTATAAACTTACCCTGTATTACATCTCTGCAGCCTCTTCCCCAGAAGTCAAAAAGAAGAGGCATTAAACCAGCTGGGCATGGTGGTTCACACCTGTAATCCCAGCACTTTGGGAGGCTGAGGCCAGTAGATTGCTTGAGCCCAGGAGTTTGACACCAGCCTGGGCAATATGATGAAAGCCCATCTCTACCAAAACTACAAAAATTAGCCAGGTGTAGTGGCTTATGCTTGTGGTCCCGACTACTTGGGAGGCTGAGGTAAGAGAATCACTTGAGCCAGGAAGTTGAGGCTGCAGTGAGCAATGATTGCACCACTGCACTCCAACCTGGACAACAGAGCAAGATCCTGTCTCAAAAAAAAAAAAAAAAAAAAAAAAAAAAAAAAGAGGCATAAATCCTAATCTGTCTCCTCCCTGCAGAAACAGCATTTGCCATGATCAATAGGAAAAGATCATTCTCATAAGAATAGGGGCACAGGGAGACAAAATGGCAAGAAAATGATTTTAAAGATATTTAATGTAGCAGAGATTGCTAACTGTTCACCAAAATCCATGTCTTCTTCCCGGGCACACAGCTGGCCAACTTCTCCTATCCCCTCTTGGCTCTCATGAATGGATACAACCAAATACTAATAATGACAGGCTCTAGAGGGCAATGCATGGTACAAGATGAAAGGATCTTGGATCCCTGAATCACCACGTGGAGGTCTCTTTGAATGACCAGAAATACTCAACTTAGACTGGTATGAGAAGAAATAAACTTGTGTTGGAATCACTAGGCATTTTGAGGTCTATTTGTTGTGTCAGCTTTGTCTACCCCAAGACATTCTATAAGCTTCCAAGAAAAATGTAACTAAAAATAAAAACACACGCAGGGCTGCTTTTAGTAGTTGCCAGTATTAAGTTCCAATTGTGTGCTAAGTGCTGTATTTATTATGCTCATTGCAGCAATGAGGAAACAGATATACAAGAGTTAAGTAATTTGCCCAAAGTTACATAGCAACTAGGTGGATACATCTGGAATTGGAACCCAGGCCTGATTCCAAAGCCCTTGTTTTTCCATATGGATATTACTCCACAAAGAGTAATTACTCTCTGAGTAATATCCTATGATGGGCCACTTTCTGTGCAAGTTGTTTTTATCAGTTTTTATTTAATCCACCCCATGCACCAATAAGGGAGGCAGTATTATTGTCTCCATTTTATAGATGAAGAAATTGAGACACAGAGAGGAAAAGTGTCTTTCCTGAGGTCCCATTTGCAAGTGTAAAAATCGGACCTATAATTTCCTGACTCTTTCCACTGTCTCCTTTGGGATGGTGGGAAGATGTGGCAAGACTGAGAAATGTTGACACATTTTGTTATTTTGAAAATGAATTACAGTGTTACTAGCTCATAAATTAGAAATTATAAGCTTTTACTTTGTAAAAACTTTTTTACTTTTTAACTTTTATTTTAAATTCAAGGGGTACATGTGCAAGTTCATTATATGGGTAAATTGCATGTCCTGGGGATTTGGTGTACAGATTATTTTGTCACCCAGGTAATCAGCATAGTAACCAATAGGTAGTTTTTCAATCCTCACCCTCCTCTCACCCTCCTCCGACCCTCCACCCTCAAGAAGGTGCCAGTGTCTATTGTTCCCTCCCTATTGTGTTCATGTGAACTCAAAGTTTAGCTTCCACTTATAAGTGAAAACATGCAGTATTTGGTTTTCTGTTCCTGAGTAAATTCACCTAGGATAATGGCCTCCAGCTCCATCCATGTTGCTGCAAAAGACATGATTTCATTTTTTATGGCTGCATACTATTCCATGGTATATATGTTCCATATTATCCAGTTCACCATTGACGGGCATTTAGATTGATTCCATGTCTTTGCTACTGTGAATAGCGCCGTGATAAACATGCAAGTGCATGTGTCTTTACAATAGAATGATTTATGTTCCTTTGTGTATATACTCAGTAATGGAATTGCTGGGTCAAATGGTATAAAAAATTATATGATTCTGGGGCCGGGTGCGGTGGCTCATGCCTGTAATCCCAGCACTTTGGGAGGCTGAAGCAGGCAGATCATGAGGTCAGAAGATCAAGACCATCCTGGCCAACATGGTGAAACCCCGTCTCTACTAAAAATACAAAAAATTAGCCAGGTGTGGTGGTGCTCACCTGTAGTGCCAGCTACTCGGGAGGCTGAGGCAGGGGAATCACTTGAACCCGGGAGGTGGAGATTGCAGTGAGCCAAGATTGCGCCCACTGCACTCCAGACTGGTGACAGAGTGAGGCTCCATCTCAAAAAAAAAATTTTGTATGATTCTGTAATCATTTTGGATTGTCACACGTTACTTGTAATGCAATATAATACTATATTGTACACTAATCAAATGTGATCTTCAAGTATATAAATCTGTAAGTTACGATTACCATTCAGTAATCATTTTGTATTGACAAAATGTATATTATGCAATACAAAATGATTACAGAATGATAATTGTAATTTATATATTTATATGCTCAAAAGACCAAGTTTACCCAACATACAATACAGTGCATTATATTCTAGTGTCATATTAGACACACTACATTTTAATGTCATATGAAAGAACCTCAATAAATGCTGAATGAATTAATGCAAACAATAAATTCCTTAGACCTCCTACACATGTGCTATTTCATATTTCCATGACTTTGCTCTTTCCATTTTTTTTGGCAGGTATACCCCCTCACCCCCCACCATTGTTACCTGACTAGTTTCTGCACATCTCTGAAGACTCAGCTAAAGCATCTCTTCCTCCAGGAAGGCTTCCATGAACACCTTGGCAAGGCTAAGTGCCCCTCCACTGCATCCTACAGGGCTCTCTACCTACTTTTGTCCTTGCGTCTGCCATATTACATTGAAATCCTCTGTTTCTGTGTCTCCCCCCGCTACTCTGTAAACTCTTCAAGGGAAAAAAACTGAATATTTTTCATATTTTTAGATGGAAAATAGTAGCTCATGGTAGGGGCTCGATAATACAATTTCCTAATCTAAACAGAGGTAACACAAGCTGGAAGCATAAAGATTATCCAATGAAGTTTAAGCAAAACTTGGAGCAAGCGATCCCTGAAGAAACCAAGACCATATGATAGTAACTCCTTGCCCTGAAAATGAATCATCCTTCCTTCCCTTCCACTGGTACCCTTGCAGCCTGCAGAATCATAAACCGCATGGAGTAAAATGGACCAGACACATGGCAGGTGCACAATAAATATTTGTTGAATGAATTAAGGAATGGGTTAATGCGAGCCATTTACAGGAGTATTACCATGCATAGGATGATGAAATACCCCCAGTAACAACCAAAACTCTTCTCTATCTATGAGCCATGGTACTGAATGTCTTGGAGCCCTCTCGAATACACCTTCAGCTGCCAATGGGGGCAGCTGCAGTGCCCTTGGCCACCCCTACTTATGGATGCTCGGTTTGGAGAAGCTCACTTTCTGCGTGAGGGCTTTTCAGGGCTCCTGATGTCCTGGGAGCTGTTTATTTAGTGTTTCTTCATTTAGGGCGGATTGCTCTTTCGAAATTGCTTTGTGGTGGTGGCTGCCTCTCCTTCATCTGATTAGTCTTGCTTCTTGGAGACATTCAAGCCATTTTTTTTCCCTGTTGTACCATATGTTTTTCCTTTGAGTCTGTAGTATTTTGTGCTCAGATTCTGGAACTGTGATGTGGCATTTCTCTCCTGACGATTCCTAGCAGGTGGTTTATCTCGGCAGCTGGTAATGGCAGGGGATGGTGTGATGGGGAGAAATCGGGCAATGCCAATGCCTGTGTGTCTACAGATCCCTCTTTGACTTCCCCTCCCAGACTATTTCCTTCTTGTGTTTATTGTCCTTGCAGTTAATCTCCTCCATGTGCCAGTGTTGGCTGTTTCTTTGGCATCTATTCAAAAAATTCTGTAAGTTTCTGCCCATGGCAGAGACAAAGGGGCTCTCTGTGGAGTAGAGTCTCTATTTAAAAATGACGTAATGATGATAGGCTGGGCATGGTGACTCATGCCTGTAATCCCAGCACTCTGGGAGGCTGAGGCAGGTGGATCACTTGAGATCAGGAGTTCGAGACCAGCCTGACCAATATGGTGAAACCTCATCTCTACTAAAAATACAAAAATTAGCCGGGCCTAGTGACACGCATCTGTAGTCCCAGCTACTCAAGAGGCTGAGACAGGAGAATTGCTTGAACCCTGCCGGCAGAGGTTGCAGTGAGCCGGGATTGCACCACTGCACTCCCGCCTGGGTGACAGAGAAAGACACCATCTCAAAAATTAAAATAAAATAAAGATGACTATAGAAACATTTATTGGGTCTTACCGTGTGCCAGCAATTATGCTAAGCATGTTCCATACATTAGCTTATTTATCCCCCCTCAAGAATCATTTCAGGTTTCCTCCCCCTTCCTATCCAAATGCCTTTGGGTGGGCATAATCCTTCCTAGAGGAAGCAATGGCAGGAAAAGCAGTCAAGGCACCAACTCACTGTAAGAGATAACATATATTAGCCATGTCTTTTTTTAGTTTTTTATTTTTTTCTGCATTTTGAGCTTGGACATCTGGGTCTTGCTGGCCTGGAGGGACTTCCCCTCCCAGAGCTAGTCAATTCCTGGAGTTAGCAAACAGCTCTTCAGTGAGTGCACCTTTCGTATGCAAACCACCCAATACAGAGCCCACACCCCCAACCTCCTTCTTTTTTTTTTTTTGAGACGGAGAAATCTCGCTCTGTCGCCCAGGCTGGAGTGCAGTGGGGCAATCTCGGCTCACTGCAAGTGCCCCCTCCTGGGTTCACACCATTCTCCTGCCTCAGCCTCCTGAGTAGCTGGGACTACAGACACCCGCCACCACACCCAGCTAATTTTTTGTATTTTTAGTAGAGACGGGGTTTCACCGTGTTAGCCAGGATGGTCTGAGCTCCTGACCTCGTGATCCACCCGCCTCGGCCTCCCAAAGTGCTGGGATTACAGGCGTCCTCCTTCTTTATCTCCTGGCCCCAACCACCCCAGAGCCAGATACCAGACAGTTAGAGACATCCCCTCCACCTCAGAGCCCACTGAAATTTCCAACTAGCCAATTCTAAACCTGCTCACAATGCCTCGCCCGTTCTTTCCCATGGAAACTACAATCAAAGCTTCTGCACACATTTTCCCCCGTTCCCTCTGCCTCTTGACCAACCCTGGTGCTTCTCCATGTGCCTTCAGTAGCATGGCATGACCCCTTCTCCTGGGATCTGTGAGTACAACAAGCTATCTTTTCAAGGGCGGTCATCTGATCTGCTGGCCTTACCATACCTAAGTAATAATAACATCTCTATTTTATTCATTTCTTTATTTTTGAGATGGAGTCTCTCTCTGTTGCCCAGGCTGGAGTGCAGTGGCGCGATCTTGGCTCACTGCACCCTCCACCTCCAGGGTTGAAGCAATTCCCCTTCGTCAGCCTCCCAAGTAGCTGGGATTACAGGTGTGCACCACCACGCCTGGCTAATTTTTGTATTTTTATTACAGACGGGGTTTTGACATGTTGGCCAGGCTGGTCTCGAACTCCCAACCTCAAGTGATCCTCCTGCCTTGGCCTCCCCAAACTGCTGGGATTATAGGCATGAGCCACTGCACCTGGCCAAAATCTGTATTTTAAAATAGAGTCTAAGCCCTTTCCCAAAAGCCACCAATCAAAGAGATCTTGAGTCTCCTGGTCACAGAGTTTCCTTCCATTCAGGAGTAGCTACCAAGTAAAACCAGCTGAGACAAGGTAGGTTCATAAAACATTTAGCTCACTGACACTGACAATGACCTTGGGGAATTCCCTTCTCCTTACAACCCAAGTGCTTCCTCTGGAGATCTTTGTCTTCTCTGAGCAAGAGTCCTTTGAGGAGGTGATATCTGAGTAAAGATGTAAAATGAAATGAGGGAGTCAGCTATGTGTACATCTGAGGAAAAAGCATTCCAGGCTAAGAGGATAGCAGCTGCAAAGTCCCTGCAATTAGAACAGACATAAATTGGTCTCCTTGTAAAAGAAGCCACCTAGTTTAATGCTTTCAAGGTTTGCTAGGCCGAGTGAAAGAAGCCAGCGCAAAAAGTCACATTGTATGATTCTGTTTATATGAAGCATCCAGGATAGATACATCCATAGAGACAAAAAGTACATTGGTGGCTCCCAGGGAATGGGAGAGAGGGAAGTGGGGGTTCCTTAATGGGCTTGTGGCTTCCTTTTGGGGTGACGAAAACATCTTGGAACTAGATAGAGGTGGTGGCTGCACAATCTTGTGAATATACTGAATGCCACTGAATCATTTACTTTAAAGTGGTTAAGAGTTAATTTTTTGTAATACAAATTTGACTCAATTTTTTTAAAAAGGCGCCACGTCTGTAGTTTCTCATGTCTTTTTTTCTCTTTTTTTTTTTTTCTTTTTTTAGATGGAGTCTCACTCTTTCACCCAGGCTGGAGTGCAGTGGCACAATCTCTGCTCACTGCAACCCCCACCACCCAGGTTCAAGCGATTCTCCTGCCTCAGCCTCCCTAGTAGCTGGGATTACAGACATGTGCCACCATGCCCAGCCAATTTTTTATATTTTTGGTAGAAACAGGGTTTCACCATGTTGGCCAGGATGGTCTCAAATGCCTGACCTCAAGTGATCCGCCCACCTCAGCCTCCCAAAGTGTTGGAATTACAGGCGTGAGCCATCGCGCCCAGCCTACCCTTCTCTTTTAATTAGATTCTCCATCCCTTTGGGGATTCTGTCTTTTCCTCCCTCCCCTTGTTACTATTTTTTTTAATTTGCTTTCTCATTCCATTACCTCTCTTGGATCCACATTCAAGTGTGAATAACTTTCTTAAGTACCAATTCACCCAAAAGACAAAGCCAAAAGACTTAGTTGCCAGGCCTTCCTCAAAGAAGAACCAGTATTCAAAGAGAAACACAGGTTCCAACAGAGACAGTGTGGGGGCCAGGGAACAGATATCTTGAAAAATGCAGCAGCCCTAACTAAAAATACAACACACGTATTATTTCATCCATTTCCTGCCTCCTTTCCTCCCTTCTGCCTCCTGAGGAAAAAGATCATCATTAAGAGACTTAGACCACTTCATGCCCAGTTTTCTGTTTCTTCCAAGACTTGTCTAATCCCAGCTTCTTATGTGGACCTGAAACTGCCTTTGAAAAACTAGGACAGAGACAGTGAAAGAGATCTAACCTAACTGACTCCATCTTCCTTCTAACCACCAAGCTGTCCTTGTTCATCCCTGGGTGTAGGCTGAACTAACTTTGGGAGGAACTTAGTTTATAATTAATAAATAGTTTAAAACAAAGACATTAATAGCCTTTTCCCAAAACAAACCTCCTTCTTGACTGAGGACTAGACTGCGTTTGTAGGACTTATAAATTAGCCACAAGATTAGAAATTATGGCTTAGGGGTCATGCAGCTGGAGGCTACAAGATTCTGACCCTCCCTAAAGTGCTCCTAAGATCAGTGCTTGAGATATTTTGCTGACCTGCAGTTGAAGAATCAGCTGGCATCACTAAACTGGCTCATCTGATCTTGTGGCCCCCACCCAGGAACTGACTCAGCACAAGAGGACTGCTTCAACATCCCATGATTTCATCTCCTACCTAACCAATCAGCACTCTTGGCTCACTGGCTTCCCCCAGCCCACCAAGTTGTCCTTAAAAACCCTGATCCCCGAATGCTCAGGAAGACTGATTTGAGTAATCATAAAACTCCAGTCCCCTGCACAGCCAGCTTTGTGTGAATTACTCTTTCTTTATTGTAATTCCCCTATCTTGAGAAATTGTCTCTGTCTAGGCAGTGGGCAAGGTGAACCCATTGAGCAGTTACAGAGCTTTGACTGGAACCCTCTCCTTCCAGCTTCCTACTCTTCTCCACTTACCTCCTTCATGCTCAGGTCATGCTTGGGCTAGAAGAAGTTCTAACAGAGCATTTACCATGTTAAATCCCTGCTTTCAAACATCAGATGACTGCCCACCACTAATAAAATTAAGTTCTAATTCAAACAGGAGATGCCGTTGCAAGATGACACCAACCCATCTTTCTGGCTCTAGCCCCATTTCTAATGGACTAAGCACTGTCTTCCACATTCTTTTAAGTTTTTATTTTATGGCTTGTCTCACCATTGCCAGTAATACCTGTCTTCTCTTCCCTTTCCTGACTATCAAAATCCATCTCATCCTTCCTGGCCCACTTTTGTCACCAATTTGGGGACATCATTGCTGAATCTCATGTCCAGAGTTAACCTCCTGCTTTTATTTTCAGTAGCATTAGTCTGACTGAGGAGTTCACGGTAAGGGGTAAGAACATCTTAGGCAGACTGGGAATGACTTGAAGTTGGTGACCTTACCTTGGTTAGCTCTGTGTCCCCAGCTAACACAATGATCGGCCCCTGTGCACCAAGACATTGATTTGTTGAAATAAATTGGATTGAAAGTTCTCAAGGGCACCAACAGGATTTTTAGCAATGTGTCCTGGACTTCCTAAGCCTCATCACTTCCATAAAAATGAGATCTGCAGCAGAGACCTTGGGAACTCATTAAGTATTAGGACATTCCTATGCTCAGACACAGGCATCCATGCCCTTCGTTAAGACTCTCACAGAATGGCACCATCAGCCCATGTTCTCCTCTCTTAACTCATTAATATTTGACTTCCCTTACTTTCAGATGTCTTGAATATTTTAATTACGGAATCTTATTACATGCTCAGGGATTTTAAAAGAAACAGACACAATTTTCATAAAAGTTTTATGAATCTGACTCAATGTGTGAATATATTTCAATCTAACAAGTATTAGCAGTAATTAAAATTTATGACACATTTACTTGGTGCCAAGCATTATCTCATTTAATCCTGACTACTGTCTTAATGAGGTTCAGAGAAGTTAAGTATTTGCCCAAGGTAGCATGAAGTCTGACTCAACCAACACACTTTGCCAATTTCCAAAGTTGACAGTTGTCTTAATTTTTTACTCATACCTAATACTTATGGAATGCTTACTACATACAAGGCAATATGCTTGTTTTCAGAAATGCCAGAAAATCAATGCTACGCTCTTTCTCCAAAGGAGCCTGCAATCAATGACTGATGGGTGTAATGGATATATACCCGGCTCCCACATCCCTGGGGTGGAATAACTCAAAGGCTGTGTTATACACTGATTACCAAAGTTGCCAAATGGAATTAAGCTCCAGTGAGGCACCTGGACTACATACCCTTTAAGCTAACTTTCCTTCCCCAAATTACACCCTCACTCTCCACTGGTGTTCAATGAGCTCAACTCCCAAATAAAGCGCTTGTTTTGAATACAATTCTTGTCTCAAAATTTGTCCCTGGGGAAACCGAAACCAAAATAATACTTTCCATCTGTGTCAGCAAACTTTTTCTATAGAGAACCAGACAGTAAATATTTTTGGCTTTGTGGTCCAGACCATCTCTCTTGCAACCACTCCACTCCACCATTGCAGCACAAAAGCAGCTATAGACAATATGTAAAGGAATGAGTGTGGCTGTGTTCCTATAAAAGTTTATTTCTGGCTGCTGAAATTTGAATTTCATATAATTTTCACATGTCGTGAAATATCGTTTTTCTTTTGATTTTTCTCAACCATTTAAAAATATAAAAGCCATTTTTAGCATTGGGCAATAATTTGCCGACAGCTGCTTTACAATATTTTCTTGTAATCTTCCCATTAACCAAGAAACAACATGGTTTCCATTTTCCAGGTGAGGGAAACTGAAGTTGAGAAAGACAAAGTGGCTTTAAGATAACACACACCCGAGTCTCAACCAATAACGCTGGTCAGCAAGGGACCCCTGGGAGTGGTCTCCAGAACGCCCTTCTCAATATCTCATCACTTTGGAGAAGAAAAGGATGACTTTAGTTCCCAAGTTGGTACCTTCCTCTCTGCACATCTCAGCTCAGCCTGCTGACAGAGCAGCACGGTGACTCAACGCTCGGTAGTGGCAGCAGCTACACACAGATGCCAGCCGAAAACGGCTCGCTGGTGCACACCTTGGTAACAGCTGCTCCTCCATTTTTTGCTGAGAAACCACACAGCATCACAGCAGGATAGGAGAGCTTGAGAAGATCCCAGGGATGGCTGAGCAGCACCTTGTAGCCAGGAGAGCTGGAGCAAGCCTCAGTTCACCTACCATCTGTTGGCAGGAGACCAGCCGCATTTTTCTACGGTGTTTTTGTATATATTTAGATACACCTGTAAGTGTGATTAAGAAGACAGCACATTGCACACCCAGGAATAAACAGAATGTGGTTTGGGCAAACTCAAAGCTTGAAACATGTGAGCCAAGTCCCATGCTTAGTCAATATAGCACAACTGAAGTTCTGCCTCCTGTCATCCAGTCTGTATAACAACCCAGTGGAGTGATGCCAGCTACAATTTACATACTTTTTACCATGTGCCAGGTACTGGTCTAACACTTACAGCAGCTTATTTAATTCTCACAGCAATGCTACGTGGTAGGTCCTATTGGAAACACCATTTGATAGGTGAGGAATAAGAGTAGCCAAGTAATTTGCCCAAGGTCACGCAGCCAGTGAGTGGTAGAGCTGGAATCTGACCCAAGTAGAGCAACTCTGGAGTCTATGGCTCTAAACATTCTCAGGCCGACTGGGAATGACTTGAAGTTGATGATCTTGCGTTGGTTAGCTCTGTGTTCCAAGCTAACACAATGATAGGCCCCTGTGCACCAAGACATTGGTAAACATTTTCAGTAAAGGGCAGAGAGTAAATATTTTAGGCTTTGCAGGCTACAAATGGGTCTAAAACACTTAGTTTAAAACATAAAAACAGGCCGGGCATGGTGGCTCACACCTGTAATCCCAGCACTTTGGGAGGCTGAGGCAGGCGGATCACGAGGTCAGGAGATCGAGACCATCCTGGCTAACACGGTGAAACTCCGTCTCTACTAAAAATACAAAATATCAGCTGGGCGTGGTGGCACTCACCTGTAGTCTCAGTTACTCGGGAAGCTGAGGCAGGAGAATCACTTGAACCCAGGAGGCGGAGGTTGCATTGAGCTGAGATGGCGCCACTGCATTCCAGCCTGACTGACAGAGCGAGACTCCATCTCAAAAAAAAAAAAACCCACACACAAAAACAGTGTATAGTTGTACAAAAATATTTTCTTTGTATCCTTATTCTGTAAGTTTTTTTTTAAATAAAAGTTCTTTTTTCTTTTACTTTTTAAACTTTTTTGTTAAAAACTAACACCCAAACACAAATCTGGGCCTAGGCCTACACACTGTCAGGATCATCAATATCACTGTCTTCCACATTCACATCTTGTCCCACTGGAAGTTCTTCAGTGGCAATAACACACACAAAGCTGTCATCTCCAATGATAACAATGCCTTCTGGATACCTCCTAAAGGACCTGCCTTAGAATTACCCCCCTAAAATAACAATAAAAAGTACAGTATAGTAAATACCAGGTGGTAGGAATTTTCCAGCTCCAGAATCATAATCTTATGGGACCCCCATCACATATGCAGTCCATTGTTGACCGAAATGTCGTTACACGGTGCATGATTGTATTTGTAAAATGCTTTGAACAATACCTATCATAGAGTAAGGAGCTTCCTCTCTGTAGGGGAACAAATATGCACCGGGAAATATGTATAAGAACTCACTAAAGGCTGTAAGTATATATAAAGCATGTCAATACAACTAAAGAAGGAAAACACCGAAAAACCGACCAGCATCAGAAAATAATGGTGGAATCATTCACAGCAAGGCCAGTTAGGAAGTTAGAGCATTAATCGGGAATAAAAATGATCAGCTGCCTTAAAAGTTAATATTCTGGCTGGGCGCGGTGGCTCACACCTGTAATCCCAGCACTTTGGGAGGCCGAGGCAGGCGGATCACAAGGTCAGGAGATTGAGACCATCCTGGCTAACACGGTGAAACCCCGTCTCTACTAAAAAATACAAAAAATTAGCCAGGCGTGGTGCTGGGCTCCTGTAGTCCCAGCTACTCTGGAGGCTGAGGCAGGAGAATGGCATGAACCCAGGAGGCGGAGCTTGCAGTGAGCCGAGATCGCGCCACTACACTCCAGCCTGGGTGACAGAGTGAGACTCCGTCTCAAAAAAAAAAAGAAAAAGAATATGACAGCATCCGATGCCACCTCATGTGAGAAGGAGCTTCAGGGAGGAGTCTCCCACCTAAGTAAGTGGTAAGAAGGATCTGCACAGTGATAGATTTTTACTGAGAAATCTTCAAGGTGACTCTAGGAAGGAACTTCAGTTCTCAGGGAGGGAGCGTGACCATTCCACTAAGGTGTGTGTGAGAAAGGAGAGGGAGTCCTTCACTTTTTGCCAGTGGTGAAAAAACCCAGAGCCAACCCTAAAATTAGAAAATTAAAACTAAGGGAGTTCAAGCAGAACCATTTCCATCACACGCGGCAAGCATATGGACCATGCTGTCAAGTGAAGACCATCAAACTGAAAAGTGTAAATGAATCTGGGAGATTAGACGGATAACTGGGGAACGGAGGGAAGTGTCTTTTGAAAGCCCAGATCATGGATCTGATTTGTCACCGACAGAAAGGCTGCCCTTCACTTCTGTCTAGACCTTTGAGACAAACACCTGCCTTAGGACATTTGGTATTGCCCCGGGAAACTTTCTACAAAAAAAAAAAAATACATCCTCTAGGATATTACTCAGTAGAAAGCTCTTTTTGAAAGTGTCTGTAACAGTCTGTTGTGTGTTTTAATGAGTTGAAATGTGTGCCTGCCTTGGCTGGGATTTTAAAGAGATCCTTTCTGCCTGCTCCCTCTGGCTTCTACTAGCTCCTATTTGATTCTGCATATTCATAAAATGCTCGGCAAGGACACATCACGGTTCAAACAGGCTTTCAGCTTTGACGACTTCAATAAGCCTGTTCTTCTCGACTCGGCAGTTAATTCACTGCGCTCATAAGACACTCCGACTGGGCATTTTGAGCTGCGAGTTGGCAGAGCAAGGTGCTGATTTTAAAGGGTGGTAAGGAACGGCCTTTTGTTGGGGGACCAGAGGAGAGGGGTTTGGTAGATGGATTGTGCCCACTTCTGATGAGCATGGAGACTATAAGCCTTCCCCCATCCCAGTCTGCAAAATAGTTTATGTTTTACTTTTCTTCTTCTTCTCCTTTTAGAAGTTCTATTAAGCAAGATGGCAGCTGTCAGTGCAAAAAAAAAAAAAAAAAAAAAAAGAATGAATTACTTGCCAGTAATCTACTAAGACAAAGCTTCCCTCCTGGCTCTCAATATCATTTGCTTCTCCCCATCCCACTGTCACCATCTTACAAGGTCACTTTGACTTTTCAGTTGGTTTCTGGAGTTGGCCTCCTCTCTGGTCTCCTGGCCACCACTGTGGTCCATCTCTCTCCCTTCCATATGGCCAGAACAACATTTCTAGAGCATAGAACTTTCATTTATGTTCTCTCATTTAGTCAATAAATAACATGTTGGGCATCCACTGAGTGCCAGGCCAGGTGCTGGGCTCCAGGGAGATAAAGGTAAGCAAGGCAGACAAAGCCCTTGGCCTCATGGAGCTCCTGGTCTAACGGAGGAGATCAGTTTGATGATACCACCACAGGAATAAATGTTCTACCAGTAGGGGGAGATACTGCTGTTGCCCCCATTTCACAAGAGAGGAAAATGAGGCTTGGTGTGGATAAGTGACAAGACAAAAATCACAGAGTAGGCAGTGGAACTGATTCAAACCCCAGTGGCCTGACATGAGAACCTTAACTAACGTGTTACACTGCTTCCCTCGATGTAGTGCAAGTTGGGAAGAGGAGATGGGTGAGGGCTTAGGAAGGGCATCATGTCAGGTTCATTTATTGGTGGTGGCTGTCACATCCAGGCTTGCAGAAAAGCCCATTTTGATTGATTAGTTGTGTCTTCTATGAGGGCAGGACAGAAAAGGGACAGTACACATGCTAGTTATGCTGTGTACTCACATGCTGGAGCAGCTGAGTATATACTACTCTGCATTCCTCCTTCAGCTCAGCTCTGGGAAGCAGAAGTGTGGGCTTCTCCATGGACTTTCCTGGGCCTTCTCTGGCTGCTCCAGGACTTCTGTGTTTACAGCTCATGTTCTAGAGTTCCCACTCCATTGTAGATGTGATTAGAGAGAACAAAATAGATGCTCATTTATCAACTGACACCCTACGGTTAAAGAAACCAAGTTACCCACTATCACAGGTTCAGGGCCGGGCTGGCATGGCAAATATCTAAGTTCCTATGGCTGAACTCACTAACAATATGAGCTGTCAACCCCACTTACAACCCAGACCACTACAACTCTGATTGGACAGAGGATGAGACTTACAAACATTCTTCTCTGATAAGATATTGCAGATGTCAAGCCAGTTTCAGCAACTTATACAGGCTATGCATAAGTTGTCTCTGTGCCCTATAGTTCGCCTTTTGACGTAAAGAGCCAAATTGCATCTCATTTTAATTCTAAAACTCAACCCCAAAGAGAGCATGGGATGTATGTTGCATAGATGTTTACGAATTACACCTGTGCACGGCTCCCTCACAAATAGGCATAGCTTTCACCCCATCTGCTGAATATGTATGATACAGGCCCAGTGAGGCATAAAACCCAACCTCTCCTTCCCCTCTTCAAAGAGAGAGCACCTTCGGTCCATGCTGAAAACCCTCTCTTCCCAGCTTGCAAACTGATATCACCAATAAAGCTCTCCTTTCTACGATGTAGCCATCCTGGTGGTCTTTTTGACAACTTAGATAAAGTCAGAGATGCAGCTGAAACCCAGGTCAGCGAACTTCCCACACATTCCTTTCACCAGGCTTTTCCATTAGCTGGTTGGCTTCACCCTCATTTCCACCAACAAAACTTCAACACAGGATCAGGAACTCAATGATCTCAGACCCCATGACAAGCTTCGCACACGTGGAGGCTCCCCATTTTCAGAGACCCTTGCTACTTTGCCTATGCCCCTACAGAAACTTCATCTGCACTTGGAAAACCCAGGGCTGTCTCCCCTGTCTCTCTATTTCATACCATCTACCGGGCTAGCAGGGTCCAGAGCATCTCCGACTCTGCTAGTAGAGTTTCAGCAATTTTTTTCTTTTTTCTTTTTTTTTTCTTTTTGAGACAGGGTCTCGCTCTGTCTCCCAGGCAGGAGTACAGTGTTGCAATCTTGGCTCACTGCAGCCTCTACCTCCTGGGTTCAAGCAATTCTCATCCCTCAGTCTCCTGAGTAGCTGGGATTACAGACACATGCCACCATGCCTGGCTAGTTTTTGTATTTTTAGTAGAGACAGGGTTTCACCCGTTGGCCAGGCTGGTCTCGAACTCCTGACTACAGGTAATCTGCCCACTTCAGCCTTCCTAAGTTCTGGGATGACAGGTGTGAGCCACCATATCCAGCTGAGTTTCAGCAATTTTTTTTTTTTAAGTTTCTTTTTTTTCCTTTTTTTTTTTTTATTATACTTTAAGTTTTAGGGTACATGTGCACATTGTGCAGGTTAGTTACATATGTATACATGTGCCATGCTGGTGCGCTGCACCCACTAACTCGTCATCTAGCATTAGGTATATCTCCCAATGCTATCCCTCCCCCCTCCCCCCACCCCACCACAGTCCCCAGAGTGTGATATAAATGATGAGTTCATGTCCTTTGTAGGGACATGGATGAAATTGGAAATCATCATTCTCAGTAAACTATCGCAAGAACAAAAAACCAAACACCGCATATTCTCACTCATAGGTGGGAATTGAACAATGAGTTTCAGCAATTTTGACATGCCATCCACACCCAAGAGAGCAGAGAGAAGTGGCTGATCCTTTCCACCATGCAGAAGTTCCTGAGCTTGCAGCTTTCTTGATGAAGCGTAAATATGCGTGCTCCTTTCTCTCCTGCTCTCTCCTCTGCTCCGATGCTTAGATTATGAAGAACACTTTTGATGACTGGAAATGCATTCAGCTTTGTCTGCTTTTTTTTAAAGGTAGACTTTAAACTTATCTCTCTGGGTCTAATTATCTTTAGAGACACTAATACTTCACCTCGTTTCTCTTTGTTTTTCAGGTTGAGAGCCATCCCTCTCTGCAATAATTGAGCCACAATCCAGAACACATGAGAATTGAGGGGGCCTTCACGGAATCCAGGGGCACTTTATATAATGAGTACAGAGAAGGCTGGGTTCTTACCAAGATTTTCCAGACGCTTTAACGACCTTCAGAGTCAGTTCAGTCTGGCTGATTTTCATTCTCTTTTCTCAACTTCTCTGTTCTGAGGACGACGCTATATTACATAGAAAGCAAAGATTGCTTCTTCTGCTTTGTTTTCCAAGGCAGCTGGAGTGGCAGTTTACAGCACAGACCCCAGAGCCAGACTTCTTAGGGTGTGAATCCTGGCTGCATCCGTTACTAACTACATGACCTTGGGCAAGCTATGACACCTCTCTGGCTTCAGTTTCCTCATCTGTAATAAGGGATCAATAATAGTATCCCCAGTGAAACTATTATGAGGATGAAGGGAGTTGATATTTGTGCTTAGAGCAGGGCTGGCACATGGTAACCAGTACTTAAGTGTTTGTTAAATCAAATACATATTTTGGTTTAAAATCTTTTCTCTGACATTCCCCCCGTCCTCCCATCCATCCCGACTAACAGCTGACTGTGTCTCAGCGTGGTACAATTGGAAGCAAGGACAGACAGACACTAGAGAGGCAGCTCCCATGGATCCAAGGGAGCTGGAAGTTCTTGCCACGTCACAAGGTCTAATGAAACCTTCAGGTTATTTCTTTTTCTTTCTGCTACCTTTTTTCCACATAATGCCTTAAAAAGTTTTCATTAAATGTCAACATCTGAAAGGGGGGCTGTTTTTGTTTTTGTTTTTGTTTTTGTTTTTGTTTTTTTGAGATGGAGTCTTGCTCTGTCACCCAGGCTGGAATGCAGTGGTGCAATCTCAGCTCACTGAAACCTCCACCTCCCTTCCTGGGTTCAAGCGATTCTCCTTTCTCAGCCTCCCAAGCAGCTGAGATTACAGGCGTGACCCACCACGCCCAGCTGGGGGGCTGTTTTAAATACATGTATGGTTTTATGGCTTCACTTGAAAACCATCATAAGATCTGCCTCCCTGAGCCCATCTCCCTCCCTGCAGCCATCGATGAGTGATGGGGGCAGGTTCTCTCCTTCACCGGGCCCCGTCCCTGCCTGCATCAGTCATTTACTTCACCTGTCTGGCTGTGATAGATACTTGAGGTCATCACCCTCATCCTATGTCCTGGGTCCAACTCTGTAAGACGGAGGAACCCAAACTTAAGACCCACATATATGGGGATCTAGCCAGGTGACCTCCTGTTCCTAGCCTCGGCATCTTCATTGGTTCAGTGAGGAGTAGGCTAGACATGACATCTTGAATCTCTCTTTCTAAGGAGAACTTGGATTCTTCAGAGTGGGCTTGGAGACCACAGCAGGAAATCCTAGTGAGGCCAAGAGAGCACGACTGAGATTACCTCCAGCCCACTCACTCCAAGAACATCCATTCTTACCTGTGTTACAGATTGGGGTCCCACATAAGATTTCATTTGGAAAACAAGTTCTAGTGCTATTCTTTTAATTCACTTTCACCTGTAACATGCTGTGCTTCAGACCATTATCATCTTGAGAAAAAAACTCTACTTGGAGGCTACATTTGATTCCCAGGGCTACAATAACAGCCCCAACCCTAACCCTAATCCCAACCCAAATCCTATTTCCAAATAGTCACATTTTGAGGTTCTGAGAGGGCATATATTTGGGGGGTCATTAGTCAACCCACAACAGAGGCTAACATTAGGTAACCCAAATGAAATATTAATTTTCTTTCATTACGAGCATCTAAGCGTCCTACAATCTTTCACGAATCATTTGCTGATCACTTATGACATCAGTCCCAAACCTTTTTGGCACCAGGAACTGGTTTCATGGAAGACAATTTTTCCACGAATGGTGTGTGGGGATGGTTTTGGGATGATTCAAGCACATTACATTTATTATGCACTTTATTTCTATTATTATTACATTGTAATATATAATGAAATAATTATACAGCTCACCATAGTGTAGAAGCCCTGAGGAGCCCTGAGCTTGTTTTCCTGCAACTAGATGGTCCCATCTGGGGTGATGGGAGACAGTGATAGATCATCAGGCATTAGATTCTCTTAAGGAAGGCGCAGCCCAGATTCCTTGCATGTGTCATTCACAATAGTGTTCACACTCCAATGAGAATCTAATGCTGTCACTGATCTGACTGGAGGCAGAGCTCAGGCAGTAATGCGAGTGATGGGGAGTGGCTGGTATTGGTCCATGGCCCAGAGGTTGGAGACCCTTGACTTACTATAAATCAGACCGCAAGTTTGGGATATAAATAAGGCACAGTCTTCAAAGACTTTACAACCTTGCAGGTAAGTTACGTATTCTCAGGACTGATTTCAAACTAAACGCACCATATTTCTGTGTTATGTGGTTGCATTTTGGGAAAATACAATAAGAATTTGTCAGCTCCCCCTGCTTGTAGAAACACTCTTTATAGAGAAAATAAATGAATCTTAAGATATATGGACTTTTTTTTAAGGTAAAGGAGTAATTGGTGTATCAGCAATACAAGATAAGAATTGGCAAGGACCATTGGGTATGACCTTCCCATCCTCTTATTTTCTGTACAAAGTCCAGGGAGGAACAGGGTATTCAGTTGCATCTCCATGCACTGCTGGTTTCCCATCTCACCTGGGAAAGATGCAGCAGCTATAGTTTTGCACATTCAAGGACTCAGAATGAATTCATGTAGTAAAATAAGCAACTCAGAATGTAAAAAAAAAAGCATCTTAAAAACCTGTAAGATATGAAGAATAGAGTTTCTGCTGTCATAAGAGGAAAATTCTCCAAACTGGCTGTGTAGAGAAAACATGCTCTAATTACCTGGTAGAAATGCAATGTATTAATACACGGTTCAGTCTTTTCTGGGAACTTAGGCCTAGACGTGTTACATACAAACCATGAAAACATTTTTGTTCCCTCTGAGATGGCTCCCGGAGTGGGTCTGCAGGTGCCAAAAAAGATCCTGTCATGTGATAGATTTTCTCTTAGAAGAAAGCACTGTCAGGAAAAGACGGGAGAAGACCTGGGGGAGAAGCCAACCAGCCTCCCACTCAGAGAAGTCACCAACACTCCCTCTGGCCTCCATGAAAATCTATTCTAGCCTGGACAGGTGATGAACCAGCATAGTCAACAAAGATTTCTGGGGAAGCATGTGTTGAACAGTGCATTCGATCACTTATTTTAATATTTCTCAACTCCAGGTCAGGAAGCATGTTTTGCAACCAAACTTTGGCTTCCATTCTTCAAGGCCTCCTGGTCAACCTTAGATAATATTAAAGAGTCTCTGCACATAAACTCCCTAATACAGTCTTAGCTCCCAGGTCTTTGCAAACAGTAATGATAATAACAGCAGTTCAGTGCTAGGAGCTCTGTGCTCATTACAATAACCCTATGAGGTAGGTTCTCTTATTATCCCCATTTATAGATGCAGACACTGCAGCATGGAATGTATTGTAAGGACTTTTTCAATGACAGGTGAGAGAGAACTGACTCAATTAAAGAAATGTGTTGGTTCATGAAAGCAGGAAATTAAATTCTACAGTCATCCACAAGATGCGTGTATAATAAGAGAAAGGCAGTGAGTCCAGCCCTAATCCTGAAACTCTAATTTCCATAGCCCTTCCTTCCATCTTGTGGAAGCCAGTTGTAGAAAGAATCCTTACAGCAAAGCGATGGGATGTACGTGACCTCATGTGCATGATTACATGTGAATGATTTTGTTACGGGAGATTATAATGCTCATCTTGCAAGGAGATTTGCTCTCTTTTGCAGGCTTGATGATGTGAGAGATCATGTTGGGGAAAATCCACATGGAAAAAAAGAACTGCCCCCATTCTAAATGGTAGGAGAAGGGTGGCCTCTGAGAACTGTAGGAAGGTTCTAGGGGCTGACAGCATCCTCTAGTCTACAGCCAGAACAAAACTACTTCCTGAAGTGCTATAACTGTAAGGAAATCAATTTTGTTAACAATCTTAGTGAGTTTGGAAGCAGATTCTTCCCCAGTTGAATGTCAGATGAGACCACAGCCCTGACCATTGCCTTGATTGTGGCAGAGGACCCAGTTAAGCCATATCCAGACTCCTGACTTACAAAAACTGTGAGTTAATAAGTGTGTTTGTTCTAAGCCCCATGAAGTTATAGTAACTTGTTATGCAGCAACAGATAACAGAGCCAGTGAGCAGAAGTCCTTTCCCGAGTGTCTCCACATCTGCAGCTAGACAGATTTTGCTAGTCAGGAGAAGCAACCTGGCTTTTCTATACTCAGCAACTGTATAAATTTCACCAGAAAATACAATGTTAACATGGGCTGTATTTTGGCAAATCCTCCTTTGCCTCTAGGATTCTAAACAACTGGGTCTATTACCACCCTTCAGCAATGTGCAAATGTGACTAAATGAAAAAAAAAACCCTGAGATTTATTTGACCTTCCTTTCCTGCCAATTGCTCAATGAGAGCACTTGAAAAAGTATATTAATGTATTAGAAGACAGTTCACACATACATATACAGTCCATATCCTAGTCCATTAGAAAAATTCAATTCCATAAAATATGCTAAAATAAAACTCACTGGCTTCATCCAAAAGCACTCTCAAATAGAAGTAGGGGATGATTATAAAAGTAATTATATACCTCAAAAGTTGGCACAAACATCAACTAAAGGAACATTTTTCCCTTTAAAATATGAATACAAACAGCAAACATTAAAATTTTCAATTGAAATAAATTCAAATGAAGTGATTTTATGCCTATTTAAATCAGAAATAAAATAAGAAAAGTTATAAGAATCAAGTATCAACGAGTGTGTGAAGAAACAGGCACACTTATTTATTATGACTTGGCACTCTACATTTGAAGGAAAATAATTTGGAAAATATACGTATTTCATTAGCCATAAAAAATTCATTTACATTGACCTTCCTGGGACTTTGACCCAAGAAAAAATAAAATATCAATAGTTGTAAATGGGCAAAGATGTTTATTGTAATATCCTATAACATGGGAAAAGCACTTGAGAAAATTGCACGAAGGAGGATGGGGAAGAAGAGAAGTCTACTGGAGAAAAAAACTGAGAGGTTAAGAGAACATGGGGAAAATCAGGAAGCTTGGATCTAAAGCAGAATGAGAAGATATTCTAGAATCAAGAGAACCCCAGCCAAATGCATGTAGAAAGGCTGACTACATTTTTCAAAACTCCAACATTTATAGACATATAGCGATACTCTACTCTGCATGTCTAGTTCCACCCTATAAAGCTGACAATATTTAGGCCTAGAGCTACAATTTCCACTATGTTTGGCAAGCCAATATTATATTTGAGTGTTTTGATGGTATCTTCTTTGTGCATTGTTCTGAATTTTCTGTTTGTTTTCATTCTCGCCCACCCCACAACAAGCTCTTTTTCACCCAACTATCACCTTGGTAGATATAAGGAAGTATTGCCAAGACAAAGAATTTCCTAGTAAGAGTACTGAGGATGCCCTGCTGAAGAGTTAAGTTATATATTTCTCTCTCTCTCTCTCTCTCTCTCTCTCTTTCTCTCTTTCTCTCCCCCTCCCCAACGCCCTACTTTCTACTCTAGAGTTTTAAAAAAGCTACCTCAGTTACCCTTGGGAAGATAAATCACAACTGAAGCACAAATGTCATATTAAAAACCTTTAGAAACGGGTTTCCCAACTTCAGCACTATTGACATTTGGAATGGACAACTCTTTGTTGTAAAGTGGTCCTGTCCGTTGTAGAACATTTACAATATCTCTGACTTCTACTGATGATATGTCAGTAGCAAACACTGCCCTCTCTCTGAGGAGTTATGACAGCCAAAATGTCTCCAGACATGGCCAAAAGTTCCCAGGAGGGCAAAACTGGCCAATTGAGAACTACTGTTGTAGAAGTGATCAAGGTCTAATGTTGGAGAAGAAAAGGTATTGATTGAAGTAGGGCAACGTTGGAGAAAGAATGTCTAACATTGCAGAAAGAAGGTTATTGAGAAAGAAGAGTATCAATATCCTTTGATTTTGAGAGGTTTTAAGAGGAAAAACTGCCTCACCCCGGCAATACACACCCAGGGTGTATAGATCCCCAGGGAAAACATGGGAGACAACGGTCCCAAGTCTGAAAAGGACAAATGCTCAAATCACCTGTGCCATCCATTCCCGCCGCAGTTGTGTTTGGGACCAAATGTACTGAACATTAAGTCGCAATGTCCTCAGCCAAGTATGGCACCAGCAGATCATGGAAGGAAGATGCTCCACGTGGACCAGGCTTGGCCGTTGGACTGCAGCCCAGTGTTCCACAGTGACAGCATTGTGGTGGTGAGAGGCAATGGCAACAACCAACTGCCATCACCTCAAGTTCTCTCTGCCTGAATGGATAAGCTTATGCATAAGCCTCTAATTTTCTTGGCCAATTCATGGGGTGTGGGGTGGAGCCCCTAAAGTAGATACTGAGTTTCATGCAAATATGTCATGTGGGAACTCCCACATGTTCTTATTTTAAGGAAAAAATAAAACAATATAGCCACAGTTGTACTCTACAGTTGTGACAAATTTCATCCCAATTTCTATACATTTTGGAGTGAATTGGACAGTGCTGCATAGTACAGGTATAAGAGAAAAAGCCCTATCTTCTTGAAGTCTGCCTCTTACTAGCTATGGGTTCTTGGAGGAATTACTTTACCTCTCAGGGTCTCAGTGTCTCTAGAGGGGGCTCATGACCTCTGAGGTCCTTCCTAAATTCCCTGTATTCACACCTTTTGCTCTTAAATGGATCTTCAGTTCTATTCTATGCATCATTTCAAGCTTTGTGGTTTGGTCTTTCATATTTCACTTCAACTTTGTCATCACTTCACTTTTGTTCTTCACAAGTCGCCAGGTAGCTACAAGCTAATGAAGACTCAGAAGAAACGTCCCTGTGATGACCATCTTCACAATGACTGCTTCTAAACAACTCAAAGTCAGGAACAAGAATGGGCCCAGTATCTCTGATCCCAAGCAGCCAAACGTCAAAAGATATCTGTGTAGCACAGGAAGATAGACAACAAACCTCGAATGTCAAAGATAATCTACAATTCACTGCTCCAAATTGCGACGGCTGAATTAAGATTGGAGCTTGTTTTAGGTCTGAGTTAGTAAACAACACACTGCAGATAGCTTAACCTGAGCATCTGAGTGGTTTATTATTTTGTAAGAAAAGATAAATAAACCTTCACATGCCAGAAGAACAGTGTAAAGGTCATATTAAAAGGATGGAAAGGCTGGACACGGTGGTTCACGCCTGTAATCCCAGCACTTTGGGAGGCCGAGGCAGGTGGATCATGAGGTCAGGAGATCGAGAACATCCTGGGCAACATGCTGAAACCCTGTCTCTACTAAAAATACAAAAATTAGCTGGGTGTGGTGGCGGGCGTCTGTAGTCCCAGCTACTCAGGAGGCTGAGGCAGAAGAATCACTTGAACCCAGGAGGCGGAGGTTGCAGTGAGCCGAGATCTCGCCAATGCACTCCAGCCTGGGTGACAGAGTGAGACTCCATTTCAAAAAAACAGGATGGAAAATGCCTTGAACCTGTGCTCCCCTATCCTGCAACCACGGCAGTTATCACTAACTGATCATGGCTCAGCCTCAGAATTCTCAACACAGAACTCCAGGTAGCCAGTAGTAGTGGACTTGAGTTGAAACCTACTTGATGACCCTCATCTGGGATGATCCTCCCATTTTACAGATCAGAACCTCTAGTCATTTAAGATTAAATACATGGCCCAAGGTCATAGAACATATCAAAAGAAGAGCCAGAATCCCAAACCTTTGATTTTCTATTACTCTTTTCTATACTGTGCCACCCTAAACCTGAATAAAACATGAATTAAAAGTTGCCTTATGAGAATTAAAAATAAAGGCTGGGCGCTTTGGCTCATGCCTGTAATCCCAACACTTTGGGAGGCTGAGGCGGGCAGATCATCTGAGGTCAGGAATTTGAGACCAGCCTGACCAACATGGTGAAATCCCAACTCTACTAAAAATAAAAAAATAAAAATAAAAATAAATTAGCTGGGTGTGATGCCACATGCCTGTAATCCCAGCTACTCAGGAGGCTGAGGCAGGAAAATCACTTGAACTTGGGAGGCGGAGTTTGCAGTCAGCCAAGATTGTGCCACTGCACTCCAGCCTGGGTGACAGAGTAAAACTGCGTCAAAAAAAAAAAAAAGTTTTAAAAATAAAGTTTATCTTTTGTTCTAAAACAAAGTTTTAAAAAAACTACTACAAATGAAACATAGGACTAGCTGACCACATTTCATTTGCACTTCATCAAAAATGCTTTTTTCAACTGCCTTTCCTATTTAGTCACAGTAGATATAGAGATGGAATCTGAGTTTTCCCAGACAAAAAGTGGCAAAACTGAGGTCATTTCAGGCACTCTACTTGGACATTTTCAAGAACTAGAGAATCCCTGATGTGCTGTAATCAATTCAGAAGGTAGCATTAAGTCCCACAAAAAGTCATCATCAAGTACGACAAGATCCTTTGAGCAACAGCTGTATAACCTATTTCCCTCCAGAACTCGTCCTAGAGACTTACATGGAGAAGGTGCTCAAAAATAAACCTCAGATGGAAATTAGTGTCTGGGCCCATATTAATATGATTTAATAGTGAGCTATAAAAAATAATTAAAATTTGCCAGCATGTTCCTGTCCCTTATTGCTTATCTAATTGCCCTTGGAATCTACAAGTGGAGTCTGGTCTTAAAAAGCTCTTATCTCGGCCGGGCGCGGTGGCTCACGCCTGTAATCCCAGCACTTTGGGAGGCTGAGGCGGGCGGATCACGAGGTCAGGAGATCGAGACCATCCTGGCTAACACGGTGAAACCCCGTCTCTACTAAAAATACAAAAAAGTAGCCGGGCGAGGTGGCGGGCGCCTGTAGTCCCAGCTACTCGGGAGGCTGAGGCAGGAGAATGGCGTGAACCCCAGGGGGCGGAGCCTGCAGTGAGCCGAGATTGCTCCACTGCACTCCAGCCTGGGCGACAGCGAGACTCCGTCTCAAAAAAAAAAAAAAAAAAAAAAAAAAAAAGCTCTTATCTCGGTAAAGTATTTGTAAGAGGAAAGCGATGGGAACCAGGAGACGGGAGAGACTAAGATTTAGTCAAAGCCAAAGGTATTCTGTATGACACTAGAGCTAAGAGAACCTCTAAGAGAGATAATTTAAAAATTCTGATGGCAAATTAAAAATCCAGAGAATTTAGAATCGAGAGACCAGGAGACCAGTTAAGGACTATGATGGCAATCCCTATGAGAGATGATATACAGCCTGAACTAATAAGTCAGTGACAGTGGGAAGAACTTCCGGCATGGGGAAACTAATATGAAATCTATTGCTGGGGTAGAATCCACAGAATATGGCAACAGTAATGGAGGGAGATTGAGGAGCTGAATAAGACAATAAAGGAAAGTGGGCTGGGTGTCGTGGCTCACGCCTGTAATCCCAGCACTTTGGGCCGCCTAGGCGGGCAGATCGCCTAAAGTCAGGAGTTCAAGACCAGCCTGACCAACATGGCGAAACCCCGTCTCTACTAAAAATACAAAAATTACCTGGGCATGGTGGCACATGCCTGTAGTCCCAGCTACTCGGGAGGTTGAGGCAGGACAATCACTTGAACCCGGGAGGCGGAGGAGTTCCAGTGAGCCTGAGATTGCACCACTGCACTCCAGCCTGGAGAAAGAGCAAGATTCCATCAAAAAAAAAAAAAAAAAAAAAAAAAAAAAGACAATAGAGGAAAGTGACTTCCTTAACACAGTTGTGTGTCATTAGACTGGTAGCCAGCTGTGGGCTCGGCGTATGGCTGCCCCCATCACGTCAGCACAGCCTACAGACTTCAGCTGGTTGAGTCATAACCCTGGCTTCTTGGAACTATGTCTTTACTACTGATCATTTCTAGATTGTGGGCAGGGCTGGGGAGGGTTGGGTGGGCAGGGCTGGGGAGGGTTGGGTGGGCTGCCTCCAGTACCACTGGAGGGTTTCACTGGGTCTGTTTTCCTATGACCAGCTTGCCACAAGTAATGCATATTGCCTCGGAAAGCAGGCCACAGTCCTCAGAAGTGGATGCTGACATCACAAAGCTCCATCCGTCTCCAGGTTCCTCATCCACCTGAAAATGTCAGACAGGAAGGACTTGGAAAAACAGGATGACAAGGACCCAATCAGATGCCTTCAAAGAAAATCAGTTAAATCAGCAGCCTCATTGTTCACTGAAAATACTTTATTCCTTCATATTCTTAATCAAAACTATTCAGAGCATGGTTCTGCATGGAAAGGGCTTGGAATTCACCACTCCAGGCCAGGCGTGGTGGCTGATGCCTGTAATCCCGCACTTTGGGAGCCCGAGGCAGGTGGATTACTTGAGGTCAGGAGTTCAAGACCAGCCTGGCCAACATGGTGAAACCCCATCTCTACTAAAATTACAAAACTTAGCCAGGCATGGTGGTGGGTGCCTGTAATCCCAGCTGCTTGGGAGGCTGAGGCAGGAGAATCGCTTGAACCCAGGAGACGGAGGTTGCAGTAAGCCGAGATCACGCCACTGCACTCCAGCCTTGGCAACAGAGTGAGACTCTGTCTCAAAAAAAAAAAAGAATCCCTGAACTACACCAATATGTAGACAGTTGCTGATGACTTGGCTGGATGGTTAGGTCCCGAGTGAGACTCCGTCTCAAAAAAAAAAAAGTCACCACTCCATCCTGACAATGAGTAAAAAGCTGAGCAGACAAAAAATCAACAATTCTTCCTGGATCCATAAGAAAGTAAGGATACAGGGCAGACCACTGCCACCAAGACTGGAGAGACAGACAGGCAAATACAGCTTACTGGAGCAGAGACTCACAAGTGGAAACCACCACGCAGGAACCAGTGCCAGGGTAGGAAAACCTGAATTGCAGTTGACAAATTGCTGCAGGCTGAATGTGGACAAATCCAAGAGTTAAAATCTCCAGGGGCACCCAGTCACAAGGGGGTACCCTGCGCTTTTGTGAATTTTACCTCCAAGAGTTCAACGAGATTCTCACAGTAAATACTGGAGAAAAGTCTCCTAATGTTTACAGCATCTGGAGGGGAAAAGGAACCATTTGGAAATACTTGGAGTATTCTGTTCTTCCTAACAAGGTCTACCCTTGGGAGAAACTATTTTACCAGAGCCTAACTTTCTGGGGTTTTGTCTTACCCTAACTGACCTGGGGAAAGGAAAATTACCAACTCCAGCCAGTTCAGGCCATCCTGTCTCACCTAAGAGAGAAAGAGAGAACTGAGAAGCGCTTATGAAGTTCAAAGCCCAGAGACACAGGCTCACTAAAAGACTGAGACTTAATCATAGGACTGTAGAACACTTCCCCTCCCCTGACACTTTACCACCACATCACTTGAGGTCTATTTACAGGAGTTCCTTCTACCTGGTACATCAAGTCTAGCTATCAAGAAAAAAATTTCAGCCATGCGTGATGGCTCACACATATAATTACAGCACTTTGGGAGGCCGAGGCAGGTGCATTGCTTTGAGCTCAGGAATTTGAGGCCAGCCTGGGCAACATGGCAAAACCCCGTTTCTACCAAAAATACAAAGATTAGCTGGGCTACCGTGGTAGCTCACCCCTGTAGTCCCAGCTACCCAGGAAGCTGAGGCTGGAGGATTGCTTGAGCCTGGAAGTGGAAGCTGCCATGAGCTGAGATCACACCATTGCATTGAGTGATGGAGTGAGAGAAGGAAGGAAGGAAGGAAGGAGGAAGGAAGGAAGGAAGGAAGGAAGGAAGGAAGGAAGGAAGGAAGGAAAAGAAAGAGAAAAGAAAGAAAGAGACAGAGAAAGAGAGAGACAAAGAGAAAAGAAAGAAAGAAAGAAAGAAAGAAAGAAAGAAAGAAAGAAAGAAAGAAAGAAAGAAAGAAAAAAGAAAAAGAAAGAAAAAGAGGGATGGGGGAGGGAGGGAAGGAGAGAAGGAGGAGGGAGGGAAGGAAGGAGGGAGGGAGGGAGAGAGGAAGGAAGGAAGGAAGGAAGGAAGGAAGGAAGGAAGGAAGGAAGGAAGGAAGGGTTACAAGGCATACTAAAGGCAAAACTAGTCATCACTTGAAGTAGTGCTGTCTCTTCCCTGAGGGAGTATTGGAGGACCAGGCTGAAAAATGTTGCTGCAGAGGGAAGAGAGCCCAGTTGGGAAATTGCTGTGAAGACATAAGGAAAGTTTAGAAAACCTCTCTGAACTCACACCTGAAAATGAGTCTAATAATTAGCGATCTCACCAGGTCATTGAAAGGATGACCTGGACTAATGTGCCTATAAAACACTCTGAAGAGAGTTGCCATTGTAATACAGTCCCCTAGGTGTTCCCCCTGGGTGCTTGCAGGCCCCTTCAGTATCCTGGATTACTCCTGTCTATAATATTCACAGAGCACAGCTCAAGCCCTCATCCTGCTTTTTGTGTTTAAATTAATGACCATCTCCCAGTAGTGCTGGGTCTCAGGAGTAAGGACTACGTTGACCTGGTCACTTCTGGTGTGGTTTTTCTGCTTCTGCAGTGTTTATCATCTCCTCTCTGAAAATCTCTTTGGGGGATGTCTGCAGTCTTTTTTTTTTTTTTTTTTTTTTTTTTTTTTTTGAGAGGGAGTCTCACTCTGTGGCCAGGCTAAAGTGCAGTGGTGCGATCTCGGCTCACTGCAACCTCCGCCTCCTGTGTGCGAGCGATTCTTCTGCCTCAGCCACCGGAGTAGCTGGGACTACAGATGCCCACCACCATGGCTGGCTAATTTTGTATTTTTAGTAGAGATGGGGTTTCACTATATTGGCTAGGATGGTCTCAATCTCCTGACCTCATGATCCAAACCTCTCAGCCTCCCAAAGTGCTGGGATTACAGGCGTGACTGCGCCCGGCCTGTCTGCAGTCTTTCTACATACCTTCATTATCACACTGAACTCATCCTCAATTCTTTCATTATTCCTCCAATGCACTCAAAATGAACTTTCATTGAAGGTTTAGGATGGTGCAGAGGAATTACAGCACAGCATAAAATGGGCCAGATTAGAATTGAACTCAGATGTCACCGTCCTGGTATTCATGGACCACTCTCCATCCCAGGAAATGCATTTCTGGCCACATTCTCCAGAGGCCCCAGCTCACCATCATCCGTCTTCTGAGGCCTCTCTTTCCTTAGACCTTCCTCATCTTTTCCTTTGTCTTCCTATTCCTACAGCCCCTCACCCTGTTTTTCTATGGACTGCTAGAAAGTCAAGATTCCATTGCACCTTAATATACAGCGCAAAGAAATCCAGCCCCCTTTTATTTCACCACCACTCAGCCAGGCTTTGCGGGGTGGGTGGAGGGTGTGCCCCATATTGGAATCAAAATGTCTCTCAAGGCATTTTTCTGAACCATAGAACCTTTGACAACCTGAGATTAATTCTGCCATTCCTCTAAAAAGCAGAAAAGTCTGCAGCCAGCTTTTGTTTCAAAGACCAAAACTTCCTGCTCAACAGTACCGATGTCAAAGCATTTAGTAGAATGTTTTCTTTTGTTTGTGTTCTGTCTTGCCCACGGTACCCACCATACTTGCCTAGAACTACATTGCAGCAAAACACGAGACCACAAAGAGAGGCAGAAGCCCTATGGTGTAGCCTTTTGGTTCCTGAGGATGCTGAGGCTCAGAGAGAGAAAATTACTTGCCCCAGATGGCTCAGCAATTTAATGGCAGAGCCAGTGCCAGCAACTGGACCTGTGATGACCAATTTAATGTCCTCTCCAGCTTTCCAGCAGTTTCCACACTTGAGGATAAGTCAGAATCACCTGAGGCAGATTTATCACTGGAGATTTTGAGTCAGTGGGTGTATATTGGTTAGGATGCTTGGGCTGCAAGAGGTGGAAACTCTAACTCAAACAGTAGAAGAGTTCATTATCCCACATAATAGGAAATACACAAAGAGGGCAGTTCTTAGAGCAGGTTGATCCGGGCACTCAGTGGTGTCATGAAAAACCCAGCTTCTTTCAGCCTCCTCTCTGTTCTCTTTACTGTTGGCTCCATCCTCAGGTCTCAGGTGTCAGATGGCTGGAGCAGCAATTCCAGGTAAACATTCTGAGTCCATAGCCCCCCAAGGAAGGAAGGAGGCTATCTTTTCCTTTTTTTTTTGGAAAGATAAAACTTTGTCTGGATCTTTCAACAGGTTTCCCTTTTCCTCTCACTGGACCAAGTTGTATCAAATGCCCATTATTGAAGCAAGCACTGGCAGGAAAAATAGCAATTTCCTTGAAAGCAGTCAGACCACACCTACCTAAGATTAGTTTTCCTGGAGTTGTATGATGTCATCGTGGAGGGAGGTACAACTGAACCACAGAAGCATGATCCTGTGAAGAAAGAGAAGAGAGTGGGTGGGTTCCCAGCACTTTCTCCTGCTGCAGCTGAGTCCCCATCTATACCTGGTGCCTCTGGGACAGCCCTTGAGAAGAGTAATGCAGCAGGTCACAGAGAGCCCAGGATCTTGGGCTTTTCGCATGTGACCTTCCTGATCCTTATAACCAGAAAGTCTGGGCAGCACTGACTTCAGCCTGGTTTCTTGGTTTCATTTCTATACTGAGAACGTTCCTAGGATGTTCAGACAACTCAGGAAATGCCACATTATTTTCTGATTTCAGCTCCTCGAAAAGACTGTTATGTAAATACTTTTTAAAAAAGAGATTTTAAAAAAAAGACATGTTAAAGCAAGCAGTAAATTATACATGTGGATTAAGATGTAACCACAAGGATTTTCATAGCAACAGTCTCTACAGTAATCACGAAAATCAATCTAAACATCCCCCAATAGGGAACTGGTTAACTATTCCATGTTCTAACCACACAGTGGAATTTTAAGTAGCCATTAAAATTGATGAGATATTTCTAAATGTGTTGACCCAGAAAGAGGATCATGGCATAATGTCAGGTATAAAAGCAGGTTACAAAATAGGTTCGATGTGATCTCATTTACATAGAAGTTTATGTGGGTGTGTGAGTGTGTGTATGAGAAAGCTTTGAGTGTGTGTGTGTGTGAGCATGTGTATGTGTTTGCGAGTGTGTGTCAGAGTGAACATGTGTATGCGAGAGAGAGAGAGAGTGCCTGTGTGTGAAGGTGTGTTCAGAAAAATCTAGAAGAATATCAAAATGTAACAGAGATCATCTCTGGATAGTAGAAATTTGGAAGGCTTTTCTCTTTCCCCTTTATACACACACACACACACGCACACACACACACACAGACATATATATATATATATATATATATGCACTGTGTGAATTTTGTTTTTATAATGAGCACACATAATTTTTACAATGCAGGAAGCTCTTTCCTGGTTTCTGTGACTTTCAAGGAAAGCTTTGAACAGGGGCAGGTGCCACAGTGAAACGTCCCCCCACCCCTTAGCCTTTGTGATGGGAAAAGAGACACGGGTCATGAGCCGCCTGACTATAAATGAGCACGGCTTCTTTTTTTAAACGTTTTTGTCTGTAGCCTATAGTCACTCACTCTGCTCAAAAGAACCTGAAACTGTGGACCCCCTCCTGGGCCCTAGGGGAGACGTTTGCCCCAGTTTTCCACTTTCTAGATGCCTCTTTACCCGCCCACAGCAGGGATTTTCAAAAGCATCTAGAAACTTTCAGAAGGATCTGCGGTCAACTGAGCAATCTCCCCATGAATCATCCATAAGAGAGAACGGAGAACGGTTCTCTGCCCTGAGATCAACACTGTAGCAGCCGCACACCTTTCCAGACTCCTTTGAAAGGGCTCCAGAGGTCACCTGTTATCATGCTGTCCAGAAGGAAATCATGAATCAAAACCATCTTTTCCCCTCTTAGCCTCTCCCACTCTGGGGCCTTCCCAGAAGGACACAGCTCAAAACCCACCCACACCCATCGCAAATCCTTTAGCCACAACAGGAAGGCGATGAACCACAAGGGAAAGGCATGAACATTGTCATTTCGAGATATTTGAGGGCTGGAACCATTGGCACTGAAAATGCTGGTTTGTACTTCATGGAGTTCTGCTGAAAGTTCCAGCAGGTTTGCTCTTAAAATGTGCTAATTAATTGAACATGGCCAGGGAAACATTCAAGCACTTTAAGGAATGATCAATAAATAGGATCTGAAGAGGTGAGCCCTGTTCTGGAGGACAGTGTCAAAGGCACTGTGTGAAATCACTTAGAAAGGTGCAAGGTGAACCATCCAACCCTGACTTTGGCAACACCTTTGCTCTTTCTAGTGTAAAGGGTATGTATGTGAGACAATCGTATGGGCAAAGGTACTGGCAATCTTTAATCAACTGCTTTCCCTCACTCCTTCATCCAGAGCATCAGCAAAACCTCATAGCCCTGCCTTTCAATATTCCAAGCCCATTGTATTAATATCAATCAAGTTTCAACAGAAAAGTAGAGCCAAAGGACATATATATGTTGAGATTTATTGCCAGGAATTGGCTTAAGAGATTGTAAGCACTGACTAGACAAGTCCCAAATCCGCAGGACAGTGCACCAGGAAGAACACATTGGAACTCTTGGGCACAGGCTGAAGCTGTGGTCTTCAGGCAGAATTTCTTCTTCAGTAGGGGAGTCCAGCTCTGCTCTTAAAACTTTTCAACTGATCGAATCATGCCCACCCAGATTATCCAGGATATTCTTCCTTATACAAAGCCAACCAATTATAGACTTTAATCACAGCTACAAAATACCTTCACAGCATCGCCTAGATTATTGTTTGATTGAATCACATGGGGCTATAGCGTAGCCAAGCTGACACATCAAAAGATCATCACACATCTCAAAGAGATGGCTGTTGCACTCCTATGCCCATTGCAGCTTTATTTACAATAGTCAAGATGTGGAAGCAACCCAAATGTCCATTGACACAGGAATGGATAAAGAAAGTGTCATACATATATATATGCAATGAAATATTATTGAGCCTTAAAATAAAATAAAATCCTGCTATTTTCAACAACGTGGATGAACCTAGGGGATATTATGCTAAGCGAAATAAGCCAGTCACAGAAGAACAAATATTGCACAATTCTACTTATTTGAAGTATCTAAAATAGCCAAACTCACAGAACCAGAGAGTCGAATGGTGATTGCTCTGGGCTGGGGGAGAGGGAAAACGGAAATTGTTTTTCAATGGGTACAAAGTTTCTGTTATGTAAGACGAGTAAGTTCTAGAAATCTGCTATTTGACATAGCAGCTATAGTTTACAATGTGCTGTTGTGCTCTTTTAAATATGGTAAGATGACAGATCTCATGTAAAGTGTCCTTGCCGAAGCTCACACATAAACATAACACAAAAGAACACACAGATATTTTCTGGAGGTGATGGATGTTTACTGCCTTGGTTGTGGTGATCACATGGTGGTGAATGCATATATCCAAACTCATCAAAATGTATATGTTAAATGTGTGCAACTCTTTATCAATCTCAATAAAGCTAAAAAATTAAAAATTGTTTTAAAAATCACACCTGTCCACCTCTCATACTCTTCTGCCACTGAAGTATCCATCACTCACACCTGGACCACTACAATGGACTTCTCGTTGACTCAGCAGCCAGAGTGACCTTGTTGAGATCGGATTTGCCATCCTCCACTTAAAACCTTCCAAAGACACATTGTTCACGGAATAAAACCCAAAATCCTTACCAAGTCCACTGAGATCCTCCCGGATCTGACTCCTGCCTACCTTTTTGAGTCACCTTATACAACTCAGAGTTACTCTTTCTAACTGTGGCCCTGCCAGCCTGCCCTTGGCTTTTTTCCTGCCTTGGAGACTTTGTAAGTGCTTTTAACTCCATCTGGAAAATGTCTGCAGGTTTTTCCTCACTGACTCCTTCTTGTCTCTCAGGACTCAGCTCAACATTTAGGAAGACTTTCTTTGTTCACCCTGTATATTATGCCTCCCACCCCAAAAGCATCCTCTATCATTCCAAATTATTTTTCTTCCTTTATAGCATAGATCACTATCTGAATCTTTTATTTATTTGCTTCCTTGTTGATTGTCTGTAGTGTGTAGGCTCTGAATGCAATACGTGGACGTGTTTTGTTCATCCATGGGTCCTCAGTCCCTGACACAGTGCCTGTCACCTAGTAGGCATGCTATAAAGTTTTGTGATATGGATGATTGGATGGAAATTACAGAGACCTTTAAGCACCGTATTCTGCTAAAATCCCAGTGTATGGATGAGGATATGGTGTGGGATTTGGTTTAAAAATATGAGAAGGGGAAAAGTGGTATGTAGAGCTGAAACAAGATCAGCCATGAATTAATAATTGTGGAAACTGGGTGGTAGGTACATGGGGGTTCATTATACTATGTGTCTACTTTTGTATGTGTTTGGAATTTTCCAGGATGAAAATGTTTTGAAAAACGAACACCAGGCCAGGCACGGTGGCTCATGCCTCTAATCCCAGCACTTTGGGAGGCTGAGGCAGACAAATCACCTGAGGTCAGGATTTCAAGATCAGCCTGGCCAACATGGTGAAACCCCATCTCTACTAGAAATAAAAAATTAGCCGGGCATGGTGACAGGCACCTGTAATCCCAGCTACTTGGGAGGCTGAGGCAGGAGAATCGCTGGAACCTGGGAGGTGGAGTGCAAGATCACACCATTGCACTCCAGCCTGGACAACAAGAGTGAAACTCTGTCTCAAAAAAAAAAAAAATGAAAATAAAATAAACACCAAGTTTAAACATCTAACCAGAAACAGTATCCCACAATTGCCTGATTTTGTCCTCATTTTTTAGCTGATTGAAGTCAATTACTCTCAACCATGGGTTGTGAGTTGTTTTGGCTCCCAAGGGACATTTGGCAATGTCTCAAGACAGTTTTTGATTGTCACATTGCGGTGGGGAGACCTCAATGCATGGGACGGCATTGATTTACCACAAACAATTATCTGATCCCCAGATGTCAATAGTGCCAAGATTGGCAAACCCTCATGTATGTCATTTAGAACCACGTCTAGAAGCTGACCCTAAAACAGGGTAAATATCCGCAGTCAGGTCAGAGGCCGAGCCACATAATAGACAACTTCAACATCACTGGCAATCAAGCAAATTAAAATGAAGGCCCACTTTCAGCATGTTGCAGTAATGAAGATGTTTGAGATATGCTGGCTAGGGTACAGGAAGACCAACATGAGCCATGATGCTAGCCCATTGCTAGAGAACGTATAATTGGTCTGACTTTTCCAGAAAATAACTGAGCAATAGATAGCAAGCTCTTTACAATGCTCATACCCTTTGACCAAGTAATACCACTGCTAGCAATACACCCTAAAGAAAAAATCAAGGAAGCAAAAACTCAAAGCAACCTAAATGCCCAACAGTGAGGGAGCGACAACAAACTAAAATACGGAGCAAGGCATTTTAAATAAAATTTACAAATTTTTAATGACACAAGGAGGTACTTACAACACCATGCTCAGAGAAAAGAGCAGAAATAAATTAAGTATTCAAATATTCATCCATAAAAAATGAAATTGTGTCTTTTGCAGCAACATGGATGGAGCTGGAGGCTATTATCTTAAGCAAAATGGCTCAGACACAGACAGATACTGCATGTTCTCACTTATAAGTGGGAGCTAAATAACGTGTACACATGGATGCAGAGTGTGGAATGATAGACAACAAAGACTCAGCAGGGTGGGGGGAATGATGAGAAATTATTTAATGGGTACAATGTACATTATTCAGGTGATGGATACCCTAAAAGTTCTGACTTCACCATTACACAACCTATGCATGCAACGAAATTATACTTGTACTTCATAAGTTTATATAAATACAAATAATAAATATGATAAATAAGCATTTTAAAAATAATTAAGTGTTCTTCATGATCTCGACTATGTAAAAACTAATAAAATGTGTTCTGTGGAATCATATAAAAATTCTTTGGCCACCTTTAAACTTTGCCAAACTTTTAAATATTTTTATTTGACTAAAATAGTCCATATGAGTTAATATTTTCAGTCACAAATTGTAAAACACCCAACTCAAACTTCCGTTGCCATGATGGGAATTTGTTGACTTATGTAATGGAAAAGTCAAAAAGTAGGTTGAGTTACAGTCAAAGCATAATCCAGACACAACAATACAGTCACCAAGGACCTGGTTTCTATCTGTCTCAGGGCTCTGCCTTCCAGAAGTTGGCTTCATCCTCTGACTCCAAGCAGTGATCCTTGATCATCCCTCCCACACCACTCCACACACACACACACACACACACACACAAACACACAGACACATGCTCTCTGTCTCATGATAGCTAAACAACAGAAGCTATTCCACATCTCACATTCTCATTCTCAAACGCATCTTACAAAATAAAGAAAGAGTCTTCTGACAACTTGAGCACAAGTCTGAAAATTCACTTTTCCCATTGGCCTGAATTATATAATGTGCCCATCCCTGACCCAGTCACTGTGGCCAATGGTGCACAACTTGCTAATTGCCTTGCACCACCCACTGTAGCAAGAATGTCAACTCCATCCAAATCATGTGGCTGAAAATGGCTGTATTAATCCATTCTCACATGGCTATAAAGAATACCACCGAGACTGGGTAATTTATGAAGGAAAGAGATTTAATGGACTCACAGTTCTGCATGGTGAGGAGGCCTCAAGAAACTTACAATCACGGCAAAAGACAAAGCAGGCACATCTTACATGGCAGCAGGCGAGAGAGAGAATGTGCAGGAAGTGGAGAGGGAAGAGCCCCTTATAAAACCATCAGATCTGATGAGAACTTATTCACTATCACAAGAACAGTATGGGGGAATCCACCCCTATAACCCAATCACCTCCAACTGGGTCCCTCCCTTGACATATGGGGATTATAGGGATTACAATTCTAGAGGAGATTTGGATTGCAACACAGCCAAACCACATCAATGGCAGAGGGTGAATTCCACTAAGCAAAGTCAAGGTCCTTTCTGTTGTGGCGCAAAGTGGATGCTGGAGAGTCCTCCAGTAAATGTCCCTAGGACGTGTCTTGCTAGGGAGGAGCTATCTAGCCATGGACTACATTTCCCAGCCTATCTTGTGTTTAGGTTGGACACAGGACTAGTTCTCGCTAGTAGAATGAAAATGAAAGTGGAATTAGAGTACTCTGAGGCCCTAGAGGAGAGAGGAACAGAAGATAGAAGGAGGCTTCCTCCCCGTTTCACTGCACAGAAAGCTACCTGCCCATTGGAAATATCCACATTAAACCTATTTGAATAAGCCATTGATATTTATGGGGGTTTTTTTGTTATAGCAGCTAACATCACCCTAATACATACCTTACAAGTGTATATTACTTTTACATAAACATAATAATAATTGTGGTGGTTAAATTTATGTGTCATCTTCAGTGAGCCATGAGATGGCCAGATTAAACATTGTTTCTGGGGGTGTCTGTGATTGCTTCTGGATGGGACTGGCATTTGAATCAGTGAGCTCAGTAAGGTAGATTTCCCTCCCCAAAGTGGTTGAGCATCATTCAATCCACTGACGACCTGAGTAGAACAAAAGGCAGGGGAAGCAGGAATTTGCCCTTTTTTTCCCTGCCTCACTGTTTGAGCTGGGACATCTCATTTCATCTCTTCCTCCCGTTAGATTGGGATTTATTCCATCAGCTCCTCTGGTTCTCAGGCTTCAAACTCAGACTGAATTGCACCACTGGTTTCCCTGAGCCTCCAGCTTGCAGAAAATAGGTTGTGGGACCTCCCTACCTCCATAATAGCATAAACCAATTCCTCCTTATTTATACTAACCAATGGTAGATACTATTGGTTCTATTGCTTCTATTTCTCTGGAGAACCCTGACTAATACAATAATAATTTTTTTAAATGGGTCATGTTTCAGGGGAAAAAGTCATAAGTTTGTTGTCCCTAATTTGTGTATGCATGATAGGAAGACATAAAAGAAGTCATAATTAATAGGCAAGCTAAAATAAAGCCAAGAAGCTTTGAATAGAGCCTGGTATTAAATATACCACTTGTACAAGCTTACGGGAGAGGAGATTTCAAATGCTCCTGTCAGAAGTTTCTCAGATCAAAGAACTTGATTGACATCTAGAAGATTAAAGGCTATCTGATCCACAGATAAAACAATCAATCTCCTAGGCTAGAGATTTATATAAAAACAATTATGCCTCCATTTTTTTAATGGCTGTATTCCTGGAAGAGCCACTTATTCCTTTTCTTTTACCTTGTATTCAATAACTATTGAGTGTTATTGAATGTGCCGTGTTTGGTTGAGTGCAAAAGATCCAATGAGAATGAGTTCTAGTTCTTTCAAAGAATTTATAGGCTTGGGACTTGGGTGGACTAATACACAGGAAATTATCAAAAGGGAAAGAGAGAGAAGTGCTATGATTGGCTGATTTAAAAACCCATAGAAAGGACACTCAACCTACTCTTGATGGCATAGCAGATACAATCTTGATGGTATAGCAGATTAACAAGACTAATCTTGTTCATCCTCACCAAATATTCTATATTGCCCCCTATATTTTCCACCTTTCTCTGCAGTTACAATGGAGTCATGTGACTAATTCTGACCAAGAGACCGTGAGCAGAAGTAACACATGTCACTTCCTGGTCAAAGTCATTAGGAGCTGTTCTGCTTCCTCTTCCTCTCTCCCCTCTTCTCTCTTCAGAGAGCTTGAAGTCCACGTGTTTCAGATGCCCCAACAGCAGCATGGCGGTATAGGGCTGCTCAACCTACATGGCACTTTATGTGAGTGAGAAATAAGCTTTATTGTGTTTAACTTTTGGGATTTCAGGTTTGGCCCGTCATGCAACTGGTGTAATTATCCTGATACAAGAGGTCAGAGAATGCTTCCTGAAAAGGAGAACTGAAAGGGTAGAAGCTTAAATGAAATTAGGCAGGCAGAGATATGGCTGCAAAGAGTAGTCCGTGAAGAGGAAACAGTGTCTGCCAAGCTTTGAAGACGGTTGCTTGTAAATAGAGTTTGGGTTTAAAGGGGTCCTTTTTATTATTATTATTAATTTCCCTTGGATATTTACAACTTTACTCATATCCATTTCTTCATATTCAATGGCAGGAATTTCTAGCTTTTAATTGAAGCTTCTCAGCTTATTGTTCCCCATCTTCTCCTTCTAGCAGCTAATGACCAGTAAATAAATCCACAAGGGCCCAGCCTAGCTGCTGTTTAAACAAACATTTTATTTAAACACTCTGCAAAGAAGTCCTGCACTCCAGCCTAGGCGACAGAGTGAGACTCTGTCTCAAAAAAAAAAAAACAAAACAAAGGTGTTAGAGTGTTCATTGGAACATGTTTTCTAATAGCAAAACACAGGGGAAAAGCATGAATGCTCATCATGGGGGTGAGTGGTTAAACAAAATGTGGTTCAGTCATACAATAGTGAGAATTACACACAGTGCTTACAAATAATGAACCAGGTCTCTCTTATCACATGGAGCAATCTCAAAAACATTGAGTGAGAAAAACAAGTTGTAGAATCACACACACACACACACACACACACGCATACACATACAAAATGATACCATTCACAAAATTATTAAAATCCATTAAACTGTATATTGTTGATGTATTAGCCACAAGTTTAAAAACATAGGTCAGGAGCATTTACACCATCTTCATGAAAGTGATTGCTTCTTATGAATGAAGAAAGGAACAGAGTGGAAGCGGCTGTCCTACTTTGGGCTCTTCTGAAAACAGAGCCTGAAACAAGGAGTCTGATGCAAGTAGTTTATTGGGGTGGCAATTGCAGGAAGATAGTAAGGATGCAGGGAAAGAGAGACGGGAAGGGGAGTAAGTCAATAAAGTGTGTATTAATCTAGGGCAATTGGGACTCAATCTCAGCAGGAACCTCCTGAATAGCCATGCCTCAGAATCAATCCACTAAGGGACAAGGCAGCTGGGATAATTATTTTCCAACTCCCTTCTCTCATTGATCGAGGATTGACCTTGGGGCATTGCGCCTCCAGTCCTTTGGGATTGCCCTGTGGACGGGCTAAGCAAGCTCTCTCGCCACTAGAGGGAACCCTGGGGCAGAGAAACGTGTGCTCCAGGGCGTAAGCAGTCAGCGTGCCTGGAAACCATCCACCATAGCTGCAAGAGGCCTAAAGAGATTGGCCAAGGGATGTGGCATGGGATACTAATCATATCTGCTACATGGGAAAAACTGTATCAGCAATGTTTTGCTTTATTTTTAAGAAACATCTGAAGTAAATAAAATAAAATGTTAATATTTGTCAATTCTACCCAGTGGTTGCATGGGTGGCTGCTATATTATTCTCTGTTCCTTTTTGCATTTTGTCTTTAAATTTTACAAATTACATTCACAATGTTGTAAAACCACCGCCACTGTTTTGCTTTATTTTTAAGAAACATCTGAAGTAAATAAAATAAAATTGTTAATATTTGTCAATTCTACCCAGTGGTTGCATGGGTGACTGCTATATTATTCTCTGTTCCTTTTTGTATTTTTTGTTTAAATTTTACTAATTACATTCACAGTGTTGTAAAACCATCACCACTGTCTATTTCCAAAATTTCACCACCCTAAAGAGAGAGCAATAAGCAATAACTCCTTATGCTCCTCTCCCTTGGCCTTTGGTAACTTCTAATCTACCTTCTGTCTCTATAAATTTCCCTATTCTAGATATTTCATACAAGTAGAATCACACAATATTTGTCCTTTTTGTTGGCCTATATCACTTAGCATAATGCTTTCAAAGTCAATCCATGTTGTAACATGTATCAGAACTTTCTTTCTTTTTATGGCTGAATAATACCCCAGCGTGTGTGTGTGTGTGTGTGTGTGTGTGTGTGTGTGTACCACATTTTGTTTATTTATTCATCTGTTGATGAACTCTTGGGTTGTTTTCACCTTTTGGCTATTGTGAATAATGCTACAATAAACATTGCCATGGAAGTAACTATTGGAGTCCGTGTTTCCAATTTTTTGTTGTATACCTAGGAACAGAATTGCTAGGTCATATGGTAACTCTATGTTTCATTTTTTGAGGAACCACTATACTCCTTTCCATAGCATCTAAACCGTCCTACATTCCAACCAGCGCTTCATAAGGGTTCCAATTTCTCCCCATCCTCGCTAACACTATCTTCTCTTTGTTGTTGTTGTTGTTATAGCCATCCTAGTAGGTATGAAGGGATATTTCACTGTGGTTTTGGGTTGCATGTCCTTAATGATGATATTGAACACCTTTTCATCTACTTATTGGCCATTTATGTATCTTCCTTGGAGAAATGCCTATTCAAGCTTTCTGTATTCTTAAACCTTTTCAAAATAAAAATGTAAGGTCCTATAGCATGCAGTGGAGCCTACTATTTGAAAACAACTTCTGCTTTTTCTAGTGAAGTTACTTTCTTGATTTTTCTAACAATCAAAATTTTTCTCTACTTTGTCTCTCAGCAGATTTCAGTTTCAACTGCATCATCCATTCCATCAATCAGCAAGTTTGCTAAGAGAGCTTTCGTGAAGCTACTTTGCAACATCTAAGTGACAAGCAAATCCAACTTTAGGCAAAGGTCCAATAAGTCACACTCCAGGAGATAGCAACAAAAGTAAAATCAAGTAGTGATGACTTGTCAACCTATCCTTTATTCTGGACTAAAGGGATGTGGGCTTTTTCTTTTGGTTTTAAGTAGGAAAATGATCTCTTCCCATCTCCTAATCACAGAACAAGAAACGAAGGGAAGGAAGATTAAAAAGGGTAGGGTAGTCCCTCCAAAAATACACAAAAGCATCAATTGTAGTTTACATCAAAATTCAAGTCCCATGAAGTTTATCAAAGTTTGTAGTATAACTGTATCTCTCTACTAGAGTTTGAACCAAGCATTTTTTCTCTTTGCTGGCATGTCTATTGTTCCAAGTTCTATGGGAATAATGGGGTTTATTTAATATTTTCCACATCTTCCCTACTTGTCAGTTATTTCTCTCCCCCTTCCTCAAACCCCTGAGAAACTCCCAAACACTTTCTATATTGTATTCACGAGGAGGCAACACTGTGGGACTGGGTTTGGGCATGGAGTGTAGCCTGCAGACTATCAAGGGTTGGAGTCTTGGCTTTGTCATTTAATATCGTTGTTGTTGATGCTGCTGTTGGTGCTAACTTCTCTAAACTTCAGTTTCCTTTTAAAGTCTGTTTTAAAAAGGAAAACTATTACTACAAATAACCAAAATATCAATTTTATCTAGTTTGAACAATAAAGACAATTTAATATATCTCATTTAACAGGAAGTCTAGGGATTTCCGAGATTGGGCGGGATTCAGAGCTGGTTTTTTTCAGCCACTCGATGATATTGTTAAGGACCTAGGTTCTTTCCATCTTGCTACTCTGCCAGCCAAAGCATTAGTATTATCTTAAAACCAGTTTCCTTGTAGCTGTAAGAAAGCTGTTAGCTATAAACTTCTCTGTATATATCTCCCAGAAGGCAGCAACATTCTCCTCCAATTTGGTGATGGGTAGAGAGGTTTTTCCTTTAGATCGATTGGGAAGAACCAACAAAAACATTACTGGAACTAATAAGCAATTATAGCAAAGTTGCAGAGCACAAGGTTAATATAGAAAAGTCCATTGATTTCCTATATACCAGCAATTAACAAATGGAATTTGAAACTAAAAACACAATACCATTTCCATTAGCACCCCCTCCAAAAATTAAATACTTAGATATAAATATAACAAAATATGTATAAGATCTATATAAAGAAAACTACAAAACTAATGAAAGCAATACAAGAACTAAATAAATGGAAAGATATTCCATGTTCATGGATAGAAAGACTCAATATTGTCAAAATGTCAGTTCTTCCTTGCTTGATCTATAGACTCAATACAATCTCAATCAAAATCCCAGAAAGTAATTTTGTGAATATTGACAAACTGACTCTAAGGTTTATATAGAGAGGCAAAAAGAAAAAAAAAAGAAAAAGAAAAAACAGAATAGCTAATACTGTAAAGCTACAGTAATCAAAATAGTGTAGTACTGGTAAAAGAACAGACAAATACATCAGTGGAACAGTACGGAGAGTACAGAAATAGGCTCACATATATAAACTGATCTTTGACAAAGGAGTAAAGTCAACATAATGAAGAAAAGATATGGTTTTTGACAAATGGTGCTGAAACAACCTGACATCCATGTACAAACAAAATTTAGACCCAGATCTTATACCCCTAAAAAAAAACTCAAAATTGATCGTAGATCGAAATGTAAAATTCAAAACTGTAAGAGTACTAGAAAATAACATAAGAGAAATTCTAGATGACATTGGGTTTGTCAATGACTTTTTAGACACAACACCAAAGGCACAATTCATGAAAGAACCAATTGATAAGTTGGACTTCACTAATATTAAAAATTCCTTCTTTGTAAAAGACACTATCAATAGAATGAAAAGCCAAGCCACCAACTGAGAAAAAAATACTTGCAAAAGACGTGTCTGACAAAGGATTATTATTCAAAACATACAAAAATAACTGAAAACTCAACAATAAGAAATAAAACAACCTAATACAAAAAAAAAAATGTATCAAAGACCTTAACAGACACCTCATCAAAAAGACATGCATATGGGCCGGGCACGGTGGCTTACACCTGTAATCCCAACACTTTGGGAGGCCGAGGTGGGCGGATCATGAGGTCTGGAGTTTGAGACCAGCCTGGCTAACATGGTGAAACCCCATCTCTACTAAAAATACAAAAATTAGCTGGGTGTGGTGGTACGTGCCTATAATCCCAGCTACTCAGGAGGCTGAGGCAGGAGAATTGCTTGAACCCAGGAGGCAGAGGTTGCAGTGAGCCGAGATCACGCCACTACAGCCCAGCCTGAGTGACAGAGTGAGACGCTGTTAAAAAAAAAAAAAAAAAAAAAGATATCCATATGGAAAACAAGCATATGAAAGATGCTGGCCAGGCGCAGTGGCTCACGCCTGTAATCCCAGCACTCTGGGAGGCAGAGACAGGTGGATCATGAGGTCAAGAGATTGAGACCATCCTGACTAACTTGGCGAAACCCCGTCTCTACTAAAAAAAAAAAAAATACAAAAAAATTGGCCAGGTCTGGTGGCACACGCCTGTAGTCCCAGCTATTCAGGAGACTGAGGCAGAAGAAATGCTTGAACCGGGAGGCAGAGGGTGCAGTGAGCAGAGATTGCACCACTGCACTCCAGCCTGGGCAACAGAGCGAGATTCCATCTCCAAGAAAAAAAAAAAAAAAGAAAGATGCTGCAGATCATATGTCATTAGGAAAATTAAAGCAACAATAAAGTACTACTACTACCACATACCTATTAGAATGGTCCCAAATCTGGAACACTGACGATACCAAATGCTGGCAAGAATGTTGAGCAGCAGGAACTCTCATTCATTCCTGGTGGGAATGCAAAATGGTACAGACAGTTTGGAAGAGAGTTTGGCAAATTTCCTCCAAAACTAAACATACTCTTACCATATGACCCAGTAATCTCACTCCTTGGTATTTACCCAAATGAGTTAAAAATTTGTATCCACACAAAAATCTGCACACAGATGCTTATAGCAGCTTTATTCATAATTGCTAAAACTTGTCAATCATGTTCTTTAATAGGTGAATGAATAAATAAACTGTGGTACATCCAGTTGATGGAATATCACTCAGTCCTAAAAAGAAATGAGCTATCAAACCATTAAAAAATGGAGGAAATGTACATGCATATTTAAGTTAAAGAAGTGAAAGAAACCAATACAAAAAGGCCACATATTATGTGATTCTAACTATATGACATTCTGGGAAAGGCAAACTAAGGAGACAATAAAATGATCAGTGGTTGTCAGGTACCAGGGGGAGGGAGGGATGAAGCACAGAGAACATTTAGGGCAGTGAATCTACTCTGTATGATACTCTAATGGTGGGCACGCATTTGTATGCATTTGTCCAAGCCCATAGAATGTACAACATCAAGAGTGAACTTTAATGTAAACTACGAACTTTGGGTGATAATGATGAGTCAATGTAGGTTCATCAGCTATAACAAATGAACCACTCTGGGCCGGGCACAGTGGCTCACGCCTGTAATCCCAGCACTTTGGGAGGCTGAGGCGGGTGGATCAAGAGCTCAGGAGATCGAGACCATCCAGGCTAACACGGTGAAACCCCGTCTCTACTAAAAATCCAAAAAAAATTAGCCGGGCGTGGTCGCGGGCACCTGTAGTCCCAGCTACTCGGGAGGCTGAGGCAGGAGAATGGCGTGAACCCGGGAGGCGGAGCTTGCAGTGAACCAAGATCACGCCACTGCACTCCAGCCTGGGCGACAGAGTGAGACTCCGTCTCAAAAAAAAACAAAAAACAAAAAAAAAACACACACACACACACACAAAAACAAATGAACCACTCTGGTCTTTCCACTCTGGGGGATGTTGATAATGGGGAAAACTGTGTATGGTGGTGGGAAGTATTTAGACATCTCTGCGCATTCTGCTCAATTTTGCTGGGAGTCTATAACTTCTCTAAAAAATAAAGTCTAATAAAATAAAGGTTTTTTAAAGAGTAAAAAGATGAAAGTCAAGACATGAAAACAGAGAGATGAATAGAATAATTATACTAGAAAGTCTAGGTTAAGCTGAGCAAAACTTGCTCTGAGCATCCTGACAGTCAAGGTAAATAGAAAAATAAATAGATTTCTGTTCTGAAAGGTATTTAAAGTGGCTCAGTGGGAAAGAAAATTTCTTAAACTAATTTAAGTTTGTAGAATTAAAAGACCAAAAATAAAAAGGCTGAATTTGGTATGGTCCTTGCCCTTACAAAGCTGTGTCCAAATGTGGTTTAAAAGGAGGGATGTGCAAATGTTGCACAAGGCTACAAAGAAGGTGACAGGTCAGACAAGATGCCACAGATAAGGTGGCATTTGAGCTGATGGCTGTCCACCAGAGTGGGGCAGTTAGAATGGACATCTGTTGATTTGCTTGTCCAGAATTTGGGTAACAGCATCTCAATTTTCCTTTGTAAATCCACCCTCCCCTTTTCCCAACTCTCAGTCTGCATGATTTAAGTTGTTCCCATTTCCTGGCACTGCCGTGATACCATAACCAAGATCTGGCCAACCAGTACAACTCTTCCCTGGTACAGGGATTGGTTTCTACACAGACCAAAGGTAGTCCAATGACCCTCCAACTCCAAACTCTTGATAAAAGTTTCATTCCCCTGGGATTGCTAAGCAAATAGAAAGGAAGACTGGAGCTTCTCTAAACCATCACATGGAGATAGCTTGCTTAGAATAAAGACCACATGAGATGAGTGGCAGAGAGAAAGAAATGCAGCCCTGATGACACCATTTGTGCTCCTGGATCCAGCTGTTCCTGAATGCAAATTATGAATCCCTTGAATTTATCTGTTACATAACCAATAAATCATGTATATGCACTATTTTTTTAATTAAACCAACTTTAGTTGAGTTTCTGTCACTTGCAACCCAAAGAATCCTAACTAATAAGGGGGTGATGGAGTGAATACAAGCTCAAGTCATGCCTCCATAACCTGCAGGAATGGCAGAATGCAGACCAAGAATCTGCAAAACACTTGAGTTTAGGATGAAAGTAGATAAACCTAGAGAAGTAGCAAGAAAAGCAGGTCATGAAGTGCCCTGAGACAGTTAACATAGTTGAAGTAGATGTGTACATATTTTAAATTCTATGCTTCAAAATTCTCTGTGATCAAGCAAAATAAGATAAGATGTTTATAACAGAAAACTATAACTTGTATCCTAGAATTTTCTATTCAGTAAGTTAAATAAATACATTTTCTCACCCCTAGTGGTGGTGGTGATGGTGGTGGTGGTGGTGGTGGTGGTGGTAGTGGTGGTGGTGGTGGTGGTGGTGATGGTGGTTTGCTTTTGATTTTTGTTCTGGCTGCTGTTGTTTTTAGGAAAATTCTCATCCAAAAGCCTCTAGGCTCCTAAGAAAGCACTGAGTGGGGAGTGTGGCAAACTCAATGAAACTGGAAATCCTTTGTCTCTGAAGCTATGACAGATAAAAAGGAGACTGGCTCATGGGAAGGACCAGTGCTTCTGGCACCTCCTCTTCTCTACAAGGCAGATAAGACTCAAGAATCCCAGGCTAGTCATGGGGGGATGTTGACTTGGGTGGAGACAGGATGTGTCTCTCATTTATTGAAATTATGCAAACCTGAGGCCTGACCTTCAAGAGAAACTGGACCCTCAGTTAAAGAAGGTATCAGATATTAATCAATTAGAAGGAAAGAGAAGAAATCCAGGGGAGGCTGAGCAGATGAGAGAAATCAAACCACAGACCGGGCAGGTGCCTCTCTGCTTCTGTAATCCCTTATCCTGGTCTTAGAGCAAACAGCAAAGTAGCCTGAAGCTAGAGAACAGGGTCTGTATGAGCCTCAGTCCCCCAGAAATCCGCATTGCAGTGTGCTAATACCAAAATGCATAAATAAATGGAATGAATAGCTGAAGCCAGCCAGGGTGGGCAAGCTTTTCTGTTCCTCCCCCAGCCTTCTCCCTCCCCTACCCTCTTGGTCCTGAGTGTCAGTCCTCTATCCCGTATTCAGGCAACATCCTTGGCAAACTCAATAATATTTACGTGTTTGGAATAAAATTACCACATTTTGTTAGCATGGACTGTAAAGCAAACATGGATGAGAGCAGTGGCTTTCTATTTGCATGGTGGTCCAAGGAGCCCTCTCTCCAGCCGACCCAGTTTCCAATGCAGGCATCGGAGTGCCACCTTGTGGTAAGGAAAAAAAAAATGGACATTGCTTTCCAAGCTAGGATTTCTAAGTTCCTGCCTGTGCACATTTTTCTGCTATCCGGAAGGAGAACAGAAGTAAGTACTTGGGCTCACAGTCCCTCTCTAAAGTGGAAGCATGTCTCAAAGCAGCCCACTGCACTTGCCTAACCTAGAGTCCCAGCAGCTGATCTTTCTTGAGCTCAGCTGCAGGAAAGGTGGGAGATCTTAGAAAATTTTTTCTATGCACTCAGCAGAGCTGTCTTTGGTGAGAATAGTCACTGATTTAACCCAGAAGGCCACAGTTATTGGGGGATTGAAGGAAGAATCCAGGCACTGGAGACATTTTTGGTTGTGAAAATTGGGGGAGGGGTGCTCCTGGCATTTTGTAGATAGAGGCCTGAGATGCGGCAAACATCCTTCCACTCAGAGGCCAGCACCCCCAGGACAAGGAATTATCCAGCCCCAGATGTCAAGTGTTGAGACTGAGAAGCCCAGCTCTTGTCACTTTACATGTTGTTATCACCTTTAATGTTCTCAACACTCGTAGAAAATAGGTATTATAACTTCCATTCTACAGATGAGGAAACTGAAGCATCCAGGAGTTCCATAACTCACTCAAGATCACACAGCTGGCAAATGCAGATGTGATTAAGACCCAGGTTGGCTCCAAAGCCTGGGTTTTTTAAGCCTCCCCACTGGGGTACTTCCAGCATTCTGGTGTTGGAGATGAGGACTAAGCTCTGATTTTTTAATCGTGTCCAAATTCCTATCTAAGGAGTCTGGGGAGTCATGCCATACAACCATAAATTCTCATCAGATGGGTTTTATTTAACCCTCTATATCATGACTTACTTTCCAACCTGACCCTGGCATAACATTACGAGACAAGGAAGAAAATCAAAATATTTTACCCCAAAACATGTTTCTTTGCCATATTTTGAAATGGCCCTGCAAAGCTGTCTTTTGTAGGGGAAAATCTGCATCTGTAAAAAATCTCTATTAACATAGCTAGATATTTTTCTTCCAGGCCCTCCCAATCCTGAAGAGAGTAACTAAGAGTTTAGCACCTTTCAAAGATCTGAATAGAAAACATTTGTCATCTATTGCCTCTAAGGGCAGCCACTATGAGACTTCAAAAGAACCTTGTCTCCACAATCATTTATCTTCACCCGAACATTCCCTTTCCATCGATCCCAGGTCATTAGACTCAACCAATTGTCAACCAAAAAATGTTTAAATTTACCTATAGCCTGGAATCCCCCACTTTGAGTTGTCTCGCCTTTCTGAACCAAACCAATGTATTTCTTAAATGTATTTGATTGATGTCTCATGCCTCCCTAAAATGTATAAAACCAAGCTGCAGCCCAACCACCTTGGGCAGATGTTCTCAGGACTCCTGAGGGCTGTGTCAAGGGCCATGGTCACTCATATTTGGCTCAGAATAAATCTCTTCAAATATTTTACAGAGTTTGACTCTTTTTGTTGACAGAGACATAACCCTGAACCTCAGCTTAACAACATCAGTTAGTAAATACCAAATTACATGTATCCAACATAGAAAATACAGGGGAGAGAGAATTCCAACTCTCATTCTACCCCAATCAGTAGAGGAGACCTTAAAGTCTTCTGAAAAAATGCCCCTCTGTATCTCTTACCACATCAATGGGATCTGAAGGTTCTAGGACAAGGGTTGGTAAACCTAACAGGGGTTAGCCTGCAGGCCAGATCTGGCCCGCTGCTTGTTTTTAGAAATAAAGTTTTATTGGAACACAGCCATCGCTCTTCATTTACATATTGTCTATGGCTCCTTTCGTGCTCCAGTGGCAGTATTAAGTAATGGCAACAGAGCCTGCGTGCCCTGTAGAGTGTTTACTATTTGATCCCTTACAGGAAGTGTGTGCCTATTTCTGCTCTAGGCTAAATAGGTTTCAGACACCTATTGCCAACATTTGCTCTTGTTTATGTCCCAGGATGAGACGGTTTTCCCCATGTCTAACTGAGCATCCCTCTACCCCTTGGAACATCCTCAACACAAACAAATCTAGGTTAGAGATCAGGAAATCTGGTTCAGCCTGAATTATCTGTGTTCTGACCTTTCTGCCCACAGATAACACTATCAGTCCACCAGTAAATCATGGGCTATGGACCATAGGAATGCCCTGAACCATTCTAACACACAATTTCCAGACTTCTTTCTATGTGCCTGGTGTGTCCCAGATGACATCATAGACACCATATTATTAATAGATGCCATTAATAAAAAGTATTTACTTTTTTAAAAAAAGTGAACGTTTGTCAAGCGTTTTGCTGATGAAGTATAATCTCATTTAATCCTCACAACAAACAGAGTGAGTATTATTATCCCCATTTTACAAATGGAGACCATACCTTGAAGATTACCCAGGCCAAAATTGGGAAAGCGGTCTGCCTGTGTCAAACAAAACTTTTGTCTTCACCAGTCTGGTTGGCGCATAAAATATAATCATGCTCAACAAATATATTAAGTAAGCCAGGCCTAAGTGTTAACATAAATACATAAAGCACAAGCTCTGTCCTCACACAGCTCAACTACATAAAAGAGACTGATTGTGAGCAGGTAATGATAGAGCAACACCATTAACTCCTCACATACCAGGAAGCCTCAGAGTCTAAGAGCAGAGAGAAAGGGCATCTAACCCAGCATGGGGCTTCCATGAGTAAAGGGCATCTCAAATCATTCTTGAAGTATACACAGGCTGAGGCCGTGATGTTAATATTAGGTGTCAACTAATATTGACATTGGATTGAAGGATGCCTAGAGAGCTGGTAAAGTATTGTTTCTGGGTGTGCCTGTGAGGGTGTTGCCAGAGGAGATTGACATCTGAGTCAGTAGACTGGGAGAGGAAGACCCACCCTCAATGTGGGTGGGCTCCATCCGATTGGCTGCCATCATGGCTAGAACAAAGCAGGCGGAGTAAGGTGGGATAAGCTGGCTTGCTGAGTCTTCTTGGCTTCCATCTTTCTCGCATGCTGGATGCTTCCTCCCGTTCCTCTTGCCCTTGGACATCAGAGTCCAGGTTCTTTGCCGGAGGCCCTCAGGCCTTCAGCCACAGACTGAAGGCTGCACTGTCAGTTTCCCTGCTTTTGAGGCTTTTGGACTTGGACTGAGCCCCTACTGGCTTCTTTCTTCCCCAGCTTGCAGATGGCCCATCGTGGGACTTCGCTTTGTGCTTGTGTGAGCCAATTCTCCCTAATAAACTCCATGTCCTATATACATAGATCCTCTTAGGTCTGTCCCTCTGGAGAACCCTAATATAGAGGGCACAGCCTGAGAAAGGACAGGGTGGCAACGAAGTGTACATATGAGCAAGTCTAGGACCCTAATAAGATCAAATCACCAAATAAACCACCACCCCGATCAGGCGTCTCAAACTCATGGCCCCTAGGCAGACTCCAACCTACAGACAAATTTTGTCTTATCTACACGGTAGTGACCACAGTATATTTTTTTACTTGAAATTGTTGCCAAGAGTTCTGCATTTGCAGTTTTCTCATAGAAATCTAGATTTTCAGCCTTTCTTTAAAAATCCTAAGATCTGCAATCATTGATCCCAGGTTTCCCTGGACCAAGCACTGGCTAAGATGAATAATGACTGCGCACTTTATTTTCCTCATGCCAAGGCATGTCTTGTCCTTTATCACCACACTTGTGCCACACACGTTTTCTCTTATGTTCAGGCATCCTCATTCATTGACGTATGTGTGTCACCTCCAAAGGCATTTGAGTATTCAGCCCCTGGTCTACTCCATAAAATCTAAGCTTGTGGGTATGGAGTTTCATTCACTGGCCTCTGTTTATCTTTTCCAGGTTTTTCCCCTATGGCTGCTCACACACACACACACACACACACACACACACACACGCAACTATCACAAACTTTCTGAACTCCCCTGAGCTCACCATTTTCTTCCTCACCTCCTTGACTTCACAAATGTTGTTCCATCTGCCTGGAATCTTCCTTCTTGCCCTAGTTCACCTGGAAAACTCCTATTCATCTTTAAAGATCTAGTTAAAATGTGGACTCCTCTCCAACATCTTCCCTGAACCCCACCCATCCTCAACAGACATCTCTCCTCTGGGGTTTCATAGCTAGTAACACCTTATATCTTCCTCCATGACTGCAGGAAGCAATAAGTAGAAGCCAGGAGCCTCGCGGAGACCGTCAGGGCAGCCAGCTGAGAGGGGATGAGGTCTTCGGCCAGGTTGGAGAGCAGGGAGAAGTGCTGAGATTCTAAGACATTTTGAAAGTAGAGCAAACAGGATTTACTAATTGATCTTTGTCTTTCTTTGCTGTTTTAAAGAAGAGAATGGACCTTCAAATATTCAACAAGCTCCAACATGCAGAATTCTTTCTGTCCTTGCTCTTTGGAATGGGGGAGGGAGGGGAAGCATATTGAAAGATTCCCACCCTACCCTCTACTTCCAACCAACGCGCTCTCTCCAGGGTTCAATTTCTTGGCTGTTCCCTCTGTGTCCCTGTAATTCTTCCAATAAACCAAGAATATAAAGTTTGTTTTCACATAGAGTGTGTGTATTATATATGTGTGTATATATACACACATATGCCTGTAACCCCAGTGCTTTTGGAGGCCAGGGCAGAAGGATTGCTTGAGGCCAGGAGTTTAAGACCAGTCTGGGCAACAAGATGAGACCCCCGTCTCTATAAAAAAATTAAAAAAATTATCTGGGAGTGGTGGTGTGAGCCTTTAGCCCCAGCTACTTGGGTGGCTGAGGCAGGAGTACCACTCAAGCCCAGGAATTTAAGGCTGCAGTGAGCTATGATTGTACCACGCTACTCCAGCTGGGACAACAGAGCAGGACCTTGTCTCTTAAAAAAGAAAAAAAGATATCTATGGAGCGACTACAGTGTGTCAGGTGCTGCTCTATGCACTGGACTACAGCCTGTTGGCCTGGCTGGTCTTGAACTCCTGACCACAAGTGATCCGCCTGCCTCGGCCCCTCAGAGCCCTGATATTAAAGCGCTGATATTACAGGCGTGAGCCACCGTGCCTGGCCTGCTTTTCCATTCAGGTAGTTATGTGGTCATATTTGTATGCAGTTTTAGATTTGTTTTTTTTCATTAAAAATTTTGTCAAGAACATTGACTTAAAACGATTGGAATACTAAAAAGCATAATTTTTATTTTTATGTATTTTATTTTATTTTGTAAGCTCTGGGGTACATGTGCAGGATGTGCAGGTTTGTTACATAGGTCAACATGTGCAGTTGTGGTTTCCTGCACCTGCCAACCCATCATCTAGATATTAAGCCCAGCATACATAAGCTCTTTCTCCTAATGCTCTCCCCTGCCTCCACCCTCCCTCGACAGGTCCTAGTGTATGTTGTTCCCCTCCCTGTGTCCATGTGTTCTCATAAATACATGATTTTTAATCATTATCTAATATTTTACTAGGTAAATGAACCGACATTGTAATTAATACTATCATTTCCTTATTGTTGGATGTTCTGGTTGTCTTTAATATTGTACCCTTATAAATAATGCAGCCATAAAATCCTTCATCACAGCAGTCTTGGTCTTATCTCTGAATATTTTATTAGGACAAATTCCTGGGAGTGAGGTGACTGACACAAAGCAAATGAATTTTTCTTTCATAATGCCTGAAGGCTCAAATATACGGAAGAGAAGTTATTGATACCTTCGCGTGAGGATATTTGATTTGTTCAACCAGTTGTTAACAGATGACTTGCTGTTGAGGTCATGATTCCATAATTTTGGAATTATTATCCAGCTGGTGGCAATTCCTCGGATTGTAATCAGAATACTTTGGAGGTAACATAGAGCATCTTGTATTATGTGTTGGACTTAAACTCTTAAGAAATGCCCAATTTACAGCTAAAAGACATACAAGTAGAATCAACGTAAAAATATATAGAAGAGACTTAAGAGCATTGTGTGGACCTTACTTGTATCTGACCCAACAAACAATTGCTAATAATAATAATGTATTACATTTATAGGACAATTAGAAATTTTAAAAGGGGCTGGATTTTGATAATATTAAGGCCTTCTTGTTGACTTTTTATATGTGATGTTGAAAGATGAATCCTTATTTGAAAACACTGAAGACAAAATGAGGCTGGGCGCAGTGGCTCAAGCCTGTAATCCCAGCACTTTGGGAGGCTGAGATGGGTGGATCATTTGAGGTCAGGAGTTCGAGACCAGCCTGGCCAACATGTTGAAACCCCGTCTCTACAAGAAATACAAAAAATTAGCCAGGTGTGGTGATGCATGCCTGTAATCCCAGTTACTTGGGAGGATGAGGCAGAAGACTAGCTTGAACTCAGGAGGCAGAGGTTGCAGTGAGCTGAGATCATGCCACTGCACTCCAGCCTGGGTGACAGAGCAAGACTCCATCAAAAAAAAAATTAAATAAATAAATAAATAAATAAAATGATATGATGTCTGAAGTTTTCTTCCGGGTAATTTGCGGGGTGGTTGATGGGCAGCACTGGCCTTGGGTTGATGGTAGTTGGGGCTGGGGTCTGGGTACGTAGAGGCTTATTTATACCAGAGGTCGGCAAACCATGGCTGAATGGCTAGATCTAGCCCTCTGCCTGTTTTCGTAAATAAAGTTGTATCAGAATACAGCCATGCCTATTTGTTTGCAGATTTTCTCTGGCTGGTTTTGCGCTACAATAGAGTGGAATTGTTGCAACAGAAACCATCTGGCCCACAAAGCCTGAAATATTTCGTATCTGGCCCCTTACAGAAAGAATTTGCCAATCCTTGACTTATGCTATCCTACCTACTTCTGTTTATGTTCAAAATCACTCATAATACAATATTTTAAAAAGAATTAACATAAAAAAGATTATGGTCCCTACAACTACTACCATAGAGTACTGTTCGTCTACAAACACTATCGCAAACATATTAAACCACAGCTGAAATGTCTGTGGGGTTATTCTTTTAATAAACATTTATTATTCTTTTTTTTTTTTAAGACAGAGTTTCGCTCCTGTTGCCCAGGCTGGAGTGCAGTGGTGCAACCTGGACTCACTGCAACCTCTGCCTCCCAGGTTCAAGTGATTCTCCTGCCTCAGCCTCCCAAATAGCTGGGATTCCAGGCATGCACCACCATGCCCAGCTAATTTTGTATTTTTAGTAGAGACGGGGTTTCACTCTGTTGGCCAGGCTGGTCTCAAATTCCTGACCTCAGGTGATCCACCTGCCTTGACCTCCCACAGTGCTGGGATTATAGGCGTGTGCCACCACACTTGGCCAAAATTTATTATTCTATAAAGGTGATAGATACATGCATGGTACAAGATTCTTAAAGCATGCTCTGGAAAGTAAGCCTCTGTCTTGCCCCTGACTCTCATCTATGTAGTTTCCTTCCCTGGAGGTTCTTTTTTTATTCTTCCAGGGATAATCTCTGCATGGACAAACATAATATAAATGTCTAATAGCTTTTATTAGACATGCCTGAAGACAGGCATGTCCTGTCTTCAATAGATATCTTTAATAAATTCAAAAATAATATATTAAGTGGAAAAAACATTACAATACAATACAAATAATGCAGTCATGTGTGTGTGTGTGTGTGTGTGTGTGTGTGTGTGTGTGTGTGTGTAGGTAAATGGAAAAGAGATTGAAATCATACATAACAAAAGTTGACACTGGCTGCCTCCACATGGTAGAATAAAGAGTGAACGAGTGGCTTAATTTTCTCTCATTGTTTATTCTCTTATTGTTTACCTATATTTCTTAAATCAGCAATAACGAACGGGCACTACTTTCATACCAGAGTGCCTGGTAAGTTGTTTCTTAGGATGTTTCTGTAAGAGAATCTGAGTTTGTTACTCTGGCCAGGTAGACACAAAAAGACTTATAGGGAAGAACCACTTAGCCTCTTCCCCAAAGTCCTAGGTGGGCAGGTTTCAGGCTCACAGGCGCCCAATATCCTCTGGGGGAAATAATGGGACCCCTGTGACCTGGCAGGTGCTGCCCCTTCTGATATCCTTGACCTGGCAAGGGTACTAGAAGGACATGGGGAGGACAGGGGCAAATTTGTCAAGAGGACCAGAAGCATTTTGGGAAGAGAGAAATGAAGAGCAATCCTTCCTCTGGTGATGATGATGATAATGGTGGTGGTGATGCTAGTACCTCCAGGATGCATTGGGATTGTGAGTCTTGGGAAACGGACACCAAGGCTACAAAGCAAGGAATCATGTCACCATGAGGACCGCTGAACCAGTGGCAGAGCCTCAACACCAGGCCCCAGGGTTAAGTGAAGAAAGGCTGGTTAGACCAGCACTGGAAATCATCACTGAACAGAAGGCAGAGGCTAGAGTGATGGAGGGGGCCCGCACTGCAGGCAGGCAGGATACTCAGAAGCCAACAAAAGCTGTTCCAAGCCACCAGGTGAGCTAGTTTCCAAATCATTAATTCTCTCTTTGCCTGTATTTGAAAGTCAAAGTATCCCCTTTGATCAGAGCTTAAAGTCTTACCCTGGGGTTCACGTTCACGTATAATCTTCAGAGAGGTCGGAGCTCTGAAGAGGGAGGATATTGGACTCGTTGTTAACATAAGTATGAGGGGTAGCTAATTACAAAAATTAAAATATTAGGGATATCTTTTACCCCAAGCTGGAGAAACAATTCATTCTCTATTTTATTCCAATCTGGAGAAGTAACTTGTTCTGTTCATGCATTTTAAGTAAATAAACAGGCCGGGCACAGTAACTCATGCCTGTAATTCCAGCACTTTGGGAGGCCGAGGCAGGAGGATCACTTGAGGCCATGTGTTCAAGATGATCCTAGGCAACATAGCAGGACCCCATCTCTACAAAAAAACACAAAAAATTAGCCAGATATGGAGATGCACACCTGTAGTCCCAGCTACCCAGGAAGCTGAGGAGGAAAGATCACTTGAGCCCAGGAGGTCAAGGCTGTGTGATTGTGCCACTGGCACTCCAGCCTGGATGACAAAGCAAGACCCTGTCTCCAAAATAGATAAATATAAATAAATAAATATTAGATACAAGAGATAAATACATCAATAGATTAGTACATAAATTTAAAACTAAACAAGCAAGTAAAGTCTCAAAGAGAAACAAACAAAAAAAAAATCCCTGCCCTCCATGTCTCTGAAGCGTTGCACGCAGGCTTTGATTGATGTAAGTTTTTGATTTTCAGAATGTTATATGCTTGAGTTCATGTCATGAAAAAAAGGTCTGCATTCATCCCGCAGTGAGAGACGAATCTCTATTCTCCTGCTGATACATCCATCAGCATCCTTAATCATCCTCCTTCCGCGGAGGTTTATCATCCTTCTAGTTATTCTATTACTCACTCTGCTATTAAGAGGGCAAGAACCATTTCATTTTTATGTTGCCTGATCATATCATTCAGCTGGAAAACATCGTTAAGGAACCGCAGCGTAAAAGCCAGTGTAAACACCACCACCCAACCGTAATCTCTAATGCCATACTAATGGAAGGCCACTGTTTCTGAATGGGGCCATATTCAATGCCTTAAGATAACTTCGGATACCGTTTTTCTGCAAGGATTTTAACTGCAATCCTGAAGACGTTAAATGAAAGCACCAAGCACATGTTTATGGCCTATTTAACAAAGCTAGCACAGGGCTATGTATAAATACTTATGTAGAAATAGAGCCGAACTGGGACACTTTGGGAGAAAATGATGGAAAGGGGACGGTTTTGGAGTTCTGCAAGAAAAGAGGTAACACCCATTATTTGGACTCATGGGAAAAATAGCATTCACTTTGGACTCCAACTGGGAAATTACTCTTCCAGACAATAGAAAAAATGTTAATTAGCTTAAAATGTAAGGCACATAAAAACAGGGTCAATATTATTAGTCATCAAAGGAATGCAAATTAAAACCACAATAAGATATCACCATGCACTCACTAGAATGGCTAAAATAAAAAGGACTGACCATAATCAGAGCTGGTGGGGGTACAGAGCAGCTGAAACTCATGGAAATGCACAATGAGACTGCCATGCTAGAAAAGAGTTTGGCAATTCCCATAAACATTCCCTTACTTTACGATCCAACAATTTCACTCCTAAATACTTCCACAAAAATAAATGAAAACATATGTCCACAAAAAGTCTTGTAAAAGAATGCTAATTGCAACTTTATTTATAACGGTTTAAAACTAGTAGCAACTCCAGTGTTCACCAGTACGAGAATGGATAAATAAGGCACAGTAGATTCATATCATGGAATACCACTAAGCAATAAAAGGTTCTAGGCTTCTTCTTTTTTTTTTTTTTTTTTTTGAGATGGAGTTTCACCCTCCTGCCCAGGCTGAAATGCAGTGGCACAATCTTTGCTCACTGCAGTCTCCGCCTCCTGGGTTCAAGCAATTCTCCTGCCTCAGCCTCCCGAGTAGCTGGGACTACAGGCACACGCCACCACGCCCAACTAATTTTCTGTGTTTTAAATAGAGACGGAGTTTCACCATGTTGACCAGGCAGGCTGGTCTCAAACTCCTGACCTCAGGTTATCCGCCCACCTTGGCCTCCCAAAGCGCTGGAATTACAGGCATGAGACACAGCACCTGGCCTCTGCGTTTTTTGTTTTTGTTTTTGTTTTGAGACAGGGTCACCTTCTGTCACCCAGGCTGGAGTGCAGTGGCATGATCACAGCTCACTGTGGCCTTGATCTCGCTAGCTTAAGTGATCCTCCCACCTCAGCCTCCCAAGTACCTGGGACTACAGGTACATGCCACCATGCCAGCTAACCTTTTAATCTTTTGTAGAGACCGTGTCTCACTATGTTGCCCAAGCTGGCCTCGAACTCCCAGACTCAAGTGATCCTCCCACCTCAGCCTCCCAAAGTTCTGGGATTTCGATGTAAGCCACCGTGACCGGCCTTCTTCTTCTTTTTTTTTTTTTTTTTTGAGGCGGAGTCTCGCTCTGTCACCCAGGCTGGAGTGCAGTGGCGCCATCTTGGCTCACTGCAAGCTCCGACTCCCGAGTTCACGCCATTCTCCTGCCTCAGCCTCCCGAGTAGGTGGGACTACAGGTGCCCACCACCACGCCGAGCTAATTTTCTGTGTTTTTAGTAGAGACGGGGTTTCACCGTGTTAGCCAGGATGGTCTCAATCTCCTGACCTCGTGATCCGCCCGTCTCCACCTCCCAAAGTGCTGGGATTACAGGCGTGAGCCACCCTGCCCAGCCGACTGGCCTTCTAATCCATGCAACAGGATAAATCTGACAGACATAAGACTGAGCAAAAGAAGTTCAAGGACATGAAAAACTAATCTATAAGGATAGAAAGCAGAGCAACAGTTGCCTTTGGAGGGTAGGGCGGCTCAAAGTGGGTATGAGAGATCTTCTAGGGTGATGAAAATGTGCTGTATCTTATAAGGATTTGAGTGATATAGCTTAAAAGATTTGTTAAAATTTATTAAACTGTACATTTAAATTAGTGCATTTTACTCTTTCTAATTATGCATCAATAAAAATTTGCAAAGGTGCAAGCCCCAAGTTTGCTAAGAGGCTAAGAGCTGCAGAGATAAGCAAAAGGAAAAACTGAAAACTTTCCTGGGCAAACAGGGGGCATTTTGCAGAGTGAATTGGAGGGAAGCCACTTCCCTGGGGATAGAGCTGATAAAGTTCTGCTTGCTAGAAATCTGAATTCTGACAAATTGACAAAGCAAAGACTGAGAATGAAGGTCCGAAAACAAAACAAACAAGTGCAAAGCACTATCCCAACACAGATCAGGAGATCTAAGGATGGTGGGGAAAGTGCAAATAAGATCAACAGAATGTGTTGAACACGAAGCAAGCTCTAAGCCAACAAGAGTACACCCTGCTCTCTTAGCCACGTCAGACTGATTACCGCCACGTCTTGGTAATCCTTCTGTACTTCCTCTCATGATTACTGTAAATATTTGACCTGAACTAATTCTATAGCAAACTCTGTTGAGTTTTCATTCCATCAGGTGGATTCAGGCATTCCCGGCTAATCTTAGTGTAGTCTTCCTTAAGTCCTGAGTTAAACAGAAATAAAAACTGGTAATTATTGGGGATTTAACCAGGTGCTGGATACCAGGCTAAGTACTCAACATGCTTTGATTCGTTGAATCTTGCCCCACCCATGAAGTAGGCACTGACAACAGAACTCCTGTTTTACAGATGAAGAAGCTGAGGCTTGATGGAATAAAAATGTGCCTATAGTTACAGAGGTAGAAAGTGAGAGGTGCGATTCAAACTCAGGCCATGGGACCCCAGAGGTGATGAACTAACCATAGTGCTCTATTGCCCCTTCCAGGTATTTTTCAAAGTGAATGGAAGCTACCCAAATATTGTAGAATCAAGGAGACTCTAGAACTCTCATACTACATGTAGACATCAAAGACATAGAGAAAGAAGCCGTGGCCAGCCAGGACCAAGAAAGCCTACTACCCAGGGGCTCATTTATTCATTCATTTGTTCAACAAACATTTAAGAGCCAACTGTATGTTAGGCGTTGCTTCCCACTGACAAAACTAGAACTGAGAGCCAAAAGCTATTCTACTACATTTTGGTGGCAACACCTTACTCCAAAATGTACGCATAGACAACAAAGCAGAAAAACACAACCTGAAAGTCAATATCCCTTTTAGAAGTCTGGAAACACAAATGCAGTGTCAGTGTAGCATAAGCTAAAAATGTGTAGGGTGGCACCCGCAGACAGTCTGGTATAGGGCTGAACATCTCATCCCTTCTAAAGAGGCCACCTCTGCTCCCTGAACAGATTCATCAGGCTCTATGATTACCTCGTCATGCAGAAATTGTTAATCAATGTTGCCTAAGCAACACATGTAGAATAATAAGTCAAGACAGACTCCTTAACGACAAAGCTGTGGGAAATTGCTGGCATGTTGGCATTGACCGATTGCTGAGACATTGCTCTCCTGGGCTGAAGGGGGATGCAGGAGGGACAACAGGATGCAAAAACTGATACTACAGGATAAGCGGAAGTGATGGGACTGCACAAAAGGCATGTAGAATAGATGCTGTAGGATGGCAGTGTCACGTACCGAAGCAGTGAGGGTAGGATTATGTTCTGGCTATGCCACCACTAGTGGCGAGGGTCTCTCATTTGCCCTCTCTGAACTGTTTTTTTACCTGTAAAATGGAGTGAAATAATTCCTGCAATGCCAAACTCACGAAGTTATTGATAAATGTATGTGAAATTGTCATATAAACTGTGAAAGCACAAAAAGCAAGGTATTGGGATTGGGGGTGTTTTTGTCTGCCCACCCAAAATTCTGACCCAATTAAGAACTAGGAGATTGGAAGTATCAGAATGCCAACTTCATTAATGGTAGCTGGACCTGGTCCCCTTGCTTGAACCAAGGGTTTCTGCTTCTTCTTGCTTTTGCTTTAAGCAGGGCAGCTAGAAAACATAGCAGGGGTAACAGAAGGAAAGAAAAGGGGAAAGCATGCTCCACCTGCAGGCAGAGAGGGCAAAGAAGTTGACCATACACAAGGAGTCATCAAGTCATCTTTCTCAGCACCCAGATAAGCTACTTCTACATCCATGAGGAAGAGCATTTGGGCCAGAGGAAGGCCATTACCTCCCCCATTTTAGGCCCTCCAAAGGGCCAAAAATGTTGATAAAAATTCCAATTTTTAAATCAAGAGTCAATAGATTGACTGTCCCAATCACTCTTCCCAACTTTTGCCATCTCCTACTATAGAGCCTAGAGAAGTCCATGACTTGATTTCCCAGACTCCCTTGCAGCTAGAGATGGTGATGTGACACAACGCAGGCATAAGTTAAAAAATTTACAAAGAGCTGGATTTGAGACATGAGATGGCTGGGCTGCAATCACTTGTGATCACAAAGGAAAGGGCATGAGAATTGCAAAGATATCAAGTCGGACCTTACTGAGTCACTGAACTCACACCAATAACCACTTCCCAGATGTACAACCTTGCAAACTGGCAAACCAAAAGTGCATGATTGATTCTCACCCTTTCTTTCACCTTCCTATTCATGTTTATAGTAGTTCAAAAAATAAATGTAAATTTTAAGGGGTTTTCCTACCATTATGGGTTTTCCTACAATTTTTGTAAAAAACAATCAGACTTAATTTGAACTGTAGGTAGGGTTTTTTTTTCTATCCAACTCTCACCAAAAGCTTTGTGGAATAAAGGAATACTTATGTAGGATTCTTTGAGAGATATTCAGACCATCATTTCTCCGCAATGAGGGGCTCAAACTAGTCTTAGAAACTTCCCCATGAGGACAAAAAGATTCCATCATTAAAGAAATTTGAGGATTGTTGCCTGTTTCAGTCATCTCTTGCTGTATAACAAATAACGCTACAACCTCTTCCTGTACCTGAAACCTGACCTTCCTCTGGGATTTTTACTTAAGTGAGCCAAAAACCCAGCTTTTATTTTAGCTTAAGTTGGTTAGACATGGGTTTCTACCCCTCACCATTGTTTACAATTCTTCATGCCCTTCCTGTAATAGAATTATACATTCACACCCATCGACAGGACAGTATCTCACACAAGAGTGGGTAGGGTATATTGCGGAATCCTACTGATACTGGCTTGGCTATATGACCTGCTTTGGCCAGTGAAATTTGAGTGTAAATGACAACGTGCCAATTCCCAGCAGAGGCTTCCAGAGGCAATAGGTATTTTTGCTCATTATCTTGCACTTCTGCCACTCACCACGAGAAAACCAGGACCCAGCTAGTCACTGTTTCAAGGACACGAGACACAAAGAGCAGAACTCAAACCTATTTTTTATCAATTAAAATTACAGCTATTCTTATGTTCCAGACCTTCTCTTGGTGGACTCGAAAGCTACACAAACAATTCAAAAACAACATCTCTGTATGCCCCAGGAAATATCAGCATCTGGTGTCTGATTCTGCTAAATCAAGCCTGATCATTTCGTTGCTCATCATCGCAAATAATGTGCTTACAGCTTGGAACATTTGCGCATTAATGAACTTAGAAAATAGCTCTCCCCCTCCCCCCCTCCCCCTCCCCCTCCCCTTTCTCCTTCTCCGGCTTTCCACGGTCTCCCTCTGTTGCCGAGGCTGGACTGTACTGCCTTGATCTCGGCTCACTGCAACCTCCCTGCCTGATTCTCCTGCCTCAGCCTGCCGAGTGCCTGGGATTGCAGGCGTGCGCCGCCACGCCTGACTGGTTTTTGTATTTTTGGTGGAGACGGGGTTTCACCATGTTGGCCGGGCTGGTCTCCAGCTCCTGACCTCCAGTGATCTGCCTGCCTCGGCCTCCCGAGGTGCCGGGATTGCAGACGGAGTCTCGCTCACTCAGTGCTCCATGTTGCCCAGGCTGGAGTGCAGTGGCATGATCTCGGCTCGCTACAACCTCCACCTCCCAGCCGCCTGCCTTAGCCTCCCAAAGTGCTGAGATTGCAGCCTCTGCCCAGCCGCCACCCCGTCTAGGAAGTGAGGAGCACCTCTGCCCGGCCGCCCCGTCTGGGAGGTGAGGAGCATCTCTGCCTGGCTGTCCCGTCTGGGAAGTGAGGAGTGCCTCTGCCCGCTGCCCCGACTGGGAAGAGAGGAGCGCCTTTGCCCGACCTCGACCCCATCTGGGAACTGAGGAGCGCCTCCACCCAGCAGCCACCCCGTCTGGGAGGTGTACCCAACAGCTCATTGAGAACCGGCCATGATGACGATGGCAGTTTTGTCTAATAGAAAAGAGGGAAATGTGGGGAAAAGAAAGAGATCAGATTGTTACTGTGTCTGTGTAGAAAGAAGTAGACATAGGAGACTCCATTTTGTTCTGTACTAAGAAAAATCCTTCTGCCTTGGGATGCTGTTAATCTGTAACCTTACCCCCAACCCCGTGCTCTCTGAAACATGTGCAATGTCAACTCAGGGTTAAATGGATTAAGGGTGGTGCAAGATGTGCTTTGTTAAACAGATGCTTGAAGGCAGCATGCTCGTTAAGAGTCATCACCACTCCCTAATCTCAAGTACCCAGGGACACAAACTCTGCAGAAGGCCGCAGGGTCCTCTGCCTAGGAAAACCAGAGACCTTTGTTCATGTGTTTATCTGCTGACCTTCTCTCCACTATTGTCCTATGACCCTGCCAAATCCCCCTCTCCGAGAAACACCCAAGAATGATCAATAAATACTAAAAAGGAAAAAAAAAAGAAAATATGTATTAACCACCCACTATGTACCAGGCAATATTCTAGGCACAGGAGATATAGGAGAGAGTAAGGCCTGAGCAGCCCTTACCCTCATAGAGCTAACATTCCAGTGTGTGTAGAAAGGAGGTAGGAAAGCAACAACAAACATATGAACAAATCGATATAAAATATGTCAGCTAGTGATAAAGACTATACAGAAAAAATGAACAGCAGAAGAGAATAGAGAGTGGTTGATAAGCCAGGGAATGATAACTTAAGGTGGTCATGGAAGTCCTCAATTCTGATGAGCAGCCATTTGGGCAAAGATTTAGAAGAAGCCAAGGAGACAGCCATGTGACTATGAAGAGAAGAGCATTCCAGGCAGAAGGAGCAGCCAGTGAAAAGGCTTAAGGAAAACCAAGGTCTTAGGATTGGAGTGAAGAGAGATGGAGGAAAATAACAGGAAGGTGGAGACAGGAGGTGGACCTTGTAGGCCTGGAAAGCCATGGTAAGAACTTAAATTGAAAATACTGACCACTTGGATATATGCCTTTAAAAGATAGAAGATGCGTCAGACACCACAGCTCATGCCTGCAATCTTAGCACTTTGGGAGGCCAAGAAGGTAGGAGGGTATGTTGCCCAAGACCAGCCTGGGCAACATAGCGAGACCCCTACAAAAATAAAAAATTAGCCAGGTATGGTGGTGCATACTTGTAGTCCCAACTACTCATGAGGCTGAGATGGGAGGATCCTCTGAGCCCAGGAGGTTGAGGCTGCAGTGAGCCATGATCACACCACTGCACTCCAACTTGGGCTACAGAGGGAGATCCCGTCTAGTCCCAACTACTCAGGAGGCTGAGATGGGAGGATCCCCTGAACCCAGGAGGTTGAGGCTGCACTGAGCCATGATCACACCACTGAACTCCAGCTTGGGCTACAGAAGGAGACCCCGTCTCTAAAAATAAAAACAAAAAATAAAAGCCAGGAGAGGGAAAGCTATGTTTCTTACATAATTTTGCTTCCTGTGATTTATAGATGTGGAAGTGCCAGGAACTGTACCAGATGCCCTCTGTATGCTTCTCTTTAGTTTAAACACATGTAATGTTTAGTGAGTGTCAATCTGCATTTCTAGAAATCAAGATCCACTCTACATTCCAAATCAACAGTAAGGCAAGAGAAGAAGAGGTGTGTATTTAAACTTCTCTAACCTGTCCTCAGTTCAAGATGAAATTAATGCATGGTTTCACATGTGGAACGTGGAGATCATATAAACAGTCCATTAAATTGAATCACACACATAAGAACCAGTTTTCTATTCTACCTAGCAGATTAAAAATCCAACTTTTAATTTCAAATGGCCTATGCAATCATCTCAATTATCCTATTCAACTGCAGAGGTAATTTAAACTGTGGATTGCTGCCCCATCAAACTGTCTATTTATAATATGTAATTCCGGCTTAGATTCCAAGGATAAATATTATCCTCCCAAAAAATTCAAGTTCAAGGTAATTCACAAATAATAGTTTGAAAAGGAAATAAACTGTGTGCAGACAATATGATTGAACAACCAGGAAAACCAAGATAATTAGCTTAGGAAATACTAGAATACGAGTTCTGTAAGATGGCTAAATATAAGATAAATACACAGAAATCAATAGCTACTTCATAAACCAACAAAATAAAAAGATCCCACTCACAAAAATATATATATGTATGAGTGTGTAGATGTGTGTGTCCAGGAGTGATTTTTACAGTCTGGTTTTTATATGAAGATACTACAATACTACTGTTTAACACACTTGAAAAAAATGACATATAAATATGCACAAAAAAAATATTAGCTTTGCGTATAAGGCTTATGATGTGCCTGACACTGGATTAAGTATTTTGCAGGTATTTCCCCCAAAAATTTTCCAAAACCCTGTAACAGAAATTTTTTTTTTTTTTTTTTTTTTTTTTGAGACAGAGTCTCGCTCTGTCGCCCAGGCTGGAGTGCAGTGGTGCAATCTCAGCTCACTGCAAGCTCTGCCTTCCAAGTTCACGCCATTCTCCTGCCTCAGCCTCCTGAGTAGCTGGGACTACAGGCGCCCACCACCATGATCGGCTGTTTTTTTTCTTGTATTTTTAGTAGAGATTTAATAATCTATGTGGCAAGCTCTATAGATGTTGGTCAGCTTTTCTCGCCAGCCATCCCAGTGCTTGGATCCACATGCAAACTGCCCTGGGTGGCAGGGATGGAGGCCATGCATGGCTTCAACAACATGGACTTTCCCCGACCAAGGCTAACCAGGTGCCAAATCTGCCAGCAGCAGAGACCAACACTGAAGCTCACCATTGCATCATTCCCTGGGGAGACCAGCCAACCACCAGCGGCAGAATGACCCCTTCCATCACAGGAAACCTGAGGAATCGTTGGACCCCTTCCATCACAGCAGGGGCAGAGATTCATCCTCACTGAAACAGACACATGTTCTGTATGTAGGTTCATCTTCTATCTCCATAATGCTTTTGCTAGCACCACCATTTATGAATTCAAGGAATGCTTTATTCAGTGTCACAACATTGCCCCTACATTGCTCCTGAACAAGAAATGCCTCTCACAAAACATAAATGCATCATTTGGCTCAGACTCATGGAATTCACTGGCTCTGCCACACACTCAATCATCTAGGACGAGCTGGCCTAACAGAATGGAGGAATAGTCTACTGAAGGCTTCATTACAAAGCCTTTGAGGAGACAGCACCCAGAAAGGATGGAGTTCTAGCTACAGGATGCAATCTGTGCTTTGATTCAGCAGCCAATTTCTCATGCTGCTTATCCTACAGCCAGATTACATTGGAGGGGGCAAGCAAGATGGCCAATGGAAGCCTGCACCATTCGCCCTTCCCATACCCCCACGAGAACACCAAATTTTAAAAACTAACCACAAACAAAAAGCACCATCACAAGAATCAAAAATCAGGTGAGTCATCACAGTACCTGGTTTTAACTTCGGATTATGTGGGGCCAGGAATCAAAGGGTGGAAGTGGGTTTGGCTCCTCTCACTATGACATCCAATGACCCACTTGGGAGGATTTTTTTTTGCTTCCCATCCTGGCAACTTTAAGCTCTGCTGCTTTGGAGATCTTAGTCCTAAAGGGGGAAATGCTTGCACCAGGGGACACAAGAATGATTCCATTGAATTAGAAGATGAAATTACCACCCAAACATTTTTGACTTCCATGGAGGCCAAAGCAGTTCCACCTTGGATGCTAATTAACCATGTTAACTTCTGATTAATTGCAGTTCCCAAAAGGCCTCTAAGATTTCCAGTTTATCTCTTGTTCCTTATGTAACAGCATGCGGTTACTATAAATTCTAGCCTTAGGTCAAAAAACCTTGATGCTCTCATACCTCAGTTGTCCTGCCTGTCCCTTCTGAACCACCCTTTCCCTATGGTACAGAAGCCCTGCGTCTGGGGCAGTAACGGCGCAGGGATCCACCATCTTGTGTCGCCACTGCCCAAGACACAGACATGGCTTCTTTTCATAAGTCCCTATTAAATGTTTCTTTCTAAGAAACTGAATTGTTAAGCCTTTTCCTTCAGCCTTTCAGCTCCCTCAGACTTTGGGGGCGGGTTTACATAGACCTGCCCATCACGGACCAAATTCTTATGCTACTGAATTAATGAGCATGCACCTCTACTGGCTGGGGAGTAGCCAGGATGCACCTCTACTGGCTAGGGAGATTGAAACCAGTCATTAGGAGGAAATAGGGTTGCTATGACACCATAAGAGCAAGAAGGCTTGTGTCTGGACCAGAGGTCTCTGGAGTCCCTCTCAGTACTTCCATGGAAAGCTACAATCACCACACACACACACAAAAAGACAGGATCATTGAGAAGCCCAATCCTTCAGGAATGAAAGCTTGGATTTCACTGCTGGGTAATGAACCCTTCCAGCTGAGGTCTTGGCTGAGAACAAACATAGCACAGGCCAGGTGTAGAAGAAACTCATAATATCAACTGCATACTTGTGACCAGTTATAGAAGCAAGGATTGTAGCAACTGTGAATAACTTCTTTTCTCAAGGAGTGTGTGTGTGTGTGTGTGTGTGCGTGTGTACTAAGTGTGCTAATTTTTTCCCCCAATATCTTACACAAGTCTTGGTAGTAGCAGTTAAATTTACAGTTTAGTCACCAAGCGTTAGAATATTCTGCTGAGACAATGACTGATTTGGGAAGGTAATCAGCTTACGATGACTATTGAGACTTTCAGTCTTCTTACTGTGGGCAGAGGGTGAGAGTGTCTTCACTTGAATGAAAGATAGCTGTATATTGTTAGGTGGAAGGCTAGAGTTGTGATCTTGGCTGAAATTCAGATATGCATAGAAGAGTGTGGATGAAGACTGAGTAGCTAATGAGTGGATTGTGCCAGTTTTTGAACTATTTCAGCTTCAAACCCACACATCCATGCTCCACTTGGTGATGCACCCGTATTTGCCCTTCACAGCTGCTCCCATGAGACTCTACACTGAGAAAATCAGGAGGCTGGAAAAGGAAGTTTTTTCTTATGGTTACTTCCTATTCTCTCATCACTGTCACCCACAGCAATGCTCTTTTGCCTCAGCAGTGATAGTTTATTCCAGAAACAGCAGTTGATCACAATTTGCAGTGTTTTCAATACCCATGGGACCAGCCTAATTGAACCCTCTCAACGTCACCAAAACCAGCATCAAATTATTCCTTCCTTGGAGGTCTGAAGTTTCTACTCTGTGGGGCCTCTTCTCCAAACTTTTAAGTTTTAATAATTCCAATCTTTTCTCTTTGTTCTTTCTGCCCTAGAGATAGCTTCCTGCAGTATATTCCTTCATGATATCTTACTGTTTTCTTATTTCTTTTCAGGGCTTCAATATGTCACTGTCACTTCCTATATCCAATAAGGAGTCAGTAAACTTTTTCTGTAAAGGGGCAGATAGTAAATATTTAGGACCTGCAGGTCACACAGTCTCTCTGTTGCAACTACTCTGCTCTGCCATTTTAGCACAGAATCAACCATAAACAGTGCTTAAATGTAGGGTTGTAGCTACGTTCCCATAAAACTTCATTTACAAAAAAATAGGCCATGGACTAGATTTGGCCTACCTCTATTAAATTATTCATGTTAAAATAACCGGTATGGTATTCTGTCTCCTGACTGAATCCTGACCGACACAGTGGACATGAGTCTGAAAGCCTGGCCAATTAGATTGCCACATCCTAACGATGGATTCTGAGCCGGGTCCTGATCCCAAATTAGAACAATCAAGGCCAATAGAGACTTCAATGAGGGATAGTTGTTGCTGGTGCCTGAGAAAAGGTGTTCTTACCCACTATACTCAAAGCTAAACAGATAAGTTTTCATGGAGCTGCTAACAGTCATTCTGCCACCACGAGGGAATAGTCTATCTGAAAATAGAATCAATATATATAAAAGTTCAGTGAAGAGCACAAGACTTTGTTCTAATGAGATCACTGAACCCCTAGATCAAGCCATGCCTGAAGCCCATTGTTTATAAGAGCCAATAAATTACAATTTTAAGCATTTTGACTTCAATTTCTATTACTTGGAATTGAAGGAGTTCTAACTAATATAGAAGCACACAAATAGATATGAAAACACAGGGGACAAAATCTCTTAGATTACTATCATTTATGCTTTTAACAAATATACATGAAGTGCCTATGTTTGCCAGATACTCTGCAGAGATAAAAGGATCAGCCCTGCCCTCAGCAAATAATGGATCATTTTAGAAAAATGCCGCTCAAGCCTTCCAACATGTTGCATTTTTACAACAAGAAAATTAATCAAGTCCCTGATAACTCTGTGTTCCTGGCACACCAGCTCTAGACTGCCTGCCTCTGGACTTCTTTGTGTTTGTTTAGGCCACTTTGTAAACCGCTTAATTCGCTTAATTAAAATATATGTATGTATTTTTTAATCAAAGCTTGAACTTTTAGATACTCTATCCCTAAAGACTACAACTCTCAATCCATAAACTAGTGTTTCAGAAACCAAAGCTTTCTTATTTTCTATAACTCTGTTTAATTTCTATGTCAAGTCCCATTCCTACGGTCTGAAGGATTCAGGTGCTTCTCTGCCCCCTCGCATGGCTGTGATAAGGTTCTATTGGTTTTACATTGTCCCATTGCATCAAGGAGGATGAAGGGCACATGGTGTCTGGTCCATGATAACTGAGCCACTGAGCACACATGAACCTCATCCTGCTTCTGTCCCCTATCCTCTCCAGACCTTTGACAGGCACTGCTAGTGTCTCCAAGTATTCATCTCCCCTTCCTCCTTAGTAACACAACTCCATTACAAAATGGCTAAACTTCTCAGTCTCTGTTTCAGCTAGATAAGGCCATATGACTAAGTTCTGCCTAGTGACATTCAAATAAATATGTTACAGGTGACTTCTGAGGTAGATCTTTCAAAAGGAGTTGCTTGGGCTGGGAAAAGCTCCCTTTCAACCTTCGTGCTGAAAAGAATGCAGATGTGATGGCTGGTGCACTGGTAGCTGTATGGGACTATGAGGTGACCTTGATCTTCGAAGCCATAAAGTGAGGATGGAGATACAAAGAGCCAGAAGTCCCTGATAACTTTGTGTTCCTGGCACACCAGCTCTAGACTGCCTGCCTCTGGACTTCTTTGTGTTTGTTTAGGCCACTTCGTAAACTGCTTAAGCCACTATTTTATGAAACAGTAGTTTGTTACTTGCAGCCAAATGCAATTTCTGTTCCAAAATTTGCTAGCTCCCCCTGCTGGTTTGGTGTTAGCCCAGAAGCCTAGGCAGTTTTGCAAGGCCCCCTATTCTAAGTCTAGAGAAAAGACCTCTGTGCTCAAACCCTAGTCTCATCAATGGGTTTAGGATTTTGAAGAGGGAGGGAGGGAATGAATATGAGTTGGGGACTGCTGCAAACTAATAGCAAACTATTCCTCGGCTTCCTCTGAAAACATTAATACTTTTTTCTCTTTTAAAAAAAACCCAGCAACAATTTCCGCAGAATAATACTGCAAGGAGTTGTAAGTTTCCATCTAATAAACACTGCTAATGAGAAATTCATAATACATGAAAGTAACCCAGAAGGCCATGAAATCAGACACATTCGGAGGAATACCATAAACCTTGTTTTGAAGAAAAACAGTTGTCAAGTTGATCCTTGAAGTAAAGAAAATAATAAAGCAGGGGAACAGGGTGTAAGAACATTAAAATGGATTATCTTCCCCAAAATGGGATAATTAAATACGCTAACACACAGAGAATGCTGTCTCTGCCCTGAGGCCTGTGTGCATGATGACTTGTTCTTTGTTTTAGAAAACCTGTGATTGTTTGGGAGTGTTTTAAATGATTAAGAAGCAGAGATGTGTCCGATAGCAAATGAAGCAACAACAGCTTCATATTTTATTGTGAACTGGACATGACTTAGAGGTCAGACTGAGCTTCTAATCAAAACATGAAATAGGGAGAGAACTTGCAAATCATATTAATTATTAATACTGGAGTGCCTAAGGTTATGAATTCTTCAAGCATTTCAGAAAATCTGCAGGAATTTTTCAGATAACACTGGGACGCTGTATATTTTTATTTTATTCTCCCTCCTGTCCTTTTAAAGAAATATTTAATGTAGTCCCAGGGTCAAGATCTTCTAAAGGAAGTAAAATGAATTTGAGTTGTTACTTTATAAACTGCTGCAGGAAACAACAAATAATATAAGCAATTTGTTTTTAAGTAACTGACAATGGAATGGTAATTTCCTACCCGTGGCTTTACTCGATGCTGGGTCACTGAACACTGCTACACTGGCATCATGGTTAACTTTGACTATTCAAGGTCAATAAATGAGCACACTTCTTTAGTGAGACCCTATTTTCTATTCCCCTTCATGGCATAATTCTCAAATCAATGATTAAAAAACTCCAGATTTTGCTTTTATATATATCAGCTTTGTGGTAGCATTTTTAAAAGAAAAAAAAAGCAGAGAAGGAAGAAAAAAGTTTGAATCAGTGCTATAGGAATTTTCTCAAGAAGAAAGAAAAAAAAATTCTCTTTCCAAGGGGATGCATGAGGTTCTCTTCGCTTCGTCTGTCTCCTTTTTTAATAACTGCATCAGCTTGATGTCTAGGATAGGAAATCGTTAACATGTTTCAGATGAGGGCATTAAGACCAAAATACTCACATGAAGTCAGATGGGATGGAATGGGGTGAAAATCAGACTCTGCCAGGCTGCAAATGCCATGCCCTTTCCAGGCTCAGGGTAAGAAATGTCCTTTTACTACACTCCTTTGTGCCTGGTTCAGTAATGCTCAAAACATGGGAGAGAGGGAGGAATAAAAGGAAAGTCATTTCAGAGGTTAATTTCATTTTTACACTTCAGAAAGTGAAATGAGGAGATTTGACAAGTACCTAATTAATTTGATCTGGGTAAACAGCTCAAATGGATCTTTTTCATCTAAAAATAACTCCACTATGGGACTTGGCTTAATACAATCGTTCTCAAAATGTGGTCCCCAGACCAGAGTTAGCAGCAGCACCAGCACCTAGGAGAACTTGTTAGAAATGCAAATTCCACACTGGGCAGGGTGGCTCACGCCTGTAATCCCAACACATTGGGAGGCCAAGGTGGGTGGATCACTTGAGGTCAGGAGTTTGAGACTAGTCTGGCCAAAATTGTTGTAAAAATACAACAATTTTGTATTTTTAGTAGAGACTGTGAAACCCCACCTCTACTAAAAATACAAAAATTAGCTGGGCATGGTGGCAGGTGCTGTAGTCCCAGCCACTCCGGAGGCTGACGCATGAGAATTGCTTGATCTGGGAGGCAGAAGTTGCAGTGAGCCGATATCATGCCACTGCACTCCAGCCTGGGCAACAAAATGAGACTCCGTCTCAAAAAAAAAAAAAAAAAAAAAAAAAAAAAAAAAAAAAAAAAGAGAATAAAGCAGATCACAATGCTTGGATACATACAAGTTCTCCCATCACATTTTTATTCCCAGAGTCAGTTTGCTGTGCATCCCTACTCAAGGCGCTGCTATGGCCTGGGTTCACCCATTGATGTGCACCATTTTGTTAAAATAAATCATCTTATTTTATGCATTAAATGCAGCATGTGTGTTATTACCCTCACCTAAGTTTGCGTGGCCTCTCAAACGACCACCGAATCAGGTGGCACTGATCCTACAGCTGCTACCAAGATCCTGGCTGTGGGCCAGGAGTGCTGGCTCACGCCTCTAACCCCAGCACTTTGGGAGGCCAAGTCGGGCGGATCACTTGAGGCTAGGAGTTCGAGACCAGCCTGGGCAACATCGTGAAACCCTGTTTCTACTTAAAAAATATAAAAATTAGCCAGGCGTGGTGACGTGAGCGCCTGTAATCCCAGCTACTGTAGGCTGAGGCAGGTGAATCACTTGAACCCAGGAGGTGGAGGTTGCAGGGAGCCAAAATCACACCACTGCGCTACAGTCTGGATAACAAAGCGAGACGCTGTCTCAAAAAAAAAAAAAAAGATAAAAGATCCCGGCTGTGGCAGCGAGTGTTGTACCCTATTAGGGTAATGACAGCTTGCAGCTATCTTCAGAGCTACTATAAATGCCTCTTATTGATATTACTAGCTTAATGCTGAAGCTTAATTCCCTCTTAATAAAAACACTGCAGTTTTTCACATTAATTACAACAGTGAGTAATGGTTACTATTTGCCTATAAACATTCCACACTTTTAAATAACACAAGATGTCTCCACAACAGTTACGAATTACATTTATCAGCTAGTGACAAATCCCAAAAAGATAACAGTGGCTTCAACAAATTAGAGGTTTATTTTTCTCACATATGAAAGAAGTCCAGAAGTAGACAAGCCAAGGCTAGAGGTAGATGTATATCACAAAAATTAAGTTTCTGCAGTCTTTCTACTCTGCTATTCTTTCTCTTTTTTTTTCTTTTTCTTTTTTTTTTTTTTTTTTTGAGACAGAGTCTCGTTCTGTCACCCAGGCTGGAGTGCAGTGGCGTGATCTCGGTTCGCTGCAAGCTCCGCCTCCTGGGTTCACACCATTCTCCCGCCTCAGCCTCCCGAGTAGCTGGGACTACAGGCACCCCCCACCACGCCTGGCTAATTTTTTGTATTTTTAGTAGAGATGGGGTTTCACCCCGTTAGCCAGGATGGTCTCGATCTCCTGACCTCGTGATCCGCCCGCCTCAGCCTCCCAAAGTGCTGGGATTACAGGTGTAAGCCACCACTCCCAGCCTCTTTTTTTTTTTTTTTTTTTTTTTTTGAGATAGAGTCTCACTCCGTGGTCCTAGCTGGAGTGCAGTAGCATGATCTCAGCTAACTTCAACCTCCATCTCCTGGGGTCAAGTGATTCCCCTACCTCAGCCTCCCAAGTAGCTGGGATTCAAGTGATTCTCCTGCCTCAGCCTCCCGAGTAGCTGGGACTACAGGTGCATGCCACCACATGCAGCTAATTTTTTGTATTTTTTTTAGTAGAGACGAGGTTTCACCGTGTTAGCCAGGATTGTCTTGATCTCCTGACCTCGTGATCTGCCCACCTCGGCCTCCCAAAGTGCTGGGATTACAGGCGTGAGTCACTGTGCCCGGCTTAATTTTCATATTTTTAGTAGAGACAGGGTTTCATCATGTTGGCCAGGCTGGTCTCGAACTCCTGACCTCAGGTGATCCGCCCACCTCTGCCTCCCAAAGTGCCAGGATTACAGGGGTGAGCCACCATGCCCTGCCCTACTCTGCTATTCTTAAAATATGGCTTCCATCTTCAATGTTGTCTCATGGTCACAAAATAGATGCTGGAGCTCCAAATATCACATCCATATACCAGGAGGAAAAAAAGAGAATGAATAGAAGAGAAAAAGGGTGTGCCTCCCAGCTGATTTAGTTACTCATTGTTTTTTGATGCTATTAATGTTATTTCTATTTACCATCTAAAATTATCTCATGTATCATAGAAGATACATGCTGCATACTTTTTCCATAAGTAAGTGGGTGCATGATGATCACTCTTGAGTCTGCTCGGCTCTGAAACATTTATCTTCCCCTTATTGCACTGTCATTCATTCTCCCCAAGGCCACAACCACAATGTGTGCCGGTACTGTATTGTGACATTCTGTACTGAAGGGCTGGGTCAGCTGCAGAAGGAATACTCAATACAAGAAAGAAAAGTTTAAAGTCGTCACTGCTAAGGGTTTCCTCTGAGTTGCAAAAGGGAGTAATCTAATGACACGGACCAGCCAGGTGCAGTGGCTGACGCCTGTAATCCCAGCACTTTGGGAGGCCGAGGTGGGCAGTTCACTTGAGGTCAGGAGTTCGAGACCAACCTGGCCAGCATGGCGAAACCCCATGTCTACTAAAAATACAAAAATTAGCCGGGTGTGGTGGCGCACACCTGTAATCCCAGCTACTAAGAAGCCTGAGGCAGGAGAATCACTAGAACCCAGGAGGCAAAGGTTGCAGTGAGCCAAGATCGTGCCACTGCATTCCAGCCTGGGTGACAGAGTGAGACTCCATCTCAAAAATAGAAAAGAAAAGAAAGACATGGACCCATCACAAGTAGTAAAATCTTTCCTGTGCCATCTCCCTCCCCTTAATCTGCTTGTTCAATCTCAGCTCTGCAGCCCTCCCCAAAAACTCATTCTCCAAATCTCTTACAAATTTTTACGACCTCCCTGAGAAAAGGGCAATGAGATTCCTCATCTTCTTAAAGGGAAAGACCTCCCCTCCCTGGATACACCTCCCTCTCCCCAACTTGCAAAGCCCTAAGGCTGAGTCAGTTTGCAACTACTGAAGAGCTTGCTAGTCACCTACTAATTTTCACTTTCTCTCCCCTCTACTAAAAGAACCTCATTTCACGGAGTAGTGTTACCAGCTAAAGGAGTATTTCCTGGCCTCTTTAATCAATGGGGTTAATCAATGTTCTACACGCAAAAGTTGTTGGCTGGAGTTTCCAGGGAGTTTATTAAAAAGTCTGAGCCAACTAGGAGATATGCCTTTTTTCTTTCCCCTTTGCCTCCTACTTCCGGTCTGGAAAAACCAATGTGATTGCAGGAGCTCCAGCAGCCATACTGAGCTATGAGGCACTTTGAATATAAAAGCCTACCTTTTAGTGGAGAAAAAAAAATTATAAGGAGCCTAAGTCTTTGATGATCATGAAGCCACCCTACCAGCTGTTACCCATCTGTACAAGGAAAATGAACATCTATCTTATGTAAGCCACTCTTATTTTAGTTTTCTTTAATATGCAGCTGAATCTTATTATAATTGGTACAGTAATGCCTAGCTTAAAGATTTTATTCCAAATTCACAGACTCAGTTCTCAAACTTTGATGTGGATCAGAGTCACGTGGAGAGCTTGTTAAAATACAGATTGCTGCGTTCCATCCTCAGAGTTCCTGATTTGGTTGTGCTGAGGTGAAGGCTGAGAATCCACATTTCTGACACAGCCTATGGGTGCTGATGCTGATGTTGATGCTGATGTTCCGGGGACCACACTTTGAGAACCACTGTGCTAGCTCACTGCTAATATATTTGGATAATTTTCTTCTTAGAGACTATAAAGAAAACAAGCCACTGGGAACTGAGTCATTCTTTTTTTTCCTTTTGTAAGCCAAGAATTCCTTTCCCAGACATATTGAACTGTACCTTTTGCCTATTTCTTTTTCTTTTTTGGCAGTGTGCCCCTCCATGTCTGCCATTAGAAGAAACCTTGCTAAGTTGCTAACATGGACTTTTAGTCCTGGCAAAGATCCCTGTAGTTAATGTAAACCTACAATTTGTGAGCTCTTTATCTTTTCTATTTTCCCTTGATTTTTAATGCCAGGGTTTTCACAGACAATAGCTCGAAATTGTGTTGCGCAAAAGGGTTTTCTGTTTACAGCTTTAGGTTTTGCTGTTTTATTTTGCACTTGAAGATAGTGTCCTTTTTTGTCCTGTAACATATTATTTGATTCATTATCTCTCTAGCAGTTCAGTTCATCCCACTGTCAAACATGAATTTTTTTCTTTAGCATTCTTTCTAATCAGCCCATACACTTTCATCTTCTGGAGCCCCCAAAGCAATAGTAATGTCACTGGACAAATTCTTTTGCCACCCAGCATCTGTTTTACTGTATTTTAGAGAAAATATCCTGGTTTCTACTTAAAAATGACCTCCCCTCACTCAGCCCCAGTGGAACTTGCTACCCAGCCATGGCCAATCAGACCCCATCATCCCTTTGTTGGGGGCTAAATTAAGTCCCCCTCCAAAGTCACGTGTTGACTTCCTAACCACTGAGACGTCAATATGTGACTATATTTGGAGACTGGGTCTTTACATAGGTAATTAATTTTAAATGAGGTCGTTAGAGTGGGTTGTAAACTGATGACGAGTATCTTTATAAGAAGAAGAGATAAAGACACAGACATACACAGAGGGAGGACTATATGAAGACACAGGGAGAACACGGCCATCCATATGTAGAGGAGAGAACGCTCCGGAGAAATCAACCCTGCCTATACCTTTATCTCAGATGTCTAGCCTCCAGAATTGTCAGAAAACAAATTTCTCTTGCTTAGTTCACCTGGTCTGTGGTTGTTTGCTATGGCAGCCCCAGCAAACTAATAACACTCCTGGCCCTGGGGTTGGCAGAGTTTTTTCTGTAAAGGGTCAGACGATAAATAATTCAGACTTTGTGGGTCACATAGAGTATTAGTCCATTTTCACACTGCTATAAAGATACTACCGAGAGTGGATAATTTACAAACAAAGGAGGTTTAATTGACTCACAGTTCCGCCAGGCTGTAGAGGCCTCAGGAAACTTACAATCATGGCGGAAAGGGAAGCAGGCACATCTTACATGGTGGCAGGTGAGAGAGAAGAGAAAGTGAAGTGGAAAGACCCCCTTATAAAACCATCAGCTCTTGTAAGAACTTGCTCACTATCATGAGAACAGCATGGGGGAACCACTCCTATGATGCAATCACCTCCCTCCTTCTACCCGTGGGGACTACAGGCCCCTCCCTTGACACATGAAGATTACAATTCAAGATGAGATTTGGGTGGGAACACAGAGCCCAACATATCATATGATCTCTGTTACACCTGCTCACTTCTGCTACTGTAGTGGCAAAGAAACCATAGTCATTACTTTAAATAAATGGGTGTAGCCATGTTTCAATAAAACTTTATTAACAAAAATAGACAACCTGCCCATAGCCTGTGGTTTGCTGACTCCTGCCCTTATTGATTGGTACAAAACTGAGCATGTGACTCTGTCCTGGCCAATCAGCATGATTCTATTCCTCTACCCAGAATGATGCAATATGGGTAGCCAACTCAGGTAAGTCCAATTAGGGTGACTCTCAGAACTTGCACCAAACAAATGGGAAAAGGCATTCTCTTTCCAGTGAACTATAGTTATGAGAATGTGAGGCTGCAGCTGTTGCCTTCAGAATAAAACCCAAAGTCCTTTGCATGTCTCCAAGGCATCCCAAAATGCAGGCACATACCTGTGGGCGGCAAGCCACCCAGGCGCCGAGGCAAGAGACCGAGGACACGAGCTGTTCCAGTATAATAAAATGTAAAACAAAAATAGTTATACCAGATAAAGATCTTAGATATGATTATATATGAATATCATTACTCATTAGTTGGTAGCAATTACTCTTTATTCCAATATTAATCCTAGCTATATAATCATAACCTAGGAAAAACCAGGCCATACAGAGATAGGAGCTGAGGTGACACAGTGAGAAGTGACCAGAAGACAAGAGTGCGAGCCTTCTGTTATGCCCAGACAGGGCCACCAGAGGGCTCTTTGGTCTAGTGGTGACGCCAGCGTCAAGGAAGACTGCCCGTTGCCAGGCGGACCGTGGTCTAGCGGTAGTGAAAAGTGTCAAGAAACAACACCTGCTACTTAGCAGACCGGGAAAGGGAGGCTCCCTTTCCCTGGTGGAGTTTAGAGAAGACTCTGCTCCTCCACCTCTTGTGGAGGGCCTGACATTAGTCAGGCTTGCCCGCAGTTATCCGGAGGCCTAACCATCTCCCTGTGATGCTGTGCTTCAGTGGTCACGCTCCTAGTCCGCCTTCATGTTCCATCCTGTACACCTGGCTCTGCCTTCTAGATAGCAGTAGTCAATTAGTAAAAGTACTAAAAGTCTCTGATACGCAGAAATAATGGCATAAGCTGTCTTTCTCTCTGTCTCCTCTCCCTCTCTGCCTCGGCTGCCAGGCAGGGAAGGGCCCCTTGTCCAGTGGACACATGACCCACATGACCTTACCCATCATTGGAGATGATTCACACTCTTTACCCTGCCCCTTTCGCTTTGTATCCAATAAATAACAGCACAGCCAGACATTCAGGGCCACTACTGGTCTCTGCGCATTGGTGGTAGTGGTCCCCCGGGCCCAGCTGTCTTTTCTTTTATCTCTTTGTCTTGTGTCTTTATCTCTACACTCTCTCGTCGCCACACACGAGGAGAGACCCACAACCCTGTGGGGCTGGTCCCTACACATACCTGCCATCTTTCATCTTTTTTTTTTTTCACCAGAGAAAAGTGTTCAGCAGATGAACCACAAATGCCTTAAGAACAAATGAGTAGTAATCAACAATTTACTTTTAAAGATATCCAAATAAGTGGGCTTGGCTTCTTGCTTGGATCCAGTTAACTAGAGAACCGTCAATTTCGCTGTTTGAGCATAACCCAAAACAACATATTATGCTGTGTTTACCTAGCACTGTATATAACAGAAGTTTTAAAAGAATAACAAGACCCTGAGGAAAATGCGAGAGATAAGTCATTTATCCAGATTCTCTGAGAATGCCCAGAAAGAAAGCAGCTTTAAAGGCAATCTGGTCAGTAATAAAGGGCACTGGGGGATATCTGATTGTTTTCCATCCTAGTGTTATGAGATTTTAATTTAAATCATCAACAAAGAATTCAACCTAGCATCCCAGTAGGGGTCAAACGGAGGCAAATGCAAGATAATTTCAGTTTTTTAAAAAATTAAAAATTGAAAAGCAGGAATTGTTTTCTTTTCAGACTGATATTTATCAAAATCAGATGTTAAGTTTGCTCAAGTCAAACACATCTTGATGCTGCCGTTGGCTGGAGCAGACCAAGTGATGCTGCAGTAATAAGCAATGCAAAAATCTCGGGAGCTTTACATAGGTTTATTCCTTCCTCCCACAAAGACCTCTGTGAGTCTGGGCAGTTTTCTGGGGAAGCTGCCCTCCGTGCCATGGTTGCTTCCATCTGTGGCACCTCCATTTCAACAGATGCTTCACTATGGATGGAGGGAGAAAAAAAAGAAAACATCACAGAGACTCACATGCTGGCCCTTAAATGCTTCCACCTCTGAGTGACATAATGCTTGTACTCCCATCCTATTGGCCAGAATAGTCACATGGTTTTGTCAACTGCGGGGAGCTGGAAAATGTAGGCTTTTAGGTGGCCCGGAAGAGGGGGATGATGGGAAATAGTGACAACCACAATGGGATACCATCCATAGATGCCATCAGGAGGGATGAAAGGACAACATAATCCTTGCAAACCAGGGAGAAAAACGTAGAGAGGAATCAGGGATGCAAACAAGTGAAGGAGAGGAGGCTGAATTCAGCTGCTGCTCAGTTCAGTGGTTCCTCAAAAGGCACCCAGGTACCCAATGCCTGCTCATGATACTGTTCACTGCCCTGTGGTGCGAGGGGAAAATGAAACAGGAAGTGGTCATTAGAAAGCTAAGTTGACAGTATAGCCAGGCATGGCGGGGTATACCTCTAATCCCAGATACTCGGGAGGCTGCGGTGGGAAGATCATTTGAGGCCAGCAATTTGAGACCAGCCTGGACAACATAGTGAGATCCTGTAAGAAAGAAGAGAAAAAAAGGAAGGGAGAGAGAGAGAGAGAGGGAGAGAGAGAGAGAGAGAGAGAGAGAGAGAGAGAGAGAGAGAAAGAAAAAGAAAATAGATAGAGGTTGACATATTACCCTTTATTATTGTTAAGCTGAAAATAACAAATAACCTTCCTACATTTTTTTGGTATTAGAACGTCATTTCTTTTATGAAGTGATGATGATCATGGTTAGTAGTTGTTTATCTAATGTCCTACCTTGGCAAAATAAGAATTTGGCAGCCACCCATAGTTGTATCCATTGTTTTAAGTTACTGTCTCAGTCTATAAACTCAAATTCTGGGAGCCACTGACCTAGTTAATGGTTTTGCCTAGAGCTTGCTTTAATTGTATAAGGAAATTTACTTTTTTGAGCAGCCATGCAGTGATGCTCAGCATATTTCCTCATTCATTCCTTACAACAACGAGGAGGAAGGTATTATTATTCCACATTTACAGATAAGGCAACAGAGACTCAGAAGACACTGCTCCTGGTTATAATGTCTCCATTGTTCCACTTTTCAGTGGTTTCCTGTATGAAACTCGTGATTCTAAATGAACCTACTGATTTCCCATCCCAAACCTGTTCTCCAGCCTCCAGCTCATGTCCAACCCCTCACTAGCCTTCCTCATCCCCACCAAAGGCACCACCAACCACATGGTTGCTTTAGTCGAAAACCTAGGAGTCATTCTTAATGCTTCCTTTCCTCCCCTCCTCCTCTCACATCCCATCTATCAAGAAATCTGTCTACTGTTCTCCCAGATATATCTCAGGTCCATTCCCTTCTCATCCCTCCATAGCATTGCCTTTTTCAAGTCTACCATCATCTGTCAGCTGAATCATATATCAGCTTCCTGTCTGGTCCCCTTGGATCTATTTTTTGTCCCATCTAACTCATTCTCCACCAATAGTCAGACTGACCCTTCTACAATTATTTCTTTTTAATAAGATAGACACAGGGTCTTGCAATGTTGCCCAGCTGGTCTTGAACTTCTGGCCTCAAGCAGTCCTCCCATCTCAGCTTCCCAAAGAACGGGGATTAGAGGCATGAGCCATTATGCCTGGGCAACCTTCCTATAATTAAATTAGATCATGGAGTGCTCCTCCTTAAAACTTTCCGTGACTTTCCATTGTGCTTAGAAGTCAGCCCAGACTCTAGGATGGCCTCATAGGCTCCCATGACCTGGATCTTACCCTCCTCTCCAACGCCATGTCATCCTACATCTCCCAGGCACACTGACCTTCCATCTGTGCCTAGAGCATGCCAAGCTTTCCACGTCCTTTGCACAGTTGTTCTCCATGACTAGGAGGCTTGTCCTCCTCCTCCTCATATGACTGGCTGCTTCTTCAGACTTTACCTCACCTGTTAGTGTGCAGCAACTCCTGTCCCCATTATTCTCATGTTGGTCCATGGTTACTTCTTAGCATTCATGACCATCTATAATAATTTTGTGTATTTATTTACCTGTTGTCTTCTTCTCTTGATAGTAAATTTTAGGAGACTGGGGCCACATCATTTTGTTCATCTTTGAATACTCAGTGCTTACAGCAGTGCCTGGCATACATCAGGGGCTCAAAAATATCCACCGGGACTTCCACTTCCAGCCAAGATGGAGGAACGGGGGCCAGATTTACCCTCACACCTGAAACAACAAAAATACCGGCAAAGTGTGTGAAATGGCAGTTTCAAGGCAGTAGACTTCAGGCAATGAAGGACAGGGGTCTCAGGGTGGAAAACAAATAAGGTGAGCCCAAACTGTGATTGCTCCAGCTTTCTAACTAGAGTTTCCAGGGACGGAATGCCCAGGAGATGCCCTGTGTCAAGGAGATGGATCTGCAAATTAGGGAAGACCAAGGCAGAAAACAGTCCTGTAGGAAAGAGCGTGGCCTGAGAGAGAAGGTTGGAGTGGTTCCCTGGGAAATCAGCTGTGGACTGATGGATGCGTGCATATTAGGGTTAGCTCAAGGCCAGGGAAGAACCAGGCTGAAGAATTAGTGGGACCAGTGTCAGGCACTCATACGGGGAGAGGTTACAAGGGCACGAGGACACGTTTGGAGGGTATTGCCTACATTCATGAGTTTTGGTGATGGTTTCAAAATGTACACATATGTCAAAACTTACCAAATTGTACACTTTAAATAAAAATAGTAAAATATTAGTATTTTAATATTATTATTTAAAATGTTTTTTAAAATCCGCTTATTAATGAACATGGCAATAGTAAACTGCAGAGCCTGATTTAAGAACACGAATGCAACCCCAGCACATTGGAATTTTAACAAATTTTATTTTATTTTATTTTATTTCATTTTATTTTTGAGATGGAGTCTGGCTCTGTCACCCACGCTGGAGTGCAGTGGCACAATCTCGGCTCACTGCAACCTATGCCTCCCAGGTTCAAACGATTCTTCTGCCTCACCCTCCCAAGTAACCAGGACTACAGGTACCCATGACCATGTCCAGCTAATTTTTTTGTATTTTTAGTAAAGACGGGGTTTCATCATCTTGACCAGGCTGGTCTTGAACTCCTGGCCTCAAGTGATCTGCCTGCCCTGGCCTCCCAAAGTTCTGGGATTACAGGCATGAGCCAACACTCCCAGCCCACAAATTGTATCTTAAAGTATGCATAAAGGTAACAATACTTGCAAATGTTCAATGGATTGGACTTTATCAAGGACAGATTTTGGAGGGGAAAAAAGACAAATTGTTCAACAGAAACAGGGCTGGAGTAGAAGTGGGAAGCAGATTGGTCACAAAATTAATAGCAATGAGTGAGTACCCGGCAAAATACCCAGGAAAGGCTGCCAATAGGCAAGACTAGAAGTATGGAAGTCTGCCACCAGAGGTTTCATTTACCCACAGAAGAGTGAGCAGAGCAAAAGCCTGTTCTTGGGAGTAAAAGAAATAGTGGCTGACTGTCTAAATGCCTCCATCCAATCAGCTTGTGTCTGGCTGGCAAGTACATGCCCTTCTTTCTGGATAATGCACGGGCTTCTCAGCCAAGGAAATGTCATTGTGCAGAATCGAGCCACCTGGCAGTGCCACAACCACCAGTACAAAAGTCCAGGGCTTTCACATTCTTCTTAAGTGAGGAATCATTGGGGTTTTGCCATTCAAATGTTTTTGCAGAACTGTTGACTCTGCTTATCTGTACTTTCAGCCATAGTCAGAACGGATTGTAACACACCATGCTCAGAAACTGAAAACTCTTGTCAAGGCATAAAAGATTTTCAAAGCCCAACAGTTTATACATTCTTTTCAAATACACATAAAATATGTACCCACAAAAAGCCCGTGTGTTTAAGCCACAAAGGAAGCCTTAATAAATTTCATAAAAATTGATCTCATATTGATTACAGTGTAATAAAATTATAAATCTACCAAAAAACAATATTATCTAGCCTCCATACATTTAGAAACCTAAAAACACCATCTGGGCTTGGTGGCTCATGCCTGTGATCCCAGCACTTTGGGAGGCTGAGGCGGGTGGATCACTTGAGGTCAGGAGTTCAAGACCAGCCTGGGCAACACGGTAAAACCCCATCTGTACTAAAAATACAAAAATTATCTGGGGTAGTGGTGCACGCCTGTAATCCCAGCTGCTCAGGAGGTTGAGGCAGGTAAAAATTGCTTGAACCCAGGAGGCAGACGTTGCTCTGTCATCCAGGCTGGAGTGCAGTGGCGCAAACTCAGGAGCCGAAATCGTGCCACTGCACTCCAGCCTGGGTGACAGAGCAAGACTTCGTCTAAAAAAAAAAAAAAAAAAAAAAAAGACCTAAAAATGCTCTTTTTATTTAATGGGTTAAACAAGAAATCAAAGTAGCAACTACAAAATATTTAGAACCAAATGACAGTGAAAGCACTGTGTGTGATATAGACAAAGTGGTATTTGGACGGATGTTTATAACCACATACCTTAATATACTAGAATTGCATATTTAAAAATTGAGAAAAGAGTGAACTAAACATTCACCTGAAGAGCTTAGAAAAAGAACAACAAAATAGAGCCAAAGATCACTGAAAAAAAAATAAAAATAGAAATTAAATATAAAAAGTGCTAGAATTGACCTACAAAGACACAAGCTGGGTCTTTGAAAAGATACATAAAATAGACAACTCTCAGCAATTTTGATTCAGAAAAACAAAGAAGTGACAAGTAAACAATATTAGCAATGTAAAGGATGACATACCAGTGGGCATTGCCATGATTTAAAAATCAAAAGAGATTACAATGGACTTTATGTGCTATTAAATTTTAAATCCTAAACGAAATGCAGTTTCCAGATGTATTTATGTAAGGTGGCCCAAGACAAAATAAAAAAGTTAGAAACTAATTACCATAAAAGAAATTTCAATAGTAGTCAAAGGTCTATCACAAGAGAAAGAGAGAAAGAAAGAGAAAAAGGCCCCAGGCCCATAGAGTTTGACAGACAAGTTCTCCCAAATCCTTAAACAATAGATTCCCTCTTCAACAGTAAAAATAAAAAGCTACCTGACTCCCATTGCAAAATTATTGTAATCTTGACATCTAATTCAAATAAACATAGCACATACAAGAAAACTCAAACCCCACTTCACTTAGGAAAACAAATGTAAAAACCCTTCATAAAATATTAGCAAGTCAAAAGTAGCAATGTAGTAAAAGGATAGTAAATGAATAGTTGGAGAATATCTGGGGAGGCAGAACAATTTTAGAAAGAGCCCCGGACTAGGAGTTTGAGTCCTGACTTACTGGGTAAAGCTTATCAGCTTATATAACCCTCAGTTACGAGCCTCAATTTCCAATATTACAGTTAGATAGAGCCACTATTTGTTGAGTACTTAGTCTTGTCAGGAACTGTGCTGAATGTTCTACATGGATTACATTAATTTAATTCCATGATGAACCACACACACAAAAAAAAAAATCCCTCAACAGCCAAGGCAATTATGAGCAGAAAGAACAAAGCTGAAGTTATCACACTATGTGATTTCAAACTATGCTACAAAGCTATAGTAATCAAAACAGCATGGTATTGGCAAAAACAAAACAAAACAAAACAGATACACCAACCAGTGGAGCAGAATAGAGAGCCCAGAAATGATCCTATGCATGTATAGTCAATTTTCAACAAAGGTGCCATGGATACACAATAGGGAAAGGATTGTTTCTTTAACAAATGCTGTTGGGAAAATAGGATATCCACATATAAAAAAAATAAAATTGGACCCTTATCTCATATCCATATATAAAAATCAACTCAAAATGGATTAGACTTAAACGTAAGACCAGAAACTGTAAAACTACTAGAAGAAAATACAGAAGAAAAACTATATAACATTGGTATAGGCAGTGACTTTTTTTTATTTGACCCCACAGGCAACAAAAGCAAAAATAGACAAATGGAATTACATCAAACCAAAGTTTCTTCACAGCAAACAATTAACAATATGTAAAGACAACCTATGGATTAAAAGGAAATGTCTGCCAGCCATACTCCAATAAGGAGTTAATATCTAAAATATAGAAGATAGTTGGACAAGTCAATAGCAAGAAAACAAACAGGCAAAATTGAAAAATGAGCAAGGCTGGGCAAGGTGGCTCACACCTATAATCCCAACACTTCGGGAGGCCAAGATGGGCAGATCACTTGAACCCGCGAGTTCAAGGCCAGCCTGGGCAACATTGTGAAACCCCACCTCTACAAAAACAATAGAAAAATTAGCTGGGCATGGTGGCATGCACCTGTAGTCCCAGCTACCTGGGAGAATGAGGTGGGAGGATCGCTTGAGCCCAGGAGCTTGAAGCTGTAGTGAGCCATGATCATGCCACTCCACTCCAGCCTGGCTGACAGAGCAAGACCCTGTCTCAAAAACTAAAACTAAAAATGAATAATGGGCAAGCAACCCAAATAGGCATTTCTCAAAAGAAGACATACAAATGGCCAACAAATATATGAAAAAAAAAATGCTCAACATCACTAATCACTAGGGAAATGCAAATTAAAACCACAATGAGATCATCTCACACCTGTCAGAATGGCTATTATAAAAAAGACAAAAGGTAACAAGTGTTAGCAAGGATGTGGGGAAAAGAGAATCCTTGTACACTATTGGTAGGAATGTAAATTAGTATAGCCATATGGAAAACTATAAGGAGATTCCTCAAACAACTGAAAATAAAAGTGCCATACGATTCAGCAATCCCACTTCTGGATATTTACCCAAAAGATCTGAAATTATTTTGTCAAAGAGACATCTGCATTCCCATGTTCACTGTAGCACTATTAACAATAGCCAAGGTATGAAACCAACCCATGTGTCCATGACACTCAGCTAGCTTGGCTGCAGCTTGCTTTTGCTTCCTAAAACCTGCCCCTGCCACTCCTCCAGAGGAGCTGCTGTGCCTGTATTTGCAGAGAATAAAATGTGCCTGGGATTTTACTCCCCACCCCTGGGCCAGTAGAAAATAACTGACGGTGCAAGTTTATGAAAGCCCAGCTCCCTTGCCTCAGGGCAGGATAACTATGAGAGGTAACTTCGACCCTTGAACCCGTGGGATAAGCCTAGGCTTTGCCCAAAATCACACCTTGCTTGGCTTCTTTCCCTTTCCTGTTCTGCTTCCCCCACTTCCTTACCAGTTTCTCCTGAGATCCCTCCCTTCCTAAATCACTTGCACAGCACAGTGATTTGCACTATTGATGCAAGACAGGCAAGCCCCACAACTGGGGCTTATCCCAGGAGGGTTCTTGGCTTCACCCAGGAAAGAGTTCAAGGGCGAGCTGGTGATATTGGACAGCAGCTTTTATTAAAGCAGCAGTTCAGAGCAGCAGCAGAGGGACTGCTCCTCGCTGAGCAGGGCTATCCTGTAGGCAGTGTGCCCAGAATACCTAGTTCTGCAGTCATATTTATACCCACTTTTCATTATATGAAAATTAAGTGGCAGTTTATGCAGAAATTTCTAGACAAGGGTGGTAATTCCAGGTTACCAGGTTGTTGCCATGGAAAAGGGCAGTGACTTCTGGGTGTTGCCATGGCAATGGTAAGCTGACATGGCACACTGGTGGACATATCTTATGGAAAGCTGCTTCCACCCCATCCCTGTTTTAGCTAGTCCTCAATTTGGTCCGGTGTCTGAGTCCCACCTACAGAGTTGAGTCCCACCTCCTGAGTTGAGTCTCGCCTCTTACCTCACCATGTCCACTTAACCAAGCTGGAACCACATAACCTAGAATTCCCTTCCCTATACAGTTCTGGATTAGGTTTGGCCACAGGAGAATTTAGCATCCAATGGGGAGGGCAAGAGTGAAGCAGCATCCAAAAGCAGGTGAGCAGTACGCAGTGTTGCAACTCATCTATATTGTCATTGGTTCCCAGGCTTACCTGGTTGGTGAGGGGTGGTGAGCAGGTCCACAGCTACTCCATCTCCTGACAGCCCTCCCCCTTCAGCCTCTCCCCTTTTAGTTTCTCCTCCTTCCTCAACTCTGCTTCCTGGCCAAGGTGAGTGTCTAAACCCATGATGACGGGCACCACCTTCCCCTACAAGAGACTCCACATCATGGAAGTCGGAAGCATGCAAGTGGTTAAGAAACCAATGTGAGTTCCAGCTCATCCCCATAGGATTCAGTTCTTCCTCCTCTCCTCTATTCTACACCCATCTTTCTTTCCTGTCTGCCTGCCCTGCTGACTTCAAGCCCAGCACCAAACACAGAAGCAATGACCATAAACAATTCAACCATCTCCCATCATTGCTTTAGGCCACAACCCTGTAATCAATCCCTTATTCCATATTACTCCTTGTAGATCTGTTTCTCTGATTGAACCCTGGCTGATACACACAGGAATTCTCAGGCTCTGCTTCTGGGGAATATGACTTAAGACAATTGGGTTCTTGTTTTTTTGTTTGTTTGTTTGAGACAGTGTCTCACTCTGTCACCCAGGCTGAAGTGCAGTGGTGAAATCTCAGCTCACTGCAACCTCTGCCCCGCCGGGGTTCAAGCAATTCACCTACCTCATCCTCCTGAGTAGCTGGGACTACAGGTGCACGCCACCATGCTGGGCTAATTCTTGTATTTTTTGGTAGAGGCAGGGTTTCACTATGTTGGCCAGGCTGGTCTTGAACTCCTGACTTCAAGTGATCCATCTGCCTTGGCCTCCCAAAGTGCTGGGATTACAGGCATGAGCACCCGCCACCTAAGACACATTGTTTAATAAATGATGGGCTTTGTGACTTACCAAGGCCAAGTGATTATTCGGGCAATGCTGGACCTCAGTCCAGGTCTACGTGACTAAAGGCCATGTTCTGTCCCCTAGAGCACGCAGCCACTGCAGACACTGAGCCATGCCAAAGCAGTGGATTCAGAGGGACTTCTGGTTCACAGTCATTTAGTGCATATTGGCAGAATTCCTCCAGATGTGTAAATATTATATTTAGTACTTAAATTCTTTAAATTCAGCATGCTCAGCCGGCAATGCCAGCAACCAGAGGGAGTTACGACTGCTGAGAATCATGCAGCAGGGAGTCTGAGGGCAGAAACTCACCAATTCTCAGCACAGGCGCTCTTGTGGAATATTGATAGCTGGTCTAATATCTAAATAGAGTATCTCTGGCTCTTCCTACACCAGCAGGTGTTTCTCACTCCTGGCGCCTGAAATGTGTGTGCCTTCTAAGACTGTAAAAATAGGCACCTCTCATATTTCTATATAGGAACACTTAGAAACAAACAGCATTTGGAAAGCTGCATACATCTTATATGAAGTCATTCCACTTTTACAAGAGTCTTGCTATAAGTCTGATGTATGAGCATAGATATTTGTATGTCTATAAAGTTCTGGTGATGATGCCCTTAAAATTCTCTGTTCCAGAGAAAAGTAGGGAGAGGCAGGACAACTGCGATGAAGCATTGCTTTGCTTGAGAGCTCTTCACTAAACAAATGTGTAAATATCCAAATTTATGCTTTATGTTCTTAAATCCCTATATGTTATGGATTAGGACAAAAGTATCAAATTTTAAGTAGAATATTGGGAAAACCTCAAATAAAATTTAACTTTTCTAATTTTATAAATTATTTTGTTGCTGTATTGTTATTTTTTAATTGGTTTTTCTTTTCGATATTTTCAAACCACAGTTGGTTGGATCCACAGATGCAGAACCCACAGAGGGCCAACTGTAAGTTTCTATCTATCTATATCTATAGTTTAGGTAAAGATAATGTGTATTTATATCTAAATATATCTAGGTAGATATATAGAAAATCTGCATATATCTAAATCTATGTAGAGATAGATAGAGAAATAAACATAAAATCAAGAAGCTTCTATGAAACAAAAGTAGGGAGCTATAAAGGTAAAGACAGAAATGCAGAACAAAAAGCCAAATTAAGAAAAGAATAATGAGGAAATTTAAATTCTAATAGAATAATTAAAATCCTCATTGGAGATAATTTAAAGCAGAAAGGACATCAAAAACCATAAGAGATATAAAGAACAAACTTTAGGCTGGAAGTGGTGGCTCATGCCTGTAATCTCAGCACTTTGGGAGGCTGAGGCAGGCAGATTACTTGAAGTCAGGAGTTCAAGACCAGCCTGGCCAACATGGCGAAGCCCCAACTCTACTAATAATACAAAATTAGCTGGACATAGTGGTGTGTGCCTGTAATCCCAGCTACTCAGGAGGCTGAGGCACGAGAATTGTTTGAACCCAGGAGGCCGAGGTTGCAGTGAGCCAAGTTCATGCCACTGCACTCCAGCCTGGGCGACAGGGTGAGACCCTGTCTCAAAAAAAAAAAAAAAAAAAAAAAAAAAATCTTCACCTCAGATTGAAAGCTTTTACCCAGGGACAAAAATAAAATGTGTAGCCACAACCTGTCACAATTTATAAAAGTCTACTTCCCCAGATACCAACATTTGACATTAAATGTTGCCCACCACACACATTTAAATCTAGAATTCACAAGGTGATATTTTTTAGTGCTGATGAAGTATTTATACAGTAGCTGGGAAGTTTTTTTCTTTCATTTTTATTATAAAAGCAATATAAGTTCATGATAAGAAAGTCAAACAGAGCAGAAGGGCATATACTGAAATACAAAGGTCTAATCCTGAAACCCACTACTTATGTCAGCTCCCCAGAAGTAATTGCTGTGGTTAAGATCTGTTTATTCTAGGACTTTTCTATGCACATACCATTTACCGTTTTGTTTTTATACAAATGGGACCATACTATACATTACTGTTTTGCAACTGCTTTTTTCAGTATACAATAATACATATTGAGTATCTTTCCACATACAGGTTTTCATGGCTAATATTCTACCTATCAGAGATGCACAAAGAAATTTTAACTACTCTCCTATTCTTGGACATTTAGGAGAAATATCCAAGAAATAACAATAGTCCACACAATGATATAATGAATACACATCTTCATATACAAGCTCCCCACTAGAATATAAGTTCTATGCCCGCTTTGCCCACTAGTAAGCTCCCAGAGCTTAGAGCAGTGCCTGACACATTGGGTGCCCCATAAACATTCACCAGATGACTGTATGTGTATATGTATCTATACATGTATTTAAAATTTCTGTGTAGATTGACCAATCGCCTTCCAAAAAGATTGTTTCACTGTATACTCCTATGTATAGTTTTTGTTTGTTTGGTTGGTTGGTTGGTTTTTTTGAGACGGAATTTCGCTTTTGTTGCCCAGGCTGGAGTGCAATGGCGCCATCTCGGCTCACCGCAACCTCTGCCTCCTGGGTTCAAGCGATTCTCCTGCCTCAGCCTTAGCTGAGATTACAGGCATGCGCCACCACGCCTGGCTAATTTTTGTATTTTTAGTAGAGACGGGGTTCCACCATGTTGGTCAGGCTGGTCTCGAACTCCCGACCTCAGGTGATCCGCCTGCCTCGGCTTCACAAAGTGCTGGGATTACAGGCGTGAGCCACCGCGTCCGGCCCTATGTATAGTTTTTAAATTTTATTTTGTTTTGATCAGCTTGGGACGTCATCTGATCAAACGGACTTAACACAAATTCATTATCTTCCAGTTCTGGGGGTCGGAAGTCCAAAATGGGTGGATAGAGCTGCAGTCCTCCCGGGAGCCCTAGGGGAGAATCCATTTCCTTGCCTTTTTCAGCTTGTAAGGGCTGCATTCCTTGGTTCAGTGCCCGTTCCACATCACTCTGAACTCGGCCTCCTGTCACATCTCTGAATCTGACCCTCCTACCTCTCTCTTTCTCTTATAAGCACATTTGTGATACATTGAGCCCACCTGGATAATCCATATAATCCCCCCATCTCAAGAACCTTAACATACTCACATCTGCAAACCCCCCTTTGCCACATAAAACAACCTACAGGCTCCAGGGATTAGGATATGAACATCTTTGGGAAGCCGATATTCTGCCTACCACCGCTTGGGAGTCAGGTTTGAATTTCAGCTTTGTCATTTCAATCTTCATTTCCTAAATATGTGTTGAGTACCCCCATATCACGTCCTGAAATAGATCTAAGAAATACACTAACTAGCTCCCGTGGCCTTGCCCAAGTTATATAACCTCCCTGCACCTCCATTTTTCTCACTGGCAGAACTGACGAGATTAATATCTGCCTCAGAGGAAACGCTGTATGTAAAGTGTCTGCCGGCAACCCTTTCCACTTAAACAGCATTCAGGAATTATATGCTATTTTCATCTTGACAAAATGTAAGCAAAATACCAGATTAAGCAGTAAAGAGGTAGAGGAACAGATCCTCTTGGAAACGGCTAGTGTGAATGTGAATTGGTATAGGCTTTCTAGAGGGCAATGTGGCAATGTGAATGGAATGAAAAGCCTTACAAATTTTTTTCTCTTTATCCCAGTGATTATTCATTTCTAGACGTGTATCTGAAGGCCACGGCTGAATTTACATACAAAGATGTTTAGTGAAATATTATTTATATTACTGGAAGGGAAAAAGCAGAAACAGACTAAATGTCCTCTAATAAGCAATTAGGTAAGTACACCCACATAATGGAAATCTCATCAGCCATATAAAAGGACTTTGTAAAAGAATATGAAACATCATGTTCAGAGGTTTGCCAAATGTTAATGACAAAGCTGGGGATTTAAATCAGGGATATTAATTATCTCGTGTCGGTAAAAGAACTCCGTGTGATGAGAGAATGTGTATATAGATAGAAAAAAAAGGACTAAATAAAATAGATTTCGTGATGTTAACAGTGGTTATTTCCAAGTAATGGAAACAAGTGATTTTCATTTTTGTTTACTTGTATTTTCTATTTTCTAATAACAAAGGTGGGGGGTTTCTATACAAAACAATTCCTCTACTAGTTCAACTATCAGGCATTTCTAGGTATAGAACAAACACTGCGGGAGGTGTCCCTCTAGTGGAAGGAGGGATTTTTAAAAATAGTTTATTGTATTGAAGTCTTTGGGAGGCAAACAGAGGTCTGAAGTCAGTAAATGATTCTGCTTATTCCACAGCCACTGCACTCCAGCCTGGGCAACATATCAACATCCTGTCTCGGGAAAGAAAAAAAAAATTAAAAGAAGGATGGGGAGTAATCGCAAAAGGAAGGGCCAAAAACCACCCTAGGAAACAGGTGCTACTAACTCTTGGCGCATTTGGAATATTGACCAGTAACTTTTTCAACTGTCGATGTCGGGGGATTAAGCTCCTTAGGCTTACTTCCCCTTCCCTTGCTTTTTGGCAGCTTGAGGCTAGGGTGCCAGGGGATGTGGAAACTCAAAAGAGACGTGAATGGAGCCTGATATCTGCAAGCTACACCGACAGGGGGCGCCAGCCCCTACAGGTGACTCCATGAATCTTCGGCTCCACTCGGCTCTTCTTCGGCTGAGTTCGGCCAACGCTTGCCTTCTCAGGCTCGGCTCTCTTCGGCTTTCTGAGAGCGCGCCTGTCGTGGCCTCGGCTCCTCTTCGGCTGCGTTCGGCCCACGATCATCTCAGTCTCAGCTCTCCTCGGCTACGTTCGGCTGGCTGCCGTCCTCTCGGACTCGGCTCTCTTCGGTTGAGTTCGGCCTACTCTCCACTAGGAGTCGGCTTCCTTCGGCTGCGTTCGGCTGCGACCCGGAAGAGCTTCCATGGAGTCAGGGCAGCCGGCTCGACGGATTGCCATGGCGCCGCTGCTGGAGTACGAGCGACAGCTGGTGCTGGAACTGCTCGACACTGACGGGCTAGTAGTGTGCGCCCGCGGGCTCGGCGCGGACCGGCTCCTCTACCACTTTCTCCAGCTGCACTGCCACCCAGCCTGCCTGGTGCTGGTGCTCAACACGCAGCCGGCCGAGGAGGTGCGGCCGCGCTGGCGCGGGAGTGAGGGGACTCCGAGAGTGTTGAGGGCCTCCTGAGCGGATGCGAGGCCTCTGACAGGGATGGAGGGGCTCTGAGGGGGATTCAGGCCCCTGACACTACGCGATGACACAGAGAAGGATGGCAGGGGTCCCCAGGGGGATGCAGGTCCCTCACACTGCGGGAACACAGACGTATGTAAGGGGTCGCTAGGAGGATACCGGTCGCTCACACCGTGCGGGGACACTGATAAGAATTGGAGGGGCCCCGAGAAGGCTGCAGGTCCCTGGCAGGAGTTGAAGAACACTAAGAGGAATGCCAGTCCCTGACACTGTGCGGGGACTCTGAGAGGGAAGGGAGGGGTCCCAAGAAGGATGCAAGTCTTTGACCAGAGTTCAAGAACACTAAGAGAAATGGGAGGGGTCCCCAGGGGATGCGGGTCCCTGACACTGTGCAGGCACAGTGAGAATGATGGAAGGGGTCCCGAGAAGGATGCAATTCCCTGACAACACTAAGAGGGATGGGAGGGGTCCCCAGAAGGATGCAGGTCCCTGACATGGGTGCAAGGGCACTGAAAGGTGAAGGGGCTCTGAGTGGTAGGAGAGGATCGGAGGTCGCTGCAGGGGAGGGGGAGATGTCGGAAGGAGGATCTGGATAGGAATAACGGGAGAGTCCTGAAGTTGGCCATTAAGGGAGTTTCTGGGGGCAGAAGGAAGGTCCCTGAAAGGGAACAGTGATGAGGATGGAAGATCTCTGAGGGTGATGGGGAGACATGAAAGGAGATGCTGAGGCGCTGGAAAAACCCCAATAGGGAAAAGGAGGGACCAGGAAATAGGACATTCACCAAGGCTGTGTTAAGAGGGCCATAGGGTCAGAAAGGGATTGGAGCTTGACGCTGAGGATGTTGGCAAAGGTTAACTACAGTTAAGGACAATGGAGAACACTGAGAAAGATGGAATGGGGCTACACATGGGTCTGAGGGGTGTTGAGAGGGGACACAGCTTGGTCGGACAAGTCTGATGATCCCCTAGATATATCAGGTGGCCGGGAGAAAAATGTCAGCTGAGAAGAGTGACCACAGTCTCTTTGAGGGCAGGGATCCTGTTTGATTCATCTAGGTATCCCCAGTGCTTGGCATAGGGCCTAAGGCAACACACAGGGCCTAGTAAAGATGGTTTTAAACTGGGGATATAAATAAACCAAGCCAAGGGACCCAGTGACATGAAGTCCCTCTAGGATAGATTAGCACAGAACTGATAGTCTAAAACATTGTCTGGGGAAAGGATTCCCTTGTTATCATCTCATAGAATGTGCTTGGCTACAAACCTGGCTTTGGTGGGAAGTATTTTCTAGGTAGCAGAAATCTTTTAATCCAGGCTTTTAAAAGTTTGAGGTTTTGTATGTGTGTGCATATGTTATTGTAGTTGAGTGCTGATAATGACTGAAGTGCAATTATTCCTTAGTGTAAACCCCAAAACAAGAAAACCTCATTAAATGTAGACTGGTTGGCTGAAGTTACTATAAAGAAGTAACTTAGTGTGTATATTCATTATTAAGTTCATTATCTCAGAGAAAGACAGCACATTATTTTAAATATCTGTGACCTATTAAAAACTGCCCTGTATTAAATAGCCTACTAATCAAGTTTGATTTGATTTAGGAGTATTTTATCAATCAGCTGAAGATAGAAGGAGTTGAACACCTCCCTCGCCGTGTAACAAATGAAATCACAAGCAACAGTCGCTATGAAGTTTACACACAAGGTGGTGTTATATTTGCGACAAGTAGGATACTTGTGGTTGACTTCTTGACTGATAGAATACCTTCAGATTTAATTACTGGTAAGAATTTGAAATCTTATTATTAGTATGTAAATTTGTACTTTTTTTTTTTTAAGTACAATTTCCATTTTATTTTTCTCCAGAGAATAGTCTGTCTTCAGTCTTGAAGGACTCAGCTCCCTACATCACCTTTGGTAGGGGTCGTGGGGCAGCACCCACAGGTCTAAATCTGGGTGGGGGTGTTCGGTCCTTGCAGGCTTCACAAGATCGATTCCTGACTACTTTGTTGTGAATTGCACAACTCACACAGTAATTTAGCTTCACATACATCTTGGGAAGCACATAGGCGTCGAAGATGCTCGCTTCAGAAATGTCCCTGACTGCTGTGGCCTCCACTGTGTTTTGAATGACGAATTTCTTAATGGCTTTATCCTTGGGCACACATCAGGCACAGTTCGTGCAGCAAATAGGCTGCACATGGCCGCAGCCCTTTTTGGCATGACCGTTGTCCTTTCTTTTCTTTGTCATCTTGGAGGCACGGACCGGAGAGGGTATTTTCTACATTTTTATTTTTGTCTGTCTCCTCTGCTGAACGCTCTACTAGAACCTTCTAGTGGGCACTACTGGATCCTTTTGTTCAACATTATGCTTCCAACTTTCAGCATGATACCTGACACATTGTAGATGCTCAGTAAATATCTGTGACCTGAATAAGTAACTAAATGTTAGATTAACTTTTCATTGTTTTCTAAGCTCTTATTCAGTAAATACTTGCAATTCGTTAGCATTTGCTTTTAGAACTTAATCAGATTTGAAATGTTTATAAATAATCTTTGTATATTTCCTAAAATATTTAGTTTTCCTCCTTAAGATTTTTTTGGCATTATTTGAAATTAAATCAAGTAGTTGCTTGCTTATTTTGAGGAAAAATTATTTTAGCTAGAATTAAATAGAAAAGAAATTCATTTTCATTATCCTTTCAAAACCTTTTCTGATGTCCCCAAAGCTAATGTAGGGGCTGTGCCTCTGTGCCCTCATATTACCCTGTATTTCTCCCCAGTCATAGTGCTCACAACACTACATTATATTTATGTGTTTGTCTATCTCACTCACAAGATAAGCTGAAGCACAAGGAACAAGTTGTTCATCCCAGGCTAAATAACTGGTACATGGTAGGCACTAAAGACGTATTTGTTGGGTGAATGATGGATGGATATAGTACTGTGATCGTTAGTGAACTTCTGGAGGCAGAGAGACTCTGAAATTCATAATCTTATTCCCACTGTATCTGTCATGTTGCCCTGAACCTAGATGACCCTCAAGAAAAATTTGATAAATAAATGTGTCAATGAATGCTTCAATGGTAAACCGACTGAAGAAGTTTGGTTACTCTTTTATAACTTTTATAATTGTTATAAACAGTATCATAGGCTCACCTGGTTTTGAATGCTAACACCCTGCTTACAAAGCAAACTCCTTAATTTTCATTAACCCCAGTTTTCTCATTAAGAAAACAGTGCTTCCTGAAGTTATTATAAGGATTAAGTTAATAAAATAATTTCTTAGTATAGTGCCTGGTACACAACAAACTCTTAGTAATTCATACCAAATAAAATTGGCCTTTTGTAACCAGAAATCTTGATACACCAGTCTTTTACTGTTTGCTGCTTTCTTATAAGCTTGGTTTTACTTTATTTTTTAAATTGATTTAAAAAAATTTTTTTGTTGTGTTTAAAACTACCACTAGGTGTCAGTAATATCCTGTGACTTTCAGTTACAGTGCAACCTAATTAGGCAGAGAGCAATGTGAATTTATGCAACGTTGAAGTCTGGCTTATCTGTAGCTCCTAATGAAAAATGCCAAATTCCCTCCTCCTTTCTGATCAAAGCCCACCGAATAATGAAGCTGGAGCTGTTACTGATGCTTGGCTGAGTGGAATGTAAATGAATGCCAAAAATGAATTCTTTTGAATTCTTTCATCCCCTGGGATCATCCCCCAGGACTGACCAAAGAGCAGTGCGTGAAGTGCAGGTAACCCTCTGGAAAGGCTGAATCCCCCAGCCCCAACTTCTTCACCTGTCACCACCCATTATTACCACCACACCCCACCCTGGGAATCCCTGCTAACCAGAACTCCTAACACGTGGGAGAACTATATAAATATCTGGTGAGGTTGTACCTTGAAAAGAACAGGACAGGAGGATGCTTTCATTGCCAAAACTGACCCTGACATCTCCAGACAGAACTAAGAACACACTTTCTGGGAAATATATATGTATTTTTCAGTTACACTTTTGATTTGTGTACCCAGTGCTGTGCCTCCACTTTATATTCATTCAACAAATATTTAACTCACTAAGGGTCCCTTGTTTGGCAGGAAGGGTGCTGAAGATAGACAGATGAATGGGACAGTATGGTGAACTCGTGAGTTAGACTGCTTCTGGGTTTGAGTTATCTTCATCTTGCACCAGCTGTGTATTTTTAGGCAAGTTTCTTAATTTCTCTATGCCTCAGCTTACTCACCCGTACATTGGTGATAAAGATAGTACCTTCCTCCTAGGATTGTCAGGGTGAAATGAAATGCTTATATGTAAAATACTTGGTAGCATGGCACATAGTCAGCATTCTATGATCTCTGTGATCTCTGCCTGTTGGTGTTACGATGTTCCTGTTCTCGGGCAGTTTAATGGAGGAGACAAGTAAAGAAGTAGTTATAGTACAGTATGGGTACAAAATGTCATAGGAACAAAAAAAACTAAAGTAGGCTTTTGTGGAGCTAAAACTCCTCCCAAAAACCTAACCTGCTTCTATTATTTTTATTTTTTGAAAAAGGAGTGTCTTGAGTTGGTGTGACTAAATAGGAATAACATGATTTTACACATGATTTGGAACCTTCGGCCTCCCACTTGCTTGCTGGATGACCTTGGTTAAGTTGCTTCCCTTCCTTGGTCTCATCATGATACCTACTGCATGGAATTATCATAACAATTAAATGAAATGAAAATCTATAGAAACACCTAACCCAGTTACCTGGGATGTAGTATCAGTTCTCTTCTTCCTCCTGGGTTCCAACCAAAATAAAGACAACTTTTTGGAGCGCAACATTTTCTTAAATTGAGTTTCTCCTTTTCTTTGGAAGTTCATTTTTATTATTCTTGACTCTACGTAATATTTCAATCCAGGCTAACAAAATGTGGCCTCTTAGAGTCCTTGGGAAAACCCACCAATTAGGTACAGAATATTTTCTGAGTAGTAAATTAGTTATGTACGTGTATTGGGGGGGTTATTGAAAATCCTTTGTCTATGAATTCCTAAATAACATTATTAATTTTTACTATATTTGGAAGATAATTTGCTGAGCTAGAGTAAATTTAGCTCCATCCACCTCTATCCAAAACTTAAACATTAAAATAGTAAAATCTGAGTTTAGTTTATTGAACTATTAGAAGGGTCATAAATCACTGTTAGTATTATTGTCCATACCCTTCCAGATATGAGAACTGGATCAAAAGCATGCAAGTACCATTATGCCAAATATATATAAGGTAACCAGCTTGATTTAGGTCTAAAAGACAGACTCGTCTTGGAGTAATTGTGGTTTTGATCTAGAAAGCATGTCTGTATGCCTTTATGTCATCTCATGTTTCTCCCTAACTTAGCACTAATCACACTGCATCAGATGACACAATATATATGAAAGATCTGGGTCAGTAGTCTCATTTCATAAATAACAAAGCATGTATAATTGTTCTTATTTTTGAGATGCTGAGGTGTTATAATCATGTACACCCCCAAAGACATGTATAAGTATGTCGATTGAAGGTTTTTGTTTTAAATGGACTAATTTACCTCTGAATTGACTATCTTCTGATTCTGAAAATTGAATTCATCTCATAGGTAATGTAGATGTTGCCCAGACTTCTAAAATGTGGCTATTTTGTATAGTCCACATCTGATTCATACATTAAAAAAAAAAAATTCATGACCTACTTTGCTTTCAGAAATTCTTCCTCTGACATGCCAGAAACACCCCACCCCAGGGCCTGTGCCCTCACTGTCCCCTCAGCCTGGCAGCCTGGAACTCTCTTGGCCCAGATGGTCACAAGGCTCCATCCAGCCTTTATTCAGATACCACCTTGGTGAGACCACCCCTCATACATACTCCCTCTCCTCCTTCTCTGATTCATTTTTTCTTCTCAGCACTTGTAGCATCCTAAATATTTTACGTATTTATATTGTTTATAGTCAATTCCTTGAGGACAGGGATTTATCTCTGTTCTGTGCGTGGCTATATGCCCAGTCTAGAATGGTGCTTATTCATTCTCTTGTAAGTACTTAAGAAAAATGTGATGAATGAATGGCAATTACCTACCTGTTCTGTAGTTTAAATTATGTTTCTCCCCCTCAGGCATCTTGGTGTATAGAGCCCACAGAATAATCGAGTCTTGTCAAGAAGCATTCATCTTGCGCCTCTTTCGCCAGAAAAACAAACGTGGTTTTATTAAAGCTTTCACAGACAATGCTGTTGCCTTTGATACTGGTTTTTGTCATGTGGAAAGAGTGATGAGAAATCTTTTTGTGAGGAAACTGTATCTGTGGCCAAGGTAAAGAACATTATGTGACAAATAATGATGACATTATTTGTCATCTTTGTTTGTGAGATCTACTGTAACTTAGTTGCACTTTGATGTAATATAATGTAAAATTCATTGTAATTTTGTTTGATAGAACCTAGTCAGTTTTATAACAAACACATCCAGCTATAAATATGTATTCACCAAGTTTGTGGTTTTATTTAAGTCGAGAGCAATTTGATGGTTGCTTTTCTGCTGGTCCATCACATCCATCCAAGACAGCCACTTTATTCTTTCTTACACATTTAGGGAAACTCCCAGGGATCTAGAGACCCACATATACAACAGCTTTAGGTGTACAGCAGATTTATTGGCTAACATTACCACTTCTGCTTTGAAAATTACTCAACAGGGAAATAAAGCACAAAGGTTTTGAAGAAGTTTTATTAATTTCTAGGAATAACATTAAGGTTTCAGTTTTCAAACATTTTTGCAACCTATGCTACCATGTATTTTGGTTATAATATATGTTATTTTGAGAGTAGTTGTACACCGGGTGCAGTGGCTTACGCCTGTAATCCCAGCGCTTTGGGAGGCCAAGGCAGGCGGATCACCTGAGGTCAGGAGTTCGAGACCAGCCTGGTCAACATGGTGAAACCCTGTCTCTACTATAAATACAAAAATTAGCCAGGCGTGTTGGCACATGCCTGTAGTCCCAGCTACTTGGGAGGCTGAGGCAGGAGAATCACTTGAACCCAGGAGGCAGAGGTTGCAGTGAGCTGAGATCGCACCATTGCACTCCAGCCTGGGCAACGAGCGAAACTCCATCTCAAAAAAAAAAAAAAAAAAAAAGAGTAGTTATAGTATTTTTAACTTTCTTGATTATACCTTGTTTTAGGAGTCAACAAACTCTTCATGTAAATGGCCAGGTAGTAAATATTTTGGGCTTTGCAGGCCATATAGACTGTCACAATTACTCAACTCTGTTATTGCCCAAAAACAAGTATAGACTGCTTACATAAGTAATGGTGTGACTGCATTCCAGTGAGACTATAGAAACAGGTACAGGATTTGGCCCAGACCGTAGTTTGCTGACCCTTTCCTTATCTGAATAATACACTGCTTCTATTCATTGAGGTTCAAAGTGTTTTTGAAAATGTTGTTGCTTTGCTTTTCATTTGTTTGTTGTTTTGCTTTTCGTGTTGTTTGTAGCATTTATAAAAATGGGGTGTTAAACCAAGACCAGAAATACATAGCTGCTGAAACTCTAGAAAATTGTTGAAAAATATTTGTCTCTTTAGGTTCCATGTAGCAGTAAACTCATTTTTAGAACAGCACAAACCTGAAGTTGTAGAAATCCATGTTTCTATGACACCTACCATGCTTGCTATACAGACTGCTATACTGGACATTTTAAATGCATGTCTAAAGGAACTAAAATGCCATAACCCATCGCTTGAAGTGGAAGATTTATCTTTAGAAAATGCTATTGGAAAACCTTTTGACAAGGTACTCTTTTTCCTTTTAAGCACAGTTTATTATGTTGTAATTTTAAAGAATGCAAGTTATTTTAATATTTGCAATGTTGTTAATAGGAATTTGCTGTTATTTAAGAATAAAATTGGAGGTCACTTAAAAACATAGCTTCTTTGGTTTACTGGAAAGTAATAATTTATAGTAAAGTATGTGGATTGGCATATAAGCATCACTCTGACTTTTGCAGTTATAGTAAGTGATTATCTCTTATTTTAACTATAATCAAGAAGAAAATAAATAACTTTTTTTACTTTGAAATGACAACACTTGGATGTCTACAGGTAGAAGAGTTTTACATAAGAATGCTCCATAATTGTACATGAATTTATGATCTCTTTTATGGAATAAAAAATAATTTGGATGAGTTTTCATTACTGAGGAGTGTGAAACTTGCTCTGTCTTAAAATTACATTCTGAATTGAGGAAATGGTAAGACATCAGTTCCAGGAATTTTTATTCTAACTAATTTTTTATTATAGATTAATATTGCAGATATATAAATGTCTACTTTTTCATTATAGATTAATATTATTACAGATACATAAACGTCTAGTATTGAATTGGAGATCCAGAAAATGCTGACCTTTTAGAAATTCTTGGCAGCCTTTTTGTCATATTCTGGTAGAAAAAGTTTCTGTCTTTTAAACTCTGAGTCAATCTCTATGTCACTGGCAATAATGCGTGGCGATTATAAAAAAGGAAAAAATTGACTTATTTCTCTGATTCTTCAAAAAAGTCAGTTGACTATGAATATTGATACATAAAACTAATTTTATATATTCTGTTCCTCTGTGCTTAAAGTTTTTTATGATTTAGTCCATGGTGATTTTTTTTAAATCCCACACAATCTTTTAATAGAATGTGTATATCCCTAGAAAAATAAAATTGTAGCCTAACATGTTTCACACTGAATTTCTGTTGATTATCCCCCGGTTAGTAACAGTCACTTCATTGTTTTAGATATTCTTTTAGTAACCATATCTAAATATAGATATCCCATGTGTCTTGTTAAAATGTTTAATATTTTGTAGATGATTTTACAAAAAAGGCATGTAGTTATATATCCCAGTTTGTTCAGGATAGTCCCAGTATCTACCTGTTGTCCTGCAGTGATTATAAATAGTGTATCATTTCTTTTTCCACAAGTGTTCTGGTTTAGACAATAAACTATACAGTCATCCAGATACTTCTCCTGCTCATTATTAAATTTGTTAGATAAGATTCCGTGCAATGGTACTGCTTTTATATCAGGCTACAAATTTCTGATTAAAAATCAGATAATTCTGTACCTAAAAAGTAACAGAATCAGTCTGTGAAGGAAACATACATATACATAGCTGTGGATATGTAGGTACCTACATAGTGTATACATAAAGCTGTTCTTTGTTTTAGACAGCATTTTGGAATCTTAAAAAATAATTGGCCGGGTGCGGTGGCTCACGCCTGTAATCCCAGCACTTTGGGAGGCCGAGGCGGGCAGATCATGAGGTCAGGAGATCGAGACCATCCTGGCTAACACGGTGAAACCTCGTCTCTACTAAAAATACAAAAAATGAGCTGGGCGTGGTGGCAACGCCTGTAGTCCCAGCTACTTGGGAGGCTGAGGCAGGATAATGGCACGAACCTGGGAGGCGGAGGTTGCAGTGAGCCGAGATTGTGCCACTGCACTCGAGCCTGGCTACAGAGTGAGACTCCATCTCAAAATAATAATAATAATAATCAAACTTAGTCCATTGTTAATTTAACAAATATTTTCCTATCATGAATCCACTTTAGAAAAAACACTAAAGAAATTTTTACACCAACAAATTATGGTACGTTGTTATTTAATTTGATAATTCTTATTTAATTTGTACATGGGCATCAAACTAAATTTTTCATTTCTTGGTTATACCTTATTTTAAAGGTCAAAAAACATGATACTCATGTACAAATTAAATAGCAATGTACCTTAATTTGTTAGTAAGCCATCGTGCTTGTGTATGCCCTCTGCTTGGTCCATTTGGATCCCATGTCTTTATCCATCCAGGATAGTCAGAGTCAAACTTGGCAGGAATTGAACATATCTGAGCTACATGCTTAGATTCTGTTCATAAAAACAAATAATTGATTATCTGATGTTTATAAGGTCTTTTCTCCCCTGACAGTAATATATATTTGGATGATAGATTGACTCTATCTGATCATAAAGATTCTAGCAGTAAGACATTCTTCTATATTTGAAAATTTAAACATTATTATTAGAATTTTATTAACTGAAATGTTCTAGCCACTTCCTTGAATAATGCTTGCAGTTTTTTTATTGTAGTAAAATATATATGACATAAAATTTACCATTTTAACCATTTTTAGATACACAGGAAATAATCCTTTTGAAAGTATGATTTGTATTAAGAATAACTATACTTAACATATTTTAGCAATACCAAATTTTATTCTTGTTTTAGACAATCCGCCATTATCTGGATCCTTTGTGGCACCAGCTTGGAGCCAAGACTAAATCCTTAGTTCAGGATTTGAAGATATTACGAACTTTGCTGCAGTATCTCTCTCAGTATGATTGTGTCACATTTCTTAATCTTCTGGAATCTCTGAGAGCAACGGAAAAAGCTTTTGGTCAGAATTCAGGTGGGAGATTAAAATACTAATAATATTCTAAGAGCTGATTTGAATAAAGTGTTAGGTTTTAGGGGGAATCAGGTGTGAAAAGTGCTATATTCAACTATATGTTATACTGAGATTTCAAATTATGTTTTATGTTCATAGCACAAAGATGTAGGTTTTATTGATAGCTAATGTTTCCGCCTACTTAACGTCTGTTCTGTATAATAATAAATATTCATATCCGTTCCGGGCAATTTTATTTCTAGAAAAGACTGTGTGTAGTACAGGCAGTCCTCAACTTAGAAATAGGTTGTGTTCTGGAAGTTTAGTTGTTAAGAACTTAAAATTCATTTTCCTCAAAGCAAAAGCAAGGGAGTATGGGGCTTCCATCAGCTAGAGTGCCAAAGACTGAAGAGCAGAAGAGATTTTAGGGAAATATACATATACAGCTGGCCACCATCTCGTTTGGCTACCACTGTTTTGGCCTCTGTCACTGTTTGACCAGACCAGCGGTTTTCAAAGTGTGGTCCGTGAACCCCTGGGGTCAAGATTTAATACAGTTAATAATTCTGATGGTTCTTTAGGGACATTCTTAAGTGATGAACTGCAGAAGCATGACAGTAAAGAATGCACTGAATGCCAGTACACTTTCATGGCACTGCCTTGGTTCATGCTACGGCACCAGCATGTACAATTATGGAGCATTCTTATGTAAAACTCTTCTACCTGTAGATATCCAAATGTTGTCATTTCAAAGTAAAAAATGTTATTTATTTTCCTCTTGATTATAGTTAAAATAAGAGATAACCACTTACTATATAACTGCAAAAGTCAGAGTGATGCTTATATGCCAATCCACATATTTTCCTATAAATTATTACTTTCCAGTAAACCAAAGAAGCTGTGTTTTAAATGACCTCCAATTTTATTCTTAAATAACAGCAAATTCCTATTAACAACATTGCAAATATTAAAATAACTTGCTTTTACGCCATCACTGGAAATGTCAACGCAGTGAAAAAAGTCAAATAATGTCATGGTATTGTTACGAGAAAAGTTCTGACATCACATAGCCCTGAAAATATCTTGGGGGCCCCTGGGAGTTCACGGACCACACCCAGAAAACCACTGGTCCAGCTGAACAGCGACAGATCACAGTAGTGGGAGGCGGTGTGGTTGGTAGGAAGACAGGATGACAGCCAGTTACGTATGTAGGTCATGTGACCATCAGAGACTGTTTTAAATTAACCATAAATTGATGGCACTTTTTCTTTTAACTTTTCGTATTAGGTTGGCTGTTTCTTGACTCCAGCACCTCGATGTTTATAAATGCTCGAGCAAGGGTTTATCATCTTCCAGATGCCAAAATGAGTAAAAAAGAAAAAATATCTGAAAAAATGGAAATTAAAGAAGGGGAAGGTATCTTGTGGGGTTAAGTCTTTAAATGTGTTTTTTATTTCGGTATTTGGTATGGAAATTTAAAGTGCAATTTAAAGTCTTCTTTGGCCATGTGAAAAGTGTGTTCCTTGAAGATAAATGTATGTATGTTTGTTATATGTAACATGTAATGTATGTTGAAAGTATATATGTAAAGTATATGTGTAATGTATGTCGAAGTATACAGCATGGCAAGTCTTGCAGTCTATTGCCCAGGGCTTCCAAATAACAGATGTCAAATATTGATCAAAAGTATGCTACATGAGGAGCTATATATTGATTTTTTTAGAACTTCAAAGTAATTATTATTTTTGAGTCAGAATGAGGTTGGGGCATGGTGGCACACACCTATAATCCCAGCCCTTTGGGAGGCCGAGGCAGGAGGATTGCTTGAGCCCGGGAGTTCAAGACCATCCTGGGCAACAAAGCAAGACTCCATCTCTACAAAAAAAATTTTAAGGCTGGGCTCAGTGGCTCACGTCTGTAATCCCAGCACTTTGGGAGGCTGAGGCAGGCCGATCACCTGAGGTCAGGAGTTTGAGACCAGCCTGGCCAATATGGTGAAACCCCGTCTCTATTAAAAATACCAAAAATTAGCCAGGCGTGGTGGCGGGCACCTGTAATCCCAGCTACTCAGGAGGCTGAGGCAGGAGAATCACTTGAACCCAGGAGGCGGAGGTTGCAGTGAGCTGAGATCACACTACTGCACTCCAGCCTGGGCAACAGAGTGAGACTCGGTCTCAAAAAAAAAAAAAAAAAAAAAACACAAAAACTTTTAAAGTAGCCTGGCGAGGTGATGTGCACTTATCGTCTCAGCTACTTGAGAGGCTAAGGTGAGCCCAGGAGTTGAAGGTGACACCAAGATATGATCACACCACTATACTCCAGCCTGGGTGACAGAGTACGACTGTGTCTCAAAACTAATAAATAAAGTCAGGATGGAATATTTGAATATCCTTTTTAATTTTTAAGCAACATAAATATACTAGAATGAGGCAAATATGGGTTTTATTCCAGCATCTTATCTAGTGATACCGTAAATATCACTAGTTTTTTAAGGCATGGGATAGGGTTAATGCCTGCTTTCTGCCTAGTTTAAAGGTCTGTTTCAAAACTTAACTGAGGCCGGGCGCGGTGGCTCATGCCTGTAATCCCAGTACTTTGGGAAGCCAGTGCAGGTGGATCACCTGAGGTCAGGAGTTCGAGACTAGCCTGACCAACATGGTGAAATCCTCTCTCTACTAAAAATACAAAATTAGCCAGGAGTGGTGGCACATGCCTGTAATCCCAGCTACTTGGGAGGCTGAGGCAGGAGACTTGCTTGAACCCAGGAGGCAGAGGTTGCAACGAGCCGAGATCATGCCATTGCCTCCAGCCTGGGCAGTAAGAGTGAAACTTCGTCTTAAAAAAAAAAAATCTTTTTAAAGAAAACTTAATTGAATATATTATTGATGTGTTTGTGTTTGAATGCGTATAGGAACAAAAAATTTAATTGTTGTCTACTTTTATCCATGTTCAGGATTATGAAAGTCATGGGGATTTTAGAAATAGTAAATACTGTCATTGTGTACCGATGCCTTTGTTTTGTATAGCTGCTTATATATAGTGTCACAGAAACAACTAACACAGAATGGTCTCTCATTAGTGACCATGCATATAACTTTCTACCAAGGCATTTTGAAAGCCATATTAATGGTTTGAAGTATCTTTCATTTACACCTTAAGTAGATCTTTTTCAGGAAAGCAGATTCCATCTAACATTATAAAGAAAGCTTAAATAAATGGGCATATGTACTGATGCTCGTGTTATCTGTTGTTTTAAAAGCCTTTGGAAGACTTTATGGGTAAATATTATCACATAGAATGAGATATTTTTATTTCTCTACAGAAACAAAAAAGGAACTGGTCCTAGAAAGCAACCCAAAGTGGGAGGCACTGACTGAAGTATTAAAAGAAATTGAGGCAGAAAATAAGGAGAGTGAAGCTCTTGGTGGTCCAGGTAGGAAAAAAGGAGATGAAAACATTTGCTTCCAAAATCTATCAAATGAGTCCTGATTTAATTAGCTCTTTAAAAGTAGTTCAAGACTAGCCTGACCAACATGGTGAAACCCTGTCTCTATTTTAAAACACTGCTATTTTATCTATAAAATGTAGACAAATAAATGGCAAATGAACACTGAGATCCTAGTGGCAACCTCATTTCTGTTCGTTTGATGTTGTTTTCTCCAGGTTGAATCATTGTATATTCATGAAAGCAGGTTTTTAAACTAGTTGGGTTCTTAGAACTTCTATTTAAAGATTGAGCTAATCTCTACACATATTCACCAAGCTTTAAATCTGGAATCCCCAAGGAATAAACTAATGGGTCTCCTGTTTTATATCCTCAGCCAAGTATCTTTCCAAAAAAGCCTCAACTCTTCTATTACTTCAATATGTAATGAGCCGGTACAAACTGAAGACATTGTCTAAATTGGCAGAGGAGACTAACACAATTCACAAAAGAGGAAAAATCCATTTGGAATTAATTTAGGCATATATGAGATCCTCTGGAAAAAAATATTAATTAAAAAGAACTTCTTTAAAGCCCCAATTACACCACAGTTGTACTTTCATAAGATTAAATAGTCTGGCTTCAACTTTACTGAAAAGATTTAAGTAATCTTGCCAGAGAGGAGAAAGCATTTGATCAATACCTAAGACCCTTTTTAAATAGTTTGTAAATTGTGGATCTTTAATACCAAAGGGTAAGATGTCTTCCCTTCGGGTGAAGGAATAAGGGGGCACAGGGAAACTAGGAGGACAAGTGAGGTAATAGTAACATAATGTTGTTTTCTATTTTCAGGTCAAGTACTGATTTGTGCAAGTGATGACCGAACATGTTCCCAGCTGAGAGACTATATCACTCTTGGAGCGGAGGCCTTCTTATTGAGGCTCTACAGGAAAACCTTTGAGAAGGATAGCAAAGCTGAAGAAGTCTGGATGAAATTTAGGAAGGAAGACAGTTCAAAGAGAATTAGGAAATCTCACAAAAGACCTAAAGACCCCCAAAACAAAGAACGGGCTTCTACCAAAGAAAGAACCCTCAAAAAGAAAAAACGGAAGTTGACCTTAACTCAAATGGTAGGAAAACCTGAAGAACTGGAAGAGGAAGGAGATGTCGAGGAAGGATATCGTCGAGAAATAAGCAGTAGCCCAGAAAGCTGCCCGGAAGAAATTAAGCATGAAGAATTTGATGTAAATTTGTCATCGGATGCTGCTTTCGGAATCCTGAAAGAACCCCTCACTATCATCCATCCGCTTCTGGGTTGCAGCGACCCCTATGCTCTGACAAGGGTACTACATGAAGTGGAGCCAAGATACGTGGTTCTTTATGACGCAGAGCTAACCTTTGTTCGGCAGCTTGAAATTTACAGGGCGAGTAGGCCTGGGAAACCTCTGAGGCAAGTTATAAAGAATCACAGCTTTCAGTTGCACAGTTCTTTAGGATTTAACCCAGAAACTATACCAGTTGCATGTTAGTTTTCTTTAATATCCGTTACGATGCTGCTTATGTTTATGAAACCTTATTTTGCTTCCTGATGAATCTGGGAAGTTGGATAGGAAGGATGTCAAGTATCACAGCAGAACAACAAACCAAGGGGACTGCTCTTGTTCTCGTTACGTGCTGCTGTGCGTTCTCTCCTTTATTCTTTGGGTATTGGTTTGCATCGTATGGGGTACTGTATCTGAAAAAGTCTGGGAAATGCATAATATTCTAATTTCTAACAAAAGTTAATATAACTGTGACTCGGCTAAGTAATTTTAATCTTCTAAAATATCTTTCCTATAAATTTTAAGAAATGACTCTAAATTACATCCATATAAAACTAAAGTGTTGGGGGAATTACTGTACCAGGTTTTCTTGAGTTTCAAGATATATCAGATGAAACATCTACAGAAATATCAGATGAGAAAATGATGCCTCCCAAAGAAGATAGTGTTCTGGCTTTCCAATTATCTGAGGGGAAATAAACAGCAAAATTAATATCCTGAACTCAGTCTGAACCAAAAACGGAGCCAAAAGAAACCTTCCCCTAGCATTTTAACTAACACAGCCTTTCAGAGTAGAGATGAATGGAGGAGCTGGATCAGAAATAATGCAGGATGAAGAGATTAGATGAGGCTGGTAAAATAATTATAGGCTGGTAAATTTTTTGTACCGTGCTGTTGATCAACTTTGTAGATAGCTTATGTACACCAAGCTTCTTTCTTGCCTGAGAACAGAATAGTGTGGTATTTGGGAGCAAAATGTTAGAATCAGAAGGGACCTGGGAGTTCAACCACTTACTCTATCAACGGGAAACTGAGGCCCAGAAATGGTGACTGAGTTGGCCTTGGCCACATGACACATCCGTGGGAGAGCTGAGTCTCTTGACTCATCACCCAATGATCTTTTCTCTGTTTACACTTCAAAGAATTATCATCTAGGAAGATAACAGCTAAAAGAAAAACCAAGGCTCAAAAAGGAAAATAGCTTTGACTGAAGGTGAAGCAAAGGGACAGAGGAGGTGCTTAATTCAGCTCTCTTAGCAACAAACAAGATGGAAAAGCAGGCCTTTTTTTTTTTTCCTTTTTTTTTTTTTCTTTGAGGCAGTGTCTTGCCCAGATGCCCAGACTGGAGTGCAGTGTTGCAATCATGGCTCACTGCAGCCTCAACACCTCCCCCTTTCCCTGACTCACGTGATTCTCCCACATCAGCCCCAAGTGGCTGGGACTACAGGCATGTGCCACCATGCTCAACTAATTTTTTTTTTTTTTTTGTAGAGATGGGGTCTCAGTATATTACCCAGGCTGATCTTCTGAGCTCAAATGATCCTCCCACCTCAGCCCCCCAAAGTGCTGGGATTACAGGTGTGAGCCACCGTGCCCAGCCTAAAAACCAGGACTTTTCTAAGAGAAAGTAGATCAAATTATTCTTTGAGATGCCTGATGTAATCCATACGTCTTCCATGCCCATGTATTTATATAAAATGTGTGACCGCTGTATTCTGTTAAGACATGAATTAAAAAAAACGTTCATAGGCTGGTTTTCATAACTACTGTCCAACTTTTTAAATGATTGTTTGGCTGAGGTACAAAGAAAGAATTGGAGAAGCCTCTAAAATTTGTGTGTTTTTCTGTTTGTTTATAGTTATGAGGAGAGAATTATTCTATCCCTCTAGTTATATTTCAGTGTTTACCTAAACTCGTTTCTTCCTTTTGGCAAAAGAAAATAAAAAATGCCCTGTGTGGTAACGAGACCTTTAACAGGTGGGGTTTAGGCAGCTTAATTTGAGCTAGTGTGTGATAAATGAAACCTTTGATTCTTAGTCAAATATTTGTTATTTGAGCGCTCTAGGTTGCTGATTTCACATGTTCTGCTGTTCCTTTCAGGGATTAAAAATGCTGTTTTTCCAACCTAAAAGTTCTGTCTTAACATGCAGGGTTTACTTTCTTATATACGGAGGTTCAACTGAGGAACAACGCTATCTCACTGCTTTGCGGAAAGAAAAGGAAGCTTTTGAAAAACTCATAAGGTAATACATAGAAAATCAGTATGAAAGCCCCAACTACATTGGAAACCTCTGGATGGGGGAATATCAGATAGTCCTGCTCAGGAAGGATAGGGCAAGGAAGACGTTGGAGAGGATCACATTGAGATAAACCTGTGGTCTGAATTGTCCTCCAGTGTAGATCTCAGCACATACTTCCTTTTTCTCTTCCCCGTCTCTTCCTTCATCTCCAGTTGCTTTTCAGTGGTTTGTTTAATAGAATATTAGAAATGTGACAAAGACAACTGCTTTTTTGTTTGTGAAGCAGTATGATAAAACACGAGAAATATAGCTAAAATACTGCTTTTCTAAGAAATACATTAGTAAATCTCCCTCCTCCCTGCCTTATGCACAATATGTCCTTGGGTGGGTGGCTGCTTTACCGTTTATTGGGAAATGCTTTTACAACACAGCCAATTATGATCACCATCAATAGAATCACTCTGGGAAAATATTTCTTAGGAAGTGTGTTGTTTGTCTGGACATACACGTGTATGTTTTTAAGAATGAGTATCTGGTACTATTCCAAATCCAAGTAGAAAATGCCCTTCCATTTTACGAAAGGAAAATGGTGAGATGTTCACAAACTGGTTGGCTACCTCTTGCCCTGAAGGCATTCGATAAATCTGATAACCACCTACCAGGGATATTGTCAAGAAGATTGCAGCCTGGTGTGGGAAGATGGGCCAGATAATCTCTAAGGGCCTCAGAAGCCAGGGCAAGTGCTGGATGGGGCATCACAGAGCTGAGCCAGAGAAAGTTAGATCAGCAGAGACCATGGCCTGGACGGAGTGGGCTGGGCCAGAGCAAACTTCCAAGCCTCAGACATTGGCAATGGAGGGCAGAAATTATTTTTAGCAGTAGTCAACCTGCGAGGACTGCCAAGACCCTAGGCCAAATTTCAAAATGGATAACCATTCTGCAGTGGTGGCTGCGGGTTCTCAGTGTATGTGCAAAATATACATATAACCTGGATAGCCCAGGAGAAGAATTCTTGGAAATGGGGGTATTTGCTGAATCAGTGGCATGGAGTCCCACGATGGGGGTCAGCATGGTGCATGGGCGGTCCCCTCTTTTCCCTTCACATCCTCTCGAATGGTGATATGCCTTGGCCATGGATTCATCCAGCTGCTAGTCATACAAGTATTGCTCAGTCCTCTCAGCCTATGAAAATATGTTTCCTACCAGTGTGCTCTATGGGATTGTTTATGTCGTATATGTGGGTATATATATTTTTCAAAAACCTAGTTCAGAAATCGTGTTATAACAGACCAGGCATTATACCAGCCGCCTCTTGTTCCAGGCTCTTTGCTCCTCTCTGTCTTACTCTTTGTCTGCTAGACCTTCACGCCACAAGGCTCAAAGAGTAAACAGGTATTTATTAAGCATCTGGTATGTGCCAGGCCCTGTGCTAATATTAAAGTGCTGAGGTTACAAGTGGTGCAGAAAAAGCCTCTGCCCTCCTGGAACTTACCCTTTAGTGGAAAAGACAGACATTAAATTATTATAAATATTGTAATAAGTAGAGGTATACAGAGCACCGCTGGCTGCAAAGGTAAAAGAAGAGGGTGTAATAGGAGAGTACATCAAAGACCTCACCCAGACCACAAGCTGATCGGGAGCCGCTTCCCTGAGGAAATGATATTCAAGCTGATACTAGGCAGATGGGGTGGAAAGGGGGTTATGTTGAACAAAGGCGTGCACGAAGGCTCCCAGGTACAAGAGGCCCTGTAAAGGATTTAGGGCTTCACGGGCAGTAAGACCGCACTGAAGCATTCTAAGTAGGAAAGGGACTTAGGTATGTTTGTAAAGGCTTTCTCTGGCATCAAGCTGAGGAGTGAGTGAGGGTGGAAACCAGTCAGAATGCTAGTGCAGTCTGATGGGAGAAGGTGGTAGCCAAGATTAGGTTAATGGAGGAAAGAAGACAGATTTGAGAGAGATTTGGGAGATAGAATCAAAGAATTGGTGATACTGGATGTGGGCCAGTACCTCCTGACCATTCCTTCACTCTTTTTAGAACAGCCTTTGCCCAAGTTTTCGCTCATTAAAATAATTGTCACCTAGATAGAAATGAGTGCACAGAGCTAAAATACTCAGATTGGGTTTTCAGTGTTCATGTCAGGGTTCCCCAAGATCATCCTCAGGCTCGATGATTCACTAGAACTCACATGAGTCAGAAAAGGTGTTATACTCACAATACAGTTTCTTCCAGCAAAAGGATACAGATTAAGACTGGATGCAGTGGCTCACGCCTGTAATCCCAGCACTTTTGGGAGGCCAAGGCGGGCAGATCACTTGAAGTCAGGAGTTCACGACCAGCCTGGCCAACATGGTGAAACCCTGCCTCTACTAAAAATGCAAAAATTAGCCAGGAGTGGTGGCGCATGCCTGTAATCCCAGCTACCCGGGAGGCTAAGGTGGGAGAATCACTCAAACCCCAGGAGGTGGAGGTTGCAGTGAGCTTAGATCGTGCCACTGCACTCCAGCCTGGGCAACCGAGTGACCCCCGTCTCAAAAAAAAAAAAGAAAAAAAAGATTAAAATCAGCAAAGGGAAAAGGCACATGGGGCAAAGTCCAGGTAAAACCAGGCCTAAGCTTCCAGGTGTCCTCTCCCAGTGGAGTCACATGGATGTGCTGAGTCCTCCCAGCAACAGTGTGTGACCACACATGCAAAGTGTTGTCAACAGGGAAACTCACCTGAGCCTTGAGTCCCCACATTTTTACTGAGCTGAGTCACATAGACACAGAGTACCTCCATGGCTGGCTACAGCTCCTCAGACTCCAGCCCCCAAAGCAGCAACAGACATTTACGATAAATCACATCGTCAGCATAAACTATCTGATCCAGCTGGCACATTGTGACCCAAGGCCTCAGGCATATAAAAACCTTATCAGGGAGAATACTCCAGGGGCTCAGAGCTCATCTCCCAGGAGCTGACCAAGAGCCAGTGTTGAGGAGAGAAGCCTTTCTTGGAAACATGCAGAGTTTGAGCAGCCCAGGCCTGCTGAGTTAATCCTTTCCTGCACAGCGTTAGAGCCAGAGGAGCCTGATAGAATGGGAGGAAGACAGCACCTGAGTAGGTGAGTTTCTTGCTTCGCCTGTCTTCATGCAGCTGCCTCTTCTCCAGTGCATCAGGGAATCTAATCTAGAAAAGAGCACTTTTAGTAGATAGTAGTAAGGTACCAGATCCCATGCCATTCCTGATTTATGCACCTGCTTCTACACATCAAAGGACTCAGTGACAAGATGTGGATTAGCCTTATACATACTGGAAAACCTCACTCAGCAGAACCTGGATCATGGACTCTCTCCCACATTTCAATCCATAGAAAAATTTCTGCACCAGGTTTTAACATAATTTTATCTGTTATCTGGCATAATTTTTAATGCTTTCAATGATGATTGTCTACTTGTCATAAATAAGATCTTCCCATTTTACCCAGCAGTCAATCAGATAGTTGCACTGTTAAGAATCTTAAGATACTTACTTTCCCAGGAAACTTGGGAAATTTGAGAGGTGCTTCTTTTGCAAAGCAAAAACATATTTGAGGTGCATTGTTCAAAAAACATTTGCACTGTGTACTTAAGAGAAAAATTTAATATGAAGATGAGACAATGTGCTTTTACCAAGACCTCCATGGGTGATGTTGTAAGAACAAAAGCAGTTGTGGCTCTTTAACCAGAAAGGAACAAATCAGGTGAACTGACAGTGAAAGGATTGTTTAGCTGGATTAAAGATCTGTAGATTATAGATAACAGATAAAGTGGAAAAGATTACACTGCTAAATATCATAATAATTTTATTTCTACCCAGGGACGTAAAATGCTCCCTGGGTAGAAAACTTAGTAATAACATCCTCAGTATACATAGCTTTGAGGAGGTCACTGCTTTTCAAAGGAAAGGGTAAGATTATTTGAAATTTTACTTTTTGAAAATACGATCACAAAATGGGCTAGCATGAGGGCTTAAGTAAATGCCCATTGGAAGAGACTTCTAGTTCAGTGCTACTTTCCTATGTTGCCATAGGATTATGTTGTACACGGTATTCAAATAACATTGAAGACTGGGTGCAGTGGCTCACGCCTGTAATCCCAGCACCTTGGAAGGCCAAGGCGAGAGGATCACTTGAGCCCAGGAGCTCAAGACCACCATGGGCAACATGTGAGAATCCATCTCAATTTGTTTAAAAATTAAAATAAAATAAATTTTAATAAAAATACCATTGAAGATACTAAAGCAAACATAGGAAAGCTTGGTGCTTTAAGCAGAAATAGGAATCTGAATTTTTTAATTGTTTTGTGTCTGTCACATAGGGGAACTTGGATAATTATGCCACATGTTGAAAGCAAGAGACTGGCTGTTTATAATTACGATACATTTCTGTTAAACTGAATTACTGCTTAGGAAGGCTTATTTTCTTCATAGTCCAGGTTTCATCTCGAATATATTTTTTCTCACATTCGACTTGTAGTTAAGTTATAACATTTAGTGGTAAACTAGCTGTTTTCTGTAGCTATTAATGGAAACAATTGTGGAATTATTTGAAAGCAAATCTTCAGTTTTTTAGTATAATCATGGATAATTAGACGAAGAGATTACCACGTTATAAGAAAAGTACAGTAATAATAACACCTAACATTTATATAGTGCTTACTAGGTGCCAGGCACTGTTCTGAGCGCCTTGCATATGTTATGTAATCCTCATAACAGTCTTTTGAGGTAAGTTTTTAAATTATTATCCTCATTTTACCAATAAAGAAGTTGAAGTACAGAGCCATGAAATGACTTGCCTAAGGTCACGTGGCCAGTAAATGGTTTCAGATCCACACACTTTGGAACCGGAATCTGTACTCTAACCCCCTAAGATTATACAGACTACAAATTAATCAGGAAATTGGGATGATCCCATGTGTGATATACAGCTTAGCCAGTGTAACAAGTAGAAACAAAGTGGGGGACACAACATAATAATACCAAATGAATGTTAAGGAAAAATAGAAGAGCAGTAATTTTTTTGAATGGTCTGCCCTTTGTCCTAACCAGAGTGCAATAGAGAGAATGGAGTGGTAATGAGTGGCAGCCAGAGCCATTGCCATTGCAGAGGGCTTTTCAGCAGGTAGCGCTTGAGTCTGGTATTGAGAATAATGAGAAAAACATGGAACTGAAACCATTGTCTGCCCCCTTGTGATCTACTTATAAAATTTGTACTAATAATATATTTGCATTTATAGGTTGTTTCAAATAGTATAAAATTTTAAATTACAATTTCTGTTCTTTAGTAGTATCTTCTAGTGATACCCTGCTCTAAAATATTTATCCAGAGTGGTTGAAGAATTGAACCCTCTGATTTCATTTCCTCTAATGGGTGTATTAGTCCATTTTCATATTGCTATGAAGAAATACCCCAGACTTGGTAATTTATAAAGAAAAGAGGTTTAGTTGATTCACAAGTTTCACATGGCTGGGGAGGCCTTGGGAAACTTACAATCATGGCAGAAGGGGAAGCAAACTTGTCCTTCTTCACATGGCAGCAGGAGAGAGAATGAGTGCCAGCAGGACAAATGCCAGACACTTCTAAAACCATCAGATCTCGTGAGAACTCACTCACTATCATGAGAATAACATGGGGGAAACCACCCCCATGACTCAATCACTTCCCACCAGGTCCCTTCCAGGACACATGGGGATTATCGGAACTATTAATTCAAGATGAGATTTGCGTGGGGACCCAGCCAGACCATATCAATGGGAAAATCTTGGTTGTTTTAACCCTTGTTGAAATTAATTAACATTGATGGTTCCTCTTCTGTTCCCCTCACCTTAGTCTGTTTTATCGCAGTTCCTCAGTTCCAGTTGTTTTTTTTTTTCTTCTCATGTTTGCTTTGTTCCCTCGACATCAGTTGTGAACCCAAGCAGGGAAGAGACTCAGCTTATATATCTTTTCTGTCATACCTGGCAGAATTAATTATAACATACTTTATCAATTTTGAAAAATAAAGCTACCGCAAACCTGGCTTACTCTTTCTGTGATTATTGAGGATCTTGTCATGATGTAGTTCCAAATTGCGAATCTTAGTTATGATTGTACTGTCCTCTAGATCTACCGTATAAGATATGAGCCACCTTGAAGACAGGAATTCTTGCGTGATCACGATTATATCCAAAGTACCTAGAGCACCACGCAGGAACACTCCATAAATGTTTTTCAATAAATGCATGAGTGAGTAATGAATGCTGCTCCCAAGGCATAACCTGAGCTGTTGATTTTTTGTTTTAATCTCTGATAGAAATTTGATTTCTTATATCTATTTCAAAATCTTGATCTTGATTTTCCTTTAAAACTCAGGGTGTTTAATGGGACCTCCCACCTGGAGTTTTTAACATCAAAATTCTATCATATATGTTTTTTAGTTTCTTAATGATTTTTAACCACCCCTATTTGTGATTACCCTGAAAATGTTTGAATATAAATGATTTACATTTACACTTTAACCTTACAAACAGTCTCAAGAATCTCTTGGTGGCATTTTTTACATGTGGCATTTTTTGACATGCTTGTGTTGTTTCTTAAATATTTGAATATAAAGTCAAAATAAACAACTGCTTTTTTTACTCTGGAAAATCAAGAAGTAGTATCCGACCAAGGCACTTTTTACTGACTTTTTCTACTTCCTTTACCCATCATTTGTCTTGGCATATTTACTTCTAATATATTCCTTGTTTTTGTTTTTGTTTTTCTCTTACTGCTATCATCATGTAGATCATTTTCAATACTACAATTTACACACAATAAAATCTAGAATTTTGAAATTTGTTTCAGAAGTGTTGACAATGTTTTCTCCCACAGGGAAAAAGCAAGCATGGTTGTCCCTGAAGAAAGAGAAGGCAGAGATGAAACAAACTTAGACCTAGTAAGAGGCACAGCATCTGCAGATGTTTCCACTGACACTCGGAAAGCCGGTGAGTCCTGCACTTTGTCAGGCACCTCCATTGCCTGCAAAGGGGGCTGTGAAGTTCCAGAGTTACTCTGCCAAGGCTTGGTCTGTATTAACAAACTCTTAAAAATGGGGGTTGGGCCAAGGAGAGGATGTGTACTTCCCTACTCTAATCTCAGCTCTGCCATTCACTAACCATGTGTCCTCCCCAGAGTGAAGGCACTGTGTCATCTGCGAATCATGTGAGGTTGAGTTTTAGGCACCCCAGCTTAGAATGGGTTATGTTCCAGCATTTCCTTTATATTTGGTTGGTTGAGACTCAGAATGTACTTTTGCAAATAAACTTTGTTAAACGGTGATTAGGTTCTTATCTCAACCTAAAAAGCCAGTTTAACTCAGAGTAGTTAAAGGAAGTTTCTCCTTCCCTCCTCTGCCTCTCCCCTTAGTTGTATACATAGGTGGGGTGCATACACTCCTCCTCTCCTTCTGTATTCATTTCTTCTTGGTAGCTCCCCAGATACCTGGTGTCTGGTACGCATTGCTGTGCAGTGTCCAAACTGTGGCATGCCACCAAGACCTGCTGAATTCCAAGTGCACTGTGATCCAGAAGTCACCATTTTCCCATTCCCCAAATTCCTATTTTCCTATGCCAGCAGCTGATTTCAGCCAGGTGGCATGAGAAAAGCAATACGATTGAGTTGGTTTAACCTTCGGTGAGGCCAAGTACAGTTGAAGCAGTGGGTGTCAGAATTTAGTAGACTTTAGAATAACCTCAGATGCTCATTAAAACTGTAGATTCATAACCCTCAATTCATAGAAATTCCAACTCAGTGGATGTGAAATGGAGCCAGCAGCTCGGGGGCTTCTGATGGAAGTGGTTTTTGGACCATACTTTGGGAAACATTGCCTCAGAGCCTCTGTGTCTTGTTCAAAGAAGATTCTTTGAAATATCAACCAGGTTGTTGACATTTCATGAAGAACGACAGAATGTAAGGCAGTATGGGTACCACACAGAGAGCTGTTCGTAGAAGTCTTTCCTTAGAGATCAGTTCTCCACGCCTTCATATTAGTTGCCTATGGCTGCTATAACGAATTACCCCAGACTTAGTGGCTCAAAACAGCACACATTTTATTATGTTACAGTTCTGCAGGTTCAAAGTCCAAATGGGTTTCACAAGGCTAAAATCAAGATATCGGCATGGCTGCATTCCTCCTGGAGGCTCTAGGGGAGAATCCCTTTCCTGGCCTTTTCCAGCCTCTAGAGGCCACCTGATTTCCTTAGCTTATAGCCCCTTCCTCCATCTTCATAGCCAGTAGCATAGCATCCTCCCTTCTCTGATCATCCTGCCTCCATCTTTCACTTCTGAGAATCCTTCAGCCTACCTAGATAAGCCAGATAATCTCCCAATCTCAAAATGCTTAACGGAGATACATTCTGAGAAATGTGTCATTAGGCGATTTCATCATTACATGAACATCACAGAACGTGCTTACACAAAGCTAGACGGTCTAGCCTGCTGCACAGCTAGGCTATGTGGTATGGCCTATGGCTCCTGGGCCACAAACCTGCACAGCATGTTACTGTACTGAATACTCTAGGCAACTGTAACACAATGGTAAGTATTTGTGTATGTAAACACATCTAAACATAGAAAGGTACAAAAATACAGTATTGTGATCTTACGGGATCACTGTCTTATATGCACTTTGTCATTGACCAAAACGTTGTTGTACAGCACATGACCGTATTAATAGGTTGCAGGGATTTGGATGTGGACATCTTTGCGGGGTACCATTATTCTGCCTACAGCAGCCCTTGATACTTAAAAATGTGATCCTTAAACAAGCAGCATTAGCATCACCTGGCATTTTGTTATGAATGCAGATTCTTAGACCCCTTAGATCTCAGACCTACTAAATACAACATCTGTTTTTTTGTTTGTTTGTTTGTTTGTTTGTTTGTTTTTGAGACGGAGTTTCACCCTTGTTGTCCAGGCTGGAGTGCACTGGTGCAGTCTCGGCTAACTGCAACCTCCACCTCCTGGGCTCAAGCAATTCTCCTGCCACAGCCTCCCGAGTAGCTGGGATTACAGGTGCACGCCACCACACCCGGCTAATTTTTTGTATTTTTTGTAGAGACGGGGTTTCACCATGTTAGCCAGGATGGTCTCAAACTCCTTTCCTCAGGTGATCCGTCCACCTCGGCCTCCCAAAGTGCTGGGATCACAGGCGTGAGCCACCGCGCCCGGCCCGAATCTGCTTTTTAATGTGACCCCAGGTGGCTCATGTGCATGTTATAATGTGAGAAGCTGTGGTCTAAGATGTTCATGTTTTTCCCAGCTCCTTCCCTTTCCCCATCTCTGGACTCACTGATATAAATACAATAGTCCCTAAATCACTAGATTTGCTCAGTGAGCATTTTTAACATCTACTGGGGCCGCTATTTTAAGCCTCTACCCTCAGGCTTTGTCCTAGGAATTGGGAATACATTGACCAACAAAATGTGGTCAGTGAGGAAACTACAGAGGGGAGACCTTAGCAGGTATGTGTGGATTTATGAATCATCGCAAGTAAGGAACTACTGACAGTCTAACTTTCCTATTAGCTCGGTTTCCTTCAAGGGAAATTGCCTCTACTTTATAAACAAATCTTTTTGAAAATATAGAAATTATATGGAATATTACCATATAGAATTATGTAACCATCCATCAGAGTTAACAACAGAAACATCGATTTTTAGATTTTGTTATATTCCTTCTTTGAGAGTTCTTCCCCAGTGACATTACTTACTTTTTCTCTGTAGGTGGCCAGGAACAGAATGGTACACAGCAAAGCATAGTTGTGGATATGCGTGAATTTCGAAGTGAGCTTCCATCTCTGATCCATCGTCGGGGCATTGACATTGAACCCGTGACTTTAGAGGTTGGAGATTACATCCTCACTCCAGAAATGTGCGTGGAGCGCAAGAGTATCAGTGATTTAATCGGCTCTTTAAATAACGGCCGCCTCTACAGCCAGTGCATCTCCATGTCCCGCTACTACAAGCGTCCCGTGCTTCTGATTGAGTTTGACCCTAGCAAGCCTTTCTCTCTCACTTCCCGAGGTGCCTTGTTTCAGGAGATCTCCAGCAATGACATTAGTTCCAAACTCACTCTTCTTACACTTCACTTCCCCAGACTACGGATTCTCTGGTGCCCCTCTCCTCATGCAACGGCGGAGTTGTTTGAGGAGCTGAAACAAAGCAAGCCACAGCCTGATGCGGCGACAGCACTGGCCATTACAGCAGATTCTGAAACCCTTCCCGAGTCAGAGAAGTATAATCCTGGTCCCCAAGACTTCTTGTTAAAAATGCCAGGGGTGAATGCCAAAAACTGCCGCTCCTTGATGCACCACGTTAAGAACATCGCAGAATTAGCAGCCCTGTCACAAGACGAGCTCACGAGTATTCTGGGGAATGCTGCAAATGCCAAACAGCTTTATGATTTCATTCACACCTCTTTTGCAGAAGTCGTATCAAAAGGAAAAGGGAAAAAGTGAACAGTGATGGCTGTTTTCTTATCCCATGCCTGTACTTTTCAGCGGCTCCTTGCCAGACATCATAGGTCATTATTAATTATTGGTTTGCTATTTCATTCTTTTCCAATGCTCTTAATGATTGTACGGTGGACCAGAAGCCAGGATTCCTCTCTGAACTCTGCAGTTAGGCATCACTTGAACTTGCCTGTGCCTGCTCTTTTTCCTCCCTGCACCGTCTATGCCGGGCTTAGCATGTTTCTTTTTAAATGAGGTTTGTCAGGATCAGGTAAAGTTCCTACAAGTGATTACAGAAGGTAGAAACTTTACCTGATCCTAACAGATCTCATTTAGAAAGGAATATGCTAAGCCTGGCATGGACGGTGCAGGGAGGGAAAAGAGCAGGCACAAGAAAGCTACCATTTTTAACAGTCCTTGTTATCTAGTGCAACATAAATAACAGTCTTAATTGCACTTATACCCATGTCCTGTGGCTCTCCAAATCTGGTCTTTGCTGTTGTGTCTGCTGGACGCTTGAACTGATGTTTGTGTAGGAAATCATGTTCTGACCCTTTGTCTACAAAGGAGCCTTCTGGAACACTGAGAAGAAACATCTCTTTGCCATTCCTGACCAGTTCTCTCTACCACATTTTCTTCAGCTCCATACTTCTGCCTGTCTGCTCTAAGGAAATTTCATGGAGCCTTCCTACTACTAATTCAAGACAGTCTCCTCAAAAACTGGTTGACTAGTCTTCTAATGACCCTAACATATGTAGCATATACTATAATTTCATTGTTCCAAATTAGTATTTTTAAAGCAAAATGAATTACCTGTTTGCAAAAGTTAATGATGAAGGAGCTCTTAGAATTCTCAATTTTTGCACATATTCAGTCTCCTAATATCAGAGATCCCTAAGTCCAGCTGGCTAGTTACAGAGTTTTTTCAGACTTCCTCGTTTCTCAGCTCTTATATCCTAAGACACCAGCATCATATCCTCTAGAAATACAACCTAATTGGCAGTGAGCCGAGATCGCACCACTGCACCCCTGCCTGGGCGACAGAGTGAGACTTTGTCTCTATTACAAAAAGAAAAGAAAAGAAATACAACCTAAGCTCACCTGCCTGTGATTCCTCATTTCTCACCATCCTGTGCCAGGGTGGCTACTTCTCTCTGTGAGGACTCAAATACAAGCCAATGAGTGGCCCACTAAGCTTTTAAGATTTGATTTTCCTGCCTTGAGATAAAAAGGAGTGTAGGTAAATGAAAGATCAATGTATGGAATATATAAAAATACGAAAGAAATATATACGTTTAAAAATCCATAAAGAAAAAAATCTCATTCTAAACCTGATTAAGTTGGCTTTTTACGTAAGTGTACAAATAGGATATTCACAGCATCTTTGTGCAGTTTTTAAACTTTTATATTTAAACATTATTAAGTTGGCTTTTGTTCACATGTTGAGTAATGGGTAGTAAATTTTCTACCTCAGGAGCTGATATAGACATCAGTTCTGCTAGCCATATCACATATTTTAATGTTTCATCAACATCAGCTGTTTTTTTGTTTGCTACACTATTTGAACTAATAGACAGTGGATCATGTAACACAAAATTGTCTTCAACTTTAACAAAATTGTCATTGTTATTTTTTTTTGAGACAGAGTCTCCCTCTGTTGCCCAGGCTGGAGTGCAGTGGCGCAATCTCGGCTCACTGCAACCTCGCCTGCTGGGTTCAAGCAGTTCTCCCACCTCAGCCTCCCAAGTAGCTGGGATTATAGGTGTGCACCACCAGACCCGGCTAATTTTTGTATTTTTAGTAGAGACGGGGTTTCACCATGTTGGCCAGGCTGGTCTCAAACTACTGACCTCAGGTGATCCACCCACCTTGGCCTCCCAAAGTGCTGAGATAACAGGCGTGAGCCACCGCACCCACCCAACAAAATTATTTTTAACTGTCGTTTCTGAACTGAACCTCTCACATTGGCATCTTGATTTATTGGTACTTAACAGTATATATGGATTTTGAACTCTACACAAGGGTATAACCAGAATGAATTGAGGGGTATCAAGAACCAGATTGGTTACAGTAGAACTCTGTAAGATGATGTGGAGAGTAAGGAAAAGGAGAAGAAATAAAAATTAGTTTAAGATGGAATAAAGATTTGGGCTGCTAATTTTTTCCCAGGATTCAAAATATACCCGCTAGAATGGAAAACAAAAATTTGAATGATTACAACATTATCGTTAACATTCAATTTTGTATTTATTGTTTTATTGAATATAGTTCAGAGTATATTAAAATAGACCTACCACTTCAAATGATAATGATTATTATAATGTCTCTTCACCCTATTCTAGCACTTCTGCTTGCAGTATGTGGTTTCTATTTTTTTCCTCTTGTATAATTCCACTTGCTTTTAATTGTTGTTTCATTATATAAAAGGAACATCTTCCCATAGCATATTCTATGAAAGGGGTTTCATTCCAAGTTGAGTTTTCAAAAAAAAGGTCTTCCTAAAGCTACCATTTTCAACCGTCCTTGTTATCTAGTACAACATAAATAACAGTCTTAAAAATTGCACTAATACCAGTGCCCCCCTGGCTCTCCAAATCTGTTCTTTGCTCTTGTATCTGCTGGACGCTTGAAGACAGGTGCACTGTCTCGTATGTATTTGAATTATGAACAGTAATTTCTAATGAATTCTAAAATGGTCATTGTAAGTGAAAGCCTCTCGCTACCACTTCCTCTTCCAACTACATAAATATATTTCAATGTATTTCCAGTTTTGGAAAGTTTTCAATACATACATCAAGTGTTTACTTAGATTTTTATAAAAATTTTTTTTACAATCTAATAATCTTTGGTAAAGGAACTAGAGATGCATGCAGTTGCAAAATTAATGTATTTATTTTCCAGCATAATTTTATTAACTTCACTTTTTTTCTCTCTAGTAAATATCCAGTGTACTTATGAACTCATGTTTGGCTCTTTTAAAACCTTTTCTAAAAGCTAGATCAGCATTTTTCTATTTTACAAGTTTTTTGTATAAAAAGGTGAACATATGAGATATTGTGAGAAATCATTTTAAGTTTCATTTAAATCATGGTGCCTCTTTTGATACTTTCTTAAAATTGTGCAAGAAGAAATCATTTTTAGTAGTGGTCATAAATATTATCCTTTTGGCAGTAAGCTATTACTAATTCAGCCTGAAGCTCGGTAGACAATATGTCTACATGTGTTTGAGTACATCCTGGATACAGTTTCCCAGCTCATGAGGGACTGAAAATAGTCTTATTCATCAACCCACTAGGATGTGAAGGGTTAAGTCTAGATTTGGTCGCATTGAAACCCCACAATATAGAATTAATAAATGGCCTTCAGTAGGAAAACCTACACTAAAGCAAATCCGAAGAAGTGGGGCAGGGGGAAAGAGGCATTACTGGTCTTTCCTTTTGTTTTGCAAGCATAATTTGATTTTCCTTTGGCTCAGAAAACTCATTTGGGGAAATTCTCTTTTGTGTTCAGTTTAACCTAGAAAGGTCCTCTTGAAAAACCAACATTTTAGGAAAGTTCTTTTTTCAGGATGGAGTATATTAAAATTAAGCCAGGCTTTGACGTGAATTATCACTTTTCTTTATTATTTTGTTTTCTATTTTGGTTTATAGCTATTTCTGGTTCAGTTCTGAACTTCAGCACTTAATCATCCTTATCAACCAGGCTTTTGGTAGCCTAAACCGCTATGCTGTTGTTTTTTTAATTTAAAGATGTATAAGCCAAAATTTGGATGGGAGTGAGACATAACTGATTTATATGAATTTTAACAGAGTTGTATTTGTGTGTGTTTAATAAAATATATATTTATTCAGTACTTTCCTCAGTATTTTATGGGCAAAGTAAAAATAACAATGCATAGTGAAAGGGCATATATTACCAGCAGTAATAATTCAAAATCCTGAAAATGTTTCATTTTTTTTGTTTTTGTTATGCAGAATAAACAAGGCAGAAATGCTCTTTGAACCACTGCTTTTGCTGTTTAATTCATTTGATAACCTACTTTCTAAGACTTGAAACTATTAGTTATTTTTCCTTTCTGCTTTTCATTCTGTATCATGTCTCCTTAAGGAGGAAAACAAAACAAAACAAGAAAACTATTCTTCTGAAAATATTCATTTGTCAGTTTGTAATGAGTGTGTGGTAAACACAATGCCTGGGATATCTTAGCTCAACAAAGGTGAATTCCTTGCCACTCCTGCCTCGTACATTTTTGTTCCTTTAATTTCAGAGTTGGAAGAAATGAATTATCCTTTCAACACCTCTGGAATTTATTGTAATCTTTCAAACAAGTTTAATTATTGGTTACTGATTGGCTCATTTCAATGATTTAATTACATTTGCTTCTTCAAAATGTAGATCTGTATCCCTTTTTAACAAGGTGTGAGACAGGTTATTTCTCAACATGTTTTAGTGTCTGAATAAAACTTTGGCAGACTAACCCCTTAGTAGCGGCACTGTAACTCACATTTTTTTAAAATCACTTATGCATTATCTCATTTAATCCTCATAACGAAGCCATGAAGGTACTATTATTTAATCTTGTTTTACATGATGAAACTGAGACACAGAGACGCTAAGTAATTTGCTCAAGGTGGAACCATGATTTGATACCTTGATGTACAGCCCATAATGAAATAGTGGGGTTATGGGGGGTAGTGGGAAACATTTCTGTACACTTCTATGTATCTGATTACAAATATGTCATAGAAATATGTCATAGAAAATGCAAATTGGTTTTTTGTTTTGTTTTTTGAGACGGAGTCTCACTTCATCGCCCAGTCTGGAGTGCAGTGGTGCGATCTCTGCTCACTGCAACCTCCGGCTCCCGGGTTCAAGCGATTCTCCTGCCTCAGCCTCCCAAGTAGCTGGGATTACAGGCGCATGCCACCACGCCCAGCTAATTTTTTGTATTTTTAGTATAGATGGGGTTTCACCATATTGGCCAGGATGGTCTTGATCTCCTGACCTCGTGATCCGCCTGCCTCGGCCTCCCAAAGTGCTGGGATTACAGACATGAGCCACCATGCACGGCCTGCAAATTGGTATGTTTTTATATCTCTCTTAAAGTGTCAAAAGGAAGTATGTAAAACTTAGATACAATAATACTGAGTTTCCTCTCTGTGTAGAGCTAGATATTTAGCAGTTGCCTAGGCTGCCTCTGATTTTCTAGGGCCATATGCCTCTTGGTCACTGATTAGGAAGGCTATTTTGCAACTTCATAAGAATAGAGGTTAATTTAAATAAAACTGTTGGCCATGCAAATGATTCTTGTCCAGTTGCATTGCAAAGGTCATTGCCTAGTGTAGCATTAACCAGTTTTGCATTTTTTCACAAACGTATTTCTGCACTCCTTTGACCAACAAATTCCAAATCTCCAGGTCCTTGACTTTCTTCTGAACCAGTCTTAATGATTTCCTCATTGAGTGAGTCAAATAAAATCTTTGACTTCTGTTTTGTTCTTTTTGTATAAGAGGCATGGTTTTAACTTTTTTTTTTTTTTGAGATGGAGTCTCGTTCTGCCACCCAGGGTGGAGTGCAATGGCGCAATCTTGGCTCACTGCAACCTCCGCCTCCCGGGTTCAAGCGATTCTCCTACCTGAGACTCCCAAGTAGCTGGGATTACAGGCATGCACCACCACGCCTGGCTAATTTTTGTATTTTTAGTAGAGACCGGGTTTCGCCATGTCGGCCAGGCTGTTCTCGAACTCCTGACCTCAGGTGATCTGCTTGCCTTGGCTTCCCAAAGTGCTGGGATTACAGGCGTGAGCCACCGCGCCCAGCCTATGGTTTTAACTTTTTGAAAATTGTCCTTTATAATGGTATTGCCAGCATGAGCTCCTGAAGCTCCCATATAATGATAAAACCCTGTTTCCAGCCTCATGCATCCTAAAGTTATAAAATAGAAGAGGGTAATATATATACACATGTATATATATAAAATCAAGAAATATATATATTTCTTAAATATGTAAGAAGTATAACGTACTAATACATTAACATTGAAAACTATGATTAGATATTAATTTTAAGAACTACAAATTTTAAGATGCTGGCATTTTTCAATGGACTCATCCTCATTCCGTTTACAAAAGCTCAGCTGAATATTTAGTCTAAGTTTCTTTTCTGTGTAGCCGTTGACTATCAGTGTTAAAGAGGCTGATTCATGAATGAGAAAGAAAAGGAATTTTTGATAATCCCAAAGATCTATTTGTGTGACTAAGATATTTCTACGTGAGAAGAACACAGCTCTCTGAGGCCTGAAAGGTAAACAAAATCAACTCAAGATTTTAAATAAAAGAGTTTCCTGGTTTCATGAAAATAGTAAATAAACCAGGTCTAATAAAATGGTAGTATGGCATATTTGAGATGGTAATATTTAGGGACCCTTTCCTATAATTATGAGTTCCAGAACTTGGTGTCAATTAAAGAGTCCTCTTAACTGAGTAAAAGATTTGCCTCCCTGTGCAACTTTATTTCTGGGAAGGGTGACACCCAACAGAAGCTTAGGAGAGAAGACAGTTTAGTAGACCAAGAGAAGCGTGACCAGGCAGGTTTATTTTCAGCGTCAGGCATTAGTGCATAAGGCAGAGGGCTCTCTCTGGGTTTGATGCTATAACAAACAGTCCACGCCATCGAGGGACATTCAGTCTTGCAGTGAAGAGAAGTCAGAGGCAGAAAATGAGCAGGTGGAAGAATAAAAAATCCACAAGAGAGATAGAAGTGTTCCTGAGGTCAGAGGAAGAGGTCATATCCCTGCAGGGAACAGGAATAGCCTCAGAGAGGAGGTAGAATTCGAGATGGGTCTTAAAAAACAGCTAGGATTTCAGCAGACAGATGCAGGGCTCTGCACTTCAGCCCCGGTCTACCACATTAGTGAAGAAACAGATGGGAAATAGAATAATGTTTAAAGAGGGAGTTGTGAACGCTAAGTAGGAGCAATACGAGGGCCATATTGTAGGAGTCTCTTAAGGGCTAGGATGAGGAGTTCTCATTTCAGTAGAAAAGCGAATGTTCAATTAAGGAAAAAATGAACCAGAAGACTTTTAAAATTTTGGTCTGGCAGTAGAGATTTTGAAATGGAAAGGAACTAATATTAATTTACAGTGTGCCATGTGGGTTGTGTATGCTACCTTTACAGACAAAGAGACATACTGAGAGATTAAGTGACTAAAGCCACAGTGGAAGGACATTGCAGATTCAGACTCCAAAACCTGTCATCTTTCTGCCAGACCTTGCTGTCTAGAAGGGAGGATTGGAGGTGAAAAGACCACCTCAGAAGCTGTTGTAACAATCTAAGCAACAGGTAACGAAGGCCAGAACTAGAATGACAGCTTTCGAAATGGAAGGAAGGACAATCTTTGGAAGGTGGCAAATGAAATGTATGCCCGGGAAGAGTCTAAATAATGCCTACTTTTTAAGCCTGGGCTCAGGAGATGATGAGACTGTTGAAGAGAAAAGTTAAAGTCTAGAGAAGGACTTGATTTGGAAACGGAGAAGTACAGTTTTGATGGGAAAGGAGAAGTACGGTTTTGATCAGGTTGATTTTGAGATAGCAGAGAGCCAGGGGACAGTCTCAATACAAGATGTAGTAGGGGTTGGGCGTGGTGGCTCACGCCTGTAATCCCAGCACTTTGGGAGGCCAAGGTGGGCGGATCACTTGAGGCCAGGAGTTCGAGAGCAGTCTGGTCAACATAGTGAAACCCCCATCTCTACTAAAAATACAAAAATTAGCCGGGCGTGGTGGTCCACACCTGTAGTCCCAGCTACTTGGGAGGTTGAGGCGTGAGAATCTCTCGAGCCTGGGAGGCTGAGGTTGCGGTGAGCGGAGATTGCACCACTGCACTCCAGCCTGAGTGACAGAGACAGACTGTGTCAAAAGAGGGGGAAAAAAAGAAAGATGTAGTAGGCATCTGCACTGAAGTGAGAACTGAAAACATTGGCTGAATAAATAAGTGGTTAAGGTAAAGAAACCTGAAACGACTAACAGAACGCTAAAAATGCCTACACTTAGGAGGTGGCAAGATAGAGACAGAAAATTAGAAGAAGAAACTGAGTCATCCAGCAGCCAGAATGAAAACAGGAGGGAATTTCAAGGGAGTGACCCACAACATCAGGAGTTGAGCCGTATGAGCGCTGGCGGCCTTCAAGGCAACAATGAAGACAGCGCTGGTCATCCTGTGTGGTGTGTCCAGGAGACCTAGGGGCACACGCCCGCCTGGGGGTCTGAGGAAGCCATGGGGGGTGGTGAGGATGAAGAAAACGAGGATGGGCAGGCTGAACAGAGGGGCGATTTTGCTTGTTGGTGATCAGGATGAGGGAGCAGAGCAAAGTGGGAGAAGGAAGGCACTAGAGAGAGAACAGAGAATTAGGCAGAACCAAAATTTAGTATTGTGGGGGATGGGGGTGGAGGGAAAAAAACGAACGTGGTTTTGCTTTTCTTCCTTTCACACCTACAGAAAACCTGTTTTTGTATTGAATTGCTTCTTCTTAAAGACCAGCATCAACCTGATCATGCTCCCCACCATGTGAAACGGAATGGGCACGCCACGATAAGTAGTAATGAGCCTTTTCGGCAGCCTTCTGTTTTAACAAAAAAACGCTGCTGTTTGGCATTGAAGTTTGCTTGTGTTTAAGCTCGCGGTGGAACAGCCTAGGACCCCTCTCTGTTTGTAACCTGGCTTTATAATTTTGTTATTATTTAAAGCCTCCCTTTCAGCGATTTTTTAAAACCAAAATATATGCTGGCTAATGTCATCTGGAAACTGAAAGTCGATGTTCAGCAACTCTCACTCGCCAATCCTACAACTTGGTAAGGATTTTTATTTTGGTCGTACTGAGCTTACTGTAACTGGGGCGGCTGAGTTGCTATGGTAATTTGTTCTCAGAACAGAGCACTTTGCTGCAATGCATGGAAACAGCAGATAAATCTACTTTATGTTGACTTGATTGTGACATTAATTCTAGTTGAAACATCCTCCATGCTCCCATCAGGACTCATGTATAAGAATTTTAAATTGGAGCCAAGAAGGCATTGGCTAAAAGAATTGCAACTTCGGCTGTTTAAACCCAGGCCTTCACAATTCATGCAACTGAAGGCTGTTGGCTCACAGCCTAGAGCGCTGCCCCGGGGGCGGCTTGCAGCTGGGGGAAGGTTCATCACTGAGGCAATTATGTGGTTAATTGCTCCAGTGTGGGCTTGGGCTGAGAGTTGTGACTCATGCCGCCCTCTGTCACTAATAGATGGGGGTAGGGGGTAGAGTGGACAGGACTCAAGGACTTACTGAAAACTCAGCTGCCTTTTCCCTTTCCTCTTGCAAATAAATCTGTAACTCACTAACATCTGCCCTGGAGATGTGGGAGGAAGGTAGACCTCAACTCCAAGACTTGGTGCTCCCGGCCTCCATTGGTAGGGGTCCCCATTAAGTCCCACGTCCTGAACTACACTGGAGCCCTCGGACACTTTAAGGATCACTGCACTCCGAATTGGGGTGTATCTTCCTCCAATTCTTGCCTAACCATGACAGAGGAGAGACAAAAACTAGATGCCTGACTTCGAGCATGACTCATTATAAACAAATAGAGGACAGATTGACTTCCTCTTATCAGAGCCCGAGTCTGCGCCCCAGGACACAGCATGAGTCAGACTTGAAGTCCCAAGTCTTGTTGGGAATTTTCCCCCTGAGAAAGAGGTAGATTTTTGAGTAGAGTTCTGTTGATTTCTTGAATATTATCAGTGACCCCATGTTAAGCCCTGGGCTTCTGCATCAGGTCACATCCCTTCGAAACCAATAGAGCTTCCAGAGTAAGGATAAAAATTGGCTGTGCTCACAAAGAAACTCATTTGGAATTGATAGAAATGTTTGTAATTTTAGCGGTGATGGTTTTGCAATGTATAGATGTCAAAATCATAAAAGCATACACTCAATATGTGCAGTGTATTGTATATAAATTATACTTCAAATATTTTTTAGAAGAAACATAGTTTAGCAGGAAAAAAAAAGATGTAGTAGGCACCTGCATTGAAATGAGAACTGAAGACATTGGTTGAATAAGTAAGTGGTTAAGGTAAAGAAACCGTAAACGACTAACAGAATGCTAAAAATGCCTACACTTAGAAGAAGGGAAGATACAGACAGAATATTAGAAGAAGAAACTGAGTCATCCAGCAGCCAGAATGAAACAGGAGGGAATTTATAGGGAGTGACCCACAACACCAGGAGCTGAGCAGTATCAGCGTAGATAGCCTGGTGGCCTTTGACGCAACAATGAAGAGAGCACTGGTCATCCTGCGTGGTGGTTAATTATTATTATGATTTATCATGAAGTTCAGTGTTACCTCCTCCCTTCCCCATCCATACCGATCTATTGCTTGTATTTGGGTGCAAACACACACAGAGTACCTGCCTGAAGGGATCATGAGGTCACAGCATCCAATGCTGATCTCAGACTCCCAGAGTGTGTGTTAGTAGGTAACATTTATTTTTACTCAACTCCGTATTTCACTAGGTAAAAGGGAATGAAGGCAGTCGGGATAGGTGAAACCCAGGTTGTGACAAATTTGGAGGAGGGTGGGGGAGCTGTTGGGTATTAGATTGGTGCAAAAGTAATTGTGGTTATTATGCCAGGAGCGGTGGCTCACGTCTGTAATCCCAGCACTTCGGGAGGCGAGGTGGGTGGATCACTTGAGGTCAGGAGTTTGAGACCAGCCTGGCCAACATGGTGAAACCCATCTCTACTAAAAATACAGAAATTAGCCGGGCATGGTGGCCAGTGCCTGTAATCCCAGCTACCTGGGAGGCTGAGGCAGGAAAATCATTTGAACCCAGGAGGAGGAGGTTGCAGTGATCCGAGATCGCACCACTGCACTCCAGCCTGGGTAACAGAGCAAGACTCGTCTCAAAAAAAATGAAAATCAAAAAATAAATAAAACATTTTTTAAAAGTAATTGCAGTTATTGCCATTATTTTCAATGGCAAAAACCTCAATTCCTTTTTTTTTTTTTTTTTTTTTTGAGATAGAGTTTCCCTCTTGTTGCCCACACCGGAGTGCAATGGCGTAACATTGGCTCACTGCAACCTCCGCCTTCCAGGTTCAAGTGATTCCCCTGCCTCAGCCTCCTGAGTAGCTGGGATTACAGGCATGTGCCACCACACCTGACTAATTTTGTATTTCTAGTAGAGACGGGGTTTTGCCATGTTGGTCAGTCTGGTCTCGAACTCCTGACCTCAGGTGATCCACCCACTTCAGCCTCCCAAAGCACTGGCATTACAGGCATGTGCCACCGTGCCCTGTCCGCAGTTACTTTTACACCAACCTAGTAGCAAAGGAAAAAGAAGCACCTTCAAGGTACCCCACCCCAGGCGGCCACAGGACAGGAGAAGGCTGTTTTTGCCTTCAGGTTTCAGCAAATTCAAGTTGAGTCAAGCCAACAGCATGACAGCATGCAAGAGCTGTGCCATTGGGCTGTGGCCACAAAACACACACACGTGAAATGACTTAAAGCTTGGAAACCAGCACACCAGGGAGCAAATTAATTTAGGGAGAAATGAATACGTGTGTGCTTAGATGGCACAAAAGAAAGAACAAAGTCTTTCGGCAAGCCAGGTTAATCGAAGAGCAGGCAGCCATGAGGGTGGAGTGGCCCGGATTTTTTTTTTTAATGTAAATAACTTCAAGTGGGAAAATATGAACGTGTATCCATGCATGGACTTGCTTATGATCTTCTGAAAAGTACATGATCTCTCTCTATTTCAGATAAATGCCCTTAATGATGGGAAAGGAGGCTTTTCCTTCCTCTTGCTGTAGATATTCTGGAATATCTACTTCTGACTGCTAACCTTGCGGGAAAGGTCTTTCATTTTGACTGCTGACTTCATCCAAAAGGAATTAATTATTTCTTTCATTTTCCCTTCAGTCTCGGTGAGGCCAGCATTTTCCTGCTGCCATCTTTTGGCAAACAAATTCAACATACGCAAGTGATTTGGAGAATTTGCCATCTTAATAGGAGGGTCAGCTGGGCCCGGTGGCTCACACCTGTAATCCCAGCACTTTGGGAGGCTGAGGCAGGCGGATCAGTTGAGGTCAGGAGTTTGAGACCAGCCTGGCCAACATGGTGAAACCCCGTCTCTACTAAAAATGCAAAAATTAGCTGGGCATGGTGGCAGCCGCCTGTAATCCCAGCTACTCAGGAGGCTAAGGCACGAGAATTGCTTGAACCCGGGAGGTGGAGGTTGCAGTGAGCTGAGATCGCGCCACTGAACTCCAGCCTGGGCAACAGAGCGAGACTCAGTCTCCAAATAAACAAACAAGAGGGTCATTAATATAGGCAGTCTTTTTCTGAATCTCCTAACCTCTCAGTCACTGTCACTAAATCTGTATGTGTAGTGTTTGTGTGTGTGTATTTTTTGACCCTCTGGATTCTGTACCTATTTTGAAGGCGTGTCCTTGCCACAGTGGCTGATCTCACATGTCCTTAATTTCCAAAGACAGTCCCAAATTTTAACAATTCCTTTGACATCCCTCCATAAATATACATTCATACTTTGTAGGTCATTTTCTGCTATGTAAATATGATCTATCGGAAGAATGTTTCATTCAACAAGTGTTTTCTCTTGACATTCGGGGTCTTAAAAATTATTATTTGGAAAACAATGTCAGTTTATTCCACAAACATTCATGAAGCGTCTTCTGTGTGCCGGAAGAGAAAAGCCCAGCCCATAGTTTGGAGTTACAAGTTGTAGTTTTCTCCAAGTCTTAAAGAGTGCAAAAAGCAAAGCCAGCTTTTGTATTTGTAATGATGGAATTACAGTAAAGTACTCCTTAGATATATTTTTTTGAAAATAACACTCATTGCCTGGAAATGACCAAAGCGTCACAGCACTGTGATCTGTATTACAGAGTTCTGGGTGCTAAGAGCATAGGTTACAGGAGTTGTAAGAGTATACTTCTCCATGGCAGACTGCCAAGCAAGGGCTTATTTCACATTTAATGCCTTGTAGGAAAAAGATAGCCCAAGTCGAACAGATGAGAAAGTTCAGTCGTCTTGAAAAGCAAAGAACCCATGTCCTCAGCTGTTCGGATCTTCAGGCTGTTCGCCGGTTTCGAGGAGTGGTGTCAGAGGGCAGTTTTGAAATGGGAGAAAAGGTTTATAAAAGGAAAGACATGTTCCAGGTAGATCTTTGTAATGTTTTCCTGAGAGCTGACCTGGAGAAGCTTTTGTGATGTGGTTTTTTGCTGGGGCTCCAAACCTTTGATGTATCCCTTCAAACTGAGTCTTCCATCTGTAGTCCAGATTTGAGCTTCCGGCATTTCCTCTAGTTTATCATCTTGTTTCTTTTATCATACACTACTGTTTGTTTAAGATAGGTGTTTTTGTTTTTAATTGGGCCACTAGTGCCTAGAATCAGAATAATTATAATTATTGGTTTATCAAACACATCACGGACCCATGCATGACCTGCTCTCATTCATTTAGTTCGTCATTTTTATTTATTTTTTATTTATTTTATTTTATTTTATTTTTTTGAGACAGATTCTCGCTCTGTCACCCAGGCTAGAGTGCAATAGTATCTCAGCTCACTGCAACTTCCGCCTCCCGGGTTCAAACGATTCTTCCGCCTCAGCCTCCTGAGTAGCCGAGGTTACAGGCTCCCACCATCACACTCGGCTAAATTTGTGTTTTTAGGAGAGACGGGGTTTCACTATGTTGGCCAGGTTGGTCTCAAACTCGTGACCTCGTGATCTGCCCGCCTCGGCCTCCCAAAGTGCTGGGATTACAGGCATGAGCCACCACGCCCAGCCCTCATTCATTCTATATAACAATATTTTTGTACCAATTCCCCAGTCTCACTCCCATTCCCCACTACCCTCTTCAGCCTCTCATAATCATCATTCTACTCTCTATTTCCATGAGTTCAATTGTCTTAATGTTTAGCTCCCACAAATAAATGAGAACACAGGAAGTTTGTATTTCTGTGCCTGGCTTATTTCACTTCACATTATGACCTCCAATTTCATCCACGTTGTTGCAAATGATGGGACCTCATTCTTTTTTATGGCTGAATAGTACTCCATTGTGTATAAGTACCACATTTTCTTTATCCATTTGCCTGTTGCTAGACACTTAGGTTGCTTCCAAATGTTGGCTATTGTGAATAGTGCTGCAATAAACATGGGAGTGCAGATGTCTCTTTGGTAAACTGATTTCCTTTCTTTTGGGTATATACTTAGCAGGGCAATTGCTGGATTATATGGTAGCTATACTTTTAGTTTTTTGAGGAACCTGCAAAGTATTCTCCACAGTAGTTGTACTAATCTACATTCCCACCATCAGTGTACAAGGGTTCCCTTTTCTCCACATCCTCGCCAGCATTTGTTGCCTGTCTTTTGGATAAAAGCCATTTTAGGCCAGGCACAGTGGCTCATGCCCGTAATCACAGCGCTTTGGGAGGCCGAGACAGGTGGATCACGAGGTCAGGAGTTCGAGACCAGCCTGGCCAACATAGTGAAACCCCATCTCTACTAAAAATACAAAAAATTAACCAGGAGTGGTGGTGGGCACCTGTAATTCCAGCTACTTGGGAGGCTGAGGCAGGAGAATCGCTTGAACCCGGGAGGTGGAGGTTGCAGTGAGCCAAGATCGCGCCATTGCACTCAGCCTGGGTGACAAGAGTGAAATTCCTTCTCAAAAAAAAAAAAAAAAGCCATTTTAAGTGGTGTGAGGTGATATTCCATCATAGTTTTGATTTGTATTTCTCTGATAATCAGTGCTGTTGAGCACTTTTTCATATGCCTGTTTGCCACTTGAATGTCTTCTTTTAAGAAATGTCTATTCAGGTATTCTGCCTACTTTTTTATCGGATTATTAGATTTTTTTTCCTATGAAGTTGTTTGAACTCCTTAAGTATTCTGGTTATTAATCCCTTGTCAGATGGGTAGTTTGCAAATATTTTTTCCCATTCTGTGGGTTGTTTCTTCATTTTGTTGCTTGTATCCTTTGCTGTGCAGAAGCTTTCTAACTTGATATGATTCCATTTGTCCATTTTTGCTTTGGTTGTCTGTGCTTGTGGGGTATTACTCAAGAAATCTTTGCCCAATCTGATGTCCTGAAGAGTTTCCCCAGTGTTTTCTTGTAGTAGTTTCATAGTTTGAGGTCTTATATTTAAGTCTTTAATCCATTTTGATTTGGTTTTTGTATGTAATGAGAGATAGGAGTCTAGTTTCATTCTTCTGCATATAGATATCCAGTTTTCCCGGCCCCATTTATTGAAGAGATTGTCCTTTCCCAATGTATGTTCTTGGCACCTATGTTGAAAATGAGTTGACTGTAGATATATGAATTCACTTCTGTGCTCTCTATTCTGTTTCATTAGTTTATGTGTCTACATTTTTATGCCAATACATGCTGTTTTGGTTACCAAAGCTCTGTAGTATAATTTGAAGTCAAGTAATGTGATTCCTCCAGTTTCGTTCTTTTTGCTCAGGATAGCATTGTCTATTCTGGGTCTTTTGTGGTTCCATTTAAATTTCAGGATTTTTTTTTTCTGTTTTTGTGAAGAATGTCATTGGTATTTCAACAGAGATTACATTAAATCTGTAGATTGCTTTAGGTAGTATGACATTTAACAATATTGATTCTTCCAATTCATGAACATGGAATATCCTTCCATTTTTGGCATGCTATTCAATTTCCTTCATAAGCATATTACAGTTTTTATTGTAGAGCTCTTTCACTTCTCTGGTTGATTCCTAGATATTCTATTTTATTTGTAGCTATTATAAATAGGATTACTTTCTTGGGTTTCCATCGGGGGACCTGCCCCAATAATCACGTAGGTTCTTTTCTATTTTCCTAAGCATCGGCTGGCTTGAGAAATAAAAGGACAGAGTACAAAAGAGAGAAATTTTAAAGCTGGGCATCTGGGGGAGACATCACACATCGGTAGGATCCGTGATGCCCCACAAGCCACAAAAACCAGCAAGTTTTTATTAGGGAGTTTCAAAAGGGGAGGGAGTATACAAATAGGTGCGGGTGACAGACATCAAGTACTTAACAGCGTAATAGAATATCATAAGGCAAGTGGAGGCAGGGCGAGATCACAGGACCACAGAACCGAGGCGAAATTAAAATTGCTAATGAAGTTTTGGGCACCACTGTCATTGATAACATCTTATCAGGAGACAGGGTTTTGAGATCAACCGGTCTGACCAAAATTTATTAGGTGGGAATTTCCTCTTCCTAATAAGCCTGGGAGCGCTATGGGAGACTGGAGTTTATTTCACCCCTGCAGTCTCAACCATAAGAGACAGGTACGCCCCAGGGGGGCCAGTTCAGAGACCTACCCCTAGGTGCGCATTCTCTTTCTCAGGGACGTTCCATGCTCAAAAAAAGAATTCAGCGATATTTCTCCCATTTGCTTTTGAAAGAAGAGAAATATGACTCTGTTCTGCGCGGCTCACCGGCGGTCAGAGTTTAAGGTTATCTCTCTTATTCCCTGAACAGTTGCTGTTATCCTGTTCTTTTTTCAGGGTGCCCGCATTTCATATTGCTCAAACACACATGCTGTACAATTTTTGTAGTTAACGCAATTATTACAGGGTCCTGAGACGATATACATCCTCCTCAACTGACAGGATTAAGAGATTAAAGTAAAGACAGGTATAGGAAATCACAAGGTTATTGATTGGGGAAGTGATAAGTGTCCACGAAATCTTTACAATTTATGTTTGGAGATTGTAGTAAAGACAGGCATAAGAAATTACAAAAGTATTAATTTGGGGAACTAATAAATGTCCATAAAATCTTCACAATCCACGTTCTTCTGTCATGGCTTCAGCTGGTCCCTCCATCTGGGGTCCCTGACTTCCCGCAACAGGTTTCTTTTTCAGATGTTCACTGCTGACATATAGAAATGCTACTGATTTCTGTATGTTGATTTTGTATCCTGCAACTTTACTCAATTTGTTCATCAGTTCTAATAGTTTTTTGGCAGGGTCTTTAGGTTTTTCCAAATATAAGATCATATCATCTGCAAACAAGGATAATTTGACTTCTTCCTATCCAGTTTGGATACTCTTTGTTTCTTTCTCTTGTCTGATTGCTCTAGCTAGGACTTCCAGGTACTATGTTGAATAACAGTGGTGAAAGTAGGCATCCCTGTCATGTTCCAGATCTTAGAGGAAAGGCTTTCAGCTTTTCCCCATTCAGTATGATACAATGATACTAGCTGTGGGTCTGTCATATATGGCTTTTGTTGTGTTGAAGTATGTTCCTCCTATACCCAGTTTTTTGAGGGTTTTTATCATGAAGGGATGTTGAATTTTATTAAATTCTTTTCAGCATTAATTGAAATGATCGTATGGTTTTTGTCCTTCATTCTGTTAATATGATGTATCACATTGATTGATTTCCATATGTTGAACCATTCTTGCATGCTGGGATAAATCCCACTTGGTCACGATGAGTGATCATTTTAATGTGTTGTTGAATTCATTTTGTTAGCATTTTGTTGAGGATTTTTGCATCAGTGTTCTTCAGGGGTTTTGGCATATAGTTTTCTTTTTTTGATGTGTCTTTGTCTGATTTTTTTGATGTGTCTTTGTCTGGATTAGTAGGATTGGTATAGTCCTTTAAATGTTTGGTAAAATTCAGCAGGGAAGCCACTGCATCCTGGGCTTTTCTTCACTGGGAGGCTTTTTATTATGGCTTTGATTGCGTTACTTGTTATTGGTCTGTTCAGGTTTTGGATTTATTCGTGGTTCAATCTTGGTGGGCTGTATGTGTCTAGAACTTTATCCATTTCTTCTGGGTTTTACAATTTATTGGCATATAGTTGCTCATAGTAGCCTCTAATGATTCTTTGAATTTCTGCAGTATTGGTTATAATATCTCCTTTTTCATTTCTAATTTTATTTATTTGAGTCTTCTCTCTTTTTTTCTTCTCTTTTTTTTCTTAGTCTGGCTAAGAGTGTGTTGATTTTGTTTATCTTCTCAAAAAACCAACTTTTCATTTCATTGAGCTTCTGCAATGTTTTCATTTCAATTTTATTTATTTCTGCTCTGATCTTTATTATTTCTACTCATCCACTAATTTTCAGTTTGGTTTGCTCTTACTTTTCTAGTTCTTTAAGATGCATTGTTAGGTTATTTGAAGTTTTTCTCCTTTTTTGATGTAGGTGCTTAGAGCTATAAACTCTCCCCTTAGTACTACTTTCACAGTAGCCCATAGGTTTTGGTATGTTGTTTCCATTATCATTTGTCTCAAGAAAATTTTTAATTTCCTTCTTAATTTCTTCATTGACCCACTGGTCATTCAGGAGCATATTGTTTTAATTTCCATGAATTGGTATAGTTTCCAAAATTCTTGTTATTGATTTCTAGTTTTATTCCATGTGGTCATAGAAAATACCTGATATAATTTCAACTTTTTAAAATTTTTTAAGACTTGTTTTATGGCCTAACATATGGCCTGTCCTTGAGAATGATCCATGTGCTGAGGAGAAGAATGTATATTCTGCAGCTCTTGGATAAAATGTTCTGTAAATATCTGTTAGGTCCATTTGGCCAATTGTACAGATAAGTCTGATGTTTCTTTGTCAATTTTCTGCTGTGATGATCTGTCCAATGCTGAAAGTGGGATGTTGAAGTCTCCAGTTATTATTGTACTGGGGCTTATCTCTCTCTTTAGCTCTAATAATATTTGTTTTATATATCTGGGTGCTTCACTGCTGAGTGCATATGTATTTAAAATTGTTATATCCTCTGGCTGAATTGACCCTTTTATCATTATATAGTGACCGTCTTTGTCTCTTTTTGTTTTTGTTCTCTTGAAACCAATTTTGTCTGATATAGGTATAGTTACTCCTGCTCTTTTTGGATTCCCATTCTCAAGGAACATCTTTTCCCATCTTTTTATTTTCAGTCTATGTGTGTCTTTATAGATGAAGCGGGTTTCTTGGAGGCAACAGATCTTTGAGTCTTTTTAAAAAATTCATTCAGCCATTCTGTGTCTTTTCATTGGAGATTTTAGTTCATTTACATTAAATATTATTATTAAGGACTTATCCTGCCATTTTGTTATTTGTTTTCTGATTGTCTGGTGGTCTTCTCTTCCTTCTTTCTTTCCTTCCTTCTTGTCTTCCTTTTAGTGAAAGTGTTTTTCTCTGGTGGTATGTTTAAATTTCTTCGTTTTTATTTTTTGTGTATTAGTTGTATATTCTTTGTCTTATAATGTCTTATAACTCATTATTTTAAACTCATGACAATACTGATTGCATGAACAAACTAAGAAGCAAAGAGAAAACTAATAAAAAAAATCTACACTTTAACTTCATTCCCCCATTTTTAAACTTTTTGTTGTTTCTATTTATATCTTATTATACGGTCTATGTCTGGAAAAGTTGTTATTATTTTTTATTGGCTCATCTTTTAGCCCTTCTACTCAAGATATGAATAGTTTATACACCATGATTACAGTGTTATAATATCCTGTGTTTTCTCTGTACTTACCAGTGAGTTTTGTATCTTCAGATGATTTCTTATTGCTCATTAACGTCCTTTTATTTCAGATTGAAGAACTCCCTTTAGCATTTCTTGTAGGACAGGTCTGGTGTTGATGAAATCCCTCAGCTTTTGTTTGACTGGGAGAGTCTGCATTTCTTTTTCATGTTTGAAGGATATTTTTCTATCCTGGGATAAAAGTTATTTTCCTTCAGCACTTTAAATATGTCATGCCATTCTCTCCTGGCCTGTAAGGTTTCCATTGAAAAGTCTGCTGCCAGACATTTTTCTCTTGCTGCTTCTAGGATCCTGTCTTTATCCTTGACCTTTGGAGATTTGATTATTAAATGTCTTGAGGTAGTCTTATTAGGGTTAAATCTCCTTGCTGTCCTATAATCTTCTTGTAATTGAATATTCATGTCTTTCAGGTTTGGGAAGCTCTTCGTTATTATCCCTTTGGATAAACTTTCTACCATTATCTTTCTCTACTTCTTCTTTAAGGCCAATAACAGATTTGCCCTTTTGAAGCTGTTTTCTAGATCCTGTAGGTGTACTTCGTTGTTTTTTAATTCTTATTTCTTTTTTCTCCTCTGACTGTGTATTTTCAAATAGCCTATCTTCAAGCTCACTAATTCTTCCTTCTGCTCAATCAATTCTGATGTTAAGACACTCCAATGCATTCTTCAATATGTCAATTGCATTCTTCAATTCCAGAATTTCTGCTTGATTCTTTTAAACTGTTTAAATCTCTGTTACATTTATCTGATGGAATTCTGAATTACTTCTCTGTGTTGTCTTGAATTTCACCGAGTTTCCTCAAAATAGCTATTTTGAATTCTCTGTCTGAAAGGTCACATATCTCCATCTCTTCAGGATTGGTCCCTGGTGCCTTATTTAGTTTGTTTGGTGAGATTATGTTTTCCTGGATGGTCTTCATGCTTGTAGACGTCTGTTGGTGTCTGGACATTAAAGAGTTAGGTATTTATTATAGCCTTTGTAGTCTGGGCTTGTTTGTCCCCATCCTTCTTGGGAAGGTTTTCCAGGTATTCAAAGGGACTTGGGTGTTGTAAGCTAAGTTTTTGTTCGCTGTAGACATATTTTCATTAGGGGGCACTCCAAGCCCAGTAACACTGTGGCTCATGCGGACTCATAGAGGTACCACCTTGGTGGTCTTGGATAAGATCCAAAATTCTCTGGATTACCATGCATAGATTCTTATTCTTTTCCCTTACTTTCTCCAAACAAATGGAATCTCTCTCTCTCTCTCTCTCTCTCTCTCTGTCTCTGTTGAGCTACCTGAAGCTGGGAGAGGAGTGACACAAGCATCTCTGTGTCCACTGCCACTGAGATTGTGCTGAATCAGACCTGAAGTCAGCTCACTGCTCAGTTTCACCCAAGGCCCATGGTAACCACTGCCTGGCTACCACCTATGTTCACTCAAGGCCCTAGGGTTCTACAATCAGCAGGTGACAAAGCCAGCCAGGCTGATGTTCTTCCCTTCAGGGCAGTGAGCTCCCCTGCAGCCCCACGCAGCTCCAGAGATGCCAGGAGCCAAGGACTGGAGTCAGAAACCTTAGGAATCTACCTGGTGTTCTATTCTACTTTGGCTGAGCTGGCACCCAAGCCATGAGACAAAGTCCCCCCCACTCTTTCCTTACTTTCCTCAAGCAGAGGAGTCTCTCCCCATGGCCACCACCACCCCAGGCCCATGATGGGTCCTGCCTGGCTACCATCAGTGTTCACTCAAGTCCAAGGGCTCTCCAGTCAGCTTGTGGTGAATGTTGCCAGGCCTGGGACTCACCCTTCAGAGCAGTGGGCTTCCCTCTGGCCCAGGGCAGGGAAGTGCCCAAAGTGCCATCCAAGAGCCAACGCCTGGAATCAGGGACCCCAAGAGCCCACCTGGTGCTCCACCACACTGTGGCCAAGCTGGTACCTAAGCTCCAAGACAAAGTCCGCTTTATGCTTCCCTTTCCTTTTCTGTAGCAGGAGGAGTCTCTTCTCATAGCCACAACAGCTGGGAATGTGCTGGGTCACATCTCAAGCCAACCTGTCTCTGAGTCTTACCCAAGGCCCACAGTGAGTACTGCCTGGCTACCACTGCTGCTTATTCAGAACCCAAGGGCTCCTTAGTCTAGAAGTGATAAATCCTGCCAGGACTGGGTCCCTCCCTTCATAGCACTGGGTTCCCTTCTGGCCTACGGTGTGTTTAGAAATGTTATTCAGGAACTAGGACCTGGAATGGGGGCCTACTGTAGCTAAGCTGGTATCCAAGTTGCAAGACAAAGCCTGTTTTTTATTCTTCTCTCTCCTCTCCTCAAGTGAAAGGAAGGCGTCTCTCCCAGAGCTGCAAGCTGCACTGCCTGGATTTGGGGGAGGGTTGGTGCAAGCACTCCCTTAGCTGCCCTACCTGGTGTCTCACTAAGTCGTGTGCCCTTCAAGTCCACTGGTTCCAAGCCCAGCACAGCACCAGCACTTGTGCAGAAATTGCAGTCCTTGTGGCCTAGACTGCCTTTTAAGTTTATTTAGGACCCCAGAGCACTTTAGCCCATGGTGACAAGGCTGGCTGAATTCAGATTCTAACCGCTGGGATGGATGACTCCCCTCTGGCTAGGGCTGGTCTAAATGCTCCCTCCATTGGCTCTGGCTGATTTCTCCCCCATGTTGCTTTCCACTGTGACAGGGCAGCACTGGGTTCCAATGCGAGGTCCTGCAATCACTGTGCTGTCCCACTCCCAGTGCACAGATTCTCTGTGCCACACAGCCACTGCTGGGGGAAGGAGGAAGGGTGGCATTGGCAATTCAAGACTGTCTTTCCTACCCTCTTCAGTGCTTCTTTCCTTAATGTAATGTTAAAACCAGGTACTGTGATTGCTCAGCTGATTTTTGGTTCTTCTGAAGATGCTGTTTTGTGTGAACAGTTATTCAATTTGGTGTTCCTGTGGGCAGGACAATTGGTGGAGGCTTCTGTTTGGCCATCTTCCTCTGCCTCCTCTCCTCCACAAGTTTTCAGTATTACTCAAAACAGTACTTTTATCAACATTCTTGTGCCTAGTCTTATGACTTATACAAGTGTGTGCAAACATTTCTCTTCAGTATGTACCTAGAAAGGAAATTACTGGGTTGGATGGTTTATGTATGTTCAACTTCAGGGTAGAGGGCCAAACTGTTTTCTGAAGTGCTTGCCCTTACACTCAGGTCAGTAATGTCTATGAGAACTGACAGATCCACATTCTCTCCCAACACTTGATATTATCAGACCTTTTAATTTTTGCTGATCAGTTGTGCATAATATAGTACCTCATTATGGTCCTGATTTGCATTTTCACCTTCAGTGCCAAGTATCTCTTTTACTGGATTGGCCACATGTCTCCTTTCTTTTTCTGAGCTGTATCTGTTTATGGTTTTTGCCCATTTTTTCTACAGCTGTTTGTGCTTTTCTTTTTTTTTCTTTCATTTCTCAGCTCCTAGAACTGATATGCTTTTCTTATTAAAAGGAGTACTGAATATGTTCTCAATGCTAATCCTTTGTTTATTTCTTTTCACTTTCTTTAAGGTATCTTTTGATGAACAAAAGTTCTTAATATAGCAAAATGTATCACTCTTTTATAATTAATCTTTTTTGTTTAAGATATCATTTGATAAATTGTTTAATAAGTCCATTCTACTATAATATCTAAAATATTTAACTGTATCTTATACTGTTTTTAAAGTTGATTTTATTTATTTATGATGTCATGGAAGAGCTAAAATTTTATCTTTTTCCATGTCTATCATACACCAAATTTCCACTTTATATACAGTCTATTCATGGGCTTAATTCTCTTCTATTGATGAATGTATTTCTCTCTGCACCAATACACTTACTACAGCTTTATTAATAATTCTGATGGCCAGGCGTGGTGGCTCACGCCTGTAATCCCAGAACTTTGGGAGGCCAAGGCTGGCGGATCATGAGGTCAGGAGATCAAGACCATCATGGCTAACACAGTGAAACCCCATCTCTACTAAAAAAAAAAACACACACACACACACAAAAAAATTAGCTGGGCACGGTGGCGGGCGCCTGTAGTCCCAGCTACTCGGGAGGCTGAGGCAGGAGAATGGCGTGAACCCGGCAGGTGGAGCTTGCAGTGAGCCAAGACAGCGCCACTGCAGTCCGGCCTGGGCAAAAGAGTGAGACTCTGTCTCAAAATAATAATAATAATAATAATAATTCTGATATGTGGTAGGGCCAGACCTGTCTCTACTCTTTCTCTTCAGAAGTGTCCTACTAATTCTTGGCCCTTTACTGTTCCAAATAAATTTTAGAATTATCTTATCAAGTTCCATAAAATCTCTGTTGGGATTTTAACTGCAATTATCTTTAAAGCTCAATCTAGGGAGCATTGACCTATTCCCAATATTTATCCATGAACATATTTCTCTCCATTTATTTAACCTTCTTTACTATCTCTTAATAAAGTTTTATAATTTTCCATGTAGGGATTAGAGATTTCTTTTATTAGATTTATTCTAAGATATTTTATATTCTCTAGTACCATTGAAAATTATTCTCTTTAATTATATCTTCTACTCTGCTGTTGGTGTAGTAAATGCAATGGAATTTTTCACTTTAATGTCACAAGGAGCCTAGTTAAATCTCATTTATAATGCCTTAACTGTGGCTTCTTTTGGCTTTTCTGTATGATTATCCTGTTACCTGAAAGTTATGACTGTTTTATTTCTTCCCTTCCAATTCCTATGCCTCTAATTTCTTTTTCTTGTCTTATTACACTGTAGAACTTCCAATACAATGTTGGGTAGATGGGATGACAGTAAACACCCTTGTCTGTTTTCTGATTTATAAAAGAATATTTCCAATCTTTTTGGATCTGGGATTCCCATCCTAGCTTTCCATATTCCTCATAACTTATAACCTCGTGTTTCTTTTATTTCTTTCTATATTTTGCTTGTTTAAAGATAATTTTTAATTAGAGCTTATTTATTTAAATTTAAATAAATTAGAAACTATTCTGAAAATATTTATAAATTATACATAATTTAAAAATATAAGCAGTTACAATCATAGTAGTAATGTCAAACAAATGATACTAAATCAACTTTTATTTGCTCCTCATCATTTTCTCCCTAATATGTAGGGCAGTTTGATAAGATGCTTTGGGTTAGGTTACCAGAATAGTCCCAGGGTTACACAACATTAGAGCTAGAAGAAGCTTTAGAGATAACGTTGAGGAACCTAAAGCCTATTCATTCAACAAATATTAACCAAGAACCAACTTTGTGCTAGGTATTGTATTAGACCCTAACAATATGGTACAGAGTAAGTCAGACAAGATCTAAGCTTTCCTAGAGTTACTTTCTCATCAGGGGAGAGAACAAGGAGACAAGCAGGATTGTTTGTACAGATTGTTTTAAGCACAGTGAAGAAAATAGGATGATGTAAAAGAGAAAGAAAAACTGCAAAAGCCATTTTCCTCAGGCCTCTTTTATTCTTGTTTGCCTTCCTGAAAGTGATGCTGAATAATACAGCAGCCTACAACCAGTCCACCCTTCCATTTTGAGAAACCAAGTTGCGGGTGGCGGGGGCACAGGGAACAGACACCTCACACAACTGGTTAAGTCACTGTCTGGGTATGTCTGCCAAAGCCGGCAGCCCAGACCCCACACCAAAGCTACAGGAACATGAGGGATAAGAGCTGACGTTCTCTGTCTGAAAACGCAAGGGTGGATAAGCTCTGTGATCCGGTGGCATCTGGCACAACCTCACTGATCACCTCCTCTGCACCAGAATCTTATGCTGGGTGCCAGGGCTACCCAAGATGAAACAGTTAATGGTCCCGCCCTCAGTACCATGGGGAACATACTGATGCTTTCAAAGCAACATGGACATACCATGATCAGAGTTCACTGAGAAGAGAGAGGGGATTATCTAAGTCTTGGGAGTCAGGGGAGGCTCCCTGGAAGAAGCAGTGCCTAATGTAACAGTTTATACTGCCATCAACAGCAGAGAGCCAGAGAGCTGGTGGGGAGCTAGAGAGTTAGCTCTGAGGTTAAGAATACAAACTCTGGGCTCACACAGCCTAAGTTAGTATCTTTTTGTTTTTTTGAGACGGAGTTTCGCTCTTTCATCCAGGCTGGAGTGCAGTGGCACGATCTCGGCTCACTGCAACCTCCACCTTCCGGTTTCAAGCAATTCTCCTGCCTCAGCCTCCTGAGTAGCTGGGATTACAGGCCCGCACCACCACTCCCGGCAAATTTTTGTATTTTTAGTAGGGATGAGGTTTCACCATGTTGGCCAGGCTGGTCTCGAACTCCTGACCTCGTGATCTGCCCGCCTAAGCCTCCCAAAGTGTTGGGATTACAGGCATGAGCCACCACGCCCAGCCCAGTTCGTATCTTAAATTCCCCACCCAACCAAAGCATGTGTGTTGTCATTTGTAAAATGGGAATAGTAGTACAGAGAACCTAAGTTTATTAGGAAAACAAAATAAAATGATCTGTGTAGAGCACTTACTTAGTTCTTGGTGAATTCATCGCCTGATCAACTCACAGAAAATCAATGTGCAGAAATCCAGTTTGCCAAATGACCTATATACTGAATTTGCCAAAGTTACTGAGTAGCTTTCACTGGGATATTCAAGTTGGTTTCTGACTGTGAGATATACTTTCCTGGGCACTAATTAAAAACAATTGATAATGCAATCGTTGGCAAATGGATCTTATAAAATGATACTTTTAAAAATGTGACAAAGTCGGAATAAGCCTAAAATGAAGGGTTTTTTCATATGAAGTGCTGTATTTACCAAGCAAAATTTTAGCCTTTCATGTCAGATTTTCTTCAGTTTCTTCTAAATTCTTTTGTGATACTTTTGAATGTCTTTTTCTATCCTTCAAACTATAAACATTTATAATAATCTTTTGCCAGTTCCTTTAATGACATATCAGGCTTAAATTTAAATGCATCAAATTTAAAATTGAATTTAGTTGGAATTCAGTGTTAAACATGTTAAATTTTAATGCAAAATGTCCCAAAGAAATCTGAAATTGTAAATTTAAAACCATACTAAAAATATCAGGACTAACTGAAATAACCCTTTCCTGAAAAATGCTGAAATTCTGGTTTCTAACAAGGATAATTTGGAATACATGAGTGAGAGAAAATTAATTTCATCGGAATGAATTATTATAATGAATCATATTATTAGTACTTTATATCTGACATGCATTAACCATAAATAGGAATTTTAAAAGAAGCAATCAATAAAATCAACTTAAAAGCCTCTTAAGTTGCATAAACACCAAATGAGTGAACAAAGATCATGATCAGAACATTAAATTAGCAATTACTAGCTGGAGGTGATGGCTCATGCCTGTAATCCCAGCACTTTGGGAGGCCAGGGCAGGTGGATCCCTTGAGACCAGGAGTTCGAGACCAGCCTGGCCAACATGGCAAAATCCTGTCTTGACTAAAAATACAAGAAAATTAGCTGGGCGTGGTGGCACATGCCTGAAATCCCAGCTACTCAGGAGGCTGAGGCACGGGAGAATCACTTGAACCTGCCGGGTGGAGGTTGCAGTGAGCCAAGATCACACCACTGCACTCCAGCCTGGGTGACAGAGTGAGACTTTGTCTCAAAAAAAAAAAAAAAGCAATTATTTTTAAAAATCAATGTAAACCATTTTACAATGTAGATAATGAGTATGCAGACATTTGCTGTAAAATTTTTCAGTATGTCTAAAAATTGTAAATATGTTGGAGGAAAAAAGTTAACGTAAATCAAAAATTTTCTACAAGAAAGGCTAAAAATATATTCTTACTACCAATAACCAAAACTCAAAATTTCCTGTAAAGTTGTTAAACTTTCTAGTGAAAGCTATTAAAACTTTTGGCTTTAGAGAATAGGCAAACTGGGTAATTTTGGCCAACGGTTCATTCTGGAAAACTAATTCGATAAATTGGCTTTCAACAAATTAATTTCTGTCAGATTAATCCAGAGCTCAAAGAAGAGAATGCTCTCCTGGCAGAAGGAACTATGAAAGTAGACGTGGGAAGGAGGAAGCAACAGAATCCCAGGAACAGTGCCCAGCAACCCAGAGAGGAAAGAGAATACAGAGGTTCGGCAGGACCCAGGTCCTGGTGGGAATTATAGCCATAGCAGGCTTTTATAATACTGATTAGGGCCAGGTGCGGTGGCTCACACCTGTAACCCCAGCACTTTGGGAGGCTGAGGTGGGTGGACTGCTTGAGCCCAGTAGTTTGAGATCAGCCTGGGAAACACAGCAAAACCATATCTCTACAAAAAATGCAGAAGTTAGCCAGGTGTGGTGGTGGACACCGCTAATCCCAGCTACTCAGGAGGCTGAGGCAGGAGAATCACTTGAACCCGGGAGACGGAGGTTGTAGTGAGCCGAGACTGCGCCACTGCACTCCAGCCTGGGTGACAGAGCAAGACTCCATCTCAAAAAATAATAATAATAAATTATATATATATATACACACACACATGCACACACACACATCTCACACACACACACACACATGTATACACACACACACACACACACACACACTAATTAGTTGTATTGTGGATTTTTTTCCTGATTATAAACATAACATGAACTCATCAAATTTGGACTATGGAGAAGAACATAGAAAATAAAATAAAAACCATAATCCCATCACTCAGACTTTTTTCTGTACATATTAATATGCCAGAATCTTCAGACATTACTGATTCTCCAGAAAGGTTGCAACCAACAATATGACGACCAGTGGCATGCGACTATCCAATGTCCCTGACGCTAGCCATGGATATGACTCAGACACTACCTTTCTTGACCCAGGAATACCATTTACCAGTGCTGACCATTACCCTAAAAAAAAAAAATGAACTTCTGTTAAAGAAATTATAGTTCGAATTTTGTGCAATTATTTAAAAATCTGGGTAGGAAAAAATATGTAGAGAGAATTTTACCAGCTAGAGATATTTCTAGCACTTCAATGTGTATCCCAGACTTTTTTTCCTTTTCGGTTTTTTTTTTTTTTTTTTTTTTGAGACAGAATCTCACTCTGTCACCCAGACTGGAGTGCAGAGGTGCAATCTTGGCTCACTGCAACCTCCACCTTTCAGGTTAAAACGATTCTTGTGCCTCAGCCTCCCAAGTAGCTGGGATTACAGGCATGCGCCACCACACCCGGCTAATTTTTGTATTTTTAGTAGAGACGGGGTTTCACCATGTTGCCCAGGCTGGTCTCGAACTCCTGGCCTCAAGCAATCTGCCTGCCTAGGCCTCCCAAAGTGCTGGGATTACAGGCATGAGCCACCACGCCTGGCCTCCTAGATATTTTTCTGTCTTTACTTGCATGGATATCATATTTTATTTAAAATGGAATCTTCTCGTATATATGCCACATATGTTTTTTGCCTAACATTGTATACAATTTGTCAATGTCATAAATGTTCTGCATCATCATTTTTGAGTGGTACAGAGTATTTCGCTGTGTGAGTGACGTCTAGACTCTGCGTCAAATGTGCATCACAGCCACCAATCAGAATGGATGCTGGCCAGAGCTCCCATACACTCATATCAGCTGTGGATTTTACGAAACCAGCACTATATTGTTGACCCTTATATTGTTTCTGATTGTTCCCCAATAGAAGCAATGATGAAATGGGCATCTTTCACACTAAACCTCTGTGCACATCCATGATCATTTTCTCAGGATAAATTTTAACAAGTGGGAATTCCTAAAGAAAAGATGAGACCATGTTTTAAGTTTTTGGTATATACAGGTTTTATCAACCTGTATATTTGGAAAGGTTTTATCAACTTATGTTCACATTAGCAGGATATGAGACCCCACTTTTCTACACCTTCATTTGGAAAGTATCACTGTGCCTTTTATCATCAATATGCTAAATTCAAGTGCCATTTCACTATTTTGATTTGTCACTCTTTTTAAAATTATTATTACTTTTTTTGGAGGCAAGGTCTCGTTCTGTCACCCAGGCTGGAGTGCAGTGACGTGATCGTAGCTCACTGCAACCTCAGCCTCCAGGGCTCAAGTGATCCTCCCATCACAGCCTCCCGAGTAACTGGGCTACAGGTGCGTGCCACCATGCCCAGCTATTTTTTACATTTTTTGTACAGTTGGGGTCCCACTATGTTGCCCAGAATGGTCTCAAGCTCCTGACCTCAAGCCATCCTTTCACCTTGGCCTCCCAAAGTGCTGGGATTACAGGCATGAGCCACCACTCTTGCCTGTATTTGTTCAATTACTGTTGAGATTAGATTTTTCATATGTTGCTTGGCCATTTGTTTGTGTGTTGGAGGGGAAGGGTATGTGTGTGCAAATTGCCCCTTTTATCTATCAAGTGTTCTTTCTCTCATTTATTTTTTTATTTTTATTTTTTGTTTTTTTGAGACTGAGTCTCGCTCGGTTGCCCAGGCTGGAGTGCAGTGGCCCGATCTCAGCTCACTGCAATCTCTGCCTCCCGGGTTCAAACGATTCTCACGCCTCAGCCTCCCAAGTAGCTGGGACTACAGGCGTGCACCACCATGCCTGGCTAATTTTTGTATTTTTAGTAGGACGGGGTTTCACCATGTTGGCCAGGCTGTTCTCATACTCCTGACCTCAAATGAACCACCCCCATCGGCCTCCCAAAGTGCTGGGATTACAGGTGTGAGCCACCGCGCCCGGACACTCATTTATTTTTGAGAACTATATCCACTGAGAGTAGTAAGTTGCAACATAAATGTTGCAAATCCTTTTCTAAATGTCTTTTTTTCTATGCTTTTGCCTTTCAGATTTTAAAAAATGTATATGTTTTTAAATCTTTTGGTATTTAAAAAAATCATTTTGCATTTGAGAATATATAAAATACACCCACATTTTCTTCTGGTATTCTTATTCTTGTTCTGTCTTTTTCATTTAAATCTCTATTCCACTGAAAACTTCTATCAGTATGTGATGTGTGGTATATATCTAACCTTTTTCAAACTGGTGAGCTAGTTATCCAACACCATTTGTTGAAAAGTATTTTATTTACCTTCTGATTTTAATTGGCAGCTTTGTCTTATACTGTATTTGTGTTTACACTTGGATATGTTTCTGTGCTTTTAGTTCTGTTCCTATCTTTGTTTGTTTGCTTGTTTGTTTTTGAGGCAGAGTCTCACTCTGTCTGGAGGCTAAAGTGCAATGCAGTGGCGCGATTTTCCTGTCTCAGCCTCCCGAGTAACTGGGATTACAGGCACCGGCCACCATGCCCAACTAATTTTTGTATTTTTAGTAGAGACAGGGTTTCACCATGTTGGCCAGACTGGTCTCGAACTCCTGACCTCAGGTGATCCACCCACCTTGGCCTCCCAATGTGCTCGGGTTACAGGCGTGAGCCACTGTGCCTGGCCCCTATCATGTCATAATAAATTTCAATAATTTGTTGTACAGATGCCTCTCTATTACTGTGTTCTCTGACATTTTTACTGGCTAACTGGCCATCCTCAATTATTTATTCTTCCAGATGAACATATAAGATTCTTTTGGTCAAGTTTCCAAAGAAAATGATGTTTAGATTTTTATTGGAATTATATTACATTCATTTTACTTTGACAATAAGGGGAATCCTTACAATATTAAGCAAATGTGTATTACCATTTGTGGAAGTCTTCTTTCATTTCCTTCAGTAACACATTGTAGTTTGATTCATATAGGTCCTACACATTTCTTGCCAAGTTAATTCAAAGGTATTTGTTGTTGCTGCAAATTGTGACTGAACTTTCTTCCCTCCCCCAGCCCTGGCCATTCTAACTACATCAACTTTTATGGATTCTATAACTTCCCATCTTATAGAACTTTTATTCATGGTAATAGTTTTTCAGCTGATTCTTTTTGAATAGTGTAGGGAGACCATCTACTTCATGCAAAAATAATAATGATAATTTTTTCCTGTGGTCAATATTTACACCTCTTTTTCTATTTCTTGTCTTATAGCATGGGTTCAAGAATTCAGATGCCCATGAGGCCCAGTCCAGCAACATAAATGAGTAACTCGAGCCAAGAGAGGCCTTTACAGAGATCCCAGGCCTTGTCTAAGGGATCGGTGCTTCTGCTCATCCCAGCCAATTTCTGCCCTTTGGGAAACAGGCCTAGTGTTAACAGATGGTCAGATTTTTTTAAAAACGATATGCCAAAGATCAGGTATTTTAAAATGTTGAATATACAGGTATTTTAAATGTTGGAAATAAATTTGAATTTTTTAAACATCAGGCAAGTCAAATACGGGATATCTGATGGTCATATTCAACCCAGGCTCACAGTATCCTCCACGTTGGCTAGAGGTTCCAGAATTTAAGTATGTATTGGGTTGCAATACTAGGCATTCTTGCCTTATCCTGGTTTAGTCAAAATGCCTCCATTCTTTGCCCAATTAGCTATTTTGTAGGCTCTTGATTTGAAATAAATATATTTTTCAATATTAAGCCTCTGTCTCCAATTTAACAGAAGCATTGTATGAAGAGAGAACTTTAAATTCTATTAGCTGATATGATTTTCTTCTTTGATTTCTGAATGTTATGAATCCATAAATTTTTTAATATTGAACCATCCTTGCCTGTATGATTTGGGGAGTTAAGCTATACTTAATCAAATTATATTACTTTAAATGTAGAGTTGTATTCTCTTTTCTTATTTTTTTCTTTTATTTTTTTGCTTTTGAAGAGTTTGACAATATATCAATTTTCTTAATGTTTTAAGGGTTACAAAATAGGAGAAAATATTTTTTAAGTCAAAACTGATCTATTGCCTCTTTAACTCATGACCACCCTTGTCCTCTACTTTTCTTGGCAAAATATGTGACATGTTGCTTAGAGGGAAGGGAGAGGTCATAAGATTTCACCAGATTTACCCAGACGTACTTGTAGGTCAGTAGATGATTATTTGGTTTCTCTTTTGCTGGGGCAAAGGTTAAAACTGGATTGTTCTCAATAAATAAGTAAATATTGGGTTTTTTGAAGAGACTGAGGAAAGATGGGGAAGGAACTTGGAGGAAGGGACAGGGATGTCTACTAGTTTCTGCTGGGGTTTGTAATGTGGTTCCGTTCTCTGATGTCCCCACAAAGTTATTAATCCATCATCTTCAGTGTGCTGTAGAGGTGGATCTCTTCTTCTTCTTTTTTTTGAGATGGAGTCTTGCCTTGTCACCCAGGCTGGAGTGCAGTGGCTCAATCTCAGCTCACTGCAACCTCCACCTCCCGGATTCAAGTGATTTTCCTGCCTCAGCCTCCTGAGTAGCTGGGATTACAGGCATGCACTACCACACCAGGCTAATTTTTATATTTTTATTACAGACAGGGTGTCACCATGTTGGCCAGACTGGTCTTGAACTCCTGACATCAGGCGATCCACCTGCCTCGGCCTCCCAAAGTGCTGGGATTACAGGTATGAGCTATTGCGCCCAGCCACAAGGTGGATCTCTTTTGTAATGTGACAACCTGCTAAGCAGCAGCCCTTTAGACCAGGCCAGGGCAGCTTCTGCCTTTGCTTTAATGGTCTCTGTTCCTCCTTTGGCCATGATCCTCCCCAGCAGGTGAGGAATCTGCAGGGCCAAGGAGACAGACCCTGCAAGTAGGTTCAGGCCTGTTTAGGTGGAAATTATGGGGTCTGGGTGCTGTGACCTTGTGCCTTTGCCTTCTAGACCATATTCTAGATACCCAAGTCCCCAGAATTCTCTACCTAAATGGTCTTAGTCCGCTTTCAGGGCCTCTTTCCTGGGTCCATCCTCCCAAGAGTAGACCACACTGCTGGTCAGTGTACTCCTAAGCCTGAGGAGTGACAAAAGATGACTGATTGTGTGGGGTGTGGACAAAGCATGGACATTGGGCTGGAGTGCCTATACCTATTCTCATAAGGCCTGTCCTGATGCAGGATGGAAATGGGGGCTATAGGGAAAGGGCACTCAACTCTCTTTGTGTCACTAGATAATAGCTCAGAACTCTGAGGAACCTGGGAGAATTCTAAATTCAAATGTGGCTTGCCACATGGTTATGAAGGCATGTTTGCCAGGTAGAGATAAGAACGGTTGGCCAGGCACAGTGGCTCATGCCTATAATCCCAGCACTTTGGGAGGCCAAGGCGGTTGGATCACAAGGACAGGAGTTCGAGACCAGCCTGGCCAACATGGTGAAACCCCGTCTCTACTAAAAATACAAAAATTAGCTGGGCATGGTGGTGGGCACCTGTAATCCCAGCTACTTGGAAGCCTGAAGCAGGAGAATCATTTGAACCTGGGAGGCAGACGTTGCTGTGAGCCAAGATTGCGCCATTGCACTCCAGCCTGGGCAAGAGGGTGAGACTCCATCTCAAAACAAAAAAACAAAAACAAAAAATATAGTTGTCAGCTTACAGTTTTGAAAGACTTTGGCCATATTGTATATGGGCCCCCCTTTATATTCTTGCCCAAAGCCCACCAAAGGCTTGGGGAAAACCTGTTACAGAGTAAATCCTCTAGGTGGGCATGAGACCGTCTGTGGGAGACTCACAATAGGAAGCAATATTGAGACTTTTGTATCCATTTCCCAGCTGGTAGATACAGCCCATATATTCCTTCCTTTACAAAGTGATTGAAATCACCAAAGCAATAGAAAAATACTTGCATCTCTATCTCCATTAGTTTCTTAGGCCTGCCATAACAACGTACCACAAGCTGGCTTACTTAAAACAACAGAAATGTATTCTGTCACAGTTCTGGAGGCCAGACTGTGAAATCAAGGTCTAGGCTCTAGGCCAGCATACTTCCCTGCCTCTTCCTACCTCCTGGTGGGTCCTTGCAATCCTTGGCATTCTTTGACTTGTGGCTGCATCATTCCGGTCTTTGCTTCCGTCTTCACATGTCCTTCTTTGTGTGAATCTCTGTGTCCTCTCCTATTATTTCCTTTTTAAATTTTTCTTTTTAGGAACAGAGTCTCATTCTGTCACCCAGGCTGGAATGCAGTAGTGCAATCATAGCTCTCTACAATCTCAAACTCCAAGGCCCAAGCAATCCTCCTGCCTCAGCCTCCCAAGTAACTAGGACCACAGGTGCACACCACCACAACTGGCTGATTATTTTTTGTAGAAGTGGGTGGTCTCACTATGTTGCCCAGGCTGGTCTTGAACTCCTGGGCTCAAGTGATCCTCCTGCCTGGGTCTCCCAAAGTGCTTGATTACAGGCATGAGCCACAACACTTGGCCCCTTTCCTTTTCTTTGTTTCTTTCTCTCTTTCTCTCTTTCCTCCCTCCCTCCCTCCCTCTCTCTCTCTCTCTTTCTTTCTTTGACAGAGTCTCACTCTGTTGCCCAGCCTGGAGTGCAGTGGTGCAATTTCAGCTCACTGCAACCTCCACCTCCTGGTTCAAGTGATTCTCCTACCTCAGCCTCTTGAATAGCTGGGACTAGGACTACAGGCACACACCACCATGCCCGGCTAATTTTTTTTTTTTTTTTTTTTTGAGATGGAGTCTTGCTCTGTCGCCCAGGCTGGAGTGCAGTGGTGCGATTTCGGCTCACTGCAAGCTTCGCCTCCCAGGTTCACGCCATTCTCCTGCCTCAGCCTCCCGAGTACCTGGGACTACAGGCGCCCGCCACCACGCCCGGCTAATTTTTTGTATTTTTACAAAAATATTAAATATGTTAGCCAGGATGGTATCGATCTCCCGACCTCGTGATCCGCCTGCCTTGGCCTCCCAAAGTGCTGGGATTACAGGCGTGAGCCACTGCACCTGGCCTAATTTTTGTATTTTTTAGTAGAGACTGAGTTTCACCATATTGGCCAGGCTGGTCTTGAACTCCTGACCTTGTGATCCGCCCACCTCAGCCTCCCAAAGTGCTGGGATTACAGGCATGGGCCACCGCGCCCGGACTCCTTTTCTTACAAGGATACCAGTCATTGGTTTGAGGACCCACCTTAACTCAGTATAATCTCATCTTAATAATTACATCTGCAAAGACAATATTTCCAAATAAGGTCATGTTCTGAGGTTCTGGGTGGACATGCATTTTGTGGGGACACTATTCAACACAGTACACTCTCCCTAAATAATGTGACTATTGCTCATGTTCTTCTCTTTCTCTCTCTCTCCCCGACCCCAACCCTCAGTAGTTGGTTATTGGAGTTGGCTTCATTTTGTAAAATTAATTGAGACACTTTAAAATTTTTTGAAACTCTGGAACCAATTAAATCCTATAGAAATCACCTCTTAATGTTTGGCAGAATTTACCGACCCATCCCTCACCCCCCAAATCATCTGAGCCAGTATGTCTCATCAAAGTAGCAAGGGGTTCTTTTATCAGTTTTTTCCATGACTCGTTGTCTAGTCGGATTTTTCTACGTCCTGTTGAGCAGATTTTATTGTCTTATTTTGGTCCATATTTTATTAGCAGGAATTTAAACACAGTATGCTTTTAACTTTCATCTTCTTCCAAATCTATGTTTCTAGTCTTGCTTTAATTCTAGTGTTATTTATTTGTATTTTCTTTCTTTCTCATGTAACCTTGCCAGAGGTTTGTCTGTTTTATTGGTCTTTTAAAAGAGCTAGCTTTTTTATTTATTTTGATCAATCCTATTGTTTTCTGTTTTCTAATTTGCTTATGTCTGCTTTTATCTTTTACCTTTTCCTTCTGCTGTCCTTTGATTTATTTTATTAGTTTTTGTCTCTGTGTTATAGTTAATTGCTCAGGGTTTTTTTTTTTTTCATTTTATTTAATAACAGAACCATTTAAGCTTTGTCTTTTCTCCAGTGAGTGGCCAGAGAGACGGAAATACAGAAATAACATTGTAGTTAGGAGAGAGGACCTAGAAATAGAAAAGATCAAAAACACATTTCTCTACTGGGGACCTGGCTATGTATCTTAAATGCCAGTTCTTCAGATAATGCTACCACAAGCATCATCTCTTTTGTACGGTTGCTTCCTGCTGATTTTTTAACTAGAGAGCCAAGGCAGTTTCTAGCGAAGGACTGAACTTCATCTTTCTAGCAACGATGGAAAGTGAGACCCTTCCCCACTCATCCCACTTCCAGAATCAATTTAGTCTTATCTGGGGGACCCTGGGGCCTAAGTGGCTCTTGTTTGGAATTGCATCAGCCAGCCTGGGAATGCTATGGCTGTAAATGAAGGACAATCTTATGCACTGAGTGCGTTTCTAACACCCTGTCACGAGAAACAACCCCTACCTGCAACCATAACCTCCTCAGCCATCTCTTCTCTCCTCTTGGCTGTGGTGAGATTGATATAAGGACTTACTAAAGAGCATTAAGGGCTGGACGCGAGGGCTCACGCCTGTAATCCCAGCACTTTAGGAGGCCAAGGCAGGTGGATCACTTGAGGTCAGGAGTTCGAGACCAGCCTGGCCAATGTGGCGAAACCCCCTCTATACCAAAAATATTAAAAATTAGCTGGGTAGGGTGGTGCGCGCCTGTAGTCCCAGCTACTCGGAGGCTGAGACAGGAGAATTGCTTGAACCTGGGAGGTGGAGGTTGCCATGAGCTGAGGTCGTGCCACAGCACTCCACCTGGGCAACAGGGCGAGACTGTGTCTCAAAAATAAAATCAAATCAAATAAAGAGCATTAAGAAGTCAAAAGGGAACGTATGATGAGAGTTGGTTGAAAATATTAATCGTCCTTGTCAGTATTGAGGATAAACCATTATCCTCAAATGGTTTTTCATCCTCAAATGGTTTTGAGTGATCACAGCTCACTGCAGCCTCAATCTCCCGGGCTCAAGCAATCCTCCCACTTCAGCCTCCCAAGTGGCTGGGACCATAGGTGAATGCCACCATGCCTGGCTAATTTTTGTATTTTTTTATAGAGACAGGGTTTCACCATGTTGCCAGGCTGGTCTTGAACTCCTGGGTTCAAGCAATCCTCCCACCTTGGCCTCCCACACATTTCAGCCAAACCAGATTGAGTCTGCTTGTAATATCTCAAAAAGGCTCAATCTCAAGGCATCATGAGAGCTCAAAAAAAATTGCAAGGGACTGGGGCATCCTGATCTGGCTGGTCTCTAACTGGAGCTTGATGCAGGACAATGTACATCTCCACTGGTCTTTTGCATGTGGTGGTCAGAAAAGAAGAAATACAAAATTTGGGGATGGAAGAAGAGTGGTCTCTGCCCATCCCCAACTGCCAGGCCTCCCTTCATTGAATGCAGATCACGCCTAATCAATTCATTACAAGATCTCAACCATAGCATTTCATTCCCAAAATGATTGATAATAACAAACAGTTACTGAGATTTTGCTATGTGCCAAATATTGTACTTAAGTGTTGTTCCAACAGCTTTGCTAGGATACAATTTACATACTGTAAAACTGACCCATTAGAAGTATACAACTTGGCCAGGTGTGGTGGTCCACACCTGTAATCTCAGCACTTTGGGAGGCTGAGGTGGGGAGATCATGAGGTCAGAAGTTCAAGACCAGCCTGGCCAACATGGTGAAACCCTGTCTCTACTAAAAATACAAAAAAGTTAGCCAGGTGCACCTCTAATCCCAGCACACACCTCTAATCCCAGCTACTCGGGAGGCTGAGGCAGGAGAATTGCTTGAACCCGGGAGGTGGAAGTTGTAGTGAGCTGAGATTGTGCCACTGCACTCCAGCCTGGGCAACAGAGTGAGACTCTATCTAAAAAGAAAAAAAAGTATACAACTCAAATATATTCAGAAAATGTATAGGGTTGTATAGCCGTTACCACAATCCAGTTTTAGAATATTCCATCACCTCCAGAAACTCTCTCAAACCTGTTTGCAGTCAATCCCCTATCTCATCCTCAGCCCCAGGCAACAGTGATCTGCTTTCTGGCTATACAAATTTGTCTTTTCTGGAAATTTCATAGCAACTGAATCATGCAATATTCAATTCTTTTGCACCAGGCTTCTTTCACTTAGTATAATGTTTTTGAGATTCGTCTAGGTGGTAGCTTCCTTTTTATTGGTGAATAATATTCCATTATGTGAATATATCACATTTGTATATCCATTCACAAGTTGAGGAACATTTGGATTGTTTCAGCTTTTTAGCTATTATGAATAATGCTGCTGTGAACATTCACCTACAGTTTTTTCTAATGACATACGTTTTCATTTCTTTTTACTTTCTTTTTTTTTTTTTTTTTGAGATAAGAGTCTCACCAGGGTGCAGTGCAATGGTGCGATCTCGGCTCACTGCAACCTCCACCTCCCAGGTTCAAGTGATTCTCCTGCCTCAACCTCCCAAGTAGCTGGGATTACAGGCATGCGCCACCACTCCCAGCTAATTTTTTGTATCTTTAGTAGAGATGGGGTTTCATCATGTTGGCCAGGCTGGTCTTAAACTCCTGACCTTGTGATCCACCTGCCTCGGCCTCCCAAAGTGCTGGGACTACAGGCGCGAGCCACTGCACCCGACCTTTTTTTTTTTTTTTTTTTTTTGAGACAGCGTCTTGCTCTGTCACCCAGGCTGGAGTTGGAGTGCAGTGGCGTGATCTCAGCTCACAGCAACCTCCGCCTCCTGGGTTCAAATGATTCTCCTGCCTCAGCCTCCCAAGTAGCTAGAATTACAGGCACGTGCCACCATGCCCAGCTAATTTTTGTATTTTTAATAGAGACAAGGTTTCACCATGTTGGTCAAGCAGGTCTGCAACTCCTGACCTTGTGATTCACCCACCTCGACCTCCCAAAGTGCTGGGATTACAGGCGTGAGCCACCGCGCCCGGCCATGTTTTCATTTCTTTTGAATGGATACCGAGGAGTGGAGCTGCTGGTTGTATAGGAAACTTACATTTAACTTTTTAGGAAATGGTCAAACTGTTTTCCAAAGTGAGTGTGCCATTTTTTACATTCTCAACAACAACATATGAGGATTCTAGTTTCTCTGCATCCTTGGTAACATTTGGTACCATGTCTTTTTTATTAGAGCCATTCTTTGTATTTTTATTCTTGTATTTATTTATTTATTTATTTATTTTGAGACAGGGTCTTGCTCTGTTGCCTAGGCTGGAGTGCAGTGGCGTGATCACGGCTCACTGTAGCCTCAACCTCCTGGGCTCCAATGATCCTCCGTCTTCAGCCTCCCAAGTAACTAGGACTACAGGTATGCACCACCACACCTGGCTAATTTTTGTATTTTTTTTGTAGAGACAGGGTTTCACCATGTTGCCCAGGCTGGTCTTGAACTGCTGGGTTCAAGCAATCCTCCCACCTTGGCCTCCCAAAATCCTGGGATTATGAGCATGAGCCACTATGCCCAGCCTATTACAGCCATCCTAGTGTCTGTATAAAGGTATCTTAGCTGTACATCATTTTCTATATCTAATCCTCCACACTGTGTTAGTCAGTGTAGACTAGGTTATGCTGTGATAACAAACAATCCCCAAGCATCAGAGGCTTGAAACAACAAAGGTTTACTTCTTACTTCTGCTGCATGTCTAGTGATTATTAGAACTGGGAAGGAGGAACAGCGCTCATCAGAGACACTCAGAAACCCAGCCTAATGGAAACTGCTGAAGTAGGAAAAGGCACACCTCACACCAGCTCTTAAAGCTTCTACCCAGTAGCAAGAAGTTACTTTCATCTTCACTTCACTGGCCAGTGAGTCACATAGTAATACTTAACTTCAGAGTAGGCAAAAACTATAATAATAACTTTATCATGTACCTAAACGGGAAGGGGAATTGGAATATTTGTAAATAATCTATTGACTTTCACAAATACTAAGAGGAAGGTACTATCACCTTTTTGTTTTGCTTTGTTTTGAGACAGGGTCTCGCTCTATCACCCAGGCTGGAGTGTAGTGGCGTGATCTCAGCTCACTGCAACAGTTCAAGACCTGTATTCAAGCGATTCCCCTGCCTCAGCCTCCTGAGCAGCTGGGACTACAGGTGCACGCCACTGCACCCAGCTAATTTTTGTATTTTTAGTAGAGACAGGGTTTCGCCATGTTGGCCAGGATGGTCTCGAACTCCTGACTTCAAGTGATCCGCCTGCCCTGGCCTCCCAAAGTGCTAGGATTACAGGCGGGAGCCACTGCACCCTCTAAATGAAAATGGACCCTCTCCCAGTGTTTTTGCCAATTTCCAGTTAAGAAGCTGACTTGATCAAATCCAATCACATAGGACTCTCAGTGTTTGGAAGATGGTCTTGACTTTTTGAGAGGAAAACCACGGTGCATGAGATGGGGGTGGGCAGAGAAATATGATTTGTAGCTATAAAGGCGATGACAGGAAGAGGGGTCTTCTTACCTTTCAGGAGATCATCAATGGACCCCAGTCTCAGGAAGGCACTAATATTCCATAGAACTTACTAACCATGACATGAGTCTCTCTAGCATGAGCTCTATCCCATTACAGGATCAAGCAAAGCCACCTGCCAAAGTTGTTCTTCTACTCCCCCAGTGGGGATGTCTAAAAAATCCATTAATAATAAACAAGGGCTGAATACAGGGTTCATGCCTGTAATCTCACTTTGAGAGGCTGAGGTGGGAGCATCACATGAGACCAGGAGGTTGAGATTAGTCTGGGCAATATAGTGAGACCCTGTCTCTACCAAACAACAACAAAAAATAGCTGGGCATAGTGGGGTGCCCCTGTGGTCCTAGCTACTCTGGAGACTGAGGTGGGAGGATTGCTTGAGCCCAGGAGGTTAAGGTTGCATCGAGCTATGAATTGTACCACTGCGCTTCAGCCTGGGTGACAGGGAGACTCTCTTAAAATAATAATAATAATGATAATAATAAACAGTATCTCAGCCAGGCGCCGTGGCTCATGCCTGTAATCCCAGCACTTTGGGAGGCCGAGGCAGGCAGATCACCTGAGATCGGGAGTTTGAGATCAACCTGACCAATATGGAGAAACCCCACCTCTACTAAAAACACAAAATTAGCTGGGCGTGGTGGTGCATGCCTATAATCCCAGCTACTTGGGAGGCTGAGGCAGGAGAATCACTTGAACCTGGGAGTCGGAGGTTGCAGTGAGCCCAGATCACGCCATTGCACTCCAGCCTGGGCAACAAGAGTGAAACTTGGTCTCAAAAATAATAATAATAAATAAAAATAAACAGTATCTCAATGAAAACTCTAAGGTAGCTGTTGAGAATGTAGGCCTGGGATTCAAATTGCCTTGGTTCAATTTATTAACAATGTATCCTTGGTCAAGGCACTTCATCTCTGAGCTTCAGTTTCCTAACCCATAAAAAGGTGACAGTAAGTTGGTCTTGGTGGCGCATACCTGTAGTCCCAACTACTTGGGAGGCTGAGGCACGAGAATCGCTTGAACCCTAGAGGTGGCAGTTGCAGTGAGCCGAGTCATGTCACTGCACTCCAGCCTGGGTGACAGAGCAAGACCCTGTCTCAAAACAAAACAAAACAAAACAAGGGTCCATTTTCATGAATACAGCATGGCAGCAGCTAACTCCATGCTGGCTTGGTACCCCAAGAGGAAGGTGGCCATGGGTTTCCAGGTACCATGTTCTGAGTACAGTGTAATGGTGAGGAACACAGGCTCCAGAATATATATATATACACACACAATATATATATGTGCTATATATATACACACAAATATATGTACTATATACATATATACGTATACATACACATATATACATGTATGTATATATACACATATATACGTGTATGTATATATACACATATACATGTATATATACATATATGCACGTATATACATATATGTATATATTTAATATATACATATATATTTAATGTATACATATATATGTATATATTTAATATATACATATATAAATATGTATATATGTATATATTTAATATATACATATATGTATATATTATATATATTATATATATTTTATATATAATAATTATATATATAATATGTAGTATATATTATATATAATAATATATAAAATAATATATAATAATAATATATATAATAATATATAAAATATATAATATATATTTTATATATAGATATATCTATATTCATTTTATAGATATAAAATGTATATACATTTTATAAAATGTAGATAATAAAATGTATATCTATAAAATGTATATCTATAAAATATACATATATAGATATGTATATTATATATTATATATTATTTATTATATATTATATAATATATATAAAATTCAGATTACAGGCATGAATATATAATATATATAATATATAATATATACATATATAGATATATAGATATATAAAATGTATATCTATAAAATATATATACATTTTATATATAGTGTGTGTGTATATATACACACATGCACACAGTATTCCAGCGTTAATGCAATACCACTCAGCCAGAAAAAGGAACATAATAATGGCCTTTGCAGCAACTTTGATGGATTTGGAGGCCATTATTCTAAGTGAAGTAACTCAGGAATGGAAACCCAAACATCATATGTTCTCACCCCTAAGTGGGAGCTAAGCTATGAGGATGCAAAGACATAAGAATGACATAATGGACTTTGGGAACTCGAGGGGAAGGGTGGGAGGTGGGTGAGGGATAAAAGACTACACATTGGGTACAGTGTGTACACTGCTCAGGTGACGGGTGCACCAAAATCTCAGAAATCACCACTAAAGAACTTATCCATGTAATGAAAACACACCTGTTCCCCAAAAACTATTGAAATAAAAATCTAGATAATCATTGAATCTGGCAAGAAAAAAATATGGTGTTGCACCTTGTGGGTATGATCAGGTACCCTGTCGGGGTAATGTTTGGATACCTAGAGAGGCCCCAGTTCTGGGACAGTGTACCTCAGGCCACCCCAGGAATCCCTCCACACCCCCAGGACTCTGGTGGTCCCCTCCAGCCTTTGATGAGGGCTTATTACCCTTCTAAGCCACCCCATAGGACAATATCTAAGATGATCCATCTGCCAAGATGGTCCCTACAAAACATACTCTGCCACAACAAATTTTGGGGGTGCAAGCCAATGTCAGCTTCCTAGCCACAGTCTCTCCCACTCCAGGTGCTCAGGATTGAGTCACACGCAGCCCCCATAGTCACTTCCCTTTCTCTAATCTTAGCTTTAGCTTACGAATGAACCCAAAAAGTATTAGAATCGATTGAATTGGTAATTAGTTTTAATCAAAATAAATGATTTCGACTCATTAGATTATGGCAAACTGATCAAACTCTCCACAGCCTCTCAGAGAAGCTGCTCTCACCAGACTTAAGGTGCAGGAATAGGGGCTAAACACCCCCACCTTTGTGTATGTTTGTTAGTAGGTGAAGGACAGCAAAGTATTTGCAAAAAAAAAGAGAAAACTCCTTATAAATTCTCTCTCTCTTTTTATTTTATTTATTTATTTTTTTGAGATGGAGTCATGCTCTGTCGCCCAGGCTATAGTGCAGCGGCACAGTCTCGGCTCACTGCAACCTCCGCCTCCCTGGTTCAAGCGATTCTGCTGCCTCAGCCTCCCAGGCTAGCTGGGATTACAGGCAACCACCAACATGCCTGGCTATTTTTTTTTTTTTTTTTTTTTCTGGAGTCGGAGTCTCACTTTGTCACCCAGGCTGAAGTGCAGTGGCACAATGTCTGCTCACTGCAAAGTGCTGGGATTATAGGCGTTAGCCACCGTGCCTGGCCTAAAATTTTTAAAACATTTTTTGAGATGGGGTCTTGCTATGTTGACCAGGCTAGTCTCGAACTCCTGGCCTCAAGCAATCCTCCCATCTCTCCCTCCCAGAAGTGCTAGGATTACAGGTGAGCCACTGCATTGGCCAGTGCATGCATTTCTGAACAGCCCAACAGGGCTAGAGAAGCGGGTGAGAATGGACTGTCGTTTTATGGATGGAGCCAGGATGTTAGTTGAGCCAATCAACTTTAACCAGCCTGAAAAGCAGAGGGAAAATATTGGCTCATGAAAGTGCAAAGTTGAAGCCTGGGTTCCAGCACCAGGTCTAGCTGGATTCAGGCTTCAAAGGATGCCACCAAGATCTGTTTTTCAATGCTGCTTCCTCTCAGTACTGATTTCATTCTCAGCCAGGTTCCTGCTGGGGTAGCAAGGTAGCCACGGCACTTCTCAGAGCTGCCTGCTCTCAGTTCAAATCCAGAGGGAAATCCAGTGCGTCTTCATCCTAGCATTCCCAGTTAAAGTCCTGAGACTTCACTGCAATTGCCATATGTATGTCCCATGGCCATGCCTGTAAGACCTGTTGATGGGCAGGTGCAGGCTTGGGTCAAGACTAGTTAGGGCTCCCCTCTAAGACGAGGCACCAGAACCACCCGGCTGAGAGTAGTAAGAGGTGGTCCAGAGACCTGTGATCATCCAGGGAGGGAGGAAGGCTGCCGGACAGGAAAACCAACAGATAGCTACTCTACATGTTTAATTTTTACTATCAGAGACCGGACTCTGGAGCTAAACTGCCTGGCTTCCAAACCTGGCTTCCCAGCTGTGTGGGCTGGCACAAGGCACATCATCTCTTGGTGTCTTGGTTTCTGCATCTGTAGAATAGAAATAATAATAGAGTCCCTACCTCATAGGGGTTTGGAAAGAGTAAATGAGTTTTTATTTTCTTTTATTTTAGTGTTTTGTTTGTTTTTGCCTGAGGCAGGGTCTTGCTTTGTTGCCCAGGTTGGAGTGCAGTGGTGTGGCCATGGCTCACTGCATGTGATCCTCCTGCCTCAGTCTCCTGAGTAGCTGGGACTACAGATGCACACCATCATGCCCAGCTAATTAAAAACAAATTTTTTTTTTTTGAGACAGAGTTTTGCTCTTGTATCCCAGGCTGGAGTGCAATGGCATGATCTTGGCTCACCGCAACCTCTGCCTCCTGGGTTCAAACGATTCTCCTGCCTCAGCCTCCCAAGTAGCTGGGATTACAGGCAGGCATCACCATGCCTGGCTAATTTTGTATTTTCAGTAGAGACGGGGTTTCTCCATGTTGGTCAGGCTGGTCTCAAAGTCCTGACCGCAGGTGATCCATCTGCCTTGCCCTCCCAAAGTGTTGGGATGACAGGCGTGAGCCACCACACCCAGCCTAAATTTTTTTTTTTTTAAGAGATGGGTCTTTCTGTGTTGCCCAGGCTGGTCTTGAACTCCTGAGCTCAAGCGATCCTCCCACCTCAGCCTCCCAAAGTGCCAGGATTCCAGGCATAAACAACAGCACCCAGCCCATAAGTGAGTTTTTACAAAGCACTTAGAATAGTGCCTAGAATTCCCCGTCAAGGGCTGAATCAGTGTTATGGACTCTGGTTATTATGATAGTGAGTTGACCTTGTTGCCCCATGGCTTTGTATTTATTCACAGTTATTCCAGGGGTTTCTGCCCCCGCTCGTCTATCACGGTGATGTGATGACTCCGCCTCCCAATCATGCTCTTCAGCATGATTAAAACCAAAGCCACACCAGGTCTGGAACATGGGCCCATATTGTTTCCCACTGTAAAGATCAGCGTGCATAGCGAGGTCCTTTTAATTCACAGTTCAGGACCCGCCATGGAAACCCTATCCATTCCTGCATTTGGCAGGAACAGGGAAGCCAAGAGGAAATCCTAGTACTTGGTGCCTTCCCATAGGGAGTTTGCAATCTAATCTAAAAGACCAGAACACTCTGTCAATGCAGTCTGAACCAGGATCCATTCCCAGGGGGAGCAGCCAAATTGCTCAGCCAGGTCGTCTTGCAGAGTGGCATCCTTCCTCTGCAGCTCATTCTAACTTAGCATGTGAATGAGCATTTAGAGATGAAGACAGAATCGAACTGAATCCCAAAGTCTGACTCACCTGCTTCTTTCCCCTCTCCTGGACAACACAGGGGAAAAAAAAGTACAACTCTTCCCCCACGTAGTACCAGCAGGGTAACCCGAGAACATCCGTTTAGCACGTCTGTCCCTGCAAAAAGGACCTTCCAGTGACACCAAGCTGAGCGTATCCTCACTCTATTTATAGGTGCTGTTTGTTTAATTTGAGTCCAGTCTCTAAGAATAAGTAATGAACTCATCTTGGGCACCAGCCAGAGCCTACAACTCTGAGACGACCCGTAAACCCCTTTCCCTTTCCTTCTGGTTCTGGAAGGGATTCTGTAGTTCAAAGGTGAGCCACTTTTGTCTGCTGGGCTAGGGTGGGCTTGAAACCCAGACGTGTTTGGAGATTTGGTTTTATGATGGTTTCTCAGTACGGTTTGGGGATTGTTTATTTATTTACTTTTTTTTTTGGTGTTTGGTTTTGGATTGGTGATTGCAGAACAGATCTGTAAACTCTTTGTCATCCACAAATGATTGACAAAGACTGAATATCTCCAGCCCTTCGTTGGTTGATCTTCGGATAAAAAGAGACCTCGTTGGGACTCAGATGTCCCCCAGTAAGGAGGCCATGGCCTTGGAGAAGCAAAATCCATTCCTTTTCAGTATCCTTCTGACTTGGTAGCAGAAACTGGGGTCAGGTTATCTTCTAAGGTCTGATACCATTCCTGAGATGCTGTTTTGTTTTGTTTTTTTCAGGCTATGTGATAAGGACCAGGAGCCATGACCCACTTAAACTTTAAACATCTAACCCCAGAACTGGTTGCACTTGAGTCCAAAGGAGCATTGTCTCTTGCAAACAAGTTCAGTTTGCACTTTAAGCTCCTCCCTTGCTGGTCTGATGGTTTAGTGACCTCAAGAACTGGCCCCATTGATTCTGAAGGGAGTGACCTAAATGCAGCCTTTGGGCTTGGTTCAGTATATTCGTATATTGAAGTGTATCAGTCCTTCCTGACACTACTATAAAGAACTACCTGAGACTGGGTAATTTTTAAAGAAAATAGGTTTAATTGGCTCATGGTTCCACAGGCTGTGCATGAAGCATGGCTGGGGAGGCCTCAGGAAACTTACAATCACAGCAGAAGGTGAAGGGGAAGCAGGCACATCATCCCTGGCTGGAGAAGGAGGAAGAGAGTGAAGGGGGAAGTGCCATGTACTTTTAACCAACTAGATCTAGTGAGAACTCATGAGAACAGCAAGGGGGATGACCGCTCCCATGATCCAATCACCTCCCTCCAGACCCCTCCCTCCATCATCAAGGATTACAATTCCACATGAGATTTGGGTGGGGACACACAGCCAAACCATATCATGTAGCTTCCCCTCATTCTCCCTTTCCATACATTTATCCTTAAGAAGTTAACCAGGCAGCCGGGCACGGTGGCTCATGCCTGTAATCCTATCACTTTGGGAGGCCAAGGTGGGCAGATCACCTGAGGTCCAGAGTCCGAGACCAGCCTGGCCAACATGGTGAAACCCCATCTCTACTAAAAATACAAAAATTAGCCAGGCATGGTAGTACACACTTGTAATTCTAGCTAGTCAGGAGGCTGAGGCATGAGAATCACTTGAACCCAGGAGGCGGAGGTTGCAGTGAGCCAAGATCGTGCCGTTGCACTCCAGCCTGGGTGACAGAGTGATACTCTGTCTCAACAACAACAACAACAACAAAGAAAAAAAAAAAGAAGGTAACCAGGCTTCTCTGAGAAGGCAAAGATCAGTGTCCATTCATTCATTTCTGTCAATATCTGTGGCCCCTCTACTCTATGCCAGATACTACTGTGGGCACAGGAGACACCTTGATGAAAGGGACAAGGTGGTGGTGAGGTGATACCTGACAGAGAAAACATTTAGCCTCCCTTCTTTCTTCCATTCATCCATTCTTCCATTCAAAAAGTATTTATGATGCATGGTCCATGTGTTAGGCACAGGACTGGGTGACAAAATACAGCAGTGAGCAAAAGAGATTGCGCCTTGCCCTTGAGTAGTTTGGAGTCCAATGGGGAAGATGGATATTAATGAAATAATCACCTACATAAAGATAGCATGACAAATGATGGAGAGCTCGTGAGACAAAGGTCAAGGGGCCATGTGAGAGTCTAAGAGAGGGATAGGCCTGGTTGGGTAGGCAGAGAATGGATGAAGACTAGGCATACTTGAGATGCCCCCAGTGGTGTGTTTTCTGTTGAGTACAGGGACAACCGACGGCTCTCTGTAGAAGGTGTGCTTTTGAGTTTCTATTAGCCGCGTGGGGCCATCCACACTCTCACCTGATTGTCTTGAGGACTGTCACAGGCTGATAGGTCTCAGGGAGAGTTCGGCCCACAAATGAGGGTTCCACCTGCGTGATCAGCACATTAGGGTTGTGACCTTGACTTTCGGGTTTGCAGTGGACAGCGTGACAGATAAAAAGACACTCTTCTCATTCTACCTCATTTGGGTAAAGGAGTAAACAAGAGCATCATCCCATGACATCATTTTCAGACGTTTGCCTGTATATGGTGGCTCTATCACCACACTCAGAGACCAGGATAGAAAGATGGCCCCACGTTCCCCTCTGCAGTTTCACGCAGACATGGGGGGCATCTCAAATGTTCACATGCAATGGCTTTGGAAAGAAAATTCTCAAAGAAGCAGTTAGCATCATGTAGTATCTTTCTGTACTAATGTGAGGGCAACTTTGAGCCAATCCCTTCAGCAGAGAGCTTTAGTTTATTGGGCAACTTTGAGCCAATCCCTTCAGCAGAGAGCTTTAGTTTATTTGAAAAAATACTATTGTATTTTGTCTCTTTTATGCCCAGTGTTTTGTAGGCACCAAGTAAAAGCCAAGAAAAATGTAAGAAATTGCCCTGCCCTGAAAAAGTTTACAAGGACATTCAGAAAAGAATTTTCAGCTAGGCGTGGCGGCTCATGCCTTTAATCTTAACACTTTGGGAGGCTGAAGCAAGAGGATTACTTGAGCCCAGGGGTTCAAACCAGCCTGGGTAACACAGTGAGACTCTATCTGTACCAAAAAAAAAAAAATAGCTGGGTATGGTGGCATGTGCCTATAGTCCCAGCTACTTGGAAGGCTGAGATAGGGGGATAGCTTGAGCCCAGGAGGCGGAGGTTGCAGTGAGTCATGTTTGCACCACTGCGCTCCAGCCTGTGTGACAGAGCAAGACCCTATCTCAAAAAAAAAAAAAAAAAAAAGAATTTTCATTCATTTATTCAACAAACATTTGAGTACCTACGTTGTGCTAGACACAGAACCAGGAACCAGGTGAGTAAGACAAGCATGATGCTTGCCTCATGGAGCTTACCGTCTAGAGAAAGGAGGGAGATACTCAAACCATCAACAAACACAATAATTTCAAGTGGTTTTACATGCTAGACTTGTCAGAGACCTCTCAGAGAGCGTGACATTTGAGTAGCAGCTGTGCAAAGATTTAAAGGAAGAGCATTCTAGACACAGGGAAACAGGAAGTAGAAGCCTCTGAGGCGTGCAGCAGGTTGGCTTAATAAATAACAAGAAATGAGTGTGGCTACAACTCAGCAAGGGGGTGAGTCGTAGGCAGGCCAGGTGTAGAGTGCGAATTTTATTTTGAATGCAGAGGAAGCCTTTGGCAGGTGAAAACATGACACTTCAACCTGAACTTATTGATCTACCTCGGGGTAGATCTGTGGCCTCAGTGAAATTTTGGGAGTAACAGACCTGGGATTCTTAGAACTTAGAGCCCCAGGTAAACCTACAGATGGAAAGAAAAGAAATTGGCCAGGCACAGTGGCTCATGCCTATAATCCCAACACTTTGGGAGGCAGGAGAATCTCTTGAGGTCAAGAGTTCAAGACCAGCATGGGCAACATAGCAAGACCCTCTACAAAAATTTTTAAAAATTAGCTGGGCATGAAGTTGCACACCTGTAGTTCCAGCTACTCAGGAGGCCGAGGCAGAAGGATCACTTGAACCCAGGAGTTTGAGGCTGCAGTGAGCTATGATCACACCATTGCATTCCAGCCTGGGCCACAGAATAAGACCCTGTCTCGAAGAAGAAGGGGAAAGAGAAGGTGAAGGAGGAAGAGGAAGAAGAGGAAGAGGGAAGAAGGAAGACAGAAGACAGGAGAAGAAGGAGGAGGAGGAACAAGGAGAAGGAAGAAAAATGATAATAAATTAATATTGGCCTGTTTCTTAAGCCTGGGAGGTTGAGGCTGCAGTGAGCCATGTTCATGCCACTGCACTCCAGCCTGAGTGACAGAGTGAGACTCTGTTTCAAAAAAAAAAAAAAAAAAAAAAAAAAAAAAAAAAAAAAAGGCCGGTCATGGGGGCTCACACCTATAGTCCTAGCACTTTGGGAGGCTGAGGCAGGCAGATTGCCTGAGCTCAGTTCAAGACCACCTTGGGCAACATGGTGAAACCCTGTCTCTACTAAAATACAAAAAATTAGCCAGGCGTGGTAGCATGTGCCTGTAGTCCCAGCTACTCGGGAGGTTGAGGCACGAGAATCACTTGAACACAGGAGGTGGAGGTTGCAGTGAGCTGAGATCTCGTCACTGTACTCTAGCCTGGGAGATAAGAGTAAGACTCTGTCTCCAAAAAAAAAAAAAAAAGAACAGTCACTTCTAACCTCAGAGGCTTTCCTGGGTAGGAGAGGATGAAACTGCAAAATGAATAAACCATATAACAGGTCGCTGCTTGTGGCTCAGCATATTTCTTTCCTTTTGGGGACAATGCCCTTCAGGAAGCCACTGCTTTCCTGTTCTTGGGAATAGGATTTGGCTCAAGCTAGTCAGAAATATTTTTCACTTCCTATCTCCACACCAAAGTGACTGGCTCTGGGATGGGCACAGAACCCAGTCAGAGCCAGTGAAACTCAAGAAGACATCGTCTAGAGCCTTCTGGCAAAAAAAAAAAAAAGAAAGAAAGAAAAAAAAAAGCTTTCTCTCTTTTGCATGGGAGCCATCAGTATAAAGATGCAAAGTTTAGAACCACTGCAGGCATTTGTGACCATGGGGAAGATTCTGGAACTGTTAGGGGCTGTGGGGGAGCATCGCATGGTGCCTGAGGATGAAGCCAACACCACAGAAGGTAGAGCGAGAGATGGAGAACGCTGTGTCCTTGTGAAGCCATTGAGCCCCAGGATCGAGCCTCGCCTGAAGCCAGGCCTATTGCTGGAGGTTTTAGTGGCCTCCACCAGTTAAATGCTCTTTATTATATAAGCCAATGTAAGTGGGGTTTCCTTGCTGCATAAAGAGCCTATATGATAGAAACATTGCAATAGGCACCCAACAACACTGAGGGCCTCCTCTGCACCTTCAGTTTCTAGGAGGAAGTAAGCCTGTTCCAGGACCCAAATAAATGGTCTCGCCTCCCCCTTCTCTATTTCAGTGTTTCCATGCCTCCTGTCACCATAGCACTGTGACTCTCATGGAAAGGCAGAGGAAGCAGAGGAGGAGAGGGTGCCTGTTTCCAGGCTGCGTTGCCACATTGGGGTGGGGGCTGGAGAGACAGAGAGAGAGAGAGGCGGCTCTAAGCCTGACATTTCAGGATAGAGATAACAGGGTAAAAATAAACTCCCAAGCGCCTGTAGCAGCACTCGCTTCTCTGGCTTCACAGTTATCTCTCTCTGCTTCGGGGACAGAAGGGTTCCTTTCGGGTCACCCCTTGGACTGCCCCTTCCCAGCCCCCGGCGGGGGAGGAGGACGCATAGGTCATTGATTTACATCTATCTGTCTACACCTGCTCTTTCACCGCTGGCAAGTCAAGGGATTGATCCCCTCCATCCCGTAGCCCCTCTTTTTATCCTGCAAATCACCTTTCACATCTGATGCTCCAGGAGCTCAGTGAGGTGAGTGAGTCAAGGGCCGGGGTCTCCCCATTTCCCAGTTGGGAAAAGCAGTGGGGCTTGGAAAGATGAAATGATTTTCCCCAAATCACACAGCTTTTTAGTGCTAATGTGTTCTGATCTAAAGCCAGGGCCTTTTCTGCCTTTCCATCTTCAATCAGGAGTAAAAGCAGTTTGATTCCCTCTCTGCAGGGCTTGTGGACAGCCATCCAGGCTGGGTACACACAGCTCCTGGGGGTGGCGTTCACATCACCTGGGACACAAGTATCATTGTGTGTCTCCTGACAACCACACCTCTCTGTCCCCTTTGTCCCCCTTCCCATCACACAGTGTCTGAGTTTTGTATTTGCCAGTGAGCCACCTACTTGCTTACTACAGAAGGGTGGCTGGGACGACACAGTGTCAAGGAACCCAACCCAGCTCTGCCACTGAGGTCCACAGAAGGTCTCTGAGCCTCAGTTTTCTAATCTTTAAAATGGTGATCAAAATAAACCAACGTAGGATTAAATAAACCATTGCATGCCAGGCCCTTGGCCTGTGCCTGATACATGATCATCTAAATGTTGGAGCTTCCTGTGACAATGACAGCTTTTCCTATGCTGGTGTATGGGTATAGCGACTACGTCCCTCACCCATGTCCGCAGTACCTGCCCTTTGAGTTCTTTCTCTCTCAGTGGCCAAGGATTTGCAATGAGCCATTTCATCAGTTAAGACGCTTGTGGTTGCAAGCAACCGAAACACTGATCCTCACTGGATTACATGAAAGGGGAATTTATTGGCTTGGTGGGTAGCTCCAAAGGCGGCCAAGGGTAGAGCCTAGCTTCGGGCACAGCTGGATCCAGGATGGAACCGATACCATCAGGATTGGGTTTCTCGGCTCCATTATCTGCTGTGAGCGCCCTCCTCATAGGGGATACAGGGGTTCTGGCATCTCCCCTTCTTGGGTTCAAAGCCAGTGGGAAAGATCCAGCCCCAGCATTCCCAGAAAAAGCCTCTTTGCATCTCACTACCCATCTAGAACCCATCACCGTACCCAAAGCAACGAAGACAAGCGCGGATGGCCCGAGGTGGGTCCAGTCTGCTCAAACCCAGATCTGAGAGTAGTGAACAATGATCGCCCAGAGCAAAATCAGGTTTGGCCGCCAGAAGCAAAGGTGACTTCAGCAGCCACCCACTCTCCTCAGCCTCGTGTCCCACGGTGAACACTGATGAACTGGCTTCTGTCATCCCAGGGAAGAGACGGGCTTCAAGCAGGCTGCAAAACCAGGCCGGCGGGCTCCGACAACAACTCTCATCCAAAGTTCCCTCGTTGCCATCTGCTGACCAGCTGGACCCACTGACCTCAGACCAGAACCTTCCCCAAGCTTGATCTGCAGCCTGCCACCTGGGGAACCCACTTCGCTGAATAGGAGCTGGAAATCTGGGCTCTTTTTCAGGCCTCTGCCATGAGGCACTGTATCCTTGTTCCAACTCAATTATTACTGATTCATTATTTGTCTTTCCTCTAAAAAGAACCAGCCATAACAAAAAGCCCCTCTCATGGTCTGTAGAAAATAAATACAACCAAAAGCAATACTATGATTAAAAGATAGCTGGTTGCTCTCGCTCGCTGTAAGCCTGAAGACTGGTGCTGTCATGGTTGCTAAAAGGCAAGATTAGGCCAGGCATGGTGGCTCATACCTGTAATCCCAGTACTTTGGGAGGCTGAGATGGGTGGATCACCTGAGGTCAGGAGTTCAAGACCAGCCTGGCCAACATGGTGAAACCCTGTCTCTACTAAAAATACCAAAATTAATTGGCCAAAGTTGGGGGTGCCTGTAATCCCAGCTACTTGGGAGGCTGAGGCAGGAGAATCGCTTGAATCCAGGAGGCGGAGGTTGCAGTGAGCCGAGATGATGCCACTGCACTCCAGCCTGGGTGACAGAGCAAGACTCCGTCCGGGAAAAAAAAAAAAGGCAAGGTTAGCAAGTGTCCGGGAGGTGTTAATGACCTAGGCTAGCACCAACTTGAGACTCGATGAAATTAAAACAACTGAAAACAAATTAGAAAGAGAATAACTTCTACTAGGTGATTCTGCTGCGTTGAATGCTGGAGGGGTACATTTCATGTAAGTTGCCTGCATCATCGACAATTCTCTCACGTACTGGTGAGTCTGCCACTCTAAATGTGTAAATACCGTTTATACTGGTCAACCAGCAACCACAAAGACACTCTTGAAGCTTCCTCTCTCTCCCCTCCTCCCCAAGCCTGCAGGAGAGATGGAAAAGAAGCGGGTAAGAGAACACGAAAGATTTCTTTAAAAATAATTATGGTAATTACGTATGCATTTCCAGGGGGAGATTCTGGGAATTATTCCTAAAAGGCTGGAAAGAATTTCCTCTTTTGATCTCGATTCTGAGCCAGAGAAAATCAAATTAAGAAAGAAAAGCAACAGAGAATTCTCGGTGGGGAGGAAGGAATGGGGTTGGGGCTGTTCGTGAGGTTCTGGGAGAAAGATGGAGAACAGGACTCCGACACCTTTCTCTCTAGATGTTGGTAGACTTAGGAGGAAGAAGTGAGAGAGAGAAAAGATGAGACAGGTGAGGTTGTGTCCTTACATCTTTCTTGCAAGGCTTCACTCCCTCCCCTTGAGGGGCCACAAAGATGGTCCCCCTTGAGCTATTGAGGACGTAGTTTTTTGTAGCTTTTCCCACATCACACGTGGCTGGCCAGGCATCCTCCACAATGGCCCTCCCTTGCAGAGGAGCCCTGTGAATTCCAGCCAACACTCCGAGAGCCGCCACAACAAGATGAGCAAGTGTAGGCGTGTGACGAGTTTTTTGTTTCTTTCTTTTTAATCCTCCCTTTCAGGCACAGGGAGAAATGGTCCTGTCACTTCTCTAAATTTTCTTCCGCGGTTGCTAAGCAGCACGCCTCTGCCCCTTCCACTTCCCTCTGCTCCTGCTTTCTTGTCTCTCTCCACCCTCCACCCCCGCACGCTCACAGTGCTCTTCCCTGCCGTGGTTTGGAAATCAGAGAACAGCCCCCAGGCAGTTTGCTGCTCCCAGAGCCACAGCAGTGCAATGGCAGTTCCCGACAGAGGCGTCTCCCAGCCTGCTCTGCAGAGCATGCACGTAGGTCCTGGCAGGGAAGACCACTGCTTGAGCCCCTCTGCATTCACCAGCAGAGCTGGGGCCGGCCGGCCTGCCTGCCTGCCTGCCTCCCTCCCTCCCTCCCTCCCTCCCTCCCTTCCTTCCTTCCTTCCTCTACACTTCTTTCCTTCTTCCTTCCCTCCCTGCCATGCTACAATAGCCTTTGCCTGGAGACTAGAGGGGGGAAACTCAAAAGTATGCAGGCACCAAACACTGCATTTCATGAGGGAATGAGGCTGGATGTGAGACGATAGGGAATGGTGAGGACTGTTCCCTAAGTACCTGCCTAAGGAGGCCTTGCACTAGCTCCAGCCAACTGGTGTTTCAAGGGAACCTGGGCAACTTCCAGATTTTTAAAAATCTCAATGCAGGACAAGCAAAAACCCATCTGTGGGCCTCCAGTCTGTGGAGGAGAGCCAAGCAGGGTCCATAATGCGGGTTTGTGAGACAGTTGCATTTGAGGGTTCGTTGGGTGGTTTTGGCAGCAGAATGGAGGACTGGTGGGAGGCAGGCAGGGACTGTGGACAGCAAGCCATGAGCCCCAGGAGCTCCTTGGAGAAGCCAGAAGGCTTGGTGGCAGCCCCGGACCTTGATTTCTGTAGGACCTTCATCCAGTGGATGGGAGAATGGCTAGCTGGACCGCAGACAAGTAACCGGGGTGGAGGGAATGGACTGTCACTTTTCCCTTGGTTCCCAAAGCCGCCCATCCTGTTCCATGATGCCAGGCCCTAGGCCAGAAGGACCACAGGTTAATCAGGGTCAGGCACTGAACAGATGGGGCCTCAAGGGATCCCAGAGGTCCACGGGTGAAGCTAGAATGATGTATCGCTTTTCAGCTAAGTTGCAACCGCAGGGAGTCACGGTGGGGTTACTGTGGGTCGGGTGGAAGTGGCGTAAAGAAGGCCTGTGCTCTGACCTCCTTTGGGGACATTCAGGGGCACCATGATCAGGCTCTCCCCCACTGGCCAGGATGGCCAGGACACAGCCCACGGGGCCCCATGGGGCTCTGTCTCCCTGCTCCCTTTCCCATTGGCCACAAAGACTTTGGATGACATTGAGACCTGAGCCAGACACAGGGACTGCAACCTTCCCAAAACAAACCAGCCAAGTCCCAGAGGGAGTGAAGGAATGGCCGAGTGCTGAGCTCTGTGCTGCAACTGACATTTGGAAGAGGAAGCTTCAGGGCCCAAAGCTCAGAGAATGCACTTCCTGGGTTCTGTTCAGTCACTGGAATTACCTCCATGACAGCTTTCTCCAGAAGCTCCTCTGGGCAGTCAGCATTTCCATCTACCCTGGTCAGCATAGAACCAGCTCCCATCTGTCCACCTGGATCTCAGTCTCAGTTTCTGAGGCCCGGTTCTCCCCCAGGGGCTGGGCTGCAATCAGCAGGGACTAAATCTCACTGCCAAGGGCCTGGGCCAAGGCATCCAACTCTCTGTGCTCCAGGAAGGGCTGAAGGAGCCTGCATGACTGGAGGTGGGAAGGCTACATCCAGATCCTCACACACCATCATCCCATTCCTTGGCCCCTGGGGGCTGGCACTGCCCTGTGAGCCTCCAGGAACTGATGAACAACAGCTGAGAACACAAAAACGATCCATGGAGAATGACAGAGCCAGCTTATTTCTACATTTCTTTGTTTTTTAAAGTAATGAAGGGAGCTCTCTTCAGAAGCCTTTGGTTCCCTTGGCTTTTCAAAGTAGTAAGGAAGGGAGGAAGGAAGTTGAGGCTCTTAAAGTCAGTTCTACTCAGGGAGTACTGATTGATGGCCGATCACACACCGTGCAAAGGAATGTAGGGTCCAGTACAACCTGCATCACCCAGAAAGATTCAGCAGAGAGTGAGAGCCTCGTCCTCAGCAGGCAGGGGAAGCCAGGCACCTTGCAAGGGCTTCTGCATTCCATCATCACTAGTTTCAAGGAGCAGGTGGTATGATTCCCATTTAGCAGATGGGAAAGTAAAGCCCAGAGGTATTTAGTAATTGTTGAGAGGCCATGCTGGTAATGAGGGCAGAGCGGGGACTCAAACCAGGGCTGTCTGGATGGTTGCAAAGGCCGTACTATTTTCTGCAGAACACCAACTATGGGAAAGCATGTTCCGGAGATGGTCCCAGAGATTGCTGGATTCAATACAGGAAATGTTTTATTGAGTGTGGGGAACCTGAAAGGGACCAGCTTTTCCAGTCCAGGGCCCCCTTAGGCCAGTCCCCCAATTCATCCATCAAATACACATGTCCAGTTTCTGCAGCATTGGAAAATGCCTGGGAAATTATTTCACAAAGAATTTCAAGCAAACAGAAAAGGTATGTGGGATAATATCATGTTCCACTGCCAAGCTTAAGAATGAATGTTACGGCTGGGTGTGGTGGCTCATGCCTGTAATCCCAGCACTTTGAGAGGCTGAGGCGGGTGGGTCACTTGAGATCAGGAGTTGGAGACCATCCTGGCCAACATGGTGAAACCGCATCTCTGCTAAAAATACAAAAATTAGCCGGGTGTGGTGGCTCACACCTGTAATCCCAGCACTTTAGGAGGCTGAAGCGGGTGGATCACCTGAGATCAAGAGTTCGAGACCAGCCTGACCAACATGATGAAAACTTGTCTCTACTAAATACAGAAAAATTAGCTGGGCGTGGTGGCGCATGCCTATAATCCCAGCTACTTGGGAGGCTGAGGCAGGAGAACCACTTGAAGCCGGGAGGCGGAGGTTGCAGCGAGCCGAGATTGTGTCATTGCACTCCAGCCTGGGCAACAAGAGCAAAACTCGTCTCAAAAGAAAAAAAAAAATACAAAAATTAGCTGGTTGTGGTAGCACGCGCCTGTAATCATGGCTACTCCGGAGGCTGAGGCATAAGAATCGCTTGACCAGAGGCAGAGGTTGCAGTGAGCTGAGATCACGCCACTGCACTCCAGCCTGGGCAGCAGAGTGAGACTCTGTCTCAAAAAAAAAAAAAGAAACGTTAGAATTATAGTTGAAGCAGCCTGTGTCTCTCTCATGCACTAACCATTTGTGCCCTTATAATCCACATGCATGTCTTTCTGCGTTCGCTGCCCTTGTATGTGTTCTAAACAATAGTATTGTTTGCATGTTTCAATATTTTCATATAAATGATATGTTGTATGTATCCATATGCAACTTTTTTTTTTTTAAAGAGCTTTATTAGCTGGGTGTGGTGGCTCATGCCTGTAATTCCAGCAATTTGGAAGGCCAAGGCAAGAGGATTACTTGAGCCAAGGAGTTCAAGACCAGCCTGGGCAACATAGCAAGACCTCATCTCTACAAAAAATAAACAAAATTAGCTGGGTATGGTGGCAAATGCCTATAGTCTCAGCTACTTGGGAGGCTGAGGTGGGGGGATTGCTTGAGCTCAAGAGTTCAAGGCTGCAGTGAGCTATGATCGCACCACTGCACTCCGGCCTGGGCAACAGAGTGAGACCCTGTCTATTAAAATAAAGAAACAAAGAAAAGAAAACCAGCTTTATTGAGATGTAATTCGTACACCGTACAAGTCACCAATTTAAAATGTACAAGTCAATGGCTTTCAGTAAATTCAGAGTTGTACTGCCATCACTACAATCAATTTCAGAACACTTTCGTTACCCCAAAAAGAAACACGGCCACCTTCTCAGCCATCACCCACCAGTCTCCCCATCCTCTCTTGGCAACTCCTAATTTCCTTTCTGTCTCTATAGAAAGGAAGTGTTCCTATTCTAGACGTTCCATATATGGAATTCCACAGATGGAATGCCATTTATAATGGAATCATGGACCTTTGAATCTGACTTCCTTCACTTAACATCATGCTTTTAAGTTCCCCCATGTTGCGGCAGGGATCAGTTCTTCATTATTGACAAAGAATGTTTCATCATATGTATAAAGCACATTTTATTTATTCACTCATCAGTTTACCATTTGGGTGATTTCCACTTTTGGCTATTATGAATAATACGGCTATGAACATTCATGTACAAGTTTTTGTGTGGACATATGTTTTCATTTCTCTTCTATATACCTACGAGGGAAGTTGCTGAGTCATATGGTAACTCTAAGTTTTTGAGAAACTGCCAAACAGTTTTTCAAAGCTCTGTGCTACTTTACATTCCCACCAGCAATGTGTGATGATGGTTCGAATTTCACTACCTCCTTGCCAACAGTTATTACGATCTGTCTTTTTTATTATAGCCACCCTAGTGGGTGTGAAGTGGTATCTCATCATCTCATCATGGTTTTGATTTGCTTTTCCCTGATGGCAAATGATGTTGAGCATCTTTTCAAGTGTTTATCGGCCATTTATTTATCTTCTTTGGAGAAACGTCTATTCAGATCCTTTGCCTGTTTTTAATGGGGTTATTTGTCTTTTTATTATTGAGTGGTAATCATTCTTTATAGATTCTAGGCACAAGTCTCTTATCAGATATACAATTTGTGAAAATTTTCTCTCATTCTGTGGGTTGTCTTCACTTTTTTGACGTCTTTGAAGCACAAAAGTTTTCCATTTTAAAGTCCAATTTAGCTGGGCATGGCGGTACATGTTTGTAGTCCCAGCAACTCAGGAGGCTGAGGTAGGAGGATCACTTGAGCCTAGGATTTCAAGTCCAGCCTGGGCAACATAACAAGACCCCATCTCTTAAAAAAATAAAGTCCAATTTTTCTATTTTTTCTTTTGTTGCTTATGCTTTGGGTATCATATCTTAGAATCCATTGACTAATCCAAGGTCATGAAGATTTCCTCCTATGTTTTCTTCTAAGAGTTTTATAGTTTTAATGCTTGCATTTAGGTCTTTGATCCATTTTGAATTAGTTTTTGTTTATGGTGTGAGTTAAGGGTCTCACTTCATTCTTTTGAATGTAGCTACTCCGTTGTCCTACCACCATATTTAAAACAGAATTGTGTTGGCTGCCTCGTAGAAAATCAATTGATCAGAAATGTGAAGGTTTATTTCTGGACTGTCAAGCCTAGTCAAGTGATCTATATGTCTGTCCTTATGTCAATTTCATAGTATCTGATTACTATAGCTTTGTACTAAGTTTTAGTACTCAGGAAGTATGAACCCTCCAACTTTGTTCTTTTTGAAGGTTAACTGCTCTGATTCTCTTGAATTTCCATATGAATTTTAGGATTGGTTTGTTAACTTCTGCAAAAAAGTTAGCTGGTATTTTGAAAGGATGGCATTGAATCTGTAGATCAATTTGAGAAGTTTTGCTATCTTAATATTAAACTTTTCCATCTATAAACATGGGATGTCTTTCCATTTATTTAGGTCTTCTTTAGTTTCTTTCAACAATGTTATATAGTTTTGCAATGTAAAAAGCCTCATACTTCTTTGGTTAAATGTATTCCTAAGTATTTCATTCTTTTTTAAAATTTTATGTATTTATTTATTTTCATTTAGAGACAGGGTCTCTCTCTCTGACACCCAGGCTGGAGTACAGTGGCCAGATCATAGCTCACTGCAGCCTCAATCTCCTGAGTTCAAGTGATCCTCCCACCTCAACCTCCTGAGTAACTAGGACTGCAGGCATGGCCACTACACCTGGCTAATTTTTTAAAATTTTTGGTAGAGATAGAGTCTTGCCGTGTTGCTCAGGTGGTCTCAAACTCCTGGGCTTGAGTGATCCTCCTTCCTCAGCCTCCCATAGTGCTGGGATTAACTGGCATGAGCCACCATGCCTGGCCTTATTTTTTATCCTTTTTGATGCTCTTGTGAATGAATTTTTCTTAATTTCGTTCTAAATTTTCTTCTTTTCAACATATAGAAGAACTACAGCTGGTTTTTGCATATTGATCTTGTATCCTGCAACCATACTAAACTTGTTTAGTCATTCAAATAGTTTTTGGTAGCTTCTTCATAATCTTCTATGTACAAGGTTATGACAACTGTCAAACAGAGACAGTTTTATTTCTTCCTTTCCAATCTGGATACCTCTTCTTTTCTCTTGCCTACTTGTTCTGCCTAGAATTTTCCAGAACAATGTTGAATAGCAGTGGCAGTAGTAGACATCCTTTTCTTGTTTCTGATTTTAGAGGGAAAGCTTTCAGTCTTTCACGATTAAGTGTGATGTTAGCTCTGGGTTTTTCATAGATGCCCTTTATCTGGTTGAGGAAGTTCCCTCCTATTCCTAGGATACTGAGTGTTTTTATTGTGAAGCATATGTTTTGCTCTTCTCCCCCCAACAACGTGAGTTTTATCCACGTGTCACTGTGGTTTGCAATGTCGACTTTCACTAAAGATGTTGTAGGGCAGATAAAGGAGAAGGTTAAATCACATATCACCCCTCTTCTCTAATTACATCTTCTTTATCTCTCTCAAGCTACCTAGCATTTGCCCCTGCCACGACTCCCCCTTCCACCCCTGCCCCAGGCAAACTCTCTCCTCTTTCATCCACTTGCTCACCAGAGGGCTTTTAGCAAAACAGAAACCCTCTTCCTTTTTCATCCATCTGGAGATAAATAAAGGAGAGTGGGAGTTCCAAAGAAGAATCCCTTCACTCTGCTTGGTGGGGAGAAGGTAGAACAGCAAATCTTCCTGAAGGAGGGTGTGTTTGAGCTTAGATTAGAAGCTGGGTAGGATGCTGCCAGGGAAGGAAGAAATAGCTTGAGCAAAGACATCTCAGGTTGTGCCCTGATGAAAGGGAATTTAGCCCCCAACAAGGTCCAGGCAGTTTAGCCTCAACAGTTCTTACAAGGATCTTCTATTCATATGATAATTACATGGAGTGGATCTCAGTAGACTTGCTATGATATGATTTATTTTCTTTTTTGAGACAGGATCTTGCTCTGTCACCCAGGCTGGGGTGCAATGGCAGGATCATGGCTCACTGCAGCCTCAACTTCAAGCAATCCCCCTGCCTCAGCTTCCCGAGTAGCTGGGGCCACAGGCTCAGGCTACCATAATTTTTTAATTTTTTGTAGAGATGGGGATTTGCCATGTTGCCCAGGCTGGTCTTGAACTCGTGGACTCAAGTGATCCTCCCACTTCAGCTTCCCACAGTGCTGGGATTACAGGTGCGTGCCACCATGCCTGGCTATTTTTATACAGATGAGGTCTCCCTATGTTGCCTAGGCTGGTCTCGAACTCCTGGGCTCAGGCAATCCTCCTGCCTCAGCCTCCCAAAATGCTGGGATTATAGGCATGAGCCACCATGCCTGGCCTTCATTTCTGACCTCTAGAGTTGCCTTGTCCAATATGGTAGGCATTAGCCACATGTGGCCATTCAAGTGTAAATTAAGTAAAATTAAATAGCATTAAACATTTACTTCCTATTTGCACTAGATACATCTCAATAGCCACATGTAGTTAGTGGTTACCGTATTGGATAGCACAGCTATAGAACATTTCTGTTACCACAGAAAGATCTATTGGACAGTGTATTCTAGTATTGGAGGGAAGAAAGCTGTAATGAAGATGACTGAGGGGTCTGAGCCAGACAGGTGGGCCCCAGGCATAAGGTGAAGATGGCCTGGCCTGGGCGTTAGTAGGCTGGGTGCCAGTTCTGGCTCTGCCACCCCTGTTCCTGTCACTTTTGGACAAATCTCTTCCCTTTTCTGGTTTTCCCATTGTTGAGAAAATGAAATTGTTGGGCGATGTCATCCCAGGAGCCCAGGCAATGATTGACAGATTCTGTGGTTGTTTAGCCAGAAAGGGATGTATTCAGCTGTTTCTTCCAGATGTAGAGAAAAGAGCCTTGGACTCAGGAAGAAAGCAGCTGGTTCTGGTGCTACCCAGCTGAGCCATCATGGGCAAGTCACTTCACCTCTCTGAACCCCATTTCCACATCTGTGAAAGTGGGTGAGAGGGTTTTGGGAGGATGAATTGAGAGGAGTTAAAGGAAAGCACTCTGAGAAAAGAAGAGGGATAACATGATGTGGCCAGGTCAGCTCAAGTGGGAAAGTTAGCATAAACAAAGCTAAATGGGTTTATTTGCTACAGGATTTCTCAGAACCCTTAATATGCTAATGTGCACTGTGAATCCCTAAGTATTTCCTAAATTAATAAGAGCACAGAATTCCTTTTAAAATAAAATTATTATTGCCAGGTGTGGTGGCTCACGCCTGTAATCCCAGCACTTTGGGAGGCTGAGGCGGGCAGATCACTTGAGGTCAGCCTGGCCAACATGGTGAAACCCCGTCTCTACTAAAAATACAAAAATTAGCTGGGCGTGGTGGTGGGCGCCTGTAATCCCAACTACTGGGGAGGCTGAAGCAGAAGAATCACTTGAACCCAGAAGGTGGAGGTTGCAGTGAGCCAAGATCATGCCACTGGACTCCAGCCTAAGCAACAGAGTGAGACTCCGTCTCACAAATAATAATAATAATTCTTGCAAGGAATGCTCACAGGCATTCGTTATTGTTACAGGGAACCCACTTGGGAATTGCCCTTGGACAGGGATAGAGCACTTTCCTTGGCCACAGCTTGGACTAATGGCTGTCACCCAGCATTGCCCCTGAAAAATGTCTGGTCTTAGGAAGAATTGGAAAGATCTGGGTTAGATGACATCATGGAGATGGCTTAGAGTGCAGGCAGCCTCCAGAGGAAAGTGGGAGGGAAAAGTGAAAATCTGGAGAAGGTGAGGGTGGCAGCGAGAACGTACTGTTTACTCAACGCAGGTGCAAACTACAGGGCAGGCAACGACCTTGACATTTTCTTTTTCTTTTTTTTCTTTTTTTTTTTTTGAGACAGAGTCTCGGGCAGGCAACAACCTTGACATTTTCTTTTTCTTTCTTTCTTTTTTTTTTTTTTTTTGAGACAGAGTCTCGCTCTGTCACCCAGGCTGGAGTGCAGTGGTGGAATCTCAGCTCACTGCAACCTCTGCCTCCCGGGTTCAAGCGATTCTCCTGCCTCAGCCTCCCAAGTAGCTGGGACTACAGGCACCTGCCACCACGCCTGGCTAATTTTTTGTATTTTTAGTAGAGATGGGGTTTCTCCGTGTTAGCCAGGATGGTCTCGATCTCCTGACCTCGAGATCTGCCCACCTTGGCCTCCCAAAGTGCTGGGATAACAGGCGTGAGCCACCGCGCCCGGCTGACCTTGACATTTTCATAGGCATCATTTCCCATCCTCAGGACAACTCTGAGAAGCAGATGGTGTCATACCCATTTCCCAGATGAGAAAATGGAAGCTCAGGGGGTTAAGCAATGTATGAACGTTTAACATGCAGTAAATGGTAGAACTGGGATTTGAACTCAGGGCTGCCTGAGTCCAAAGCCCATACTCTAACCCCTCTGCCTCAGGGTGCCTAAAATGTCATGGCCCTGGAGCTTTCAGCCTGTAGGGGATGAGAAGGCAAACCGCCTGTGGTTTGTAAATCTAATATTATCATCTGACTTTTTCCTGATATCTTAGTGAGGTCTTTTCAATGGAATAAGCTTAATACGTTATCCTCCCCCAGTCTTCCCAGTTTCCCATCAAATAAAGATGATTCAAGAGGCCCCAAATGCAGAGCTAAAATCAGCCTTTCATCCTTGCCACCTCCCACCTCTCACTCCTCTGGGAATTGCTAGGATTTAGGAGGCCAGTATTGAACTTGAGATTTCAAGAACTGTTTTTGAGTGGCTTACAGCTATGTCCTGAGCGCTCTGAGTGAAGGCAGAGGTGCTGGTTAGCAAGGTGGGAGGCAGAGATACCGAGCTCCCAGGCAGGGATGAGGGGCACAGCATGGAGCAGTGACTTCTGAGAGTGTTGTGTGTCTTCATGGATTGTGCAATCTCTATCCGGAAATTGATCAATTGCAATCAAAAGCAGTGGCACCAATTTATAATCTTTTAGAATCTAACTTCTTAAGGGTATTGAATCTTTACCTCTAAGGCAATCAGGTCCAGATGGCAAAGGGAAACCCTCTTGTCACCAGCTCTTGGGCATTTAAAAACAGCATGGCAGGTTGCGGCCTTGCAAGGAAAGAAGAGGGGAAAACATTGTAAATACTGTGTACCCTGACTGTGTTGGCTGCACTTGAAAACAGGCATCTTCATTTGCAGTTAATTAGATTAACTCAGCTGCGATTACGAATGGAATTCCTTGCTCCAGCAACAGCGAACGTTTGTTGAACATGTGTTGTAATCTTGCCTTTAAATACAACCACATGTATGACATATTTTGTTTTCTCTTGGCCATTGGACTGGAAAACTATTAATACAACATCTGCTTTGCTTTCTGATTGAATCAGGGGCAAAGAGCAGGTCTCTGTAGTGTCCTTCAGATTATGCCTGGGATATCAAGTTACAGCTGCTAACCACTTTCCCACTGCTTAAGAATCCAACCCTGAACGTGACTTTTCTATTGGAAACGCAGGTCTCACTCACTGGAGGACCAAATTACCTCCTGATCTTGCCTCCAGCATGTGAAGTCCACCCTCGCACCTCCCACGCCTGAACAACTCACTATTGTAACCCCTTGTTAGTTTTTTAAACGGTACTCAACCCCATTTCAAATCATTTTATTTTTCGCTTAGTCGTTTGTCTGTCTCCACCATGAAAATATTCCCTCCAGAAGGGCAGGACCCATGTCTATTCCCCATGCCCTCCCCTCCTCTCCCCTAGGGCCAAGAACACTTAGCAGGCAACTGAATAAATATTTGTTAAATAAATCACGGTGTTTCCCAATTGCGTGGAGAATGAAGTAAGAGTGAAGACTGGTGAGAAAGTGACAGTCTTCTTGCAATCATTTCAGTCCTGATAATATCAAGAGTCTCAGTGCCGGGCAAGGTGGCTCATGCCTGTAATCCCAGCACTTTGGGGAGGCTGGGATGGGAGGATCACTTGAGGCCAGGAGTTTGAAACCAACCCAGGCAACATAGTGAGACCTTGTCTCTACAAATTAAAAAAAAATAGTAATAGTTAGCTGGGCATGGTGGCACACGCCTACAGTCCCAGCTATTTGGCAGGCTGAGGCAGGAGAATTGCTTGAACCTGGGAGGCAGAGGCTACAGTGAGCAGTGATTGCGCCACTGCGCTCCAACATGGGCAACATGGTGAGACTCTTGTCTCAAAAAGAAAAAAAAAAGCCAGGCGCAGTGGCTCACGCCTGTAATCTCAGCACTTTGGGAGGCCAAGACAGGTGGATCACCTGAGGTCAGGAGTTCGAGACCAGCCTGGCCAACATGGTGAAACCCCGTCTCTACTAAAAATGCAAAAAAGAAAAAAAGAAAATTAGCCGGGCATGGTGGTGGGTGCCTGTAATCCCAGCTACTCAGGAGGCTGAGGCAGGGAGAATTGCTTGAACCCAGAAGGCGGAGGTTGTAGTGAGCTGAGATCGTGCCACTGCACTCCAGCCTGGCGACAGGGCAAGACTCCATCTCAAAAAAATAAAAAATAAAAAACTCTCAGTTCGGTGTCTAACATCTCTTTTCCTTGCTATTCTCATCCCCCAACACCTCCACACTCCCCACACCCTGCCTCTTTTTTTGTTTAAATAGAAAGTACATCTTGGGGCTCAGAGTGAAGGACAGTTATCGAGGCTAGCTAGGATTTCATACTATTGTTTGGTTTTCTGAGTGTTTAATCCCTTTCAAATAACATTTGCGGCTCTACATGTCTGGTAGTAATATAAAGTTTCCCTGGGAAAGAAATGTAAGTGTAAGTGTATTGCTTTAAAGGGAAACAGCCACAATGCAAGTGAAATGAAACAAAAGGCTTGGAGGTGTCTCTGCATGGCTGAAGTTTGGAAACGAATGCACACAGGCATGCACATTCATCCGTGGGACTATCCGCTTAGAGTTCTGTTTGACCAGTGCCTTGTGCAAGGCAATTCAGCAAAGAGAACTTTATTTTCCTCTCTTCCCCAAATAATTCAGGCCTGTGCTGTTAAGTCCTACCTCCTCATCTCTTCCCCTTCCTCCTCTCCCTGCATCCACCTTTAGGAGTTATCATTACTCAGAAAGAGACCAAGAAATATAGGGGACCTGGGACTCCATGAGACCGGATGTGGAAAGCCCCTCAACACACCGGCAGGAAATACCTGCAGCCGTATTCCTAGCCGAATCCTGAAATTGCAGACAAATTTTGCGCTTTTCTGGAAGGAAGTCTCGCTATCATTCATCAAGTTCTGAAAGGGCCCCGAGAAGAGTTCGAAACTACTGGGCTGGAGGTGGCACCAGGAATGGATCGTTGCCCTGGAGTTCTGACCCTTGGTTTTCTGCCGCACACAGCTGATCGGTTAATAATGCAGCAACTTAATAATTAAAATGAGACTGTGTGATCCTTAAAGATGCAGGCTCACTCCCTCCTGTCTTCACTTGAAGAAGGCTGTTGCCACCAAAATCAGTGGGCTTTCCCAGAAGGTTCTGTACTTACCTGTGCTTACAGGTAAACACAGAGAACAGTCTGCTTTTCTCTCCGGGTCTCCTCCACACTTGGAGCTTATGCATCCAGAGACTAGGCTGGCTGGTTCATCTTTTGCCTTCACAATCCTTCATGTTTAATTGCGTCTACTTCTGCCTCTACCCTATCTAACTTCTCCAAAATATTTCTTGTCAGTACCCCAGGATCAAGATGGGTGGACCCACTGCTCTGTTTGTAAGCTGGGAGGCAGGAAGTTTGGCTTGGCTGTGTGACTGTAAACAAGTTACTTCACTTCTCTGACTCATAGGAATGCTGTTAAATTTAGATCAAATGAAGGAACAGATGTGGGAGCTCTGTAGAAAGTTAGAAGAGTCATCTCGGATGTGAAAGCTCTATTTAGAGAGCAGCAATCAAGTCACCATCTGACCAATAACACCTAGAAGACCCTGGAATAAGGCTCCTCCCAGTCAGAAAAAAAAAAATGACATGGAACTTGCAACTTTTGCAGTGGTTTTAAATATGATTTTTTTTAGGTGGGTCCCACTCAATTCTCCAAGGCATAGTAGATAACCCTCCATCAGTAACTATCGATGATGGATATTTGTGGTCCTTTCATACCTCCCTTAAAGGACTCTGACCTAGGCTGGGCGCGGTGGCTCACGCCTGTAATCCCAGTACTTTGGGAGCCTGAAGTGGGTGGATCACCTGAGGTCGGGAGTTCGAGACCAGCCTGAGCAACATGGAGAAACGCTGTCTCTACTAAAAATACAAAAATTAGCCAGGAGTGGCGGCGCATGCCTGTAATCCCAGGTACTCGGGAGGCTGAGGCAGGAGAATGGCTTGAACCCAGGAGGCGGAGGTTGCGGCGAGCCGAGATCACACCACTGCACTCCATCGTGGGTAACAAGAGGGAAACTCTGCCTCAAAAAAAAAAAAAAAAAAAAAAAAAAGACCCTGACCTATTCCCAGGCCGTATGGTGGTTGGGATGGTATTGATTGGCTCCAGATGTGAACATGTGATTCAGAATTGGCCAATTAGATCATCACATTCCCTTCATCATAAGCAATTGGTTTAACTCTGAGTATGTCATTTAGTTTAGGCCAATGAGATGCAACAAGACTTTTACAAGCATTTCTGAGATGTAATCATATTCCTTTCAAATAGAACCTAGCTTGATATTGGGCCAAAGCTGCTGCAGTCTTCTTCTTTTTTTTTTTTTTTTTTGAGACGGAGTCTCGCTCTGTTGCCCAGGCTGGAGTGCAGTGGAGCAATCTCGGCTCACTACAAGCTCCACCTCCCGGGTTCACACCATTCTCCTGCGTCAGCCTCCCAAGTAGCTGGGACTACAGGCGCCCGCCACCACACCCGGCTAATTTTTTGTATTTTTAATAGAGACGGGGTTTCACCATGTTAGCCAGGATGGTCTCGATCTCCTGACCTTGTGATCCGCCCCCCTCGGCCTCCCAAAATGCTGGGATTACAGGCGTGAGCCACCGCGCCCGGCCTGCTGCAGTCTTCTTAACAGCAGAAAGAGAGAATTGGAGAATGGCCTGCAGCAAAAACTGGAACAAGAGATGAATGGAAACAGAGTTGTGATTTTATTACTTGAGCTCTGGAATCCAGTTGTGCCTGAATTATTGAGCTTTTTCATTATATGAAATGTAAATTGTGTTTGTTCGTGTGAAACCTCTATGGTATGAGTTTTGTGTCCCTTGCAACGAAAAGAGAACTGACTGACTACAGTATATATATATATATATATATATATATATATATATATATATATATATGTATATATGTGTGTGTGTGTGTGTATTTGTGTGTGTGTGTGTGTGTGTATATATATATATATATATATATATTTTTTTTTTTTTTTTTTTTTTTGAGACAGGGTCTCTCTCTTTCTCCCGGGCTAGAGTGCACTGTGTGATCACAGCTCACTGCAACCTCCTCAAACTCCTGGGTTCAAGTGATCCTCCTGCCTCAGCCTCTAAGTAGCTGGGACAATAGGCATGTGCTACCATGTCTGGCTAATTTTTTAAAAACTTTTCTATAGAAATGGGTTCTTGCTATGTTGCCCAGATTGGTCTTGAACTCAAGGCCCCAAGCAATCCTCCTGCCTCGACCTCCCAAAGTGCTGGGGTTACAGGCATGAGTCACTGTACTTGGCCTCCCTTTGAGAACTTTATGAAAGCTTCCTTTCCAAGAAAAACACACTCTTGTATCCACATAAAAACATATATGGAATTTCAGGATTCCATGTGCCTCCTGAAATCCACCCTCAGTCTCTAGGATAATAACCCCTCTTCCTGAGTGTGGAATCCAGAGGGCTTTTCTGGAAGAATCCAAGCTCTGGAACTGCACTGCTTGTTGTAAATCCTGGCTCCACCGCTTATAGCTACATGAACTTGGGCCTCTCTGAGCTTCAGTTTCCCCAATTAGAAAAAAGGGAATAATATCTAACTTTACAGGGTTGCAGTGAAGCCTACATGAGTTCATTTAGGCAAGGCACTTAGAACAGTACTTGGCATATATTAAATACACACGTGTTCATCACCAACCTCTTTATGATTTTAGTTTTATTGTTTATTTTCACTGAGCTCATTAATTCTAGATCCAACATGGTTCTGTATCTGGCTCACAGATATATCTTCTGGACTACGTATTATTCTTAAAGTAAATAAATAAATGCATGTGTAGAAATTAGGAGTTCACATGAAAATCAGGCTGTATGGCTTCTCTTGGGACATCAGGTCTGATAAAACCAGGCCCATTTGCACCTGGCATCATGAGCTGGAGCTGGAAAATTCTCCGGTTCACCACAGCCCCCACCAGTCCCCAGCACTAACACACAGAATCCATAGTCCAGGATCATTGCGCTTTCAAAGTCATCATATCCCTTAAGGCCAATAAATCATTCTTGTACCCATGAAAATGAAAGCTAGACCAAAGAAGCCACATATTTTTTTTTTTAAGAAAGCAGACATTTATTTAAGTAAAAACTCTGCCCATCAGTTTAACATTGCAAATGCCTTCATTTACTTGCTTTATTACCTGGCCCCTGTGGGCATTTGAGTTTTTGATCCTGGCTCTGCACAGTTACTGATCATTGGCTATTCCTTCCTTCTCTTCCTCTCTTAGCCTGTTGACTCAAAGGCATGAAGAGCCCCAAGTGGCGGGGTGGCAGTCTTAACTTCCAGCTCAGTGAAATCATTGTTTTGTCTTCTGGTGGCAGCATTCTTCCCTCTGGAACTAAGACCTCTAGGCCAGCAAAGCATAAAGTCTCAAGAACAGGAAAAAAACATTTTGCTAGTGGGTCGCTAGGGGTGATGGTGACTGGTGCCACTCCCATTTCCACCCCGTTGATTCCTGGATCTGTGAATCCCGGCTAGGGGAGAAATAGCACCATATATTGGATACTAATTCAGAGCATATTCAGCCTTCTGGAGAAACTTGCCCCAGCCCTCCAAGGTATTACTACTTAGCTGGTGCTGTAATTGAGTCTTCAAAGGGCTGTTACAATATTCTATGAAGCCAGCTGCTTCAGCATCATGACGAACATGGTAAGACCAGTGAATTCCATGAGCATGGGCCCATTCCTGCACTTCTTTTGCTCTGAAGCCAAGTCAGGTTGACACATAAAATTAACCATCACAATCTCTATCAAGTTTTTTTTCATATACGAAATTTTTGCAATAATTTTCTACAGATTAACTTCTGGCTCTGTACATCCTCAAACCTTGTTTCTCCTCCATGACCCACATACTTGGGAATATTCAAGCTGCAGTGCAAGCTTCACGTCCTATTTCCAGGTGAGTTGGCCCAGTGAGTAGTAAGCATATTTCTGGAAACCATTTCTACATTAAGCCAGCTAGCAATTACTTAACTCTATAAGGAAGTGACTGCGAACAGCGTTAATCGATCCCGCTGAACCCAAACCACATGTTTGGGTTCAAATTCCCTCAGCTATTATAGATCCAAAAAAGGCTTACAGAAATTCCAATGCTGCCCAACACAGAGGGAGTAAGATGGGACAAATAGAAGGGAAGTGAGGTGGAAGGAAACATCAGTCTTAATTGATTGCGGTTGAACTATCCTATTCTTGCAAATGTTACAGAAACATTGATCACGTGAGACGCTTATTAGGGCGCTATCAGGGCCTTGACAGTACCTAAGCATGTGATAAACCCTTCAGCTTAAGCTTTATGAGCTTTAAAGTATATTCACCCTGTCTATGCAATCCTCATTCTGGCCAAACTGGATTGACACCCACTGACTGGGTACCCCCTCCACTGTCCCATGACCTTGCCTTTGCTTGTGTTAGCTTCCCCTCCCCTGGAACAAATCCCATCTGGGTCAAACACTCTGCCTCCCATGCAAGCATCCTTGACCTTTTCAATGAATCCTCTTCCATCCTGCTCTACACCCTAATAGAATTTCATCCTTTATTTATTTATTTTTTATTGCATTTGTCAAACATTACCTTGTCGTGTAGTCTTTCATTTGCTTAGCAAATATTTGCTAACTGTCCATGGTGTTTCACCCATTGTTGTGGCTCTAGAGATGCTTCAGTAAACAAGCCAGGTCCCAGTATTCTTGAAGCTTATAGCCAAATTTGGGGCAGGAATTATAAATACCTGAAAATTCAAAGACCATCGCAGAGAGTAACAGGGTCATGGAGAAGGGCATCACTTTAGCCAGGTGGTCACGGAAGGCCTTTCTGATAAGCTGACCCTGCATGAAAGAAGGAGCCACCCCCAAGAAAAGCTGAGAGAAAGGCATTCTTGGCACAAGGAACATCAGATGTAAAGGCAGTAAGGCTCTTGGCTGCCAGATGACGGCAGCTCCAGATGAAATTATAATGGAGACCATTCTCCTTCCTGTTGCCAATGAGCCCTTAACCCTTGTATGCTACTCAAGGCCTTGCCTCTTCTGTCTCCTATCTGGAGCTTCCCTTTCAGGGCAGGATCCTCCTCTGTTTGGAACTTCTGGACTCTGCACCAAAATATGGCTCTTCTGTATTTCAGGGTGGGAAACTCCTCTGGTTGCATGGTAATTACTGATAGGCTGCTAATGCCTTACCTCATCTCAGACAGTGTCTGAACTTAACAACAAGACTTTTTGTAGGAAGACACCTTAATTTCAAGGTGTGCCTCTGACAGCAGGAATATCAACCCATGTGGTATGTCAGTGGAGGAGATATTTTTAGACCAAGCCCTGCTATTCACTTGTAGTGCAGTGGCACTAACACCAGCTTAAGATGACACCCGTTTGTTATGTCACAGTTCTGGAGGTCAGAAGCCCATGGATAGCATGTGGCTCAGCTGTGTCCTCTGTTAGAGTCTCACAAGGATAAGATCAATCTGTTGGCAGGACCAGCTCTGGGGGTGAATTAAGTTGTTGGCTGAATTCAGTTCTTCGTGGTTGTAGGACTGAGGTGACTCTTTTCTGCTGGGGGCTGGTCTTTGATCGTAGAGGCAGCCTGCATTCTTTCTTATGCTTCCCATGTGGCTCGCTCCTACAGCAGCAGGACAAATCCCTCTCATGCTTTGAATCTCTATGACTTCTTATTTTAAAAAATATATTTCCATAAGTTTTTGGGGAACAGGTGGTGTTTGGTTACATGAGTAAGTTCTTTAGTGGTGATTTGTGAGATTTTGGTGTGCCCATCAACCAAGCAGTATACACTGCACCCAATTTGTAGTGTTTTATCCCTCATCCCCTTCCCACCCTTTCCCTCTGAGTCCCCAAAGTCCATTGTATCATTCTCATGCTTTTGCATCCTCATAGCTTAGCTCCCACTTATAAGTGAGAACATACAATGTTTGGTTTTCCATTCCTGAGTTACTTTACCTGGAATAATAGTCTCCAATCCCATCCAGGTTGCTGCAAATGCCGTTAATTCATTCCTTTTTATAGCTGAGTAGTATTCCATCGTATATACCACAGTTTCTTTATCCACTCATTGATTGATGGGTATTTGGGCTGGTTCCATATTTTTGCAGTTGCGAATCGTGCTGCTATAGACATGTGTGTGCAAGTATCTTTTTCGTATAATGACTTATTTCCCGCCGGGTAGATACCCAGTAGTGGGACTGCTGGATCAAATGGTAGATTCCTTAAAGAACTAAAAGTAGAACTCTCTGACTTCTTCTGCCACATACCTCTGACTCCAGCCAGAGAAAGTTCTCTGCCTTTAAGGGCTCCTAGGATTATGTTGGGCCCACCAAAAAAAATCCAGGATAATCTCCCTATTTTAAAGGCTATACTTTTAATCACACCTGCAAAATCTCTTTTGCCATGTAACATCACTTACAGGTTCCAGAGGCTAGTAGAGTCTACATGTGTTTGGAGAGCCAGTCTGCCTACCACACTAGAGAAGGAGGTGGAATAACAGGATTTTTACCCTGGCTCCAACACTTACTGTAATTGTGAGCAAATCCCTGAGTTCTAATTCCTATCTCTGCAGAGGAGATAGGAGCCAGGACTTAACAACTCTATCATAATCCCATTTGAGAGTTTCAGCTTAAATAAAATTGTATATGCAAAAAGCATTTCTTTTTTTTTGAGACAGTCTTGCTCTGTCACCAGGCTAGAGTACAGTGGCGCGATCTCCACTCACTGCAACTTCCGCCTCCTGGGTTCAAGTGATTCTCCTGCCTCAGCCTCCTGAGCAGCTGGGACTACAGGCGTATGCCACCACACCCAGCTAATTTTTGTATTTTTAGTAAAGACAGGGTTTCACCATGTTGGCCAGGATGATCAAGATGGTCTCAATCTCTTGACCTTGTGATCCACCCAAAGTGCTGGGATTACAGGCATGAGCCACCATGCCCGGCCATAAAAAACATTTCGTCAGTTCAGCACATACATAGAAGTCATTGCTAATACTGTTCTTTTTTTTTTTTTTTTTTTTTGAGACAAGGTCTCACTCTGTTGCCCAGACTGAAGTGCAGTGGCCTCAGCCTCCCGAGTGGCTGGGATTACAGGCGCCTGCAACCACGCCTGGCTACTTTTTGTATTTTTAGTAGAAGTGAGGTTTCGCCATGTTGACCAGGCTGGTCTCAAACTCCCGACCTCAAGTGACCACCGGCCTCGGCCTCCCAAAGTGCTGAGATTATAGGCGTGAGCCACTGTGCCCAGCCTAATGCTGTTCTTATACCACATGGTGCTATCTCTATTTTTTAATTTTATATTTTTATTTGCTCTTATGTTGTGTGGTTTCCCCTCTGCCACCCTCAGTAATTCTCTAGTGAAAGGGAGCAGCTATTAACCCGCAGAGCTGGTTTACAAATATGGGCTCCAGGACTGGGGACAGTGGCTCACACCTATAACCCCAGCACTTTAGGAGGCCAAGGCAGGAGGTTGCTTGAGCCCAGGAGTTCAAGACCAATCCTGGCAATAAGGCAAGACCCTATCTCTACAAAAAATAAAAATAAAAATAATTAGCCAGGAGTAGTAGTGTGTGCCTGTAGTCCCAGCTATTCAGGAGGCTGAGGTGGGAGAATCATTTGAGCCCAGGAGGTCGAGGCTGCAGTGAGCCATGATTGTGCCACTGCACTCCAGGCTGGGTGACAAAATAAGATCCTGGCTCTGGAGCCTGATGGCCTGTGCTTAAATCCTAGTTTCTCTATTTATTATGTGACCCTGGGCAAGTTTTTAAGCTCTGTGCTTCAGTTTCATCATCCGTAAAATGAAAAGAGTAACAATATCGGCCCCCAAGGGCAGATACACACACACACACACACACACACACACACATACATATACATATACATATACATATACATATACATATACATATTTATGTGTGTGTGTGTGTGTGTCTATATATATATATATACATATTTTATATGTGTGTTGCAAGGAGTGAATAAGTTTACATATGCAAAGCACTTAGAACTGTGCCTGGCACAAGGGCTGGGCGTGGTTGCTCACGCCTGTAATCCCAACACTTTGGGAGGCTGAGGCTGGCAGATAACCTGAGGTCAGGAGTTTAAGACCAGCCTGGCCAACAGGGTGAAACCCTGTCTCTACTAAAAATGCAAAACTTAGCCAGGCATGATGGTGCACACCTGTAATCCCAGCTACTTGGGAGGCTGAGGCAGGAGAGTCACTTGAACCTGGGAGGCAGAGGTTGCAGTGAGCCAAGATCACACCACTGCACTCCAGCCTGGGCATCAGGGTGAGACTCCATCTCAAAAAAAAAAAAGAATGGTGCCTGGTGCATCGTGGCAGCTGCTGTTATCACCATCATCTACCTTATTATCAGCAATCACATTGCCGCCTCCTATTGGTGTTGTTCACAGCCCTTCTTACCATTTGCAATCATAAATTTTGTCTGTGCATTTGCTCAGCATCTATTTTCCCATTAGATCTGAGCTTCATCAGAGCTATTTTGTTGAAGGGAGTTGCTTATGATTAACTTTTCATTACATAAGTCATCAAGCATGCATTTTATAAGCACATTGAAATGTTGAGGATAAAGCTAATGTCTCCTTTGGACACTGTATTTCCTACTGGTCCCTTCTCTCCTTCCCCAGATAGAGGTAGCCAAAGTCTAACAATATCAAGTGTTGCTGTGGCTGTAGAGAAATAGAAATGGCCAGACAATGTAAATTGATATGGCCACTGCAGAGGGCAGCCTGGCAGTAGCTATTAAAATTAAAAACACGCATTTCTCATGACTCAGCAGTTTCACTTCTCAGAAAATGCCTTAGAATTGCATTGGCAATTAGACCCAAGACATCACGAAGAAGGATGGCCATTGCTGCATTCTTCATAATACCAAAAATGGGACAACCTAAACATTCATCAAAAGAGGAATGTTAAATGAAATACAGCACCTCCTGAGAGGTGGTGCAAGAAATAAGTGTAAAACTTCTATCTCTATTTTTTAATTTTACATTTTTATTTGTACCTTACAGGTTTTAATAGGAATAGCAAACTTCCTATGAGTCAGGGTCTGTTTTTGCATGCAATTTTCACAACACTGTCATGAGGTGGCTGCTATTATCTGAATTTTATAGATGAGGAAACAAAGACACAGAGAAGTTATGTAAATTTCCCCAAGGTCCCCAGTGGAGCTCGGATTTGAACTCAGGCAGTTTGATTTCCAAGCAAATGGGATTAATCTTTAGGCCATATAGCTTTTCCTTTTTTTGTAATGTACATAATATAGTAATAGAACAGTTCATGTCTTAATGTGTAAACAAACAATATGCACCAACTGAGGGTTGTTTAAAGTTCAAAACTTCAAAGGGTACTTGATCACAAAAGCTTCAAGATAGACATGGGGCAGTAAACAGCCAGCCATAAGAAGGATGAAATAAATGTTTTCAATTTTTTGAGACAGGGTTTCACTTTGCCTCCCAGGCTGAAGTGCCGTGGTGCAATCATGGCTTATTGTAGCCTCGACCTGTCAGCCTCAAGTGATCCTCCCATCTTAGCCTCCCAAGTAGCTGGGACAATAGGCACGCACCACCAAGTGCAGCTATCAATTTTTTTATTTTTTGTAGAGCTGGGGTCTTCCTATGTTGCTCAGCCTAAGGATGAAGTAGATCTTTATAGGCCAGTTGTATCTTAGTTTGCTTTGTTTACCCAGTGCCTATCAAGGTGCCCACACCTGGTAAGATCTTGTTAGGTATTAGAGAATAAATGAATAACCTTCATGCGGTGCCTGCCCTAGTCTGACTTAAGGTAGGAAAAAGGAGCCCAGTCCTAGGTCATCGTGCTCCTGGCTACTGCTCCTGGGGCCCTGTGGGCCTAGGATCCTGGCTGGGCAGGTGCAAGAAGCTCAGGTTTCCTAGAATAGGGACATGGAAGTCTGTGAGGCTGAGTAAAATAACTGGAGATTGCTGGAAGAGCAATAAGGAATCTAAAAAAACAAAAACAACTCCTGGACTAATAAACAACTATAGCAAGCTAACAGGATGCAAGGGCACCATGCAAAAAAATGTATCATTTTCCCATATATTAGCAATGAACAATTTTGGATGCAAAATGGAAAAACAGAATGTCATTTACAATCACTCAGGGAAAAAAACCCTTAGGATATAAACCTAACAAAACATTTATAGAAAGTATACACTGAAAATTACAAAATATTGAAATAAATCAAGAAGACCTAAATAAATGGGGAGATGCACCATGTTCATGGACTAGAAGATTCAACATAATATAGATGTCAGTTCTCCCCAAATAGATTTATAGGTTTAGCACAATTTCTGTCAGAATCCCACTAGTGGTTTTTTTGTAGATGTAAACAATATGATTACAAAATTTACACAGAAAGGTAAAGAAACTAAAACAGCTAAAATAATATTGAAAAAGAAATTGGGAGATTATAGGTTTACACTGATGTTAAGACTTACTATATAGTTAAAATCATTGTGACTGTGAAGTATAGACACACAGATCAATGGAACAGAATCCAGAATCAAAAACACCCACACAAGTACCCACAACTGATTTTTTACAAAGATACAAAAGCAATAAGATAATCATAGCCAAAAATATAAATTTCAAACCAAGCCTCACAACTTATGCAAAAATTAACTCAGAGCATAGATATAAAACATAAAATTATAAAACTTTTGCAAGAAGATATATGGGGAAATCTTCATCACATAGGGTTAGATGAGGAGTTCTTACACATTACACCAAAAGCACAATCCGTAAAGAAAAAATTCATAATTTGGACTTTATCAAAACTTAGAACTTTAGTTTTAATGAAAGAGCCAGTCAAAAAGATGGAAAGACAGGCACAGATTGTGAGATAATATTTGCAAAACACATATCCAGCAAAAGACTTGAGTCTGGAATATACACAAAGAACTTTAAAAACTCAGTGGTTGAAAATAAGAAATCCAATTAGAAAATGGGCAAAAGGCATGAACAGACATTTCACTGAAGAGGATATATGGTTGGCATACAAGCACATGGAAAGATGTTCAACATCTTTGGCTATTAGGGAATTGCAAAACAAAGCTATGGTGAGCTACAACAACACACGTATTAGTATGGCTCAAATAAAAAAAAATTGACATACCAAGTGCTGGAGAGGATGTAGAACAACTGGATATCTCAGGCATTGCTGATGGGAATGTAAAGTAGTACAGAAACTCTGGGGAAAAAAGTGTAGCAGTTTCTTACACAGTTAAACATGCACTCACCATAGGACCCAGCAATAGTACTCCTGCATATTTATACCAAAGAAATGAAAATGTATGTCTGTACAAAAACCGGTACATGAATATTCACAGCAGCTTTATTCATAATAGTCCCAAACCAGAAACAACCCAAATTTCCATCAACAGACAGATAAGCCAACTGCTACTCAGCCACAAAAAAAGAATGAACTAATGATAGATTCAACAATTTGAGTGAACCTCAAGGATACAACGCTGTGTGAAAAAAAAGACACTGTCAAAGGGCTATGTTCTATATGATTCCATTTATATAATGTCTTCAAACAACAAAATGATAGGAATGGAGAACAGATTGATGGTCGCCAGGGGTTAGGATTGGAGACAGTGCAACTATAACAGGGTCTGAAGAGGGTATTTCTTTGTGGTGATAGAAAAAAAATCTTTATCCTGAGCATGATGGTAGATACAGAAATCTCTACATATGATGAAATTTCAGAGTACTGTATGCTAAAGAAATTAAAATGAATGCATGTAAACACTGGTGCAATCTGAAGAAGGTGTGTAGTTGAGTGAATATTATTGTATCAGTGTCTGTTTCCTGGTTTTGAAAAGTGACTGTGATTGTATAAGATGTTATCATGGGGGAAGCTGGGCGAAGATGGTACATGGGAGCTCTACTATTTTTGCAAGTTCTTGTGAGTCTTAAACTACTTCAAATTTTAAGTTTGTTAACTTTAAAGGGGATTCCTTATGAAAGTTTGGGGACAGTGACAGAGCAGTCACAGCCATGAGAAGGGGTGAAGTATCTCTGTGGACCAGCCCTATCTTATTTGCTATTGTTTCTCCAGCAACTTACCATGGTGTGTAGCAAATAGAAGTTAACAAGCAGCTGTGGGCTGGGTGCAGTGGCTCACACCTGTAATCCCAGCACCTTGGGAGGCTAAGACAGGCAGATGGCTTGAGCTTAGGAATTCAAGACCAGCCTGGCCAATGTGGCGAAATCTTGTCTTTACTAAAAATACAAAAATTAGTCAGGCATGGTGGTGCACACCTGTAGTACCAGCTACTTGGGAGGCTGAGGCATGAGAATAGCTTGAACCCAAGAGGCGGAGGCTACAGCAAGCTGAGATTGTGCCACTACACTCCAGCCTGGGGCACAGAATGAGACTCCATCTCAAAAAACAAAAAAACAAACAAACACAACACAACAAAACAAAACAAAACAAACCAAGTAACTGTGAAATAAAGGAATACCCTAGTGCAATGTTTGCCCTAGTCTGACTCTGAAGGTAGCAAAAAAGAGGCCAGACCCAGGTCTTCCAGCTCGAGTTACCCCTCCCCCAGGTCCCATGGCCTTAGGCTCCTGGATGGGCAGGTGCAGAAAGGCTCGGGTTTCCTGCAGCAGGAAGATGAGTGACAGAGCTGGTGATTCCTGGAAAAGCAACAGGCAGGTGGACAGTGAGCAGCAGTGCTGTGCTAGGACTGGGAAGGGACAGGATCTCCCCACTGTTCTATTCTGGCCATTCGGTTTGGCACATTGCACTGGGGACATGGGGCCCCTTCTCCCACACATCTCTCCTCTCCCACAAGCCTGGGCTAAGAACTGCTTTGAGCTGCCTGCCTGCAACTCGGAATTTTACTGCCCACTTTGGGAGCCTCTTAGGCCTGGGTTGGAGTCCCAACCGCAACTTCCTAGTTGTGCGATCTTGGAACAAGTCACTTCACCTCATGGAGCCTCAGTGTTTCCACCCATAAATTGGGACTAACATCTCCTTAGCTTACTAGACTCGTGTGCAGAAACTGAGAACATTCAGGTCAAGGGCTCAGGGCCAGGCAGATTGTTTGTGCTCAGGGAATATGATCCTTTCACCTTACTCCTCACCATGTGCATCAGGTACCAGTGGAGAAGGTTGGCCCCAGCATCGTGGATGGGTTTGTTCTTCCCACTGATGTCTCCTTTGTATCTAGCTGAAGTGAGTTAAAACAAGCATCCTGGGGAAATCTCAAAGAGGTGTGGATCTTAAACGGTAACCAGAGGACAGGTGCAGTGGCTCATACCTGTAGTCCCAGCACTTCAGGAGGCCAAGGCAGGAGGATCAGGCAGGGCAACATAACAAGACCCTCGTTTCTACAAAAGATAAAATAAAAAAATTAGCCAGGTGTGGTGGCGCACACCTGTGGTCCCAGCTACTTGGGAGGCTCAGGATCCCTCCTGGGATCACTTAAGCCCAGGAGGTCGAAGCTGCAGTGAACTATGATCACACCACTGCACTCTAGCCTGGGTGACAGAGAGAGACTTTATGCGTTAAAAATATGTAAATATTGAACCTGGGAGGCAGAGGTTGTAGTGAGCCAAGATCGAGATATTACACTCCAGCCTGGGTGACGGAGCAAGACTCTGTCTTAAAAAAAAAAAAAAATATATATATATATATATATATATATACACACACACACACATATATATAAACACACACATATGTATATACACATTATATATATACACATATATATACACACACACACACACATATATATATATAGTTAATTTTATATGTTTGTGTGTGGAAAGCCATTAGAATCACGCCAGGTACCCCAGAGGTGCTCACTAATGGCAGGGATATTGTGACCATCATCATTGTCTTCATCGTCACTGTGTACGCACATGCAGGAAACAACATAGAATTTGCAGGTATTTTTAGCTGCTGGAGCTGCCTCCTCCTCCACCCCCCGTGTCTGTCTCTAAGAGTCACTGTCCAGCTCTGAAGGCAGAGGTGAAGCAGCCGCCCTGTGTGTTGCTTCCTGGGCATGGAAGTTCCCATGGGCAGCATCCTCTGGGGATGGCACAGAGACTGGCTATCTGGGTTACCTGCAGCCTCCGCAGGCTCATTCCCTGGAACTGGGCCCCAGCGTTCCAGGCTGAGTGGTTTTGTCAGGGCTGAGATAACATCCTCTGCGTCCTCAGATACCCTGAGAGTTGGGTGGATGCTGGGCATGGGGAGGGGGGAGGGGAGGAGTGAGAGCTGCCTGTGATCAGCCAACAGGCAGACCTCCATGGGCACGATGAGGAGGGGAGCTGGGTGTTCCCAGAGGGTGGGTTTCTGCTGTCTTCGCAGGGCCTGTGGCTGACTTCCCCTCTGGCTCAGTTTTCTGGGTCTCACAGAAGACACAGGTCTTAGGAGTCAGCAGGAGCCTCAGAAAGCGTTCAGTCCAAAGCCTTTATTTTCCAATGAGGACATTGATGCCCACAGCGGGTTAGCAACAGCCCTTTGCACAAACAGGGGCAAAGCAGCCCTGTTCTGCTGACTCCCGGCTCAGTGCTCTCCCCTCTGCCCTCTAACCACACTGCCACGGAGTCAGATATAGCTGGTTCAGGCCCTGGTTCTGCTATTTTCTTGCTGTGGGTGCTAAGGCTGTAGTCATCATTTGTCTATGGCTCCATTCCATCATCTGTGAAATGGAATCATAATATGAACCTCATGGGACCATTCTGGGGGTGAAATAAGACATGCAATATACATGGCTGAATGCAGTAGACAATGCAAGTGTGCAGGGGGTGTTTTAAGTTGACCCTAATTGCTGACTGTGTGCCAAAAACCATTTCGATGCTCTCATTCATCCTCCCAACTGCCTTTCAAGGCAGGTGCTAGTTCAACCTCACTTTACAGACGAGGAAACAAACGCAGAAACTCATTGAGTAAGTCACCCAAGGTGGTGGCAGAGCCGATCCAATCAGGCAGCCTGGATCCTGAGTCTGTGCTTTTACCAGTCCCTAGTGGAACCCGGAGCCACTGGGAATTCAAGCTGATTATCCAAGGTTATGTCATGGTATGCAAGAGGCATTGATCTATCTGTAAAATGTTAAGACTTAGGGAACAGGAATCCTGCAGGTTAGGAACAGGAGACTCCCTAGAAGTGATTCTCAACTGGGGGCTCTGAAAATGGACTTGGGGGCGTAGGTTGTCATGATGGCCGAGGCCCACTACAGGTATATAATAAAAGTTGGGGAATGTCTTGCAATGCACAGGACAAAGAATTATACAAATAATTGTCCTGCCCCATGGCCAGTAGCCCCAAATGAGAGACTTTCCCATTAACAAACATCCAGGGACCAGGTGCGATAGCTCATGCCTGTAATCCCAGCACTTTGGATGGCCAAGGAGGGAGAATCACTTGAGGCCAGGAGTTCAAGGCCAGCCTGATCAACATGGCAAGAGCCCATCTCCACAAAAAATTAAAAATTAGCTGAGCATGATGGCACATGTCTGTAGTCCCAGCTGCTCAGGAGGCTAAGGCAGGAAACCCTCTGGAACCTGGGAGGCGGAGGAGGTTGCAGTGAGCCGAGATTGTGCCACTGCGCCCCAGCCTGGGCGACAGAGTGAGGCTGTCTCAAAAAAAAAAAAAAAAGAATAGGTCAAAGTTTCACAAACTTTGAAAAAACATTTATCATTTTAACAGTTATGTATCTTACTACGTACTAGAAAAATAACTAGCACATCAGATCCATGATTAAATGAGTATTCGTATTGTCCTTTTAGCACATAGAAAATGTTACCTATTAGGACCAAGCGTAAGTGGATTGGATATTGTGACATGATAAGAAATATATATATTTTGGTCTTTCTCCCAGCTCCTGGTCAGAGCCACTAAAACCCTTGTGCTTTCCTAAGTGATAGGAGCAAAAGGAGCATCATGTGTGACAATATTTGTGTTTTTGTCCTCAGGGCCTGAAATAGCCTCAGGGTAATAAAGGTGTCATTCATAACAAGGCCCTTTCATCCATACCTGAGTCTGTGTTCGTGAGGTGACTTTTTTTTATCTTTTTGAGACAGAGTCTCACTCTGTCACCCAGGCTGGAGTTCAGTGGCATGATCTCGGCTCTCTGCAACCTCCGTCTCCCGGGTTCATGCGATTCTCTTGCCTCAGCCTCTCAAATAGCTTGGATTACAGGCCTTCTCCACCATGCCCAGCTAATTTTTATATTTTTAGTAGAGACATAGTTTCGCCATGTTGGCCAGGCTGGTCTTGAACTCCTGACCTCAAGTGATCTGCCCACCTCAGCCTCCTAAAGTGCTAGGATTACAGGTGTGAGCCACTGACCTGGCCTAATGAGGTGACTTTTGAAAAGGCTACAGACTAGGAGACAGCGTCAGGATGGGGGCTGGCTGCCATGGGAACCAATCATGTGATTAGATATTTGGAGCTTTCAGCCTCATCCCTGACCTCAGGGGAGGAGAGGATCCAGAGGTTGGGTTAATCACTAATGGCCAATGCTTTCATCCATCATGCCTACATAATTAAGGCTTCATTAAAACCCCAAAGGACAGGGTTTTGGAGAGCGTCTGGGTTGGTTAACACATGCAAGGTGCTAGGAGAGTGATGTGTTCAGAGAGGGCATGTAAGCTCCACTCCGTTCCCCATATCTTGCCCCATGCATCTCTTGCATTGAAGCATTGGAATTGAACTTGAATCCTTTATCATAAACCAGAAACGTACATAAATGTTTCTCTGCTTTTTTTTCTTTTTGCTGCAAGCGTCAAGTAAATATTTCTTTGAGTTTTGAGAGCTGTCTTAGCAAATTATTGAACCTGAGAAGGGGGATTATGGGAACCTCCAATTTGTCAGACAGAAGTTGTGGGTAACCTGGAGACCCACTACTTGTGATTGGAGGCTGAAGTGGGGGCAGTCTTATGGATCTGGGCCCTTAACCTGTGGGGTCTATATGAACCCCAGGTAGCTACTGCCAGGATTTAACTAAATTATAGGACACCCAGTTGGTGTCTGCAGAGATTTGGAGAATTGCTTGGTGTGGAAAACCCACACTTTTGGTGTCAAAAGTGAGACATGATCTTGCTCTGTCACCCAGGCTGGAATACAGTGGTGCAAACACAGCTCACAACAGCCTTGACCTCCTGGGCTCAAGCAATCCTCCCACCTCAGCCTCCCAAGTAGTTGGAACCACAGACATGCTCTTCTCTGTGGGCATAGAAGAGAAAAAGGTTTGTTTCCCTTTGTAGTTTTTTTTTTAGTAGGTCTGCAAAAATCAGAGAAGGTTATTAGAAAATGACAGATAGCTGGGAAGCTCTAGATCTTGGCTCCCATCAGGCCCTTGCATTCTTAGAACAGACATTAAAAAGCATGTTGTATCCCAGCACTTCGGGAGCCAAGGTGGGAGCATCGCTTGAACTCAGGAGTTTGAAACGAGCCTGGGCAATGTAGCAAGGCCCCATCTCTACAAAAATTTAAAATTAAAAAAAAACATAGGTCGGGTGCAGAGGCTTATGCCTGTAATCCCAGCATTTTGGGAGGCCGAGGCAGGAGGATCCCTAGAAGCCAGGAGTTCAAGACCAGCCTGGGCAATATAGCAAGACCTCATCTCTACAAAAAAATGTATCAATTAGTCAGGTGTGGTGGCACATGCCTGCGGTCTCAGCTGCTTGGGAGGCTGAAGCGGGAGGATTGCTTGAGCCCAGGATATTGCAGTGAGCCGTGTTCGTGCCACTCTTTCCAGCCTGGGTGACAGAGCAAGATCCTGTATCAAAATAATAATAATAGACCAGGTACAGTGGCTCACACCTCTAATCCCAGCACTTTGGGAGGCTGAGGCGTGTGGATCACCTTAAGGTCAGGAGTTTGAAACCAGCCTGGCCTACATGGTGAAACCCCATCTCTACTAAAAATACAAAATTAGCCAGGCATGGTGGCACGCACCTGTAATCCCAGTTACTTGGGAGTCTGAGGCAGGAAATTGCTTGAACCCAGGAGACAGAGGCTGCAGTGTGCTGAGATCGCGCCACTGCACTCCAGCCTGGGCGACAGAGTGAGACTCAGTCTCAAAAAAAAAAAAAAAAAAAGAAGAAGAAGAAGAAATTTTAAACATAGAAATAAAAACTGTGTGGTGAGTGTGGTTCAAAATAAGGAAATCCACCATTTAAGAGGGCTAGGCAATGGAGGAACAAAGCTGAAGGTGCTCCTTATTTCTGCCCGCTGTGTGTGGCTATGAGTGCAGGTCTGTCTTGGCATCATCAGGTTGTCCGCTCCCGCCCTTCTCCCAGAGCTCCTAGGGCTCTGCTAGAGAGAGCTCAGGCCCCAGGCCTTGCTGCTGTTTCTTGGCATTCAGGCTTTGTGTAGTTTGTTAAGGCTGCTGTAACAAGGTACCACCAACTGAGTGCCTTCAACAACAGAAATGTATTGGCTCAGTGTTCTGGAGGCCAGATATCTGAAAGCAAGGTTTTGGTTCCTTCTGGAAGCTGTGAGGGAGAACCTGTCCCCACCTCTCTTCCAGCTTCTGGTAGCCCCAGGTGTCCCTTGGATTATAAATGGCCATCTTTGGCCAGGCATGGTGGCTCACCCTTGTAATCCCAGCACTTTGGGAGGCCAAGGTGGGCGGATCACTTGAGGCCAGGAGTTCAAGACCAGTGTGGCCAACATGGCGAAACCCCGTCTCTACTAAAAATACAAAAATTAGCCAGGCGTGGTGGTGGGCACCTGTAATCCCAGCTAGTTGGGAGGCTGAGGCAGGAGAATCACTTGAACCCAGGAGGCAGAGGTTGCAGTGAGTGGAGATCGTGCCATTGCACTCCAGCCGGAGCAACAAGAGTGAAACTCCATCTCACAAAAAAAAAAAAAAAAAAAGGCCATCTTCTCCCTGTGTCTTTACATTGTCCTTCCTTTCTGTTTGTCTTTCTCTGTGTCCAAATTTCCTCCAAAACACCAGTATTATTGGATTACGGCCCATTCTTGACCCTATCTTGATTTGATCATCTGCAAAGACCCTGTTTCCAAATACCATCCATTCACAGGTACTGGGAGTAAGGACTTCACCATCTCTTGTGAGGACACAATTCGACCCCTAACAGGCCTGTTCAGCAACTAGGAAGGAAGGCCCCACCACCCCAGGCCTGCAGCCAGGACTTCTCCTTGAGTGTCCGGGCCCCTATCTCCTCTACGCTTTCTCTGCTGAGCCAACCCTGCCTTTGGTCCCGGGGAGGGTATGTCTATGTCTTCCTCCACCCCATGGAGACAGAAACATGGTCGGAAAGTACCTGGCCTTGAGCTTTTGGAGATTTCACCTCTGAAGTGGCTTTACTCCATGTTGCGTGCCTGCAAAACCACGAGTAGTGGAAGTCACCAAAGTTGCTCAGTTACATCCTAAACAAATGTAACCCCTGCACCAATGCAAGGAGACTGCATAAGATTGCGATCCTCCCTGAGCCCCTGTGATGATCCCTTTCCTATAAATCAGGGAACAGGAGTGCAGAGGAGTTGTGTAACAACAGAGAGGCACAGCCAGGAGGTGGCAGGTCACCAGGTCCACAGCTCCTCACCCCAAATCTGCTTTTATTCCAACTGATCTGCAGGCAGCACAGCCCGCTTCCTGCCTTCTTCTATCTCAGAAATTTAGCTATTTATTGAATAGGCAATTTATCCGGCCTTGGTGCAAAATGCAGAGCTGCTCTCTTGGCTTTTGATAGGAGTAGAGTGGCAGTCATAAAACTCAGACCAATAAAAATATGAAAACTAATAAGCTTAGATCATGCTTACTAAAATGTGTGCCAGACGCTATTTTAAGCATTTATTATATGTTAATCTTCAATGACTCTATGAGGTATGTGTAATGTCACTTCCCCACTTTCCTGATGAGAAAACTGAGGCTCTGTCATGATTTGCACAAGGCCACACAAACTAGTTCTTTCTTTTAAAAAAAAATGATTTCCATATAATTATTTCCATATAATTCCATTTTGGGGGAACAGGCAGTATTTGGTTACATGAGTAACCAAAGTTCTTTAGTGGTGATTTGTGAGATTTTGGTGCACTCATCACCTAAGCAGTACACACTGAACCCAATTTGTAGTCTTTTATCCCTCACCACCTTCCCACCCTTTCCCTCTGAGTCCCCAAGGCCCACTGTGTCGTTCTTATGCCTTTGCATCCTCATAACTTAGCTCCCACTTATGAGTGAGAACATGCAATGTTTGGTTTCCCATTCCTGAGTCACTTCACTTGGAATAATAGTCTCCAATTCCATGCAGGTTGCTGCAAATGCCATTAATTCATTCCTTTTTATGGCTGAGTAGTATTCCATCATATATATTATATATATAATATATATTATATAAAATATATATTATATATTATATATATAATATATATTATATAAAATATATATTATATATTATATAAAATACATTATATATAATATATTATATAAAATATATATAATATAGTTTATATAATATATGTTATACTATATATTATATATATATAAGATTTATATGTATTTTATATATATTTATATATATATATATATATATATATGATGTCCACCTGCCTCTGGGCAGTTCCATCTGGGTGTCTCCTCAACACTTAAAACCTGCCAAGCTCAAAATAATTATTTATCCTTAAGAATCAGCCCCAGTTAGCCCCAGTTAGACTTATATATATATATTCCACCATATATATGTTGAAATATATATATTCCATCATATATATGTTGAAATATATACATTCCATCATATATATGTTGAAATTATACATTCCATCATTTATATGTTGAAATATATACATTCCATCATATATATGTTGAAATATATACATTCCATCATATATATGTTGAAATATATACATTCCATCATATATATGTTGAAATATATACATTCCATCATATATATAGAAATATATATATAACTACCTATGTCTATCATAGTCCAGGATTTCATAAGCCTGGTGTTTTGGAATCTGGCCTGGGGTAGGATCTCAGCTCCATCATACACTCTTAAAGTTCATGGTGAGTGTGGAGGAAACAAGAGGCATTACTACCACGACCTGGCCCCCAGGGCCAGCCCCCACTGAACCCCAAACACGCTCCAGAGCTGAGTAGCAGCTTTCCCCTTTTCATTATTTCTACTGAGCTCCAAGAAGTTAATTAGCTTGTCAAGTTCACACTGCCAGATCATCTCACTTTTTTTTTTCTAGAGATTCCAGAAATCTGGTTTTTATGTGAAATGTCTTGACTTTTTAATTACTATTTTTTTTAAGCAACAAGAAAAACCATTGTTGAGGCCAAAGAAAACCCATCTGTAGACCAGATGTGGCCGATGGGCCACCGGTTTGCTTTGGAGTTGGGCAGGCTTGGATTTGCATCCCAGCTCTGCCACTTACGAGATGCATGACCATGTCACTGTTGGTGATGTCCTCATCCGTAGAAGGGCAATGACAGTCACTTTGTATGATTGCGTTTAATTGATCGATGGTTCCTGTGAAGGACCTGGCATATTGCTGGCGCTCAATAGATGGTAGATCATGGTTATTGTTATGGCAATGGCATTAAATGAAATCAGGACTATGGTAGGCGGAGGTGTCGGAGGGAGGATGATTATTTTGAGCTTGACAGGTTTTAAGTGTTGAGGAGACACCCAGATGGAGCTGTCCAGAGGCAGCTGGACATGTGGGTGGGGGCTGGAGATTTTCAAATGGGGGAAGGGTGTCTTCCATTGAGAGTTCTTTTTACATGGATGTGAGACTTGTTTTACTCTGTATAACTTTGTGTTTTGAAAGTTCATGGGCTTCTGATCACTGCCTCCGTATTGGGTGCTCTCATGGCTGTGGTCATTGTTTCCTGGAAAAGAGCACAGTTCCCTGGACTGGCTGCTTTTCCATCAGGAGGTAAATCTGCAAAGAAAAGGTCTAACTGGGGCTGATTCTTAAGGAGAAACCTTAAGTGCATGAGGCAGAGAAGGCTGAGGGCAGAGGTTCCTCACTTATCATCATGAACGAGGAACAAGGAGTTCAGCGGATGTCAGCCAGCATTGACTGACATCTCTACCTTCTCTACCTGTGGGGCTTGCTCTCACTTTTTGGAACTCCAATTAGGAGAAAGGAGCTCTCATTTCTGTTCTGCTTTGTATTAAATATTTTCTCTGTGACATTGGCCAAGTCATCTCTACCTTTGGACCTACGGTCGTTATTTGTAAAGCAAGTATGTTGGGTATGTTATGGTATCTCCATACCTGGGCTGTTATTACTTTGCTGGAGATACCATAACAAAAGACTGGGTGACTTAAACAACAGAAACTTATTTTCTCACAGTTCTGGAGGCTAGAAGTTCAAGACCAAGGTATCAGCAGGGTTGGTTTCTTCTGAGGCCTCTGTCCTTGGTAGTAGACGGCCATCTTCTCCTTGTGTCCTCACATGGTCTTCCCTCTGTGTGTGTCTGTGTTCTAACTACCTCTTATTATAAAAACACCAGTCATTTTGGGTTAGGGGCCACCCTAATAATCTCATCTTACCTTAATGACCTCTTTAAATACCCTGTCACCAAATATACTCACATTCTGAAGTGCTATGGGTTAGGATTTCATCATATACATTTAGAGGCAGAGGGGACAAGATTCATTCCATAACAGACCAGATCAGCGTTTCCCAAGGTATGTGCTCCTGTGGTGGTGGGACTGACTTCATATCAAACACAGAAACAGGTCTTGAGGAATAATCAATCTTTCTGATTACATGAGGAAGAAAGTGTTTGATTTAGTACTAATGTGTCTTTAATTCCTTTCTGATACCTACCAGAGCACATGGTGAGTGGGCCTCAGACACAGAGCTTTGGCAGGCAACCATATCTGTACAAGTTACCTATTGCTGCATAACAGTTACCCTCAAACTTAGTGGCTTCAACCAATACACAGTTATTATACCCCAGTTTATATGGGTCAGGAAGTCAGAAGCAACTTGGCTGGCTGGTTCTGGTTCATGGTTGTATTAGTCAGTTCTAACACTGCTGATAAAGACATACCTGAGACAGTGTAATTTATAAAGAAAAAGAGGTTTAATGGACTCACAGTTCCACATGGCTGGGGAGGCCTCACAATCATGGCAGAAGGCAAAAGGCACATCTTACATGGCAGCAGGCAAGATAGAATGAGAACCAACTGAAAGGCGACACCCTTTATAAAACCATCAGATCTCGTGAGACTTATTTGCTACCACGAGAACAGTATGGGGGAAACTGCCCCCATGATTCAGTTATCTCCCACTGGGTCCCTCCCACAACATGTGGGAATTATGGGAGCTACAATCAAAGATGAGATTTGGGTGGGAACACAGCCAAACCATATCAATGGTCTCTTATGAGATTGCAGTGATCTAAAGGCTTGTCTGGGACTAGTGGATCCACCTTTCAGGTGGCTCTAGTAAGTGTTGGCTGTTGGGGGAGCCCTCAGCTCCTTATCATATGGGCCTCTGTACAGACTGCTTGAGTATCCTCACAACATGGCTGGCTTCCTCCAGAACGGGCATTGGAGAAAGCAGGAGAGCAAGGAAAAGGTGTGATGTCTTTTATGTCCTAGTGTTGGAAATCATATGCCATCAATTTCATAGTATCCTACAGGGAGACTGTGGAATGAATAGAGCACAGGTCAGCCCTATTCATTGTGGGAGGGAACAACACAAGGATATGAATACCAGAAGGCAAGGATCACTGAGGGCCATCTCAGGCTGGTACACTAGAAATTAAGAGTTTTATTTCCCGATTAACTATTTTTCTCATTACCTTATCTATATATGCGTGCACAAATATATTTGTACATATATATACATATATGTATATGCATAATTTGGATATACAAATTATATTTGTACTACAAATATAATTTCATATAGCATATTATTAGCATTTCATGCACTTTTAATTTACACTTGTGATATGCTATGTCTATTATCTATTATTGTATAACTTTTTTCACTCAATAATATGTTCTTTTTTTTTTTTTTTTTTTATCTTTTTGCCCAGGCTGGAGTGCAATGACGCAATCTCGGCTCACTGCAACCTCCGCCTCCCGGGTTCAAGTGATTCTCCTGCCTCAGCCTCCCAAGTAGCTGGGATTACAGGCATGCACCACCACGCCTGTCTAATTTTGTATTTTTAGTAGAGATGGGGTTTCTCTATGTTGGTCAGGCTGGTCTTGAACTCCCAACCTCAGGTGATCTGCCCACCTTGGCCTCCCAAAGTGCTGGGATTATAGGCGTGAGCCACCGCGCCCAGCCGATAATATGTTCTTGAGATCTATCTGCATTGATATAAACAGATCTGTCCATTGCTTTAAATTATATAAGGATTAGTAAGTATTAGGTTGGTGCAAAAGTTATTGCAATTTTTAACATTACTTTCAATGGCAAAAGCCACTATTACGTTTGCACCAACCTAATATACGCCATTTGTATTTATCCATTCCTCTACTAATGGCCATTTAGATTATTTCCAATTTTTAGCTTTTATAACAATAATAACTGACCATCCTCTTACATGTCCTAGGATAAATAATAAGAGAAATTGCTGGGTTATAGAATACATGTATTTTATGTTTTGATAGATGGGGCCAGTTGCCCTTTAGAATAGTTATACTGATTTATACTGCCATCCACAAAGTAGGAGTGTTTCCGTTGCTCTATAATATTACTAAATCTTTTTTTTTTTTTTGAGATGGAGTCTGGCTCTGTTGCCCAGGCTGAAGTGCAGTGGCACAATCTCAGCTCACTCCAACCTCCGCCTCCCTGGTTCCAGAGATTCTCCTGCCTCAGCCTCCCGAGTAGCTGGGATTACAGGCACCTGCCACCACAACCGGCTAATTTTTGTATTTTTAGTACAGATGGGGTTTCACCATGTTGGCAGGGCTGGTACTGAACCTCTGACCTCAAGTGATCTACCCACCTTGGCCTCCCAAAGCGCTGGGATTACAGGTGCAAGCCACCGCACCCGGCCTATTACTAACTCCATATTGCCAGATATTTTTATTTTTGCCAATCTGATAGGTAGAAAAATGGTATCTCTGGCTGGGCACAGTGAGTCATGCCTATAATACCAGCGCTTTGGGAGACCAAAGGAGGAGAATCACTTGAACCCAGGAGTTCGAGACCAGCCTGGGCAAGATAGCAAGACCCCATCTCTACAAAAACTTTAAAAACAAATAAAATGAAATAAAATTAGCTGAGCATGGTGGTACACACCTGTAGTCCCAACTACTCAGGAGGTTGAGGCATGAAGATCTTGTGAGCCCAGGAATTTGAGGTTGCAGTGAGCCATGATGACACTGCTGCACTCCTGCCTGGGCAACAGAGCAAAACACTGCCAAGGAAGGAAGGAAGGAGTGGGGGGCGGGGAGAGGAGGGGAGGGGAGGATTTTAAATTGTGGTAAAAACACATAATATAAAATTTACCATCTTGGCCTTTTTTAAGTGTTCAGTTTCATAGTGTGAACTATACTCACATTGTTATCCAGCAGATCTCTAGAACTTTTTCATCTTGCAAAACTGAAAGTCTATACAAATTGAACAACTCTCCATTTCCTCCTAACCCTAGCCCCCGGCAACCGCAATTATTTCTGTTCTCTGAGTTTGACTTCTTTAGATACCTCATATAAGTGGAATCATACAGTATTTGTCTTTTTATGTCTGGCTCATTTCACTCAGCATAATGTTCATCCGTGTTGTAGCATCTCGTTTTCTGAGGCTGAATAACATCCATCATATGTATCTACCACATTTTCTTTATTCATGTATCCATCAATAGACATTTGGGTTGTTTCCATCTCTTGGCTATTGTGAATAATGCTGCTATGAACATGAGTATATAAATTTTAGTTTTTGCCAGGCGTGGTGGCTGACACCTGTAATCCCAGCACTTTGGGAGGTCGGGGCGGGCAGATCACCTCATGTCAGGAGTTTGAGACTAGCCTGGCCAACATGGAGAAACCCCGTCTCTACTAAAAATACAAAATTAGCCAGGCGTGGTGGCACATGCCTGTAATCCCATCTACTTGGGAGGCTGAGGCAGGAGAATAGCTTGAATCCAGGAGGCGGAGGTTGCAGAGAGCCAAGATTGCGCCATTGCACTCGAGCCTGGGCAACAAGAGCTAAACTCTGTCTCAAAAAAAATAAAATAAAATTTAGTTCTTTGGGGTATATATCCAGAAGTGGGTCTGCTGGATCACATGGTAATTCTATTTTTAATTTTTTGAGGAAACTCCATACTGTTTTCCATGATGCTGACCCATCTTGTATTCCCACCAACAGTGCACAAGGGTCCTGATTTCTGCACATCCTCACCAACACGTGTTATTTTCTGGGTTGTTTGTTTGTTTTTGAGATGGAGTTGTGCTCTTGTTGCCCAGGCTGGAGTGCAATGGCGTGATCTCAGCTCACTGCAACTTTAGCCTCCTGGGTTCAAGCAATTCTCCTGCCTCAGCCTCCCAAGTAGCTGGGATTACAGGCACCCGCCACCACGCCGGGCTAAGTTTGTATTTTTAGTAGAGATGGATTTTCACCACGTTGGCCAGACTAGTCTGAACTCCTGACCTCTGGTGATCCGCCCACCTGGGCCTCCTAAAGTGCTGGGACTACAGGTGTGCGCCACCGCACCTGGCCACTGGGTTTGTTTTCTTGTTTTTGATAGTGGCCATTCAACATTTTAATTTTATACCTCCATGAGAACAAGCAGGATTGGACATCTGTAGGCAATCTCACTTGAACCATGGGGAAGTTATGGTTCTGGGAAGTTAAATCAGTTGTCCCAAATCACAGGGCTCATCAGTGAATGAGCTAAATCAGAGACTTGTGTGGTTGTGTGGTTCATAAAGCATGTCCTTCCCCATAAGTTCCCTGGCCTTTAAATTTGCAGTGCTTCTTTAAGAAAAGAAAGGAAGGGGGGAAGAACAGCTCCTTGCTTCTGAATTCCTGCCTGTTACGTTTCAAACAAGGGGGGAATCTACAGAGGATTGTTGTTCTTGGACCCGTAGGCCAAGCAGCGTTTACCTCCACCTAGAAGGAAGCGGTATCCTTGCTAATACCCCAGACGGGAAATGTGTGCCCAGAAGATTAGCTCCATTGTGTGGGCCTGGATGCTTTCCACTGGCTTTGTTTATGGGACAGATTGTTTTTGCTAAGTTGTTTGCTCCGGTGAGTCTCCAAGCTCTTGAGGCCTCCTGGCCCTGGAGAGGGTCAGATTTACGGGTAGCCCGGAGCTTGGGCAGGAAAGGCCCGCAAAGGAACGGGTCCTCTGGGAGACTTCTGGAGACTGTGGGGCTCCTTGGAAAAGCAAACTTGTGGCCTCATTTTATTTTATTTTTAAAATGGGATATGCAATGGGTGTTGCACTGTTCTTCCTTCTTGACTATGGTGCTGATATTTTTGTGTTGCTGTCTACATCTTATGTCTGCTCACCTCTGCGTACTTCCATATGTGTTGCTGGGATTTGGAGGGGACTTTGGGTTTTGTTTTCCCCATTCTTTCTGCCAGAAGCATCATGCATACATGTTAACAGCACAAGCTCTCAAGCACCCATTTGTTCCAAATCAGTTAGCAGATGGGTCCTATAGAATGTGTGGTTAACACTCCCCATTCAGAGGCCACGAGGCATTTCTCCTCGGGTGGTCTCGGTGCTGTGGTCCTGTGTCTGGCATGCACTGTGGATGCCAGCTGCTAGCATGTACTCTTTCTTCATTGTTGCATCTTCCTACCCACGCACCAAGCCAACCAGACCGCCTCAACACCCTGAGGTTTATGCTATTCCCAAACCTCAAGAATCTAGGCCAGGCAGTCTGGCAAAGAAAGATATAGAAACAAGGAAGAAATATCAGGCTGCTTAGCGTCTCTGAGCCTCACCTTTTCTACCTGTACAATGGCATGATGAGGTGGCCCTAGCTCCTGAGGTTATTGAAGGAATCAAGGATATCATAGCTAAAGCACTTAGCCCAGCACCAGGTACCTGAAAGCACTCAATAAATGGCTCCTATGATCTCCTACATGCCCACCTTGGGCCGAACCTTGTGCTAGGCACACGGGGAGAGGAAATGAGACGTAATCTTGCCTCTAAGAACTCACCATCAAGTGAGAAAACCTCAATGGACAGACTAATCCATATAGTGCAGTGATAGGAGCACTCAGTAGTGACTAAACCAGACTGGGAGTATCACGGAAGTCTTCCTGGAGGAGGTGACATCTGAACTGTCACCTTATGAGACTTATGAGACTGAAAAAATGACTTCTGCCATTTAGGTGATCCCACCAAAACACGCTGGAGCCTCACATGACAACACTTGGTGTCTAAGACTCCCGTAGTCCCTAGTAAAGGCCTTGTCATTCATTCATTCAGTCAGTCAGTCAGTCAGTCAGTCTACTAAGTGTCAATAAACACCAACTGGTGACAAGATGATCCTCACCTAGGTTCTCCACAAGCATTAAAATGAGGCCTGTCTCTTTCCTGTCACCAAGCTGCCATTCAGGTCCCAGTTGGCTCTAGGTGTCTCTCATGACAGCGTCCATGGGAAGACAGTGGGGTGGAAGGCAGGGAGAGCCTTACGGTCCCATGTCTAGCATGTGACCTTTGTCATGCTATTCATGGCGCCGATCTTCATTTTACCCTCATAATCCTGGGAGGTGGCCCTTATTATTCCCATTTTAAAAGCAAGGAAATTGAGGCTCAGAGAAGGTAGGTGGTTTTCACAGTGACTTCCAGTTTGCTTGTCTGCTATAATCTGGAGAAAGTAGGAATTCTGTGTACCAGGACTAAACAGTAGCACACGCTCCCTTCACAGCTCAGCTGTGCAAAGCAAAGGTTGCTTCTGGATGTTCCATAACTGCACCAATCTTCCTCCCAAGTTTTGCCCATAAGGTCATCATTGATCTAGAGGAACTAGAACCTGCCAATGAATGATATTGCCATATTATCTTGGTTTGAGAGACTTTGTCATTTCAGATTTCCTTCCCCTCCTCTGTCTCATCAAGGTGGCATTCGGGATATATAGAAGAGAACCCAATGTTTCGGAATACTGCTCAGGAGGCCCTTGCTGACCTCTGTGACAATATGGTCCCTTGCCCCAACACTGTCCCAGCAGGCCACAGTTGCTGGGTCTACAACTGGTAGGCTCCTGGACAGCTGGTGGTCAACTTAGTCCACTCAAGGCATCTTCCCACTGACCAGCCCTACCTTGGCTCTTTCTGGTGCCAAATTTCATCTGGGGTCTGGTTGCCATGAACCTTTTGCCCCTGTCTCATTTCTCGTCACCATGTAGCTCTCAGTTTGAGAGCTACTGCACCCTTCCTACAGCAAGTTCAATCAGTCTCACTTATTATCACCATCAGCACCTTCTATAGATCCCTCCGTAGGCTACCTGGAACATTCTGGAAACTTCTGGATGCAAAATTTGAGCCCTCCCTCTGCCTAACTCTGTTGTAAGCTGATTTTAATGTTGTCTGTTTCCAGAACGTCACATGGAAAATGATGCAAAAGCTGTTCTGCTTTTGACTTTCTCCAAGCCCTAACACTCGCCTCCTAGGAGTTGTGCCTAGATCCCGACACAGCTGACCGCTTCTTGCCTTTCTCTGTCTCTTTTTCTACACTCTCCACTCCACTGGGCTGCAAGACGTTAGCCTTAAAAGTGAAGAGAGAGGTGACTCAGAGAGTGAAGCCAGCAGACAGATTAGAGAACATATATCAGCAGATATTCGAAAACCTTACCTGTTACACCACCTGCCAAGTTCTTGGGAGGGTTAAATTCAAGAATGTTTATATGTGCTGTCTGTACAAATGGGGAAAGACCAAAAGAATAGAAAGAACATAGGTTCCAGAATCCAATTGCTTGGATTCACATTCTACCTTCATCAGTTAGAAGCAATTCATGTACTCTCCAAACCTCAGTCTGCTCCACTGTAAAATGGAAATGACATTAACCTCTGTCTCACTGACTTCTGAGAAATGAATGAAATAGTACCTCTGTGTCCATCAGGGCATACGTTTGGATGCTAATAGTCAAATTGCGGTGCCTGTGCCCTCTGGTGCCACCTGAATAAAAGTGAGGTTTTTTTTGTGAAAGAGAAGAGAGAAATAGATGTTAAGTTCCTAATGAGTGGTATTGGCTGTAGTTGGTAAAGTGGTCTCAGCAGAGTGTCTAGTAAAGAATAGATACCGGAAAATATTAGCTAGTAGCAGTAGTGTTGGTCATGAACTAAGTCATGCGGGATCTGAAATTTGGGGCTGGCGTCTACTTTGTTGCAAGGCAATTAGGAAAGAAAAACTGTGGGGTCCCTTGGAATCACCCAGTGTGACCATTTCAGTTAAGGCACTACTTACTGTTTCTCTGTCAGATCCCTCTCTACATGACACATAGTAGGTTGTTGAATGAGGCCGGGTGTGGTGGTGCATGCTTATAGTCCCAGCTACTCCGGAGGCCGAGATGGGAGGAACGCTTGAGCCCAGGAAGTTGAGGTGGTAGTGATCCGTGATTGTGCCACCGCACTCCAGCCTGGGTGACAGAGTGAGACCCTGTCTCAAAAATATACATATATATTTTGTTGAATGAATGAATGAACCTCTTTGATCCCAGTGGGTTGTAGCCCATCCCCCTACAACAAATGTTGAATCTCCATCCCTATAAACTCCAATTGACCTCTGAGTGGCTTTCATTGGACACCAGTTGCAATGCACGGTTCTGTTCTTCTTCCCACGGTGCACAACAGCAAAACCTCATATTGGGTTTCATTTCCAGCATTTCTTGGCCTGCCCTTTGGAATATGCCAGGCTTTATGCACCCTACCCTTTTGTGTGTCAGCATCTCTCCCCTGCTCCACCGCCCTAAAGGTGCTAATCCTCCAGCTCACTGTAAATGGTGACTTTCTTCCAACTGCCACGATCATGTTTCTTAATCAATAGCCTGACTTGTCAGCACCAAGTAAATACAGCTTTGATTTGAGGAGAAAGAGGAAGCCAGAGAACACGGCTGCAGAAGCACACAGAGAAGGAATCCTTTCTTCCATAAATTAATTACTTCATTAAGTCAACAAATAATAGCAATTCTTTATGCAGTGATTATATACCAGGCACTGCTCTAAGTGCTATATATAATACATATTGACTCATTTAATCCTTACAATCTGTCAAGGTGTTGTGATGATCCCTATTTACATGTAAGGGAACTAGAGAACAGACAGGTTCATAGTTACTGAACTCTATCATAAGTCAGGCCCTGTGCCTAGCGGCTGGAGATGTGGTTGTGAATAAGACAGACGTGAATTCCTGCCTCATAGTGCACAGAGAATACTAAAGGGATATGGATGAAAAACAAACGGGAAATTTACATAGGAATCTCACATAGTATGTCAATTAGGGATGCTTTTGGCTGCAAGTATCAGGCAACCTCACTATAGTGGCTTAAACCCCAGGGCTTTATCTTTCTCTCCGGAGCAGAAAATGAGAGCATGCTGGTGCTGGTTCTATGGCTCAAGGATCTTCATGTGTGTGGTCTTTCCCTTATGGTCATAGGATAGCTGGACAGCTCCAGTCATCACCCTTGTAATTCAGCAGAAAGATGAAGAAAGGGAAGGGGCAGTCCCTGTAACAGGCAGTGATAGCCAATTTCTGCGTCTCTCCTGGGCCAGATGTGGGTCAGATGGCGACCTCTGCCTGGGTGGTCACTAAGGAGAAGGGCACTATATTAGTCCGTTCTTACGCTGCTGTTAAGGACATACCTGAGACTGGGTAATTTATAAAGAAATAGAGGTTTAATGGACTCACAGTTCATGTGGCTGGGGAGGCCTCACAATCATGGCAGAAGGCAAAAGGCATGTCTTACATGGCAGCAGGCAGGAGAGACTGAAAGCCAAGCAAAAGGGGAAACCCCTTATAAAACCATCAGAACTCATGAGACTTATTCACTACCATGAGAACAGTATGGGGGAACCACCCCCATGATTCAGTCATCTCCCACTGGGTCCCTCCCACAACACATGGGAATTATGGGAGCTATAATTCAAGATGAGATTCGGGTGGGGACACAGCCAAAACTTATTACTCTGCTCCCAGCCCCTCCCAAATCTCATGTCCTCACATTTTAAAACTAATCATGCCTTCCCAACCGTCCCCCAAAGTCTTAACTCATTTCAGCATTAATTCAAAAGTTCATAGTCCAAAGTCTCATCTGAGACAAGGCAAGTCCCTTCTGCCTATGAGCCTGTAAAATCAAAAGCAAGTTAATTACTGCCTAGATACAATGGGGGTACAGGCATTGGATAAATACACCCATTCCAAATGGGAGAAATTGGCCAAAATGAAGGGGCTAAATGTTCCATGCAAGTTCAAAATCCAACGGGGCAGTCAAATCTTAAAGCCCCAAAATGATCTCCTTTGACTCCATGTCTCACATCCAGGTCTCACTGATGCAAGAGGTGGGTTCCCATGGTCTTGGGCAGGCACTGATGGTGAAGGTCAGTCAGCCAACCTACAATGTCAACCACAGGAAATACAATGGAAGAAATCAAACAGGATAATGGGATAGAGGGCTCCTGGATATAAAGTGGTTGGTGGAGGTGATGTTTGAACAGAGACCTCGTGACCCAGAGCCAGCTCTGCAAAGACTTGGGACAGAGTATTCCATACAGAGGACATCACAGTGCTAAGACCCTCACTTGGAAGCAAGTGTGGTGAGGCCTTGGGAGAGAGAGAGGTCCAGGGTGGCTGGAGCCTGGGAATAATGGGCAGTGAGGCAAATCCAGACCACAGAGGAAGACACAGGGGCCAGAGTGTGCAGGGCCTTTGAGGTCCTATAAGAAGTTTGGATCTTATTCTAAGTGTGGTGGGAAGTTACTGGAAGCTTTTAATCAGGGGAATCACATGATCTGATTCATGTCTTCAAAGGAATTATTGGGGCAGAAGAGCAGTTGTGAAAGTCACAAGGTTGAGACTTAATTCTGGGTAATGATACAGCTTTTCCCAGCTCCCACCTTTTCTGCCTCTTGTACATCCACCACCCCCTTTTGATTTCAATGGAGATCCTAGAGGGCTGGACTGCGTCCTGCTCATCTGTCTCCCTGGGACCTATGCAGAGCCAGGCATGTGGCAGCACTTGGTAAACATTGGTTGGGTTGAACTGGACAGAGGCTCTACTCCAAGGTTCCCAAGCTCCTGTCAATTACACTCCACTCTTATGGTTTTTGACTATATCAGTGGCTCTTAGCTGGTTGAGTTTGCCTCCCAGGGGACATTTGGCAATGTCTGGAGCCATGTTTGGCCGTCACAACCAGAGAGAGAGAGAGCAGGGGATACTACTGGCGTCTAGTGGGTAGAGGCCAAGGATGCTGCTAAACACCCTACAGCTCATAGGACAGTCCCCACCACACAGAATTATCTGGCCCCAAGTGCCAATAGTGCTGAGGTTGAGAAAACTTGGACTAAATCTACATGCCAGTTCTATGACGTCCTTAATATTTTCCTTTCAATTAACTGACTTTTTAAATGAAAAACATTAAAGAAATCATGTATCACTCCCCTAAATAAGAAGCCAGTGTCACTTGCCATAAATAGATGATAATTGAAACATAAATACTCAGAAAACAAAACTTGATTTTATTCTAGCTGGATATTGTTACTAGTCTGAGGCTCTGAGCCTGAAGCTTGGATTCTCTTTGCTAAAAAGAGTTAGGTCAAGGTCATGAAAGACTGAGGAACTGTTCCAGATTAAATGTGAGTGAAGAAAAATGACAAATAAATGCAATATGATTGCGGATTGGATCCTGGATCAGAAAAAACTAAAATGACTGAAATGACTTCATTGAGACAATTGGCAGACTTTGAATATGGATTGTATATTGGGTAATGGCATGGTACCAATATTAAATTTGCTGAATTTGGTAACTACAGTGCGGTTATGGAAGAGAATGTCCTGTTCTTAGGAGATACATGGAGTATTTAGGATTTTTTCTTGAGACGGAGTGTCACTCTTGTTGCCAGGCTGGAGTGCAATGGCACGATCTCGGCTCACTGCAAGCTCTACCTCCCCAGTTCAAGTGATTCTCCTGCCTCAGCCTCCCGAGTAGGTGGTACTACAGGCATGTATCACCAGGCCTGGCTAATTTTTGTGTTTTTAGTAGAGACGGGGTTTCACCATATTGGCCAGGCTGGTCTCAAACTCCTGACCTCAGGTGATCCATCCGCCTCGGCCTTCCAAAGTGCTGGGATTACAGGCGTGAGCCACCACGCCTGGCCAGGAATTAAAGATCATGATATTGGCAACTGATTCTCAAGTGCTTTTTAAAAAAGTGTGTGTACATGTTGTATGCATATGTATATACACATAGACTTATAGATATGCATATACCCAGAAAGACAGACAGACAGACACACACACACACACACACAGAAATGTGGCAAAAATGTAAACAGAGGTAGAATCTAGATAAAGTGTATATAAGAGATTATTTTACAGTTCTTGCAACTTTTTCTGTAGTCTTGAATTTTTGTAAAATAGAAATTAAAAGCAAGCAAGCAAACAAATAAAAACGCTCCTAAATTTACCTCTAACATGACCAAAGTCTCAATTTTTTTCCTCTTTTTTGATACAAGGTCTCACTCTGTCACCTGGGCTGGAGTGCAGTGGTGTGATCATAGCTCACCACAGCCTTGACCTCCCAGGCTTCAGCAATTCTCCCATCTCCCTTGATGCATGCCTGTAATCCTACTACTCCACAGGCTGAGGCAGGAGGATCTCCTGAGCCCAGGAGTTTGAGTCCAGCTTAAACAGCATAGCAAGAACTCCATCTCTAAAAATTAAATTTAAAAGGATTGAAAGCAAACAGAAAGCAGAATGACTTTCTCACTGTGATTCAGTGTTTTCAGGCAAGGGTCAGTCCAGCCAGAGGCTGCTGCTAGCTCAGCAGTCAGGTCCTCCTCTTCAGTCCAATAAAATAACTAGTTTTCAGACTCGGTTTTCTCAGCTACAAAATGGAGATAACACAGCGTACTCCAGGTGCAGAATGGGGGCGGGTCTCCCTGCTCTTGGAGGTCTCGATAATACTGTCTTGACTCGCCACCTCCACCCACATTCCAGACCCAGGGAAATTCCAATGCCCTTGCAAAGATGTCATCGAATTCCTGGCACCTTACACTCTCACTGTCACCTAGGGCTCTACTTCCTCCTGTCTCGGCCGACTTATTGTTCTCCCTCTGATTCTTATGGCGATTTATTTGTCTTTACCATCACAGGAATTCAATCCTGTGCTGTGATTTCCAACACACACACAAAGACAAAGACACACACAAACACACCTGGACACACACAAACTCACAAACAGAGGCACACAGAGACAAAGACACACTGAAGCAGACAGACACAACAGTACACACAGACTCAGAGACAGAAACATTCACAGAGACAGACACAGACACACAAAGACACACACAGACACAGTCATACAGACACGTACCCATAGACATACAGACACACACGGACACACTCATATAGACACACACCATAGACGTACAGACACATACACACATAGACATTCACAGACACACAGACACATGCATACATACCTATAGGCATACAAACACACAGACACACTCATACAAATACACACAGAGAGACATACAGATGCACTCATACACACCCATGGACATACCAACACAGAAGCACTCATACAAATACACACATACACACATACAGACACAATCAAAGACATAGATACACTCATACAAATATACACCCATGGACTTAAAGACACACACAGACAGTACACTCATACAAATACACACACACACACGCATATGCACTCATACAGAACACACATTCACACACATAGATATACAAACACACTCGTATAGACACACATTCACAGACACACACACAAATACACTCATACAGAACACACATTCACAGACACACCAGGTCTGCCTATGTGGCAGACTTCACAAGGTTCAGGGGCTCTGGAAGGAGTGTTCAACGCACACTTATGAGTATTGGGTATCTTTCTTCAGAATCCCCCAAACATCCTTCCTTTCCAATCTTCTTTTATCTTGCCTCCCAAATATTCTTCTCCACCTTTTTTCTGATCAGAACAATTCATTTCTTTTCAACTCTCTGATTTTGAGCTCTCCCTGGACTTCCCTTTACATGCCTTCCCTCTCGTGAATGTGCTCTGCTGAGACCCAGACCTTCCAATCTGGTCTCTTCCTCTCACATCAAGTTTTGCAAGGGGAAAAGACCAGCAGAGAGACTGATTTCCCCATCCATGTGAAGCGCGCCACCCACCCTTACACAAGCTTAAAATGCAAAGTGGTCATACTTTGTTTTGTTATGACCATTTAGAGAGGGTTTTGCATGGGGGGGTGCTGATGTTTCCTTTGTTCTTTACGTGGTAGGATTGTTGGGAGGATTACATGAAATGAGGGAGGAGGAGTCATGGTGGCAGTGGTGGTATAGACAAGGATTGAGGATTCTATTCTTTTTTAAAAACAATTTTTATTGTTACATAATAATTGTACATATTTATGGGGTACATGTGGCATTTTGATGTGTAGAATGTGTAATGATCACATCGGGGTATTTAAAATATCCATTACCTTGAACACTTATCATTTATCTGTGCTGGGAACATTTCAAATCTTCTCTTCTAGCTATTTTGAAATATACAGGCCGGGCACAGTGGCTCACGCGTGTAATACCAGCACTTTTGGGAGGCCGAGGCAAGCGGATCACTTGAGGTCAGGAGTTTGAGACCAACCTGACCAACATGGTGAAACCCGTCTCTACTAAAAATACAAAAAATTAGCCAGGAACGGTGGCTTATGCCTGTAATCCCAGCTATTCGGCAGTATGAGGCAGGAGAATCTCTTGAAACTGGGAGGCAGAGGTTGCAGTGAGCCGAGATGGTGCCATTGCACTATAGCCTGGGCAACAAGAGCAAAACTCCATCTCAAAAAAAAAAAAAAAAGAAAGAAAGAAATATACAATAAATTGTTGTTAACCACAGTTATCCTGCTGTACTATCAAACACTTGAATTCATTCTTTCTATCTAACTTTATGTTTGTACCCATTAGCCAACCTGTCCTCATCCCCACTCCAACACTTCTGGAAACCACCATTCTACCCTCTGCCTCCATGACAGCACTTTTTTAGCTTCCACATGTAAGAACATATGATATTTGTTTTTCTGTTCCTCGCTTATTTCATTTAACATAATGGCCTCAAGTTCCATCCATGTTGCTGCAAATGCCAGGATTTCATTCTTGTTTATGGCTGACTGACATACAATGGTGTTCCATTGTATATATACATTTTTTTTTAGAGATGGGGTCTCACTACATTGCCCAGGCTGGTCTCAAACTCCTGGCCTCAAGTGATCCTCCCACGTCGACCTCCCAAAGCATTGGAATAATAGGCACAAACCACTGTGCCCAGCCCTCTGTGTGTGTGTATGTGTGTGTGTGTATAAATGGATATATGTAATATCCATTTATATCATGTATATGTACACATTTACATTTTCTTTATCCATTCATTTGTTAGACAGTTAGGTGGAATCCATATCTTGGCTATTGTGAATAGCACTGCAATAAACATTGATGTAGCCGAGGCAACATAGTGAGACCTTGACTCTACAAAAAAAATATTTTTTTAAAAAATTAGGCTGGGCACAGTGGCTCACATCTGTAATCCCAGCACTTTGGGAGGCCAAGGCGGGCATATCATGAGGTCAGGAGTTCGAGACCAGTCTGGCCAACATGGTGAAACCCTGTCTCTACTAAAAATACAAAAATTAGCCGGGCGTGGTGGCGGGCACCTGTAATCCCAGCTACTCAGGAGGCTGAGGCAGCAGAATCACTTGAAAGCGGGAGGCAGAGTTGCAGTGAGCCAAGACTGCACCACTGCACTCCAGCCTGAGTGACAGAGCAGGACTCCATCTCAAAAAAAAAAAAAAAAAATAGTTAGGTGTGGTGGAGGGCATCTGTGGTCCTAGCTACTCAAGAGGCTGAGGCAGGAGGAGCCCAGGAGTTCAAGGTTGCAGTGAGCTATGATTGTGCCACTGCATCCAGCCTGGGAGCCAGAGTGAGGCTGCCTCTAAAATAAATCAATACACACACAAGCAAACATGGGGATGCAGATATTTCTTTGATATATGGATTTCCTTTCCTTTGGATAAATACCCACTAGTGAGATTGTGAGGTCGTGTGCTAGTTCGTTTTCAGTCATTTGAGAAACCTCCTTACTGTTTGACGAGTCTATTCTAAATCAACTTATGGCCTAGTGTTCATGGTGATCTGTGCCACTGCCCTCAAACACACCAAGCTCTTTCCTGACTCAGGGCTTTGCGCGTGCTGTTCCCTCTGCTGGGGTTCTCCTTTTCCCATTCTTGACATATTTAGATCCTTTTCATTTTTTCTTTTTTAATTTTATTTTATTATTATTTTTAAGATGGAGTCTCGCTGTGTCACCCAGGCTGGAGTGCAGTGGTGCAATCTCAGCTCACTGCAACCTCTGCCTCCTGGGTTCAAGCAATTCTCCTGCCCCAGCCTCCCAAGTAGCTGGGATTACAGGCACCTGCCACCACGTCTGGCTAATTTTTGTAATTATAGTAGAGATGGAGTTTTACCATATTGGCCAGGCTGGTCTCCAATTCCTGACCTCAAGTGATCCACCGTCCTCAGCCTTCCAAAGTGCTAGGATTACAGGCATGAGCCACCATGACCGGCCCTTTTCATTCTTTAGCTCTCAGCTTCTATGTCATCACTTCAGGAATTCCTTTCCTGGCCTCCTTATTGATTTCCTTCATGGCATTTGTTACAGCTCACAATGATTTGATTTTATTTTTTGTACTTTGTTTTGGTCTATTTTCTCCCGCTAGCTAGTAAGCTCTCTGAGGACAGGAACCATGTCTGTAGGTTCACCTTTATATCCTCAGAGTCCATCATAGTACTTAATAAGCATTTATTATTGAACGAAGCTCCCCCTTAAAGTTCTCCCCCAAGGAATGGAAGCTCTGAAGGGCCTTACTTCTTATACCAGTTTTAGAACAGAGGGTTTCCAGATTCACATTGCTGCTAGAAAACCCTATCAGCAGTAAACAGGTAAACTGAGCACCTCATTAAAAAGCAAAAAACCTTTTGATCTCAAAATAATTTCAGACTTAAGGAAAAGTTGCAAAAGCAACAGCACATTCCCAAAGACCCTCCACCCAGCTTCTCCTAATATTAGCATGTTTTATAACTATAGAACAATGCAAAATGAACTGAGAAGTTAACATGGAGGCCAGGTGTGGTGGCTCATGTCTATAATCCCAGCACTTTGGGAGGCTGAGGCGGGTGGATCACCTGAGGTCAGGAGTTTGACACCAGCCTGACCAACATGGAGAAACCCCGTCTCTACTAAAAATACAAAATTAGCTGGGCATGGTGGCACATGCCTGTAATCCCAGCTACTAGGGAGGCTGAGGCAGGAGAATCACTTGAACCCGGGAAGCGGAGGTTTCCGTGAGCCGAGATTGCGCCACTGCACTCCAGCCTGGGCAACAAGAGTGAAACTCCGTCTCAAAAGAAGAAGAAGAAGAAGTAGTTAACGTGGGTACAATATTACTAACTAATCTATCGACTGTATTCAGATTTCACCAGGTTTTCCCTCTAATGACCTGTTTCTGTCCAGGAACCCACATTACATTTAGCCATCAGTTCTCCTTAGTCTCTTCCAGCCTCTGACAATTCTTCAGCCTTTTCCTTGTCTTTTATGACTTTGACACTTTTGAAAAATACTGGAGGGACATTTTGTAGATGTCCCTCCATTTGGGTTTGTCTGATGTTTTCTCATGATTAGACGGAGGTTATGGGTTTGGGAGAAGAATAATAGAGGTGAAATGCCATTCTCTTTGAATCATGTCTATCATATCAACATATCAACATGACTTATTACTAGGGATGTTAACTTCAACCACTTGATTAATGTGGTGTCTGCTGGGTTTCCTCACTATAAAGTTACCATTTTTCTTTTTGTCATTAATTAATCTCTCGGGGGAGATACTTCACGACTATCTTGTTTCTCCTCAAATGTTTGCTCACTTAAACTTTAGCAAGCATCCATGGATCTTACCTGCAGAAATTTCTACTGTGGTGTTCTAATGGTGATTTTTTTTATTTCCCTCATTGCTTCTACATTTATTAATTGTTTTGTTTGTTTTGTTTTTGAGACAGAGTCTCACTCTGTCACCCAGGCTAGAGTGCAGTGGCACAATCTCGGCTCACTGCAACCTCTGCCTCCTGGATTCAAGTAACTCTCATGCTTCAGCTTCCCAACAAGCTGGGATTACAGGTGTGCACCACCATGCCCTGGTAATTTTTGTATTTTCAGTAGAGACAGGGTTTCGTCATGTTCGCCAGGCTGGTCTTGAACTCCTGACCTCAAGGGATCCCCCCACCTCGGCTTTCCAAAATTTTGGGATTACAGCCATGAGCCACCATGCCCGGCCTATTAATTGTAATTCTTCTTAAGAAAATACTTCCCTCCTTCTTTCCTCCTTTCCTTCCTTCCTCCTTTTCTTGCTTACTCCTTTTCTTCCTTTCTTATTATTATGGACTCATGGGTATTTATTCTATGACTTATAATCCAATATTACCATTAGTTTGTTGCTCAAATTTTTCCATCTCTGGCCATGAGGAGCTCTACATCCTTCCAATAAACCCCAATTATTTTTTGAGCAATTCCCTATTTTCTGGCATCACAAGGTATTCTACAGGCATTTTGTATTTTCTCCGCTCCAGTTCTGGAAGTAACCACCTCTCCAAGGAGCCCTGGTCTCTCTTTTTTTGGAGAATGGTATTTAGAAACCAAGATCTGAGTGGTAGGTGTGCTCACTGCTAGTGGAGAATCCTTGCTGCTGGAGTCTCTCAGTGTTCAGAGCTTGAGAATATATTATGTATACCAATCCATGCATGCATGGATATATCTATCTATCTATGTATCTATCTGTCTATCTATCTATCCATCCATCTGTCCACCTATACCTATCTCTACATATTAAGAAACCTTTAGTTCATACCAATACTACTGATTTCAATTCATCATCACAGCACTCAGTCTAACATCCCTCTTTCCCCTGTTTGTAACTTTGTTTTTTAATTGAAAGACTGATGCTTAAATCCTGGTAAGCTGTAAAAATATGCTCCCTTCTCACCCTTCCTCTCATCTTTTCTCCTGTGGAAATGGTTGACATAAGGATGCAACACTGAATGCTAGATATTGCAGACAGAGGCTACAGGAAAGAGAGCTGAGCTGACATCACGGTCCTTCCTACTGCAAAAAGCACTAATTACACATTTTATACTTTATCGGCAGTGGGGGTGCAAGAGGGTCGGCCTGGGCTCTGGAATGTAAGCTCACTGTTCCAGCCAAAAAATGAGTCAGTTGAGATGGGAATGCAAATTTATTTGAGCAGTTGTGTGTCAACATATTTCCGGAAAAAAAAAATTGTGTGTGTGCCTGTTTTCTGCTCCAGCCTTCTGGAAAATACTGTCACCCGATGGCCCTCTTACTTTGGCAACAATTCTTGTTCCTGGGGGCACCTTACCTCTTGTCTTTTAACCATCTCATTGATTTCTGTCCCCTTCATCTTCCAACACACATGTTGTTCCCTTTCCTTTTCTTCTGACTTCCCATCTTTATTTTCCTTTTCACAGACCCTGTGAATTTTCACCTCCAAGCAGATCCTAGTGGAAACCTTTCATGGCTGGGTCATCAGAATCTTTTCAATACAAAAAGCCAAGCTTACATTTCCCTTTATTTTGTTGTCTGGGACTTGGTTTTTTCCTTAAGTTCCCTGTTCTTGTAATACTTTGGGTGTGGAGGAATTTTCTGTTTTTCCGTCCTTTCATAACAGTTCAGAGTTGTTCACTATGAAACCCCGAGGAATGCTTCGCTGAAAACCCAAATTTTGCCTACCACACTCTGGATATGCTAAAGATAACTAAGGCAAGGCAAGATTGGCTCACTCTGATGGCAAATGAAGTGCTTGTTATTCAAAACTAAAGAGTCCAACTCTGAGCTCCTCCTGGGAGGAAAGAAAATAAGTGTGTTCCAGGTATTATTCCTTTTAGTGTTATCAACAATTCCAGAGGCCCACGGGCCTGTTTGGGATCCTGCCATTCCCAGAGCCAGGGGTGGGGGCCACCTTCACAGTGACCTGAGCTGACCAGAAATAAACCCAGAATACCCCGGAGCAGGGAGATGTCAAGTCAGTGGGAGGGAGAGCCTACGGAGAGCCCGTATTTTCTTAGCTGTATCCAGGAAGCCTGGATGGAATGGGCTTGGCAGGCACCAACTTCCTGGGGAGCCAACTGGGCAGCTTCCCGGGGGTGCCAGGAGTGCAAAATCACCACTGGGGCACTGAACCATCATAAGACAATGAAGAACTCATTTCGCGAATTCCAAGAACACTATCCGTTCTCGGAAGGAATCTTTAGCAAAGTCACTTAGGGTTGGCGGGAAGGGAGGGAGGATGTGGTGAGTAATCATAAGAATAACTACAAGTAGCTACAAGGGCATGCTCCATAGCTTTAATAATAAAAAGAAGGCAACAATAATAGAAATAATGAAGGCAGCTGGAATTTAGTCCAATTCTTCCTCATGAGCCGGGCAATGTACCCAAGTTTGTTGTACACATCAATCTCATTGAATTCTCACAACGACTGTGTGAGGTAGGTACTGTCTCAGATGTGTCATTTCACATCTGGGAAACAGGTCAAGAAGAATGAAATATGGTGCTTGTAGCTGCAAAACTACAAAGTGGCAAAGACTGGATCAGAACTCTCAACTTGCTTTCTTAAGTATTCTTCTGTGTGGTCTTACTGGAAGGGCTTTTCTTTAAACTAAAACATATTTATTTATTTATTTTTTATTTGTATTTGTTTTTTTTTTTTTTTTTTTTTTTTGAGACGGAGTCTCGCTCTGTCGCCCAGGCTGGAGTGCAGTGGTGAGATTTCAGCTCACTGCAACCTCTGCCTCCTGGATTCAAGAGATTCTCGTGCCTTAGCCTCCCGAGTAGCTGGGATTATGGGTGCGTGCCACCACGCCCAGCTAATTTTTTCTATTTGTAGTAGAGACAGGGTTTTGCCATGTTGGCCAGGCTGGTCTCGAACTCCTGGCCTCAAGTGATCCGCCTGCCTCGGCCTCCCAAAGTGCTGGGATTACAGGCATGAGCCACCGCCCCCGGCCCAAAGTAATACATATTTAATCCTTTGTATAACTCATTATTGACATAATATTTTTTCCTTTTATTTTTATTTGCCACATAATAATTGTTCATATTTATGGGATACAGATATTTTGATACATACAGACAATGCTCAAATCAGTGTAATGATCAAATCAGGGTATTAACATATCTAGCACTTCAAACATTTATCATTTCTTTGTGTTGTAAATATTCAAAATCCTCTCTTCTAGCTTTTTGAAAATATACAATAAAATATGTTAATTATAGTCACCATACAGTACTACAGAAGCCTAGAACTTACTGCTCTCATCTAGCTGTAATTTTGCTAATCCGTTAATCAACCTCTCCCTGCCCCCTCTCCCCGCTACCTGGAAGGGTCTGCCTTGTAAGCTATAGGCTTTGGTTTTGCTGAGCTGAGTATTCAGGTGGTCATGGCTGATATTTTAGTATAAGTGTTAGGATGCTAGTCAGATGACCCAAGGACAGGACGACAAGCTCTGCCCTCCACACAGATGCAATCTAATGACAGAGGCATCCAGTCGGCAGGTGCAAGGCCATTTGCAGGGCCACACTGTGGAAGATGGTGACAGCACATCAAACTGAGTGTCCAAGGATTATGCCTGCAAACCATGAGTGTTCCAGTGTTTAGAGGCAAGGTTGTGAGAAAGGAGGAAAATCATGCTGGACAGAAAGACAGGCGTGAGCCAAAACACAGAGGAAATGGCACAGCATGTGCCTAGAAAGAGAAGCTTGGAGTTGGCTAGAAGATAGGGTCCAAGGTGAAGGGGAAGACAAGAGCTAAAGCTGGAGAGATAAGCAGGGGCCTTGTGCAAACCAGTGGGGCCTCGGACTTTAAATATGGAAGGACCTGGGTCTGAATTCCAATTTAGCCATGTGCTCGCTGTATGATCATGGGCTACATTTCAGAACCCTTCTCAACTTCAATATTCATATCTGGAAAACAGAGAGACATGTAATTTTTTTTTTTTTTTTTTTTTTTTTTTGAGACGGAGTCTCACTCTGTCACCCAGGCTGAAGTGCAGTGGCGCAATCTCAGCTCACTGCAATCTCTGCCTCCTGAGTTCAAGCAGTTCTCATGCCTCGGCTTCCAGAGTAGCTGGGATTACAGGAGCCCGCCACCATGCCCAGCTAATTTTTGTACTTTTAGTAGAGACAGGATTTCACCATGTTGGCCAGGCTGGTCTCGAACTTCTGACCTCAAGTGATCTGCCCGCCTCGGCCTCCCAAAGTGCTGAAATCACAGGTGTGAGCCACTATGCCCGACTGAGACACATAATTTTATGATATATACGTTAGGCTGAGAGCCTATGCACCCAGTCTTGGGTCACACAGTTGATGAATGGATTCGCCAGGAAACACATCTATTTTTATTACAGGTCAAGCTTTATAGTTCATAAAGCTCTCATATATTCTCACTTCATTTCGCAGGTTTCAGGTCTCTTACCCTGTTTGAATTTTCATTTTTCTCTCTCGGCACCAGTCTTCTCCAATCTACGTAGCCCTCAAGGGTAGGGACCACATCCTATTGTTCATCACGAGTGGTCCATGGTAATGCAGGGGTCTCAGGCTTGGCAGTGCAACAGAATCACTGGGAAGCTCCAGAAATCTGCAGAGATCTGGGCCTCATCCAAGGTGTGTTGAACCAGAATCTTTAGAACTGCTGCCTGAGCTTTTTCTCTTATCCAGGTGGGGTTTGGAAACACAGCAGAAATATGTTCAAGGGAATCAGTGAGCAAGTGACCATCCTAGATATATCAGGCGGGATAGGCTAGTGCATGCTATGACAGCCATCAACCAGGAGCTGCTTAAAACAACCAAAGTTTGGCCGGGCGCGGTGGCTCACGCCTGTAATCCCAGCACTTTGGGAGGCCAAGGTGGGCAGATCAGGAGGTCAGGAGATCGAGACCATCCTGGCTAACACAGTGAAACCCTGTCTCTACTAAAAATACAAAAACTTAGCCAGGTGTGGTGGTGGGAGCCTGTAGTCCCAGCTACTCAGGAGGCTGAAGCAGGAGAATGGCGTGAACCTGGGAGGCAGAGCTTGCAGTGAGCCAAGATGGCGCCACTGCACTCCAGCCTGGGCGACAGCGCAAGACTCCGTCTCAAAAAAAAAACAAAAAAAAACACCAAAGTTTGTGTTTTGCTCATTTTGTGCCCACAATGGGTTGGCTGAGGGCTCTTCTCAACAGAGCCAGCGCCATCCTGGGCATTGCTATTTGCCCTGCCAGAGACACAGAGCTCTGGCCCAGAAGAGATACTTACTCTCTCCATTCACACTCCTTGGCCAGAGCTAGTCAGAACACCTCACCCAAGTGGAAAAGGAAGTGGAGCCCTGCATGTGCCCAGAAGCTGGGGAGCCTGAAGTCAGTCATTGGTGAACAGCACAGATAACTACCAGGTTCTATGAAGCTGGCATCACTAACTTCATTTCACAGTGAGACTTAAGAAGCTTGTTCAAGGCCAGACAGCAAATATGGAGCAGGATTTGAGGTCTTTTTTTTTTTTCGGTCTGGCTCAAGGTCATCTTTTTTTTTTTTTTTTTTTTTGGTAACAAAGCTGGATAGTGCAGGGCACTCAATCTAGTGGTTAAAAGCCTGGAATCTGTACTGCCTCCAGACCCTCAGCTCTACCACTTACCAGATGTGTGAGCTAGGCAAGTAATGGAACCACTTTACACCCATCAAAGAGAGAGTCAAAGGAGGGGGAGGGCCAAGGAAGGATGTATTTTCTGGAATGAAGTGTTTGGAACCAGGTAGGACTTGCCTGAGTAGGACTGGTAAGGTGGGGAGGGAATAGATTTTAAAATTGCACAGAATTTAAGGTGGTTCCTGACATAGCCAGGGAAGAGGCATGCTTATTCCCCAGAAATTGCTCCCTTCCTCCCTGTACCAGTGTAAATATTTGGGCTTCAAAGAACAAAGAAGCCAACTGGAGTTGGTCTGACCACATGCATTAGCTCAGGGAAGAGAGTGGCCAGGGCTTTGTGGGTCTGGGGTCAGTCCAGCAGCTTGGTGATGTCATCAAGGACCCAGATTTTGTTTTGTTTTGTTTTGTTTTGTTTTGTTTTTTGAGATAGGGTCTTGCTCTGTCACCCAGGCTGGAGTGCAGTGGCACAATCACAGCTCACTGCAGCCTCAACCTTCCAGACTCAAGCGATCTTCCTGCCTCAGCCTCCTGAGTAGCTGAGACTCCAGGCACCTGCCACCACTCCTGGCTAATTTTTATATTTTTATTTTTTGTAGAGATGAGGGTCTCGCTATGTTGCCTAGGCTGGCTTTGAACTCCAGGCTTCAAGTGATCCCTGTGCTTTAGCTTCCAAAGTACTGAGATTACAGGCGTGAGCCACCCACCCAGCCTCCAGGATCTTTTGGCATCTGTGCCATGCATGCCCTATGTTAAGGCTCATTCCCATCACAGCTGTTGGGAAAGCCATTGGTGGCAACAGAGGTTCCAGGTAAGCAGGGGGAGTGGGCTGGCTTCCTGGGTTCTCCCTTACAGCAGAGAAAGTTTGCCTCCCCACTACCCCCGGTGAGCCCCTGTCCAAGTCTCACAGGCTCTGATTGGTTTTGGCCTGTAAGGGGTCGACGTCCTTGGATGGAAACGCGAGCTGGTTTAAGCAGAATTGGGAATGCAATAGAGGATGTTAGGTATCCCACAGAATCACTGGGAGGGCCAGAGAAAAGAACTTGAGGCTAAGCTTCTAGGAAAAATGCCCCAAACCACACTGCAGGCCTGGCTGGATGAACTAAACTCCACCCTGCTCCTGCGCCATGAAACATCAGTGCCAGGAGCCTGCCCTCACTTTAGCCGCTGCTGCCGTCAGCACGGGGCCCACTATGCCACTGGGAGCTCGACCCTGCAACCACTACCCCCAAAGCCAGCCACTTCTGCCACTGACACTTCAACATTCTCATGGGGTGCCTCCAGGTGACAGGGCCGACATCATACGGCTTGTCTTAGTTGCAAGGAAGGCAGGAGATCTGCATCTTGATATCTTCTCCGGGGTGCCCGGACTTACAATGTGGGATTTCCTCAAAGACAGATAGGTTACAGATACAACGCTGTCTCCTACATCCTGCCCATCCTTGATCCAGCACTGGGTGCGGCAGAGGTGGCAGGATTGAGCTTAGATTGACCAACAGGAACGATGAGTATCTGAGGACCAACGACGTTGCTCACAACACCCTTCTGCTTCTGGTTTGATTTCTTTCTCTCCACTGCCTCCATGTGCTCGGGGTGCACATGTGTCTCAAGATGTCATTAATTTTTTAAAATCACATGTATTATTATATATTATGCCCAAATCACATAATCTATTGTTTTTTAAATTATAGTTTCAGGGGCACATGTGCAGATTGGTTCTATAAATTGCATGTCGACAGGGTTTGGTGTATGTATTATGTCGTCACCCAGGTAATCAGCATGGTATCCAATAGGTAGTTTTTTGATCCTCACTCTCCTCCCCGACTCAACCCTCAAATAAACCCAAGTGTCTATTGTTCCCTTCTTTGTGTCCACATCTGCTCAATGTTTAGCTCCCACTTATAAGTTAGAACATGTGATGTTTGGTTTTCTGTTCCTGCATGAGTTCACTTAGGACAATGGCATCCAGCTCCATCCACCATTCCTGTTGGTCAATCTGAGCTCAGTCCTACCACCTCTGCCGCACCCAGTGCTAGGTCAAGGATGGGCAGGATGTAGCAAACAGCTGTCGTACCTGTAGCCTATCTGTATTGAGATGTCCATGCTGCAAAGGACATGATCTCATTCTTTTTCATGGCTGCATAGTATTCCATGGTGTATAGGTACCACATTTTCTGTATCCAGTATACTGTTGATGTGCATTTAGGTTGATTCTGTGTCTTTGCTATTGTAAACAGTGCTGCAATGAACATACACATGCATGTGTTTTTATGGCAGAATGCTTTATATTCCTTTGGATACATACCCAATAATGGGATTGCTGGGTCCAATGGTAGTTCTGTTTTAAGTTCATTGAGAAATTGTCAAACTGTTTTCCACAGTGGCTGAACTAACTTATATTATCACCAGCAGTGAATAAGCATTCCCTTTTCTCCACAGCCTCGTCAGCATCTGTTATTTTTTGACTTTTTAATAATAGCCATTCTGACTGGTGTGAGATGGTATCTCACTGTGGTTTTGATTCGCATTTTTCTGATGATTAGTGAGGTTGAGCATTTTTTCGTATGCTTGTTGGCTGTATACATGTCGTCTTTTGAAAAGTGTCTGTTCATGTCCATTGCCCACTTTTTAATGGAGTTGTTTTTTGCTTGTTAGTTTAAGTTCCTTATAGATTTTGGAATTAGATCTTTGTAAGATGCTTAGTTTGCAAATATTTTCTCCCATTGTGTGGTTTGTCTGTTTACTCTGTTGATAGTTTCTTATGCTGTGCAGAAGTTCTTTAGTTTAATTAGGTCCCATTTGTTGATTTTTATTGCAATTGTTTTTGGCATCTTCATCATAAAATCTTTGCCAGGGCCTATGTCTAGAATGGTATTTCCTAGGTTTTCTTCAAAAGTTTTTATAGTGAGGTTTTATATTTAAGTCTTTAATCCATCGAGTTGATTTTTGTACATGGTGTAAGGAAGGGGTCCAGTTTCAATCTTCTGCATATGGCTAGCCAGTTATCATGGCACCATTTATTGAAAAGGGAATCCTTTCCCCATTGCTTGTTTTGGTCAACTTTGTCAGAGATCAGATTGTTGTAGATGTGCAACTTTATTTCTGGGGGCTCTATTCTATTCTGTTGGTATATGTATCTATTTTTGTACCAGAACCACGCTGTTTTGGTTACTGTGGCCTTGTAGTATGGTTTGAAGTCAGTAATGTGATGCCTTTGGCTTTGTTCTTTTTGCTTAGGATTGCTTTGGCTATTTGGGTTCTTTTTTGGTTCCGTGTGAATTTTAGAATAGTTTTTTCTAAGTGTGTGCAGAATGTCATTGGTAGTTTGATAGGAATAGCATTGATTCTGTAGGTTGCTTTGGGTAGTATGGCCATTTTAACAATATTGATTCTTCCTGTCCATGAGCGTGGAATGTTTTTCCATTTGTTTGTGTCATCTCTCTTTTCTTTCAGCAGTGTTTTGTAATTCTCATTGCAGAGTTCTTTCCCCTCCCTGGGTAGCCGTATTCTTAGGTATTTTACTCTTTGTGTGGCTATTGCAAATGTGATTGCATTTTTGATTTGGCACTCAGCTTGGATGCTATTGGTGTATGGAAATGCTACTGATTTTTCTACATTGATTTTGTATCCAGAAACTGTGCTGGAGCTGTTAATCAGATCTAGGAGATTTGGGGCTGAGACTAAGGTTTTCTAGGTATAAAATCTCATATTATCTTACAAACAGGGATAGTCTGACTTCCTCTTTTCCTATTTGGATGCTTTTAATTTCTTTCTCTTGCCTGATTGCTTGGCCAGGACTTCCAGTACTATGCTGAATAGGAGTGGTGAGAGTAGGCATCCTTGTCTTGTTCTGGTTTTCAAGGGGAATGCTTCCTGCTTTTGCCCACTCAGTATGATGTTGAAGATGCCTCTTAAAGCCTGGTGTGATGGTGCACCTGTAGTCCGAGCTACTCAGGAGGCTGAGGAAGGGAGACCACTTGAGCCCAGGAGTTCAAGGCTGTAGCATGCTATAATCACACCACTGCACTCCAGCGTGGGCAACATAGCAAGACCCCATCCCTAAAAAAAAATTTTTTTTAATGTATTTTAAGGCTCTGGTCCACCCTGCCCTCCCAGCCACTAACACTTAGCACTTACCTCCTCTTTGCTGATCTCTAGAATGCTCTCCCCTCTCCTTCCTGCCTAGTTCTCTCTGATGCATCCTTCACAACACAGTCCAAGCAAGTTCTTTCCTACCCTTCCATCCAGCCATTTTCTTGTCATTTGCTCCTCTTTTTCATTCTACTTACTACATTGTATTTCAACTTTTATTGGTTTAATTATTTAATTAACACCTCTCTCTTCCTCTAGACCATAAATGCCATGAAAGCATGGACTATACCTGTCTTGCTCATAGTTATTGACATACTAGCTGGCACTTAAGTGCTTAATACATTTTTTATTGAATGAATGTGCATAAAACAAACCCCACTATAGGACTTTATAAAATTCTTCTTGGATCAAAAGACACTTTAATAGTGCTTTTTTTTGGAAACCATACCTTATTTTTTATTTTTAATTTATTTTTATTGATTTTTTTATTTATTTTATTATTATTATTATTTTTTGAGATGGAGTCTCACTCTGTTGCCCAGGCTGGAGTGCAGTCACGCGATCTCGGCTCACTGCAACCTCCGCCTCCTGGGTTCAAGCGATTCTCCTGCCTCAGCCTCCTGAGTACCTGGGATTACAGGTGCATGCCACCACACCTGGCTAATTTTTATATTTTTAGTAGAGATGGGGGTTTCACCATGTTGGTCAGGCTGGTCTTGAACTCCTGACCTTGTGATCTGCCCACCTCGGCCTCCCAAAGTGCTGGGATTATAGGCATGAGCCACCGTGCCCGGCCTATTTTTTTATTTTTTAAAACCTCTTACTTTTAAGCTCTGTTGGACTTGATGGAAACCATACCTTAAACCTTTAGGGGTGTGCATATGAGACTCACCTCTGTGTTTTTGTTTTTTATAGAGATGTGGTCTCTCTCTCATGCCCAGGCTGGAGTGCAGTGGCACGATCACAGCATCCTACAACCCCCAACTCCCTCTCCCTCCCACCTTGGCCTCACCAGTTGCTAGTACTACAGGCACAAACCACCATGCTTAGCTAATTTTTTAATGTTTAATTTTTTGTAGAGACAGGGTATCATTATGTTGCCCAGGCTGGTCTCAAACTCCTGGCCTCATTCAATCCTCTCTCCTTAGTCTCCCAAAGTGCTGGGATTACAGGAGTGGGCCACCATGCCTGGCCAGAATTACCCATTTTGTTTGTTTGTTGTTTTCAAAGAATAACGCCCCGTGGTCTTGTTATGCCCACCCCTTCCCCATGAGGATCACTTCCACAGGTCCACAGGGAGCCGCTCACATTGATGGGAAAGTATGGCACATCTTGTGTCAGGATGGAAACCTAAATTTGGCACAGCAAGGCCTGAGGTTAGTGGCAACTTCAGTTCCTATAAAACGTTCCCTCAAATCATGATGTCACTTTGGTGTTAACCCTCTTTTTTTTTTTTTTTTTTTGAGACAGGGTCTCCCTCTGTTGCCCAGGCTGGAGTGCAGTGGTGTGATCTCTGCTCACTGCCAGCCTCTGCCTCCTGGGTTCAAGTGATTCTTATGCCTCAACCTCCAGAGAAGCTGGGATTATAGGCATGCGCCACCACACCTGACTAATTTTTGTAATTTTAGTAGAGACAGGGTTTCACCATGTTGGCCAGGCTGGTCTTGAACTCCTGACCTCAAGTGATCTGCACGCCTTGGCCTCCCAAAGTGCTGGGATTATAGGTGTGAGCCATGGTGCCCAGCCTGGTGTTAACCCTTAACCACATCAAAATTCTCTTAAGTTTCAGCTCAATTTTTTCTTCGCTTTTATTTTTGCCTATGAAGTGACTTCCAAGTCATATCTTTAAAAATATTTGGGTGGCTTTTCCTATAAAAGCAGAGTCCTTTATAAAGCAGACTGCCCCTCCCTCAGGAAACTGGGAAGAGATTGCTTCAGGAGAGCTGGTATCCTTTCATGACTAGGGGGAAGTACTGGAGTAATTCTGCCCATTTTGAAAATATTTATTGTTCTCAGAATTATTTATTTCATTCAGAAATATAATTAAAAACTAATTTTATTTTTATTATTTTTGAGACAGAGTCTTGCTCTGTCACCCAGGCTGGAGTGCAGTGGTGTAATCTCAGCTCACTGCAACCTCCACCTCCTGGGTTCAAGAGATTCTTGTGCCTCAGCATCCCAAGTAGCTGAGACTACAGCCGCCCGCCACCATGCCTGGGTAATTTTTGTATTTTTAGTAGAGATGGGGATTCAACATGTTGGCCAGGCTGGTGTCGAACTTCTGTCCCCAGGTGATCCTCTCACCTCGGCCTCCCAAACTGCTGGGATTACAGGCATGAGCCACCACAGCTGGCCTAAAAACTAATTTTATTTCTGTATATGAGCCCATCCTCCTACTTGAATTGCTATTTCTACTGGGCAATGAGGAAAGGATAAAATATCACAAAGAATCCACCCATGGTAATAACAGCTTTGATTTACTGAGTGCTTAATCTTGTAAGGCACTTTTCCGTATGCTTCACATATATTAAGTTGGTTAATTTTCCCTACTCATGTTCTTATGTTAGATGAGAACACTGAGGCACTGGCCACCCGGAGGAGAACATAACAGCATCTTACACTGGAGTCCTGACCTCAGGGGATTTGGGGATTTTCTGTTTCATAAAGATAAAGGCTTTTGAGGTAGGGAATAGCCTTGTTGGTCACGAAAGGCAAAGTTTGTGCATTTGGAAACAGGCTGATCTGGGGTGGAACCAACCACTTGCCAACTGTGTGTTGTTGCGTGTTGTTGTGTGTCGTTGCGTGTTGTGTGTGTCGTTGCGTGTTGCTGTGTGTGTTGTTGGGCATGTCCTCTCACCTCTTATGTTCCTGGTTTTCTCATCTGTAAAATGGGGACAACCATAACTTCCACAGGGGATTTGTGACGGTTGATTTTAGGCATCCGTTTGGCTGGATTAAAGGATACCCAGATGGCTGGTAGAGCATTACTTCTGGGTGTGTCTGTGTGGGTGTTGCCAGAAGAGATTGGTGTTTGAATCAGTGACTGAGTAAGGAAGATCTGCCTTCATCGCCATCAGTTGAGGGCCTGGATAGAACAGTAGAAGAAAGACAAATTCTCTCTTTCTCTTCCGGAGCCAGGACACTATCTTCTCCTGTCCCTCGACACCAGAACTCCAGATTCTCCAGCTTTTTTTTTTTTTTTTTTTTTTTTTTTGAGACAGTCTCACTTGATGCCCAGGCTGGAGTTCAATAATGCAATCTCAGCTCAGTGCAACCTCCTCTTCCCAGGTTCAAGCGATTCTCCTGCCTCAGCCTCCCCAGTAGCTGGGATTACAGGCACCCATCACCACACCTGGCTAATTTTTGTATTTGTAGTAGAGAACGGGGTTTCACCATGTTGGCCAGGCTGGTCTTGAACTCCTGACCTCAGGTGATCCACCTGCGTCAGCCTCCCAAAGTGCTGGGATTACAGGCATGAGCCACTGCGCCCAGCCCAGGTTCTCCAGCTTTGGACTCTAGGACTCGCTCCAGTGGCTCCCAAGTTCTCAGGCCTGTAGCCTCGAACTGAGAGTTACACCATCAGATTCCCTGGTTCTCGGGCCACAACTGCGACTGAGCTATGTCACCAGTTTCCCTGGCTTTCCAGTTTGGAGATGGCACATCGTAGGACTTCTCAGCTGCCATCATACATCCCCTCTTATGAATCTATATAGTTTTTTCTTTTTTAGAGACAGGGTCTCACTCTGTTGTCCAGACTGGAGGGCAGTGGCACAGTCAGAGCTCACTGCAGCCTCGACTCCTGGGCTCAAGAGATCCTCTCACATCAGCCTCCAGAGTAACTGGAACTCCAGGCATGTGCCACCATGCCCAATTCTTTTTATTTTTTGTAGAGACGGGGTCTCACTGTGTTACCCAGGCTGGTCTAAAACTCCTAGGCTCAAGTGATCCTCCTGACTGGACCTCCTAAGGTGCTGGGATTACAGGAATGAGCAACCTTGCCCAGCCTACATCTATCTAGAACCTAGTAGCTGTGTTTCTCTGGAGAACCCTAATACAGGGTTGTTGGGAGGGCTAAATAAATTAATAAATAGACAGCACCTGGAGCAGGGCTCAGCACTTTGTAGCTGCCCAGCAGGTGTGATTTTCCTTCTTCACCCACTTCCTCCATCTGGTGAGTTGAGTGAGGTTGAAACATGCAAGGGCACCCACATGCTCTGGCCTGTACACAGCAATTGGTTCCGGGGAGAGTGGACAGGTTTGGAGCATGGGCAGGCCAGCACTTGCTGACATTGATGTGATTATCAGGTGGGCTGGGTAAGCCCATGCAGACGCTGTTGCAGGTGGAAGGCTACCTAGAACCTCCAGGGCTCCTGATCTTACAGCAGCCGGCCCAGATGAGCTAGCTCATGCTCGCTTGCTTGCAGAACAGGACCTACCTACAAGGTAGTGCTGGGCTCCGGACTCAGACCCAGGTTCAAATCCTATTTCACAATGGAAACAGGCTACTTTCTCCACCTCCAGGATTGCAAGAAGATTGGTATGACCTTGATATGCCCGCAATAAATGTTAGCCCTTCCTCTTTACAAACAATTATTATTTCATTAAGACTTACTCCTGGGAAGAAGTCACACTTTTCTGTGTGCTAACATCATGTACATTCTGATTCTCTGTCCTGTGTGCCATTCCATCATGCTCTCTACCAGCAAAACGCCACCAGTCTAAGGAGGAGACAGAACCGCATAAAAATAGTCACACAGTCTTCAGAGCTGCACAGGGAGTGGCACAGGGGCTTCACAGGCCTTGGGAAGTTTGTAAAGTGAGGGAGAAGCACTTTACTGTCGCCAGCTCCATTGAAAACAGATTGTAGCAAATGACTTCCCAGGAGCTCCTCCTCTCACCTTGGTGAATGTTGGGAGAGAATGAAGACTGCGGCTGAGAGGCAGCGCCTTGAGCCTTGAACGGAAAGAGGGACAGGGCCTGGGGGCTGTCACTGAGGTGCAGAAATGGGTTTTGGGCTGGGCATCAGACAACCCCAGATCCCAACACTGGCTCAGCCAATTCCTGGCTGTGTGACATGGAGCCATTACTGTACTTTCCTTGCCAGGCCTCCATTTTTCCTCTCTCTAGAATGGGGAGGCTGGTAATACCCACTTTGGAGGGCAGTGTGAGGACCGAAGGGGGCTGTTAAGTGCTCGGCGCGCAGCGAGCACTCAGGACGGGTGGCAGCGGTCACCTTTGTCGCCACCGTCCAAGCCTTTGCAGAGGCTCAGGGCCGAGCCCCGGACATGCGCATGCGCACGCGCACCCGGCCGGCCAGGTGAGAAGGAGGCGGCCGCCTCGCACCTGGGCTTTAACCCTTCCCAGTCACGGGAGTGGGCGGAGTGCACGCAGGGACGGAGTCGGGGGCGAGCAGCGAGAGAGGCCGGGCTTGACCCTTGAGGCGGGGTGGGCAGCGTCCGGGGAGCGCGCCGAGCCGCTTCTAGCCTGGGGTCCGCGCGCGCCGCGGGGAGGAGGGGGAGTGCCGAGGGGAGCGAAGTCTCGCGAGATCGCGCGGCGGCGGCGGGAGCGGCGGCGGCGGCGGCCGGGGAGGTGAGCGGCGGGCGGTGGCGGCCGTTGGGGGCTGAGGCCGGGTGAGAGCGGCCGAGACCGAGGGCTGGGTGGGGGAGCGGGCCTGGTGAACATCCCGCGTCCCAGGCAGCCATCCCTGTTCGTCCCCGCAGCAGCTGCGGCGCCGTTTGGTCCGCACCGTCCCCGGGACTCGCGCGGGGCGGGGCGGCCGGGGCCGCGGGCCGGTGCCTCCTTCAACCGGTCCTCGCGCCCGGGCGCGACCCCGGGGCCGCCTCAGTGTCCATCTCGACTGCAGAGTTGGCCCTGCTGACAGTGGCAGCGGCGTTTATGGAGCCTCTGCTGTGTGCCGGGCACTTAAGTTGCGCGCTTGCACGCCGGGGCTGCACAGAGAGGTGGAGCGCCCGGGCCAGAGCCACACTGCGAGGAGGCGGTGGGAGGGGACCGGGACCCCTGCGCCCCCTTCCTCTTCCCACCTCCCACTCCCCTCAGCCCTTTTCTCCTGGGGTCCCGACCAGGCTTCAGAGGGGGTGTCTGGGAGCGCCCTGAAGTTGGATGCAGCTTGGTATATGGGTTTCTTGGGAGAGAGTTTTTCCAGGGCTTTTGTCTCGTTCCTAAAAGGGTCCCCGATCCCCAAGTGGTCAAGAACCATTGTTTGGCCCTGCTTGGAAGCAGAGGTGGGCTGAGAGCAGCGGGCGTGTGCTGGTAGTGGGGTGTCAGGCCCAATGAAGTGGAATATTGGAGCCCAGGGCTTGCCTTAGGCAAAGGAAACTCTTCTCTAAAAGTTCGATTTTTGTTTCAGCACGCGATTCCACTCTTGGGAACAGTGGTTCTCAACCTCGTCAGAATCAAGGTCCCTTCTTCCCCTTTGCAGCAAACATGTATAAAGCCCTCTTTACTACCCTGAAATGAAATTCATAAACAATGTGACCTCCCTACACACATCCTTGAAAAGCAGTATGATGGTTTGATTGAAGCGTAAGGGCGAAATAGAGAACAGTATATGACAGATGTTGCTGTACCATTCACATCTAGGACATACTCTTGTGCTGGAAGACAGTATATACTGGGGTGCTTGTGCCAGCTTCTAATGAGTACATTTGTATTGGTTAAAAAAAATTAGGAGGAGCTATTTCAAACAAGAGCAAGCCTGGGCAATATAGCGAGATCCCACCTGTACAAAAAAAGAAAAAATTAGCGTGGTGTGGTGGCGCACACCTGTAGTCTCAGCTGCTTGGGAGGCTGAGGTGAGGGGATCTCTTGAGCCCAGGAGTTAAAGGCTGCAGTGAGCTGTGATTGCACCACTGCCCTCCAGCCTGGGCTACAGAGTGAGGCCGCTACTTCAGGGAAAGAGCAGAGATACAGACGGAGGTTGGGAAAAACACCTAGGTTGGCATAACCTGTTTCTTGCGAATTAAAGAGAGAAACAACCTAGATTGAACTAGGGATAACATGGCAAGACAAATAACAGACTGTCTCAATAAATACGTAAATATTAGCACAAGCCCTCCATGGATCCATATTTTTAAACTATATTGTAGAATTTTTTGTGTCACACACTCGAAGGGACAATACTGGCTTCCTAACAATTACCATTGGTAATAATTAATAAAATATTAACAAGGTTGAAAATTTTTGGTTCAATATCAGTATCTCACTTGTTTGTATATGCTCAGTATTCTGATACTACAATTGTATGTTAACGGTGTGTGGTGTGAGGAAACGATCGCTAATGTTTAGACAGTTTTCCCTTACTCTATTTAAGCTTCCCTTGCTACTTTCTCCTACATTACTGGAGTTTCCCTGCAATTTCTTATAAAAACTTTTAAATATTGTAAAGTAATGCCAGTTTATAGTGGGCTTAATCTGCCCGTTCATTTGAAAGACTCTCGTACCAGGCGAATCTTCATTATACAGATCTGTCCCACCTATGTGTTGTGTGAAGTCTTTTAGATCCAGGCCCCCCAAACCCTAAATGCCAGCGGTGTCCCCCAGTCTCTTTGATAACTAAAAATGTTCCTTGGGGGCAGTTCCAGCTCCTTGGAGAACCACTCCAAACATCAGTGTTATCTAGTCAATTATAATAGGAATTATAAAAGGAAATTTAACAGACAGTTTTTGCTGAGAGTTTTGTCCTGTTTTGTTTTTTCTTTCTTTCAGAAGTGTCTGACGTACAAAAAGCATGCTTTTGGTTAGTGGCGCTTTCATTGATTATTCTAGAATCTCAGATGGGAGGTCAGGTTAGTACCTGTGTCCCTCTGTCTGAAAGATTGGCTGTGTTTAATGGAAATGTTGACAACTAAACACTTGAATCAAGTAGCAGATTGAGGTTAGAATGGAGTTGGGAAGCAACAACAATAATGTGTAGAAATAAGTCTTAGTTAAGTATAATCTAAACTAGTGTAATCACCCTTTAAATAGCTTCTTCTGCTTACTAATATCTATATTAGAGAATTTGGAAAATGCAGATGTATTCAAAGGTAAAACTTAAAATTACCTGTAATCACATATGCCAGTAGTCCTCATGGTGTGATTTGTTAGCAGTTGTCTTTTCATTTCAAACTTTGCTAGTCTTGCTGCATAGGGGAAAATGCAAATCGAGTTAAGAAAGTTCAGCTCAGACCATTTATATGTTACCTACGTATAACATTTATATATGTTACAATGTTACCTACATTGTAACATTATACATTTAACTCTTCTTTTAATAATAGTTTATTTGGCTTTTTTTTGTTGAATAGACGAGTTGCTTCTTGATGTAAGGTGTTTATTATTAGTTGCGTGTTACGTTTGAAAGGTGCTATGGAAACAGACATGTAGGTAATGACTGCTGTCAAAACAGAAGGCTATACTTTAAATTATCTAGAGTTAGAGACATTGAACACTTTGGAGATGGAAATTTATCCAAATTGAGAGTAATGAATTTATATTAATTTGAGCAAGCAGTATCTTGTTCCAGGGTAAAAGAGGTCATTACTGGTTTTTAAAATCAGAACTTTAAAAAATATTCACCTGTATGTAAAAGATGTTGATTGAAAATGTTCCATTTTTCTAGGCATAGGGGATAGATTGTTGAATGGACAAAAGTTCATGCTTTTATGAAGTTTTACATTTGAGAGACACAAATGTTAACTAGAAAATGAATACTATGCACATATCTCTGATTTGTAATTAAGGTGTTTCATTGATTTTTAAGATGCATATGTGAGATAGAATGACATCTTAAAATTAGCATGTGGTTGGCAACTTTTCTTTCTTAGTAGGACATTATATCTTGAAATTGATGGCATCTTAGAGTCAATGAAATAGGGAATATGTAAAAATTATTACATAATTTTACTACATGAATAGGGAATATGAAACAATGATTAATGATTAACACCAAAAACTTGATTCAAAGGGTGACTTGCAAAATGAAGATACACAATATTTCTGGACCCTTCCATTTAAACTAGAATTCTTTACTAAGAAGATTCCTGTAGAGATTTTCCCTTTATGTAAAACAAATGGAGAATCAATGTTTGTAAATATAAGAACCATTTTTTTGAAAATGTTTAAAAGGAAACAAACTGCTTGGTGAATTTTCACGAAGAGCAGATGGTGTGGTTAGTGTGTTTGAGGTAAAGTTAATCAGATAATATAACCAGACAGTTGTATGAATATGGTTTTTTGTGTTTTTTGTTTGTTTCCATTCTGGAAGATCCACTTATAAATGAAAGTTTTCTCAAATGGGACGTCCTTAAATTGGATCTCAGTGAATTATAGTTGTTATTGTTGTTTAAGAAATATATTTGAAAACATACTTACTCTGTGTGAAGTACACAGTTTATATGGGAAGCTAGTTCCGTGGTATACCTTAGCTGGAGACCTGTGTAAGGACTTTTTCTGTCTAATATTGAGTGCAGGTTTCACAGCAAACTCAATCACGTGAAGACCCTTTGCGTACCTTCTTCCTCAGGTGGACTTGTGCTTTGCGTCTTAAAGTGTGGTGCCCACACCATCAGCACGTCAGCAGCATCCTGGAGCTTGTTTGAAATGTAGACTCTGAGCTCCACTCCAGACCAACTGGACCAGAATTTGCATTTTAAAAGATCCCTTCCTGGGCAATGCACGTGAACATATAAAAATCACGGGACCAGATCTGTGGCTGTCAAACTTGAGTATGTATTAAAAGGATTGCTAGCCTCCTCCTCCAGGGTCTCTCTCTGATTCAGTAGGTCTGGGCTGGGCCCATAGAATTTACATTGTTAACAAATTATCAGGTGATGCTGATGCTGCTGGTCCAAGGACCATACTTTGAGAACCATTAGAGTAGAGCTCCTTCTCTTCTCACCTTTTTCTGTTCTCTCTTCTAATTCCTCACCCCGGCTTTTTAAAATAGATTATTATAATCATATACTTTGGCTCGATTGGAGGAAACAAAAGCACTTTGTCTTATAATTTATGGTGATGGCCACACTAAAATTGCTTGTCACCAATTTCAGAGAAAACTTAGACTCTGGTTTGTAGGTGGTTCTCTTTTGCTTCTTTTTGCGAGGTGCTTTTAACATTTACAAATTGTTTTCATGTAGATAAGATGTTCATATGGTTCAAAAATTAAAATGACATAAGACATATTTTGAGAAATCTAAATTCCAATTGTCTTGATTCTCTCCATAAATAACCTTTCATTTGTTTCCTATACATGTCTTTTTTTTGTATAGATGCAGATACAAGCAAATACTAATATACTATATATACTCTTTTTATATAAAATATACATACTATGTGAATATTTTCCTTGCTTTTTTTTTAAAGTTAATATTATCTTGACATACCTTCATATTAGTATATAGGAAACATTTTTCTACACTTCTTTTCTTTTTTTTGAGACAGAATCTCACTCTGTCACCCAGGCTGGAGTGCAGTGGCACCATCTCAGCTCACTGTAACCTCCATCTCTCAGGTTCAAGCGATTCTCCTGCCTCAGCCTCCCAAGTAGCTTGGGACTACAGGTGCATGTGCCACCAGGCCCGGATAATTTTTGTATTTTTAGTAGAGATGGCGTTTCTCCATGTTAGCCAGGCTGGTCTCAAACTCCTGACCTCAGGTTATCCACCTGCATCGGCCTCCCAAAGGGCTGGGATTACAGGCATGAGCTACTGCACCTGGCCCAGAAAACATTTTTCTAAACAACTGTAAAATATACATTGTTTAGCTGTTTAGCCTCCAGTGATCAATATATGAGTTGTTTCCAGTCTGAGACTCACAAATGACGCTGTGCTGAATAACCTTGTGCACATATTATTTTGTATATTTGTAGGCATTATCTGTGGGATACATTCCTAGAGGTGGGATTGCTGGTCAGTGGGCAATGCATTTATAATTGGTGTAAATACTTTCTTCCTCCAGAGTGGCACTTATTTTGAACTTGCCTAAGTAATGTATGAGACTCCTTATTTCTCCGTAACCTCTCCAACAGTTAACCTTTGGATTCGTGTCAGTCTCGTAGATGAAAAATGATAACTCCATGTAGTTTTAATATGCATTGCTTTCATTATGAATCGGGGTGAGCATCTTTTCATGTGCCTAAAGGCTATTTGTATTCCTTTTTCTGTGAGCTATCTGTTCATACCCTTTGCACATTTTTCTTTTGGATTGCTTTTTCTTACTAATTTCTATAAGTGTATAAATTAGAGAGATTAGCCCTTTGTTAGGTTGCAGTTTCCCTCAACTTGTCACTTGTTTTTAAAAATGACTTTCATGTATTTTGGTATAAAGAAGGCTTAAATATGGCTTTCTTTACATTTTATGTACTTAACATTAATCTCTTATGGTATCTGGATTTTACGTCAAAGGCCTCCACGATTTCTGGAATCTGCCCGTGTTTTCTTTTAGTGCTTTTATGGTTTCATTTTAACACCTAAATCTCTGATCCACTTAGGATTTATTCTGGTGTTCAGAGTGATATATAATTCAACTTTTCCTTTTTCCATGTGGCCACCAGTTATCTTTACCGATTTGTTTCAGTTTTCATCTCTGAATCCAGTTGATGGTGGTGTGAGTTTCTGGATGTATTGGGGTACATCTCTGCACTTTCTATTCTATGACATTAGTCTTTCTATTCATATAGCAGTACTACATTGGTTTTATAAAATGTTTTAATATCTTTTAAAACTAGTTTCCCCTTGTTGCTTTTTTTTTTTTTGGCAATTCTTGCTAGTTTATTTTTCCATGTGAACTTTAGAATCGTTTTGTCTAGTTCCAGAAAACACTTTTTAAAGAATCAAGATCATGTTAAGTTTATGAACTTAAAATCTATTTGACTTCTCTGAGCCTCAGTTTTCTAATCTGTAAAAGGAGCAATAGTGCCTGTAAGAATGCTGGAGGGATTAAAAGAGAAAACGTGTGAAACTCATCGCTTAGTGCCCTTGGTCCACTCCCACCTTTGTTGCCAACATGGGCTGAGGTTGCCATTCCCTCATTTTTTTCCCACTGTTACCCATCTCACTTTCAAAAAAGAAAAAAAGAAAGGACCCATAAAGAAAAAGTTACAAGACATTAGAATCCAAGTTAAAACTAAGCTCTTGTTCAGTTTCAGCAGGACAATTAATGTACCTGAAAACCAGAGAACAAATTCAGCCTGGCGTTCAAGGCCCCCTCCTGCTTCTAGCCTTGCTGCCTTAGTCTCTCTTGGATGTACCCTAACAATGGTGCTGCTTATGTTTCCTAGAGGCCCTGTGTTTCCTGGAACCCCATTCCTCCCACCCAGAATATAGTGCTACGTAATTCTGCCAGTTCAGATCTGTTACTGTCCCCCACCCAGTCAAAAACAGTATCTGTCTCTGCATGTAGCTTGTCTGTCATGCAGCTTAACCCTTGATGAACTGTAAACTCTGTAAGGAGAGAAACTGTGTTCATCCTGCACACCAAATAATGCCCTGCACCCAACAAAATACTGGCAAAGATTGGACATTCAGATGTTTGTTAAATGAATGAATAATTGACTTTGATCTTTTTTTTTGCTTTATATTATGTGTCTAGGTAGCTCTTATTTCACTGAGGACACTGTAAGCCCCTGGAATACAAAGCTTATGCCCACCCCTCTCCCCCTTTTTTAGAGACGGGGTCTCTCTCATGCAGGCTGGAGTACATGACACGGGCAGTGGCACAGTTATGGCTTACTGCAGCCTTGAACTCCTAGGCTCAATCAATCATCCTACCTCAGCCTCCCGAGCAGCTGGGACTACAGGGGCACCACCACTCCTGGCAAATTTTTTTTTTTTTTTTTAAAGAGACGGTATTACCATGTTGCCTCAGTCTGGTCTCAAACTTCAGGGCTCAAGCGATTTGCCCACCTTGGCCTCACCAAGCCCGGGAATTACTGGTGTAAGCCACTGTGCCCAGCCAATTAATAATAATTATTATCATCATAAATAATGCTGGTGATGGAGATGGTGAAAGGCAGATTTATTATTATATAATAACATTATAATAAAATAGTATTTATTGAACACATATTTCAGGAACTACTTTAGAGTCCCCAATGTGGATTATTTCATATAATCCTCAGCAGTGCTAAGAATTGGGTACTGTTGTTACACATATGGGAAAACAGGCACACAGAGAAGTTACTTACCCCAGATCACACAGGTAGAAAGTGGTAGAACCGGGATCTAATGCAGATGCTCTGAGCCTAGCACCCGAACTCTTAGCCCGCTGCAGTTCTCCAGGCTTGTTTGTTAAATACAGTTCTTTGAATACAGTCGTGTATAGGTTCTCGAACAATTTAGGAAAAGTTTTAGTTACATTTTCAAATTTTTACTTTCCTTCCTGACCATTCCATTTTAATAACTTCGATTTTGTTATTTCCAGTTTATCTTAGACTTCACATTCTCCAAGAGACACAACCTTGTCTGGCATGTAGTAGGTGCTCAATAAAAAGTAATTTCTGCCTTTTTTTTTCCAGGTTCACAATAAAGGTGCTAAGAAAGAGAATGTAAGACAGGAAAATAATTAAATATTCTTACCGAGGTAAGTTTTTTTATAATTTTTTTTTAACAAAGAAACTGTAATTTCTTTCTTTCTTTTACCTCCTCTTACAGCCTGCTTTCTTGAGGTCTAACAGGGAGATTGTTTTAGGAGTGGTTAAGTTCATAGAACCTAGAGTTCTTAAGGTAGATGCCAGGAATGTGGACTGTTCAAGTAAGTTCATTTGACGTTCTCAACCTCTTCGAATCTAATCTTTATTTTCCTGTTTTCTGATGGTTTTAAAGCATGGTACTGAGAAGGAAATCTAGCAAGTAGAAACCCATAGCTGTTTGGTGGTTATATATACTTGCAACATTCAGTGAATACTTTTTTCTTAAAATAGGGAGTTGAAAGAATTTTAAGCTACTTTTGGTGAGATACGAACACTTAAAATTTTGGGTTTTTTTTTACTATAATAATGAAAAAAATTTCTATCCGTATAAAACAACATAATGATAGAACTTAGCATCCAACTTCTACCACCAAGAAATGACTGCTATTAATATTTTGGTGAACATACTTTTAGAAATCTATCTATGGATATAGAAGAATTTATATACAAAATTTTAAATAAATTGGTTTGCCTGTATATAGTAGTCTTTTTTAATGGAAAAATATGTTTTGTACATCTCTGCGGGAATTGGAAAGATACGCGTAATCCTACATGATCATTTTACTGGCTGCCTAATGTTCCATCTTTTAGAGGCACCATACTTTATGCCTTTGATGACCTTTTAGATTGTTCTAGTTTTCCCTTGTTGATGTATTGATCAGCCTTCTGCTTATATCATTGTATACTTGTTCATTTCTCTTCTTAGATGTGTAACTGCTGGGTCAGAGATTATACACATTTAAAATGTTGAGACATGGCTTACCTGTCCTCTAAAGAGACTACCAGTTTATAACCCCCCTCAGAATCCACAAGAGTCCTGCTTTCCATATCCTTGCCCACACAATTTTGTTAATGTTAATGTATATGTAACTTTTTTCCAAATTTATTTATTTATTTTAAATAGACAAATAAAATTGTATGTATGTATTGTGTACCACATGTTTTGAAGTATGTGTATATTGTGGAATGTTTCAATCTAGCTAATTATGCGTTACCTCACATAGTTACCATTTTTGTGGTGAGAACATTGAACATTTACTCTCTTTGTATTTACTCTATTTTTGGAAGAATACAGTATATCATAATTAACAATAGTCACCATGCTGTACAATAGATCTCTTTGAATTATTCCTTCTATATCTAACTGGAATTTTGTATTCTTTGACTAACATTTCCACACCACCACCCCCACCTGCCCCCGACCTTCTAACGCCTCTGGTAACCATCATTCTACTCTCTTCTTGTATGAGATCAACTTCTTCAGATTCCTTATATGAGTAAGAACATGTAGTATTTGTCTTTCTGTGTCAGGCTTATTTCACTTAAAGAGGTGATGTTCTCCAGGTTCATCCATGTTGTCACAAATGACAGGATTTCCGTTTTTATAGTTGAATAGTACTCCGTTGTGTATATATACCACATTTTCGTTATCCATTCATCTGTTGATGGACACTTAGGTTGCTTCTGTATCTTGGCTATTGTGAATAGTGCTGCAATAAATGTGAGAGTGCAGATTATCTCTTTACTGATTTCATTTCCTTTGCATAAATACCCAGTAGTGGGATTGCTGGATCATATGGTAGTTTCATTTTTAATTTATTTCAGAAACCCCCACACTGTTTTCCATAATGGCAATAATTTACATTCCTCCCAATGGTGTTCAAGGGTTTCTTTGTCTCTACATTTTTGCCAGCATTTGTTACCTTTTATCTTTTTGATAGTAGCCATTCCAACAGGAGTGAGGTGATATCTCACTGTGGTTTTAACTTGCATTTATTAGTGCTGTGTAACACTGTTTTATGTATTTGCTGGCTATTCGTATGCTGCCTTTTTTTTTTTTTTTTTTGAGACAGAGTTTCACTTTTGTTATGCAGGCTGGAATGCAATGCTGTGATCTTGGCTCACTGCAACCTCCGCCTCCCGGATTCAAGCGATTCTCCTGCCTCAGCCTCGCAAGTAGCTGGGATTACAGGCATCCGCCATCATGCCCGGCTAATTTTTGTATTTTTAGTAGAGACGGGGTTTCACCGTGTTGGCCAGGCTCGTCTTGAACTCCTGACCTCCGATGATCCACCCGCCTCGGCCTCCCAAAGTGCTGGGATTCAGGCATGAGCCACTGCACCCGGCCATTTGTATGCTTCTTTTGAGAAATGTCTACCAGGCTAGAGTGCAGTGGTGCAATCACGGCTCACTGCAGCCTTGACCTTCTAGGCTCAAGTGATCCTCCCACTTCAGCCTCCCTAGTAGCTGGGACCACAGGCACATGCCACCACACTCTGCCAAATTTTTTGTATTTTTTGTGTAGACAGTGTCTCGCCATGTTGCCCAGGCTGGTCTCAGACTCTGGGCTCAAGCAGTCCACCCGCCTCGGCTTCCCAAAGTGCTGGGATTATAGGTGTGAGCCACCACCTTTGTCCATTTTTTAATTGGATTTTTTTCCTGCTATTGAGTTGAGTTTCTTACATATTTTGGATGTTAACCCCTTACCAGATGTATAGTTTGCAGATATTTTCTCCCATTCTTTAGGAAGTTTCTTCACTGTGGATTGCTTTCTTTGCTATACAGAAGCTTATTAATTTGGCATAATCCCATTTGTCAGTTTGTGCTTTTATTGCCTGTGTTTTGGGGTTCATATCTAAAAATCATTGTCCAGACCAATGTCATGGAACTTTTCCTCTATGTTTTCTCCTAGGAGCTTAATGTTTTCACATCTTACGTTTAAGTCTTTAATACATTTTGAGTTGATTTTTGTATATGGCGTGAGATAAAGGTCTGATTTCATTCTCCTGCATGTGGGTATCCAGTTTTGCCAACACCATTTAGAAGAGACTGTCCTTTCCCCATTGTTTATTCTTGGCACCTTTGTCAAAAATCAGTTGACTGTAAGTGCATAGATTTATTTCTGGGTTCTTTATTCTATTCCATTCGTCTATGTGTCTGTATTTTAAGCTAGTACCATGCTGTTTGGTTACTATAACTTCATAGTACAATTTGAAACCAGGTAGTGTGATATCTCCAACTTTTTTATTTTATTCAAGATTGTGTCTGGGTGCCGTGGCTCAAATCCCAGCACTTTGGGAGGCCAAGGTGGGAGGATAGTTTGAAAACCAGAAGTTCGAGACCAGCTGGGTGACAAAGTGAGACCCTGTTTCTGCAAAAAATAAAAATTAGCCAGGTGTGGTCATTTGTACCTGTAGTTCCAGTTACTCAGGAGGCTAAGGTGGAAGGATTGCTTGAGCCAGGAGTTCGAGGTTGCAGTGAGCTGTGTGATCGTACCACAGCACTCCAGCCTGGGCAAAGGAACAAGACTGTCTTAATAAAATAATAATATATAAATAAAATAAAGTAAATAAAATGACAAGATTGCTTTGGCTGTTCATATCCTTTGGTAGTTCCATACAAACTTCAGGATTTTTTTTCTATTTCTGTGAAGAATGTTATTGGTATTTTGATAAGGATTGCATTTAATAAGTAGTACACTTTGGGTAGTATGGTCATTTTAAAAGCATTCTTTTGATCCGTGAGCATGGGATATCTTTCCATTTATTTGTGTCTTCAATTTCTTTCACTGATGTTTTATAGTTTTCAGTGTAGAAATCTTTTACCTCCTTGGTTCAATTTATTTCTAAGTATTTTATTTTTTTGGTAACTGTTGTAAATAGGATTGTTTTCTTGATTTTTTTTTCAGATAGTTCGTTGTTAGTATATAGAAGTATTACTGATTTTTCTATTTTGATTTTATATCCTGCAACTTTATTGAATTCATTTATTGGTTCCAACAGTTTTTTTTGGTGGAATCTTTAGGGTTGTCTATATATAAGGTCATGCCATCTGCAAACAGGAACAATTTTACTTCTTCCTTTCCTAATTGGATGCCTGACTCCTGAAGCCACTGAGGGTATGAGAAGCCCAAGCCTGCTGTAGTTGGCTGGCAGTGATGTGGACTGGAAATGGAGTCTGCCTCATAGGGGATACAGGCTTCCACCTGGCTCCAGGACAGGTCTGAAGGCACAGTCCCTGGGTACTGGCCTAGAGTCAGGGGCCATGGAGGTCTTCTGGGTACTGGGTTTTACTGTGTTGGGCCTGGTGTTAGGGTTCAAGGCAAAGTCCTATGCTTACTTCCCTCTGTTTCCCCCATCTGATGGTATCTCTCTCCACGCTGTGCTGCCTAGGGTTGGGGAGTGGGTGACGCGGGTAATGTAAAACTATCCTTTCTACCACCTTCAGCGTGTCTTTTAAAATTTTTGTGCTATAACCAGGTACCGTAATCTGTCGTCTGTTTTTCTTAGCTCTTGTGAAGGTGTTTTTAGGAATGGATAGTTGTTCGAATTGATGTTTCTGCCCTGGGACGAGTACTGGAGAGTCTTGTTCCGCCATCTTGTACCACCTTCTTTTGTATGTAACCTGTTAATCTTTTTAATCTTTGGCAATCCAGTAGGAGACAAAAAATAGTATTTTTTTGAGATAACAAGGTTTCTAATTGGAATATACCTTTTAGGTTTTCAAAGACCTCCAATTTGATATTCTTACTAACGTGAAGAGTTTTCTTATTGAGAAGATACCTGTGGTTCTCATGCATAGATGAAATACTCTTGGACTTTAAATGTGATGAGAGTGTTGAAGTATGTTGAGTTCTTTGTTTTTCAGTCTATTGCCTTCGTTAACTCATTATAAATATTTTTAAACTATAGGTCAACTGACTGTTACTATTTCAAATACTGAAAGTTTTCCTCCATAGAGAACTCTCCCTTTGTTTTTTATTCACTTATAGTGCAGTTTCAAGAAGCTTTAAGACTAGGCACGGTATCTCACAACTGTGATCCCAGCACTTTGGGAGGCTGAGGCAGGTAAACTGCTTGAGCTCAGGAGTTCAAGACTGGCCTGCACAATAACATAGTGAAATCCCATCTCTGCAAAACATGCAAAATTAGCTGGGCATGGTGGCTCACACCTGTAGTCCCAGGTGTTCAGGAGGCTGAGGCAGGAGGATCACTTGAGGCTAGGACGTGGAGGTCTCAGTGAGCCAAGATCATGCCACTGCACTCCAGCCGGGGTGACAGAGTGAGACTCTGTCTTGAAAAAAATTAAAAAGATAAATAAAGAAGCTTTAGAGACCAATTTCTTAACATGCCTCAAACGTAGATATCAATTGTGGAATAGCATATAGAATATGACTTACAAACTTGGGTGATGATATTATTGAGTTATGTGGATTATGTGACTGTGCATTCATATGTAAACCTATGTTTACTGATGTTGAATCTCTTCTGTCTAAAGGATTTTAACAGTTTCTGATATGAGTGTGATCTTTAATTTTATATTTGCCTTAGATTTTATTTTAATCAAATAAGATTTACTTGAGGAAGGTTTCATATGAAGCATATACCAACTTTGTCATTGACCTATGGTTTGTTCTTTAACTTAATAAAAAGCCAATTAACTATCAGGAGCTATTTCAAACAAGAAAATCAGAGAGCCAGCGTAGGCAATATAGTGAGACCCTGTCTCTACAAAAAATATTTAAAATTAAAATAAGAAAAAATTAGCAAGGCATGGTTATAATCCCAGCTACTCAGGAGAGTGAGGTGAGATGATTATTTGAGCCTGGAGTTGGAGACCAGCCTTGACAATATAGCAAGATCTCATCTCTTAAAGAAAAAAAAGCCAATTAAAAGTCACCTTTTTTCTTCAGATAGAAAATACATCTTCTGGCCAGGTGTGGTGGCCCACGCCTGTAATCCCAGCACTTTGGGTGGCTGAGATGAGTGGATCACCAGAAGTCGGGAGTTTGAGACCAGCCTGGCCAACATGGTGGAACCCTGTCTCTACTAAAAATACAAAAAATTAGCCAGGTGTGGTGGCGGGCGCCTGTAATCCCAGCTACTTGGGAGGCTGAGGCAGGAGAATCACTTGAATCCGGGAGGTGGAGGTTGCAGTGAGCCGAGATCGCACCACTGCACTCCAGCCTGGGCAATAAGAGTGAAATTCCATCTCAAAAAAAAAAAAAAAAAAGCGAAAAGGAAAATACAGCATTTAATAATATAGAATGCCTTTAATACTTTAATATTGATGCTTTTCTTTTCACTCCAAGTTAACATTGTTGACCATATACCACCAAGACCAGGGACCAAGTAGTACAACTGGTATTTTATTCACTGGTTTACATCCAGCACCTAATATAATACCTGGCATGCACATGGCAAACACCCACATTGTGTTTGAAGGAATGAATGGTTGGTAAATATTGTCATTGTTAGAATTAGGTTGGAAATGAGAAGGGCCTTAAATTTTAATTTGGATAAGAAAACTAGCATCTGTGATTTTTATACGTACCTAAATCTAAACATAGACAATTATAGTGATACTTGCTACCATAACATTGTGTGACATTTTGTTTGAAATGTTGAATTGGCCTGTATCCCATTTATTTTCCAACTCTGCTTTTTTGTTTGTGTGTTTTTGTTGTTGTCAAGGGAAAAGTAAGTATCTAAACTAGGTAGGAAACTAGATCTTGTTAAATAATCATATTTATGTTTCATAGTATAGACATGGGAAAGTTTTTCATAGTTATGTTATTTGAAGACAAAGCTAAAATGGATGTCCCAAAATATATTTTTAATTATAATGGAGATAAATTGAGCTATATTTTAAGTGTGGCTCCGCATTTCATTAAAAATAGAAGCAGAGAAATTGATTGCCAGCCTTTGAGAAGAATGTATAATAAATCTTTGTCCAGTATCCTGTCTTTTAAGCCTTTCTGACTCCTAACCAATTTTTCACAGCCAAACTAAACAAAGAAGATAGAATAATTAATAGATTCAAGTAGTGTTTTTGCCTCTCTTTCCATATACTTTGTTTCTGTTGGAATATGGGATTCCAAAGAGTTCATGAGCTAGTTTTAATCAGTATTTGAGCAGCAGTTATTTGCATGTATAACGTCTTAAATTGATTAAATAATCCCCTAGCAATTTTTATTTGCACTTTAGTTTGCTTAGCATCCCCTTTCTTAATAAATAATCCAAAATTAAATGTAGGCAGACTTGAAATAATTGAGTCTTCAATAGTAGAGTCTAAATTAATGAAGTTTTTTTAGACTTTAAAACTCTCATATCTTTTTGTGGCTGATGGTATAATCTTGTATTTGTTTTCTAAAATAACCAAATTTCTGGTTTCTTCAATCTCTTTTATGTGGCAATGCAGGAATTTGCTTATACGGTAGTTTTCATTTTACTGATGACTTAATTTATTTAATTGCATGCTTTAAAGCCCTGATTCTAAAAATACTCCTGGAAAGCAAGGAATTACTAGCAGTAGTTAAACAGAAGTCTTAATTAAAATTAAGGCTTTATTATTTATTTATCCTCTTAGCTGCATTTGTAATAATTTTTACATTGTACTTAAACAGAAAGTTTTAAGAATTTTTCAGCATCTTTAATGACTTGGATTTTGTGCATCTGCAACAGTTTCTTCCTATTTTAGGCACAAAGCTTAAAGTTTAGACTGGCAGGGGAAGTAGTCGTTTGATTGGAAAGTTGGGCAGAGGAGAAAAATTTTGTCTTCATATACAGAATTTGTAGCAGTAGAATATTCAGATGGAATTGTATTAAACTCTAACCCTAGGAAAAAAAAATTGAAGTACTTGTATGCAGTACAGAGAATAGATCCCTAGCAAAGCCAACACTCGGGGCTTACTTCTGTAGTATCTGCAGCTGAATTGGTCTCTCCCAAGAGTATTCTCATCTCAAAGTCTTAAGAGTAGAGTTTGGAAAGGGGAGGAGAGAACAGTAGCTTTGGGCCATAAGTTCCATGATGAGCTCAATAGTCAGTGAAACTCTCTAGGTTAAGGATATGTACTGAACCTCTGAATGTCCTATCCCCCTTGAGAAATTTCCTTCCTTCCTAACTCTGGGCACTTTGTTTAGTGTTGCGGCATGCTGGAAATTTATCTTGAGTTGAGGAGAGGGAGTCTGACTGTATTGCTGCAGAGTCTAGGCTACTCTCTTTAAATAGATGTCCAATGTGGGAATATGGCTGAAAACCATCAGTTCCTCCCTTATCATAGTTAGGCAGTGGCAAATATTAGAATTTCATGCAAGCTTTTCCTTCTTCAGTTTGCTCAGAGAGGACGCCTAGTTCAAGGTGAAGATTAAGTGTTTGTGTATGTTAAACTCAGTAAGTTTTATTTTAAATATACTTCAGTCTGCTCTAATGTAACAAAGTTCTTCAGTCTGATTGTTCTAGCAGCTATCACTCAAACATTAATTGCTGTCAGTGTGAAAGGATATCCTCCTACATCTTTTCTGGAGTACTTGAAACCATCCCACTTCCTTTTTCTTTTACCTTAAGAACTGATTACTGACACTTGGGAATTACAATCAGATTGCATCAATCTTTATGGAAAGGTTGCCAATTATTGCACTGCAAAATATGCATTTCCCTCTAATAGTAAGTGTTTCTCTTGGTGTGTCTCTCAGTTCAGTGCTTTTAAATACCTCTTAGGTGAATGAATGCTTTGTGCCATGCCCTGATTTAATATATTTAAAAGACTTAATTCATGGCTTTGTTACCTTCAGGTCTTTGGGAGGTGGAAATGGATGGAGGGGAATAATTTATGTAATACGAAATCTTTGTAGGATCTTTTGATTGATTAGATGTCCTTGGATAGAAGAAGGATGGCCGGTGACTGTTACTTATACTGTGATATAAACTCTCAAATGAGTGTGTTCTTTGAAGAGTTGAGAGCAGTGCGGAATTTTATGGTGGGAATGTACATTGAGCCTTGTGCAATGTCTTTTGTGTGCATTACCTCATTTTGTTTTCACAACAGTTCTGTGAGGATAGATGTAATTACCCCAGTTTTAAAGAGCAGAAGGGCTCAATGAGATTGTGAAATCAGGACTTGGGCATGCAGCTAGTAGGTTAAAAACAAAACAAAACTGTGACTTGAATACGGATCTCTCTGGCTCCAAAATCCATGCTTTCTTCCCTCGGACAGGGAAAGGTGGTGTTAGAATGCTCGAAAGTTCTTAGAATGTTGACATTGTAGACCATGGAAATGCTGAACAGAATGAAGATAACGCTACTTTATGAGCACCCCCAGCATTATTTTCACCATCCTCTATTTCTAATGCTCTTCATCATCAACTCATGAAGCCAAGGAGCCTGCCAGGGTGTCTGGCTCATCATGTTCAATACAGCAGAGACTTGTTTAATTTAGCAGCACTCTGAGATGAAAGGTTCATGACTGCCAAGTACAAACAGACCTTCTGCGGGATGTTAATTTGGTTATAGAAGAGAATGCTTGTTTTTCCTTGCTCTGTGCTAATAAAGAAGCTGGCACATTTTTTCGTGAGGAAAAAGGACTTTGACTTATTAAATCTGTGTAATCAAAGAGAAGCAGTTCTGATAACCATTTTTCTTTGTGCAGTCTTTGGTTAATTCCATTCTGTACCTGCCAGCAAATTGCAAATTGCGTGCTTTTTTGTTCTTTCCTCTTTTTTATTTTGGATTTGGTTTTATGGTTGGTCACTGTAGGGATTTATTGGTAGGAAAATAAATTATTTCCTCATTTGAACAGATTGTGTGTTTTTACAACAGGTTATCTTGTAGCAAGCAGAGTGATTCAACCAGGCCTCTGCACGGAGGTGTTGCTATATGACTTTGACCATTTTAAATAATAACAGCTTTATTGAGATATAATTCATATACCATAAAGTTTACCCTTTTAAAGTGTAGAACTCAATGATTTTTAGTATTCTCACAGAGTTGTACACCCATCACTTCTGACTAATTCCAGGACACTTTCATCACCCCAAAAAGAAATCTCATACCCACTCTCCATTCTCCCCTCTGTCTCTCTCACCTCTAGAAGCCACTCATCTACTTTCTATCTCTTTGGATTTACCTGTTCTGGACATGCCATGTAAATGGAATCATAAAAATATGTGACCTTTTGTGTCTGGCTTTTTTCTATGTTGCAGCATGTATCAGAACTTCATTCCTTTTTATTGCTGAGTAGTATTCTGTTGTGTGGATAATACTACATTTTGCTTATTTCTTCATCAGTTGATGGACATTGTGGTGGTTTCCACTTTTTGGTTATTATGAATCATACTGCTGTGAACATTTGCATATAAATTTTCTAGTGGACACAGGTTTTCATTTCTTTTGGGTATACACCTAGGAGTGGAATTGCTGGGTTATATGGTAACTCTGTATTTAACTTTTTGAGGAAATGCCCAACTGTTTTCCAAAGTGCTTTTGTGTGAAGGTGCACCTTTTTTGTTCTCAGCAACATTTGAGGGTTCCAATTTCTCCAAGTCCTTGGCAACACTTTTCCATGATTGTGTTTTTCGTAGTAGCCATCCTAATGAATGTGAAGTGGTGTCTCATGATTTTGATTTGCATTTCCCTAATCACTAATGATATTGAACATCTTTTCATGTGCTTCTTGGCCACTTGTATATCTTAGAGAAATACCTACTCAAATTATTTGCCCATTTTTAAAATGGACTGTCTTTTTATTGAGTGGTGATAGTTCTTTATATATTTTGTATACACACACACCCCCAAACACCCCCACCCTTATCAGATATATGAATTGTAAGATTTTCTCTCCCATTTTGTGATTGTCTTTTCACTTTCTTCATGTTGTTCTCTGAAGCAAGTGGTGTTTTAATTTTGATGAAGTCCAGTTTTCCAATTTGTTTTGGTTGCTTGTGCCATTCTCTCTCTGTTGGAAATTTTCTTTATTTCTAGACATCTCCCATTTAAAAAATTTGTACAAAATTAGTTTATTAACTATACAATGAGTAAGAGGTATTAAACATCTTTTGTGTTTTCAGGTATTCTCAGCTCATTCAATGTGAGAAAACCAAATCTCCTAACCTTACACCCAATGTGCTTTTTTGTTTTTTAAATCAGAAAGATGTCTTTCATTGTTCTGCGTCGCTTAAAATGCACGCATCATCCCATGAGCATTTATGTGTCTAATACATACTGAGCACTTTGCAGGGCTTGGGGATCCAGAGGTGAGTGGGATGTGGCCCTATCTTTAAGGAACAGGAGCTCACATGCCATGCTAGAAGCTTCCACAGAGGACTGTGGTGGTGCCAGGAGGGGGAAGGGAGCAGTCTCCTCTTTCGGGTGAGAATACTTTATAGAAGAGTTGGTGCTGGTGCTCAGTCTGCAAAGATGGGTGGGTGATCAGAACTTTTTGTTATAGTCTGTGAGTCTCTCTTCTGGTTACTTCCTGCCATGTATGCCAAGTACACTAGCACCAGATATCTCACAACAGCCTATCTAGGATTATTGATATAATAAAATGTAGATAGAGGTGTGACGACTCTGATGCCTAAAAGTGAGCCCAAAGAAAACCACTTTAATTTTTTCAGGTTTTCAAAATCAGTTCAGCATGGTGTGTGTGTGTGTGTGTGTGTGTGTGTGTGTGTGTGTGTGTAGTTCTGTATAGTCACAGCATAAAATAGGAGGCAAGGAGTGACAGTTGCTTGGCTGGAGAGGAAGACTGATTATAGACAGTTGGGTGTGTCCCATTAAGGAATTTAGATTTTGCCCTTAGTGATGGGGAGTCACTGAAGAGTCCAGCAGCGGGGAGGTGATTGGATCACTCTAGTTACTATACCATGGATGCTGGATGCAAGGGGCAGGTCTAGAGACAGGCAACCCATTAGGCTGTTACACGAGTCCAGGTGACAGTTGATGAGGACCTGAACTAGGGCACTGGTGGTAGAGTTGTAGAAGACAGAGGCTGGAAATGTTTAGGAGGTACTAGTCAGGACTCTTGGCTGCAAGTTAACAGAAACCTCACTCAAACTATCTTAAGTTAAAAGGGGAGCTAATTGGAAGATTCCTAGAGAAGGTTGCAAAAGGAATGAAATGCTGCAGAAACCAGCACAATTTCAGGGACCTCAGGGATTAGAAGTGGTACATCATCACAGGGCAGGAGCCATCTTCACAGTCACCAACCAAGAGGAAGGAAACAGCTTTTCCCTCCCAGCTTTGGTTTTAAAATCCCAGGGGCACTCTTGGCCTTGGGAGTTTGTGCTCCCCGGCCAGGCACTGGGGTCTTTGTTGGAAGCTCTCTATCACCATCACACTGAGAGTTCCTGGAAGAAGTGGAGAAGGGTTGTTCTGGCAGAGCCATCTGTGCACGTCCACTCTAGGCATATGGGTTGGACCCAGAGATCGAAACGATCTGAGAATAAGGGAAAGGTCAAGAATGCCTCCCAAAGCCGGGCGTGGTGGCTCACACCTGTAATCCCAGCACTTTGGGAGGCCGAGGCGGGCAGATCACTTGAGGTCAGGAGTTTGAGACCAGCCTAACCAACATGGTAAAACCCCGTCTCTACTAAAAATACAAAAATTAGCCAGGCATGGTGGCAGCTGCCTGTAATCCCAGCTACTCAGGGGGCTGAGGCAGAAGAATTGCTTGAACCCGGGAGGCGGAGGTTGCAGTGAGCCGAGATCATGCCACTGCCCTCCAGCCTGGGCAACAGAGCGAGACTTCATCTCAAAAAAAAAAAAAAAAAAAAAAAAAAAGAATGCCTCCCAAGTTAGTGGCTTTGGTAACCTATGATGGCACCACTTCTGTCCAATAAAAAGGTTCAGGGATATGCAAGCCAAGTACAATGAGCAAAGTTTAGATCAGCTTAGTACCACACTACTCAGAAATTGTGTCTGTGTTACATAGTTTTGTGATTATTTGGTTGACTTGGCTTCCTTCACTATTAGAAACCCTGAGAGGACAGGGACTATTTTTTTTTGCTGCGATTCTCCAGATCCCAGCATACTGTACTTGGCGCATAGTGGGTGTACAGTATATATCTATGTACGAATGAATGAATGCAGGTGACCATGTGCAGTAGGTAGTTAGATTGTTTGATTGGATCTCAGGTAAGGGTGGGAAACAGATTTAGGAGTTATCTGTGTAGGGCTAGATGGTTGACAACTCTTGAAAGTTATTGGGGAAGGGACCTTTATAAAACTTCAGATGTTGTCTAGACCTGTGATTTTTATGTCCAGGTAATGAAATTGTGCCTTTTCTTTCCTTTTTTGTCCTGTTTAGTTTTTAATGCCAGTAATTATCTGCTGACAGTCCTGCCAATGATTTTTTTAAAATTTTGTTACAGATTATGATTAGACTTGTGATAGATAGGAAAATAAAGGTGATAAAGACAGATTCTATTTCCTTTTTAAGAATAACTGACTCATGGGATGAAACTTTGGATATGATTTCAGATCACTCCTGTAAACTCTCACAAGAGATGTTTATAAAACACTTGGAACAATACAGATTGTACTAAGAAAATGTGCTTTGATCAACTGTGGAGATACAAAGCAGGAAACTTAATAAATCAAGTCCTATTTGTGAATGGAAAGGACTGGAAGTTCACCTTAAAAGTAAGAATTCAGCTTACATCCAGACTTAAATTTTGTAGTCTAAATAGCAGATGTTAACTTAGTTTCATCTTTTATATAAAAATAAAATGAATTATAGACTTCATATCTTGGCATCTTGAAATCTGACTCCTGATTCCTCTCTCTTAATGACTATTGGAACACTAGGCTAGACATGGAATTTGACTTTGGTTTTTTTACCCTTTAATTTTTGAAGTCAGTGTGCTTCCAACTCTGTCTTCCCTCTGTAGTCAGGAAAACCAAACCATTGGTAGCTTGGATATGCTATAATTTTTATTATGTAAATATTAGAAAAGCACAGTTGTATTTATATAAAGAGTGATATTCATACTTGAGAGATGGATTTTTTTTTTTTTTACAAATTAAAGCATAAATACAATTGTATTACTTTTATAGGCCAAGCACTCTTGTCCTGCCACCCTTCCATATGACAAGATATTATAGTAAACTGCATATATTTTGTGTTTTTGCATATTGCCTAGATTCCTTTTTTTAAATTTGCAGTACAGATGTGAGCCATTTTTATTTATTTACTTAATTTTTCACTAAAGAACTTTCATTAAATTTGGCTCTGAATGCAGGTCAGTATCTTAGCAAGTTGTAATTTAGTAGAGCATTTCTAAGAACTCAAATCGAGTTACAGCATCTCAGCTCTTTAAATTAATCTAGGGTATATAGATACTATGATCATTTAAAAAAACAGATTTTCATTTGAATTGCAGATTAATGCTTGTTCTTTCAGATAAAGTTTGAACAAATATCTAATAGACTAAAACTTTGTATATTTTGAATTTTACCAAAGTGACTCAAAGACTGGGAAAGTATATTTTAGATTTTAATGATGAGGTCAAAATCCTGGGTTTGAGTTCTGCATAGTTAAGTAATTACATGGAAAATTTCTGTGCCAGGATCCCAGACCCCTGCAAATTGTATCACTTCTAAAATCAGTTACAGAGCTGAAGTTTTTAAAATGTTAATTTCTGGAGGCACCCCTTATCAGCTCCTGGAAAAAAGAATTAAAAATGTATCTAACATAATATAGCTTTTTCTATTTTCTGAAATGATTCTATTTTTTAAGAAGTAGTCAGCTTTGTTCTTTGCTAATTAAGTCTTCAAAGGTAGTGTCATTCAAAGTGGAGAAAAAAGTTACAGTGTAGATGTCAGGGAGAGAGGAAGCAGCTCTTTTAGATGATGGTAAACATGTGGCACCGATGAAAGAAGCCTGAATCCCTTACAGAGTTTGTCTCTGGGCTTGTCCGGCTCACTCCTGTTGCACCATGTAAGATGACAAGATTGCTTTCAGGTATACAGTATTTCCACTCATTTAATTTCCAGTTTTTTTAATGACTGATAAATATAACTCAAAAAGGAGCATTAAATAATAGGGCATTAAATAATCTCTATCTAGATTTAGTTGAATTAAGGGAAGAATTTGTCTGAGTGTAGAAAGTATAAAACAGTTAAAATGCATTTGTTTAAATGTGGGTAGAATTTAGGCTGAAGTGTTGCCTAGCAGATACAATGAATTTGATAATTGATTATAAGTTTTACATATATATGTAAGCAGATGAGATATTTCTAATGTGCTTCATCTGTAGTTTCTATAGTTTTAAGTAGCTGACAAATCTTGTTTATGCTCCCTATTGAATAATCTTTCTTAATGGACAGAGAAAGCAGAAGCTATTCACCTAGTTCTTCTTCCTGTTAATAAAATCTAAGTTTCACCCTGCATCTCAAAGTTAGCAAAATGGCGTACAGAAATTCTAAGAGAGTGGGAATTATGTGGTTTGTAAATTTCTTTAATTAGTGTGTTTTCCGTGAAACTGCAGTATATAATACAGGTAGAATAGGGGTTTTGGTCAGGGAATAGTGGAAAGCAGGGCTGGCGCTCCGCTGCACTCCAGGAGCATCATTCTAAAAGCCAGTGTTCCATGCTGTCATTAATGAATGTGGAGTCTTTTTTGGAGAAACAAAGGATAAATTACCCATCTATCTATCCTTTTTGTTACAGCTTTATGCTAATTATTTGCTTGTATGATAAACACTGACATTTCCTATCAGAATTATTTTAAATATATAAAGCCACTTTAAACATCACCAGGAATAATAATAGCACTGCTGGTTAGGGCACCCCGTAGGTCTAAAATAGTCTTCTTATCTTACCAAAGAGAACTTGCCTGACTTTGTAAGATTATGATAGCAAAGGCTACCTGAAAGGCAGTGCATGGAAGGTAAATTGTTGGGTATACCCAGTCCTGCCACAGTGTTGTTTCTCTCCCATGTTAAGACATACAGTCAGATTACAGTGACTTAGAGAATAATAACCACACTGAGAATAATTAAACATCAAGTGCTTATGGTGAAATGAGTCCACATTATCAGGCAAGTGTGGTTCCACTTGGGGCCTGACTTGGGAGACTCCCTTGTAGAGGATTCAAGATGCCCTCTGTGCTATTAATAATGGGAAATGGCTCTGTGACCTTGGGCAAGTTACTTAAGCTTGTTAACACTCTACCTGCCTGTAAAATGCTCCATTATAGAGTTGTTCTGAGGATGAATGAAGATGCTACATATAAAGTACACATTATAAATTGCCTATAGATGTTAAGCCATGGAACAATATCTTCCTTCAAAAGAAAGGGCAATAATTGGCAGTGCAGGTGTCATGAGAACCACACCTTTGTTCTGAACTTGAGTGAAACTCAAACTACATCAGGCATCATTTCACCATTTTAAAAGTAAATACTGGAAATGAAATGGACAAATTTCATCATTTTAACTATCAGCTGTTGAATGTCTCTGCTTTTGGATACTTTTCTTACCATTTTACCCAAAACAGAACCATCTTCACTTTTCAAAATCTGAAAAACAAAAAAGAGAAGGTAAAATGACTGAATACTGTGGTTTGTTTTTTGATCTTTTGTTTTCATGATTATTGCTTCTCTATCAGAATAAGAATATTTACAAACTGTACTGAATGCACTATTTACAACAGTGCTTACAAGTAGTGTCTAATGTAGATATAAATTGGGTATGATATGTTCAGAACATGTGACAGGGAATCATGTCAGGCAAAATTTACTAAAAGTTTATTGGTTAGTACAGTTGTTCTTTTGAGAACAAGAACATGACAGTTTAGAGGCAAGCTGAAATTTATTTATTTATTTATTTATTTATTTATTTATTTATTTATTTGAGACAAGTCTCGCTCTGTCTTCCAGGCTGCAGTGCAGTGGCGCGATCTTGGCCCACTGCAACCTCCGCCTCCTGGGTTCAAGTAATTCTGCCTCAGCCTTCCGGGTAGCTGGGATTACAGGCATGTCCACCACGCCCAGCTAATTTTTGTATTTCTAGTAGAGACAGGGTTTTACCATGTTGGCCAAGCTGGTCTCAAACTCCTGACCTCAAGTGATCTGCCTGCTTCGGCCTCCCAAAGTGTTGGATTACAGGTGTGACTCACTGTGCCTGGCCGGCAACCTGAGATTTAGAAAAGGAATAACTATTTCTAAGGAATTCTGAAGCACGTGTCACCAGCAGTTAGCTCTAACAAGAGATTTTTATTGATTATATGTCCAGTGTAGGAGTTCATTGGATTCTTTTAGAGAAAAAGTCTAAAAAAGAAGTACTATTGCAGGGGAGAAAAGATAATAAAAGGTTTTCAAATGGATGCCCTCGAGTAGCTGTAAAATAGCCTACATATTGTGGCAAGAGATGTGGACCTTTGGGTTTTATTTGTGATAAGTTCATAAGCTTACATCTTCTGTAAAATGTCACTTTCATACTTGGTCTATAGAATTCTCTAAAATCGACAGTAAAGAATATGCTATGGTACAGAATGTTGTCTTTGATACCAACCTTTAGATAATTTACTTAAAACTTCCTAGTATGTTTTTTAAAAAATCATTTTGGGTCCCTGTTCCTAAGCTTTTTACATTCTTTGGTGTTTGCAAGCCAGAAGGACCTCTTGGAGCTGTCAAGCTCCATTCTTCTTGCTGTACATAGAAGTAGTTTTCTTTATATTTGTCCTGAATTCACTTAGGTTTCAAGACATACCTCTCATTCTAGAATTCTAAGCACTTGGACTACAGTTCTTTAGTCATCATTAGCATTTATTATCTTAACTTTGTATTAGAAGAATCATTGTTTTAGTCTACCTGTAGCCTATTTCCACTGATTTTCTTTAGTTGTGTTATTTAAATGCAATGATTATGACCTTATAAATTATTCTAAGAGGAGATGCAGAGTGGCCTTGCAGTTCAGTACTGACCATTCTGCATGAAATCCAGCACTTACAACAATGCCAGACATAGAGTATATGTGCAATAAACGTTTGAGTTAATGAATCCCTTTAGGGCAGATTGTGGTTGTAATATTTTCAGTATTAAGTGACCAAGCATTCAGTTCTGGTAGTTTAGCTAAACATTCAGGTTTCATTTGAAGCTAATAAACAGACCACTGTGCAATCCAGGAAGACCGGTTTGTTCACTTTCCCATCCAGTAGTAATTAACTTTTGTAGTTGTGTTTATATAGAGTAAAGGTCAAAGGAAAAGGTGTATTTGAAGCAGTTACAGCAATTGGTTTGCAATAGTGAAAGATTTTCAGTATGCTAATTAAAAAGGGACAATTCAAATGGGATATTATAAAATGTAAACTGTTCTTTTTGTAAACAGCTTTATTGAGGTATAATTGGCATCCAGTAAACTGCACATTTAAAGTGTACAATTTAATCAGTTCTGACACGTACACCCATGAAACTTTCACCCCAATAAGGATGATGAACATATCCATCACCCCCCAAAATTTCTTTGTATGGCTTTGTAATCCTTCCTGCATGCTCCTTTGCCCCTGTTTCCAGGCAACCACTGATCTGCTTTCTGTCTCTGTAGATTAGTTTGCTTGTTCGAGGGTTTTGTATAAGTGGAATCATGTTGTATGTACTCTTCTTTGTTTGACTTCTTTCAGTCAGCCTAATTATTTTGAGATTTGTCCATGTTGTTGAGTACATCAATAGTTCATTTCTTCTTAGACATAGTTGGTTGTGTAGATATGCCACAATTTGTATATCTGTTCACTGTTTTTGTTGTTGTTGTTGATGTGTTTACTGTTGATGGCCATTTGGGTATTTCCAGTTTTGGGCTATTACAAATAAAATCAATCTGAACATTTATATGCAAGTCTTCGTATGGACTCTGTTATCTCTTGAGTAAATACCTAGGAGTAGGATGGATGGGTGTCTGTTTAACTTTTTTTTCAGAACTGCCAAACTGTTTCCAAGTTGTCATTTCCTTTTATATTCCCAACTGCAGTACATGAGAATTCCAGTTGCTCTGTGTCTGGAATTTGGTATGGTCAGTCTTTTCACATTATTCATTCTAATAGATGTGTAGAAGTAGCTCATCGTGGTTTTAATTTGCATTTTCCTAATGACTAATGGAGTTGAGCATATTTTCATGTACTTATTTGCCAATAGTTGGTAAAGTATCAAATCTTTTATATGTTTATTGGGTTGTTTGTTTTCTTATTATTACTGAGTTTTGAGAGTTCTTTGTATACTCTGGATATAGATTATCAGATTTATGATTTGCAATATTTTATCTCAGCCTATGACTTATCTTTTCACCCTCTTAACATTCTTTCAAAGAGCAGTTCTTAATTTTGATAAAGTTCAATTTATCAATTTTTTATTTTATGCATTGTGTTTTTGGTGTTAGAACTAGGAGCTCCACCTAACCTGAGGTCAGAGAAGGTATCTCCTTTGTTTTCTTGTAGAATTTTGATAGTTTTGGGTTTACACTTTGGTATATGACCCATTTTGACTTAAATTTTGCAATATGGCCCATTTAGATTTAGTTGTTGCATGTGGTGAAAGATGTAGATCAAAGTTCATATTTCTTGCATATGGCTATTTAGTTGTTCGAGCACCATTTGTTGAAATGACTATTCTCACTTCACTGAGTTGCCTTTGCATCTTTATAAAAAAATCAGTTGTTCATAAATGTGGGCCTATTTTGGCCTCTGTTTTGTTTCATTAATCTATTTGTCTTCACACCAGTACCACACTGTCTTAATTATTGTAGCTTTATAATGAGTCTTGAAATCTAGTAGTGTTAGTCCTCCAACTTTTTAATTTTTTACAAAGTTGTTTGAGCTATTCTGGGTCCTTTGCATATCCATTTGGAGTTTAGAATCAGCTTTTCAAGTTATACAAAACAGCCTGCTGGGATTTTTGACTGAGATATTGATAGTCAGTTTGGAGAGAATTGACTTCTTAACAACATTAAGTCTGGGTCTTCCAAACCAAGAACATGTTATTTCTCTCAATTTATTTATATTTTTTAAAATTTCTCTAGGCAGTGTTTTTAAAGTAGAGATCTTACACATCTTTTGTCAGATTTATTCTAAATATTTTGTATTTTTTGGTGTTATTAAAATAGTATTTTTTAAATTTTCAATATAAAATTACGTGGGTTTTTTTGGTGGGTTTTTTTTTTTTTTTAAGACAGAGGGTCTGTCACCCAGGCTGGAGTGCAGTGGTGTAATCTCAGCTCACTGCAACCTCCGCCTCCTTGGCTCAAGTGGTCCTCCTAAGAAGCTGGAACCACAGGTGCATACCACCATGTCCGGCTAATTTTTTTGTATTTTTTGTAGAGACAGGGTTTCACCCTGTTGGCCTGACTGGTCAAGTGATCTATCTACCTCGGCCTTCCAAAATGCTAGGATTACAAGTGTGAGTCACCATGCCCAGCCGTATTCTGCATCTTTTCTTTTCTTTTTTTTTTTTTTTGAGACAGAGTCTCACTGTGTCGTCCAGGCTGGAGTGCAGTGGCACGATCTCGGCTCACTGCAGCCTCCGCCTCCTTGGTTCCAGCAATTCTCCTGCCTCAGCCTCCCAGGTAGCTGGGATTACAGGCACACACCACCACGCCCAGCTAATTTTTGTATTTTTAGTAGAGATGGGATTTCACTGTGTTGGCCAGGCTGGTCTCGAACTCCTGACCTCAGGTGAACCCACCTCGGACTCCCAAAGTGCTAGGATTACAGGTGTGAGCTGCTGTGCCCAGCCATTCTGCATCTTTTCTATACTCACTACTAGCTTTTTTTGTAGAGTTTATTGGATTTTCATAATCATGTTATTTTTAAACGAAGACAGTTTTACTTCTTCCTTTCTAATCTGAGTGCCTGTTACTTATTTTTCTTGCCTTATTGAACGAGCAGAACCTCTAGCAGAGCCTGTGTAATGTTGAATAGAAATGTAAAAGTGGACATGCTTGTCTTGTTCCTCATATTAAAGGGAAAACACTAAGTCTTATTATTAAGTGTGATGTTAGCTATAGGTTTATTGTGGACTCCTTTATCAGGTTGAGGATGTTCTCTTCTATTCCTAGTTTGCTGAGAGTTTTTAATCAGGAATGGATGTTGGATTTTGTTAGATATTTTTGAGCATCTATTGAGATAATCATATGGTTGTTATTTTTTAATTCGTTAATAGGGTGAATTGTATTGTGTATCGCATGGTAAACCAGCCTTACATTCCTAGGATAAACCCCATTTGGTCATGTACCTTTTCTTATGTGTTGAATTTAATTTGTTAAAATTTTGTTTAGAATTTTTATATCTCTGCTCATGAGGGACATAAGAGCCTCTTCTAGTGTCTTTGGTTTTGGTATCAAGTTAATGCTGGCCTAATAGAACAAGATGGGGAGGATTTTCTCCTGTTCAATTTTATGAAAGAATTTAGATAGAATTGGTATTACATTTTTCCTTAAACATCTGCTAGAATTCACCAGTGAAGCTATTTGGATCTAATGTTTTCTTTGAGAGATTTTAAACTACAAATTCAATTTTTAAAATAGATCTGTGGTTATTCAGGTTATTTATTTCTTCTTGAGTGAGTTTAGTAGTATCTTTCAAGGAATTTGTCCATTTCATCTAAGTTGTTGAATTTATTGGCTTAAAGTTTTTCATAATATTCCCCTATTAGCATAGAATCTATGATGACGTTGCCTCTCTCACTCCTGATATTGGTAATCTGTGTCTTCTCTCTTTTTTCCTGATCAGTCCAACTGGAGGTTTATCAATTTTATTTACCTTCTCAAAGAACCAGCTTTTGGTTTATTGATTTTTCTCGATTTTTTTGTTTTCTGTTTCATTGATTTTTCTGCTCTTTTCTTCACTGCTTTCTCTTTTCTGCTTACTCTCTCTGTGGGTACACATAATTATGTAGGGTTTTTTTTTTTTTTTGCTAAGTTTTTCTGATTTTAAGGGTAAAGTGTAGTTCATTTCAGATGCTGATTTGAGCTGTTTCCTCTCTAAGACATATAAGATATTGAGGCTCAGAGAAGTTAAGACACAAAGTTAAGATATATAGCCTATGTCCTTTTTCTTATAGTGTAATAACTATGGTAGAAGCAAGTAGAGGTGCAGAGGGAATACACAGAATAGTGCTTAGCTTGTGAGGAGTGGCATGAGGAGAGCCCCTTGGAGAAGTTGGTGTCTCAGGTATCGTATTTTGGTGAATTCTATGGATAAATCTATCAGACCAAACCCAAATTATTAGTTCTTAAAGTTTATTTTACATTGACTACACATCTCCTTCTTGGTTGCTGTATTGTGAAAAATGAGTTAGAATATGCCAGGAGTAATTTTGCACACAGCTGATGTTCCTTTGGGTTTGATTGACAAATCTACTTTCAATTTCTATTAACACTGTTTGTGGTGGTCATGGTAACTGTAGCTGTAATAGTTTTGGCAAGTGTTGCTGACAAGATTCTGTTGAAGAGGAGGAAAACTTGGGGGTAGAGTGAGGTGAGATTATTATAAAGATCTACATCAGTATCCCACTGAAAACTTAGGGTCACTTAGTAACAGGTATTTCTCCAATAAACTATTCCTTGTTTAAGACAAGTTCTGAGTTTTTTTAAAAAAGGATTTTCATCATTAAAAAGGCATAGAATTCTATGATTTTTTAAATAAGTGGAGTGAAACCAGCCTAATGTAATAACATCTTCTCAGTGTCCCTATTAGAAAGTTTGAGTTCCTCTCCAATTTAAATCAAGGTACTATATTTAGGTATTTTGAAAAATACATAACAGCTGTTTGCTGAGAGGCACTAATGGGACTGGTGGTCAATTGTAGGGAAGAAACAAAAGGAGAAAAATAGAGGAGTTATTTTCAAATGGCCATGAGGGCAGAGGGTTTGTGTGTATTATTTTAGTTTCTCTTTAAAGAAAAATAAAGTGCAACCTGAGTCTTTTTAAAAAAAAAAAAAGAAATTGTGGTTGAAAGAGCAAGCTGCTCCTTTGATAGTTTGATTTTCAAAGTTAAAACTTAATTTTGTAGAGGAGAAAACAGCAAGTGGGCTAAGCAGCTAGTTTTGTGACAGTGCAAGAACCAGAATCCAGACTCTTGAGTCAGGAAACTGGGTTCTAATCCTGACTCTTAATCACGGGCTTAACGTCGCCTCTTCATTGGTAAAGTGGAGATGATAATGATACCTTTCTTCCAGTTGGGGGTGAAATGACAAAATGTGTTGAGTTATCACTCGTACATGTTTAATATTTTGGGTAGGGAACCATTTTCCCCCCTCTCAAGGACTCAAGAAAATAATTAAGGGTCATATACAGATAAGAAGATATTTACTTTAGAGTTTTTGTGTTTTCTAGAGTAAATTCAACTCACCCACCACATCTACGTTTAGACTTACAGATATTATTTATTCTAATTAAACAAATGCAACTGAATTTCCATGTGTTTATACTTGCTTTAAAAACTGTTAGCTCTTCAGTGTTAAAGATTGGCTCTTTAGTTTCATTTGTTCTCAAACTTTCTGTGTCCAGCAAACAATGCAGTATGTTAAAACATGGTATTATTTCTCTTGTTACATGCCTTGGAGTTTAATAATATTCACATAGTATGTGTGTCTGCCTTTTTCCCTTTCATGGTAGGTACTTTAGAATGTGCAGTTTTCTCTATCTGGGGGCATGCTGTTGCATTAGCTTTAAGGTGAAAGGAGAAGGTGAAGTAGAGCATGTTGAGTGATACAAAGTCTTGGAGTAGAGAGACCATTTGTATATCAGCTCCCTTTGCCAGGAGTGCCCTCTCTTTCTTCCACATCTGCCTCTACTTTACAATCTTATTCTTTGAGACTCAGCTCCAGCACTTACTTCCTCTGGGATCCCTTTGCTGATCCTTGGCCAGTTGTGTTAAAACCCCTCCCTCTGCACACCTCCTTGCTTTCACAGCACTTTGCTCTCATCTAATATTCTTTACCACACTATGTTGTGATGTCTGTTTTCTTGTCTGGCTTCCTTACTTACCTTAAAGTCAGGGAATAGATCTTACTCATCTCCATATCCCAGCACCCAGCAAAACTCCTGATCAAAGGTGCTCAGGGAAATTTTATTGAATAGGAAGCCTTGAGTTCAGCGAATAAAGTTCAGAGAGTGATGAGAATATACAATTTATCCTAACAAGGGTATTTCTTCTTCCATATTTGGAGGGGGGATATGGGGGAGGGTGTTTGTTTGTTTTTTCACTAAGGAAATGTCTGAGCTGTAAGAATGAGTTCAGGGATTTCCTTAGTGCCCTTGACAGCCCTTGTGCCTTTACTCAGTGCTGATTAGATTCAGGGACTTTATGGGACCCTGGAATACACCCATGGATTCCTGTTTCCATTGCTGAAATCAGGAGAAATGGAATCCTGCTGCAGTGTACTACACACTGCAGTTATACACATTGGCCAGTTTGCTACAAATATAGTCTGCTTCTAATGCCTTCGTCAAAGTCAGTCCAGCCAAGGATTGGCATAAATTAGCCCAGTTTGCTACAAATATAGTCTGCTTCTAATGCCTTCGTCCAAGTCAGTCCAGCCAAGGATTGGCATAAATTAGGTGTTGAAATAGAAATTATTGAAATTGAAAGAGTAGCAGTTTTAAAGAGGCAACTGGCCTCTGTTTCTCTATCTTTACTGTAGAGAAATATTAAGAATTTAAGCTCTCTGCAGTCAGATGAATTTGTAACTTCCCTGTGGGAGAAACTCTGCCTGGTTTCTGGCTGCTGAGACATAGAAACCATGATTTAGTATTGGCTGGGATTGAGGAAAAAAATAATGAAATGACATGATAAAGTGACATTTGTACTGAAGTATAATCTCCCTACTTCATAGATGACAGTTTCTTTTCAGAGGGTGCTCTTAACCAGAGTGAAAAAACTTATAAAAATTACAAATGAATTTTGACATGTTATAGAGTGGAGGGTGTGTTTAGGTATGAGGCCAGGCCCTGAACTGAAATTTAGCCAGAAAGACTGAACACTGTGTATTTATTCAGATAGGAAGGACCCCTAAAGGTGTGACTGTCTGGGCTGAGCATAGAATGAGCACTTTCTCTTTCATTACCTTTTCACCATTTCTAAGGGTTTCTGATAGAGACATCAGGGAGCAACATGACATGGTCTCATTTACTCCTGAAATTCATGTTCTCCACAGCAGCAGAAGCACTGGTGAGCAAGTAGACTTTACAAGGAAGCTTATCCAGTAGACTGATGCCTGTACATTTTACACTCAGGCAGGATGACATGGTGCAGTTCTGTGAGTCTCTTCCTGTAGCAGAGCCTTAGCTTTCAGATGTATCAATAAATCTCAGTACTATTTGAAGGCTTCATTATTCAAAGTGTTGGGGTTTCGCTTTATAAACAAAAAGTACCCCATTTGTCATAAGGAATCCAAACAAAAAAATGAGAATTGTTTTCGTTTATATGCAGTTATTTCCAGCAGTAAGTTGTGAGAAAGGTTTTTAAAACATAAGCATGAGAACCTCAGTAAATTTTATATGAAATCTTTTCCTTTAGGATTTACTTAATGCAGGGATGTAGGCACCGCAGTCCATTTTCACGGAATAGCTATTCCATTCATTGGATAGCCCTCCCAATTCGGATGTTTGATTGATCATATCTACATTTTGTTGGCCTGCCATGTTGAAGACATTGTAGCTGAGTAGTTAGAGGACACATGGCACTGAAGCGTATTGACATTTCTGCTTCGTTATCCTTGTTAGAACTTAGGGCTGTCAGGATGCCATCAGTGCCCCTTTCTTGGTCTGATAATTAGGAGTGGAGGGAGTGGATGAAAGTACGAGGCCATCTGTTTAAAAAAAAGTAAGTGAACTGATGCCCAGAACTAATGGAAAATTTAGTGTTATAGAAGTCAGTAAACTCTCAGAAAGTGAGCATTCTAATTAAGAATGAAAAATGGAACCCATTATTTCTTTCCTTTGAGTGAAAATAACTGAGCTGATAGAGGCCTTGGGAAGTTCTCATACTACCCCTTGTACCTCATTGCTGTCTTTTAAATTAGACCAGAGAAGTTTCTCCTTTGTCTCTTTCCTAAATTGTTGATGACATCTTTTATAAAAGGTCATCAGAAAGGAATGATGTTTACTTTAAAAAAAGAAAAGTTGCACTTTGTATAGCTATGCCCTGATTAGATGTATCCTTCTCTTATGATTTTTTTTTTTTTGAGACAGGGTCTCGCTCTGTTGCCCAGGCATCAGTGCGGTGGCATAACCATGGCTCACTGCAGCCTTAAACTCCTGTGCTCAAGTAATCCTCCTGCCTCAGCCTCCCGAGTAGCTGGAACTATAGGCACGTGCTACCGTACCCAGCTAATTTTTAAAATTTTTTGTAAAGATAGGGTCTCACTGTGTTGCCCAGGCTGGTCTCAAACTCCTGGCCTTAAGTGATCCTCTCACCTCAGCCTCCCAAAGTGCTGGGATTACAGGTGTGAGCCACAGCACCTGGACTCTTAAGGGTATTTTAGATTTGTGAATTAATAAGATGCTGTCCTTTTGTCAATGAAAACTCTAGTACTTATGAAAAAATAAGCTTTACTGTCATTATTAAAGTTAAGGTGTTCTTAAAGACGTAAAGTTAAAATGCTGTCATTCTGTCTCTTCACACTAAGAACAAAAAGCAAGTGATTGTGAAGTATTTCAGTGGGTTGAACCTTAAGGTAGAGCTTGCCTTTCCTAGTATTATAAGGAGCACTTTCCCTAGTTGCTATGGAAACAAATATGAATTGTTGAAAGTTATGGTGTAGATTGTGATACAGATCTGCTGTGAAAGATAGATGTTGCAAACTAAGTCTCTTAATGCTACCACAATAATGATTTCAAGAACAGATATTTACTGTACACTTGTGTGTGTGGTAGGTACTGTGCTAGAAACCTGGGAATGGAGGTGAAAAGGCAAGGTTCTCAACCCCATGGAGCTCAGATTCTCCTGGTAAATAATAAACAGACACATGGACTAGAGCAGGAGGTAGATAGAATGGCAGTGAGTGCCAGGTGCAGTGGGAGTGCTGCTGAGGGGAGTTGGGGAGTGCTTGCCGTGACTTTAAGGATGTGTAGCAATTTGCCAGTAGAGAGGTGGGACGAAGGTGGTGTTCCTACAAGGGAAACTGCATAGGTAAGGGCTGAGAGGTGAGGAGTTACTTTAAATCAGTTCTTTCAAATCACTATACTTCTTACCTATACTGTTAAGAAATATTTGGGGGATCTTAAATTTTTGAATTCATGGGCTGATCGAGTGTAGACTGAATCAGCTACGCCACTTGACTGTAACTATGTGAGTGAGTTATTTAGCCTCTCCAAACCTCATGGGGTTGCTGTGAGGATTAAATGGGAGACTCTCTGTAAAGGGTAGAGCTCAAAGTTTGACATTTAGTAAGCTCTAAGTAAACATGAATTGCTTTTTGGCAGTAACAATATTATCTTCTGGTAATTTTGAAGGCTTTTGTAAGAGTGAGGGTATCATGTTTTTAAAACATTTCCCATGCTTGCTGGATGACAAATCTTGTTTGTAGTACCCTATTGAATACCTAGTATGAGGTCAGCATTGGGCTGGGACTCAGTGAGGGGAATTATACATCGCTCCTATCCCTAGGCAGCTTCCAACTTAGTTGAGAATGAAAATGGACAAATAGAAAATAAGAGTAAAATTGTATGTTCAAGTGTGCTAAATGGCTGCATACAGGTTTTCAGTATATCACAGTAGTAGTATTGCTTGTGTGGCCCATTTACTGTTTTCCAGGAGGTCTAGGCGTAGGTTACCAGAGAGAAACAGAACATAGAAATGGCAGTTAAAACCAAAAGAGTTGAAAACTCAGAAAAAAAATTTAATAGAAAAGAGCTTAGCTGGGTATGGTGGCACATGCCAGTAATCTCAGCTACTCGTGCGGCTGAAGCAGCAGAATCACTTGAACCTGAGAGGTGGAGATTACAGTGAGCCGAGACCGTGCCACTGCACTCCATCCTGGGTGACAGAGCAAGACTCTGTCTCAAACAAAAAAACAAAAACGGAGGAAAAAGTCTTTTCTGTGTGGTGGACCTGCTGGCCGTAAGAGAGAAGCAGTTGCCTCTGTGGTGTGATTCTGGGGCTCACGCCTAGAATCTCTCTCCCATTCACGCCTAGAATCTCTCTCCCATGGAATTGAAATTCCATCATTTTGCAGGACCACCAGGAGTAGCCAACCACACATCTGTCATTTTCATTTTAGCACGAAGGGGTTTATCATATTATTTCCAGACAATAGTTTTGGACCAGATACAAGGTTTAAGAACACTAGGCATAGAATAAATGGTGAGCACAGTTGGGGAAGAGGGGTGAATGTACTAGATGACAGACTTCATTTTGGTCTCTAGGACACTCTCCAACAAATAGTTCAAGAACCAATTCTGCATGACTGCCCTGTGCCAGCTACTGTGTTAGAAACTAGGGATAGATGCATAGGTGAAAAGATGAGCTCCTCCACCTCCGTGAGCTTTAGGCTTATGGACAGATGGAAAGATAAAGATAAACAGATAAATGTAATGCACATGGGGAACAGTTGCTGGAGAGGAGGATACAGGGTCAGCATACCCAGTGTGAGGTACACCAAGGAAGAGGGCACAGTAGGTGTTGTTGGGATCTGTAGAAGACATGCCTGCCTTTGGTCTAACACCACTTTATCGTCTTCTCCAAGTGTCTAGTCCCAGGTAAGGACAGGGAGACCTGAACTTTCGTTTCAGATATTGGCCACCCCTGCCTTCTATTCCTATCACTGCGTCTCTACCAGGGACCCCTTTTCTGCAGTGGGTCCAGGCCACAGCAGTGGACTGTGGTTCTTCCAGGGTTGGTGCTTAGAGTAAATTGAGCTAATAATTTCTACCTGGCTTCAGTCTTTAGACCAGGGTCACATGCTTCTGGGAGCCCTGGATCTGAAAGAACTGCTGGGCCCGATGCTAGATGCTGTGAAGGAGTAGTATTGGGGTGGGTTAAAGAACATTCAGGAAATGGAATTATTTACAGTTTTGCATGTCTCTATTGCTCTTTCTTAGACAGAACAAGTATATATGGAGTCCTCTACCACATGTGAATCTTGAATATTTGAATAAGATGAACTTCTAGCGTTCAGGAAAGAACACTGTGAGGACATGAGGTTGAGTTTCATCATAAGCTTAAGTTCATTTAACAACCCTTGATAGAACATTTCTAAATGCATAGTGGTAACATACTGAATTATGCAGGGAGAGAATTTAGAGCCAATGGACAACATAATCATCTGTCTGGCTGTGTACATGTTAGCTGTTAAAGTCAATATGTGAGAGATGGTCAAGTAAGCTAACTGCGGGGGAACTTGGCCACTTTGTAGAAATTTGGAAAGTAACATTTAAGACTCCTACCCCAGGAGGTTACTTCTCTCTCCCCTTGGATTGGAGATTCTGGATGCATTTTATTTTTATTTTTAAAGAGAATACTCAGTTATTTCTCAGAATAGAAAATAATTATTAGAGTTACATTCTGAAAAGCTGTAGTTATTGGTGAACTTATTATGTGTGTGTTCATATGTTTTAATCAAAATGATTTCATGATGATAGCAGCAACTTCACCAACAAAGAAAACCTTTCCCCCATCGTCTCCCCTGCCGAATACAGTAGCTTGATATTTGGGACTTTTAAGGCCAGAAGTGTTAATGTCTGTTATTTACTGGAAGCATATGTGCACCCCTCTGTAGTAATTCGAAAATTGTATAATCCATTTTAAACTTTGTACCCATTTCTATTTTATTTGTCATTTTTTCTATTCCTGGCTTGATTTAAGTAGCAAAATTATTAGAAGAAATTGATCTTTAAAGGATTTAAGGCTTACCTGTCCAAAGGCTTAAATATAATTTCTTCATTGTTTCTTAGCAATTTCTATAAAAATATGGTATTATTTTTATACAGGAAGCTGAAAAAGCAGGCTGTTCCCAAGGAAGCTGTTGTGTAGTTCCTTCCTTTCTAAAGTTTAAGCTGAATGCTTTTCCTCACTCTAAGTTCAAGGGCTTAGTTTACACGCATAAAAATAAACTGAACAGCACCTGCCACTTAGTCACAAAAGAGAATGTCTCGAAGCCACTAAGCAAACGGATGTACTCAGTTTAAGTTTCTGAGATGCTTGAAGTGTGTGGTTAAAAAAAAAATTTAATTTCAAAATGAATAGTATGAGGATATCAAGAAGAAAACATAAACCAAAAGGTGAGGTTTGATACCTGAATTGGGTACATTTTAATTGCAGAATTGTCATCACTGCAGATACTGGTACTTAATACGTTCAAATAGTTCAGTACTGTCCACTCTAAATAGCTATTTTAATATGGACAGCTTGCCAAAGTCCGTGGTACCTTGTTAAAGTCCTTGTTGACACCGATGGAGAAGATGAGATCACCAAGTTGTCCATTTTTATTTAGTATAAGTAATTGTCCCTGGTTACCATAAGAACCGTGGAAGCTATGTTTTTGTAAACTTCTTTCAAAGTTCTGAAGTCAGTAGGAAATTATCTAGAAACTCCTGTTTTATTCATGAATGTTGCCTGTAAAGAAATGTAGAGGCCCTGCTAAAAATTATAGAGTACTTCTTGTTGTCAGTAGAGTACTATGAGCTGACAGTATAAAGAATATCAAATACAAATTCCAGTGTTTGCCAGGGAACCATACACATGGCTCAAGATTTTCATCACAAATCAGCCAAACAGCATCTTAAATTCTGTTCCTGAGTCAGAAAAGGAGAGGAAAAAGGAAACCATAAGGGTCAATATGGTTTGCCCTTTAATCTCAAAATCATTTTAATGATCCTTAGAGTAGAGCTTGTGTCTTATTTACTCTACTACCTTGAAATATGGACTTACTAGAAACATCAAAACAGTGTCTGGAGAAGTCTCAAAGTCTGAGCTGGGCTCCCTATGAAGGGGCAAGGCAAGCTTATCTTCAGGAAAGTCCTGGGGTAAAGCCAGACCAGCAGCCTTGAAGCCCTGGTGGCTGAGAGCTAATCCTCCTGGACCAGATATGTGCAGAGGCCAAAACCACATGGCTGGTTCCCTGGTAGAGTTTTTGACAGTGCGAGTTTAGGCCTTGGGTCAGGGTGGGCAAATAGGAAACTGAGAATGGATCCTATAAGAGGCGGTGGAGTAGTGAAGGAGCTCTGAAGGCAGTCAGGGAGGTAGGGTTCTAGTGCCAGCTTTGTCAGCAACTAGTTTTGTGACATTAGACAAATCTCTTCATGTCTTTGGGCCTCCACTTCCTCATTTATAAACTGGGGGAGCTGAATCCCATAACCTCAGAGGTCCTGGCCCCTTTAAGCTTCAAAGTGCTGTGATTCCAGGCTCTCTACCAGTACAGTGCCATGCCTTCCATTTTGCAGCAGCCACACCACCCTCTCCTGGAATTTCGGCTTGAAACTCATCCACAGCATGCCATCAGTCACCAGGTTCTGTCCATTTTTTCTCTAGGAAATGTCTTGTCTTTTTCCTTTCTCCTCCTCGCTGCTCCACGTGAGACCAGGCTTTAGTTATATTTGTCAGGATGACTACATCATCCTCTTGCCTTCCACCCTTTCTCTGCCCCAAGGCCCCAAACTTGCCCCTATTCCCAGCGTGAATCCCTCCTTTCCCATCCTGTCCCGTCCCATCTCATGCTCTGAATCTCGTCTCCCTTAAACAGTACTTCCATCATGAGCATTTTCTTGCTCAGAAATCATCAACCTGCTCTGTGGTTTTTAAGATCCTCTGTAATCTGATCCCACCCTATCCATCTAACTTTGTTTTCTCTTTCTAACACACCCTGCAGTGTAACAATACCGATTTTTTGCTGTTTATATGAGCATTCCATGTTTTTTCCTACTTCTGTAACTTCCTTTGTTTCTTTCCCCTAAATACCTTAGCCTATAAATTTAAGAAATTGAGAGGTAAAAAGAGATAGGATAACTGAATAAAGTTCTGCAGATTGGAGGTGCAGGTGGTAGAGGGAGAGGTGGGGTTAACCCTGGAAAGAAGAAAATAACATTTGGGAGGCAGCAGGGAAAGACAAGTAGATGTTAAACATGCAGAGATTTTGAGTCAGAGAGAAGGAAGTTTTAAGAAGCTTGCTCACATCAAGTGGCCTTTGCCCTTAATAAAATAGAAGCCAAGCTCATCTGCTCAGTGATGAGGGGGTGGTGCTGGGTCCTGAAGGAGGTAGAAAATCCCCACTTGCTGTGGACATTGAGGTGAACATTCACTAGAGGTGAATAAAGAACTTCAGAAACATTGAGAATCCAGTTGAAGTTGCTTAACGTGAATTTGGTGGACTCATTTCAGTTTTCTGGATGTGCTTGGTGCTTGGCTTCAAGGACCTGCATGGGCAAACTGAGAGTTGGGTATTGGTATTGCTGAAGTGGCTCTATCCCCTCTACCACCCACTGCCAGCTTCTAACCTATATGAAGAGGCAAACAAGAGGGAGGGGCTGACTAACCTGGAAGAGGGAGGTGCTGAAGCCTCAGAGAGGTGTTGTGTCCATTCATCGTTCACTCCCTGGTTCCCCCTTTTTCTCGGTCCTCTGGCGCCTCTTTCTACCTTTCACCCTCAATTGATGGCTTTGCTTCCAAATGCTGAAAACACAGAAGGAATGAGAAGAGAACATCTGCAGACTCCACTGCCACACCCACCTGGGTGTGTGCTTGTGCTCAGCTGTCCCTCCATACGGTGGCTGGGCGCTCTGAGCTCCCGTCCAGGGCGCTCCTTCTTACTGGGTACCATCCCCCCTGATCTCTCAAGGGCATTGCTTCACTGATTTGTGTCCTCCCACCCCATCAGTTCTTCACTGTTCAAGGGCAGTGTGGAGTAGGGGCAGAGTGGGATTTAATCAGTGCTGAAGCTCTGCCGAACAGGTATAAAGAAACAATGGGGTTTAAATGAGTGACCCTGAAGCAGAAAGAGTAAGAGCCCATATCAAGGGAGGTAGGAAAGGAAAAAGGTGGCAGGATCAGTGGTGTGGAGACCCCGGTGGGATTAACGGATTGTTGGATCCAGAATTTGAGAGATAGCTAGGAGGCAGTGGTCAGAGGTAGGTGCGTGAAACTGGGGAGATCACGGAGTGTTCCTGGTTTAGGGAATGATCATGAGGTGAGTGGCTGAGGAAGAGTGGATGACGGGGTTCAAAGGTAGGAAATTCAAAGCTGAGGGCTCCAGAGAGCTGGCAGGAAGAGTGGTTTGGAAACAACAGTGATGAGCTGGCTCGCCTCCAAGCCTAGTAAAGCAGGAGGATTGTGAGAGGCAAAAATCACCACCACTTAAAAGGGCTGCAAAGGAAGCAGTGTCTTCCAGGTGAGAGCCAGGTTTCCCTGCTTCTTCTCTTATTCCACCACAGTCTGTTCTTCACATAGAAGTCTGATGTTTTCATTTCTATCTGTCCAGGCCTGTGTGACCTGACCTCTAGCTGAGTTTGCTGTTTCTGCTCCAGGCACTGGCCTGCTTGGTGTGTTGAGCACACCAGGGATATTTTTGCCTTGGGGGCCGTTTGCACTTGCTATTGCCATCCAACACTGTTCTCCAGGTATCTTTATAGCTTATTCCCTCACCTCCTTCTGGTCTGTGTTCCAGTGTCTCCATGGACAGAAGTGTCAGGGCTTCTCTGGACACCCTATCTGAAATGGCACTCTTCCTGCCAAGCAGTTACAACCCCTTTTCCTGCCTTAGTTTGTTCTTCAGCACCTACCACAATTTGACAGTATATATTTTACTTATTTACTTATTGGTATATTACACGAGGGCAGAAATTTCTGTCTAGGTTATTATGTCTTTATTTTTTAATTTTTATTTATGTATTTATTTTGAGACAGAGTTTCACTCTTGTTGCCTAGGCTGGAGTGCAATGGCGTGATCTCGGCTCACTGCAACCACCGCCTCCCAGGTTCAAGCCATTCTCTCACCTCAACCTCCCAAGTAGCTGGGATTACAGGTGCCTGCCACCACACCCAGCTAATTTTTGTATTTTTAGTAGAGATGGGGTTTCACCAGGATGGCCAGGCTGGTCTCAAACTCCTGACCTCAGGTGATCCACCCGCCTTGGCCTCCCAGAGTGCTGGGATTACAGGCGTGAGCCACCACGCCCAGCCTATGTCTTTATTTTTTTAATTGCTTTTCCCTACACCTAGCAGAGAAATTGCCAAATAGCAGATGTTTATAAATATGAGTTGAATGTAGAATGAATGAACGAATGGATCAGTAAACAGGTACAGGAGGCCTAAAGAAGGAGGAAATGATTTATTCGCAGTAGGTGATTTCAGAATTCAGGATCTAGAGTGGGTGTAGGATGTGATTGTTATTGTGGGAGGTTGAAGTGGAGAGAATGGGATGATTCCTGTTGTTGAGGAAGCTGAGTTACTGGGACATTGGATAATTAGAAGGAATTCCAGCTCCTAGCTCGATGGCGGGAGACAACATGGAGAGAAAAACTACCAGTCAGGCCCATAATCATTAAGGAATTTAGGAGGGGCTGGGTGATCAATAGAGAACTCTAACAAAAATTAGAGAAGGGGGTTGGTTTAAAAAAAGCATATCCACAAAGAAAGTAGCAGTTATGAGGTGTTGCCCTCTCCCTACATCAAGCTTGTTTTGTTTCCTTAAATTTTCCAGGTACATTTAGTTAAATGTAAACTCTTCTGGTTTCATAGGTCTCTTGAATTTTTTTTAGAATAAAAAAATTACATACATAGAACTAATGTGTCAATGCTAGTTTTTAAAAGTCTGTTAACTCTGACATGGGATACCAAGAGCCTGTCAGTAAAAATAGTTGCTATGGATTGCCAGTTCCTTTGGATCTTTAGGGTCAAGTACTAGTATTTGCTTTTCAAACTGTAATAGGTTCAAAATACAGAGTATGATTTATACTGATATATTTGTGGTTGGAAACTTTAATGTTGCCAATGTCTTCCCAATTGACATCTGAATATCTCAATTATGCTTCTGGTAAATTTATTATTTTAAAATGCCCTGCCAGACCATAGTGCTTTACAAAGTTGGCAGCATATTGCTGATGACCTAATTTTTTATTTGGACTCATTGTAAATGTTCTAAATGTTTCAGTATAGAACTATTCATTTTACCCATTTGAAGAGCATTTTAGGTATGTTTTAATACATGGAAGGATTATTTTCTTCTAGCCCAAATAAGCAAAAAACTTTTAAGTATGTATTTTCAATCTCAATTCCCACATTTATTCTATTTTTAGGTTCCAGCTACCTTCCAGAACATCAGAAAGAGTAGTCCAATTTCAAATAGGATTTCTTCTGGGTAAAAGCTCGTTTCCTGCCTGCACTTGAGGCTGCGTTCCACCATGCTTGTGCTGGCTCTGAGTTTTGCCTCCCACCCTCAATTTCAACCATTATTTTATCCTATTCTCTGGTTTGCTTCAGTTCAGTTTCTTCCTCTCTGTAGTTTTTTTGGACCAGTAATTTCTAATTATCCTGTAGGTCTCAGTTTAAATGTTGCATTTTCAGGGACGTCTTTGTAGATTCCTTTCTAGTGCATTGGGTCCCCGCTGCTGTGTATTGTCATCACTGTGCTTTCCCATCATAATATTGTTACACCTTACTGTAATTATATGCTTCCTGTCCAAATCCATAACTTCCAAGGGGCTATCTGGCTACCTTGTCTGTCTTGTTAATCGCTGTATTTTTCAGCACCTACAATAAATAGTGCCTGGCACACAGAAAGCTCTTCATAGGTATTTTTTGAATGAAAGGATGAATGAATGAGAGTGAGTCCTAGGTTATTCCTCCTTGCCACCACAGCCATGGCTAGTGACCACTTAATATAAGTATTTGCAGCACTTGACACAAGTATAGAAAGGTTTGGGTCTCCTCTACTGGGAAAAGTCCAGTGCTAACAGTTATTGGGAGGATGACCTCAAGTCCTTTTCAGCACCACGCTGACACTACTTGGAATTATGCTACTGAGGGGAGGATCTTGTTCTTGCTACACATTGTACCTACTCTTTCTTCTGAGCAGCAATGTCAGGAGGAGGAATTATCAACTAAATAAGTAGATTTTTGTGAAATATGTATTTTTTTAGTTATTTCCCCAAATCCTACTACTTCAAGTCTGCTATGATCACATTGCCAAATTTCTGGGTTTTTAAGGTAGAGTTCCAAAAAATAATCATGTGTTATCTGGATGTTTCATACTGTAAGTAAGCATAGTGACAGATAAATATTTTGAACAAATAATCATTCAGTAACCTAATTTGCCCCAATTAATGTAGTTTGATGAAAGTTTATTCAGCACCTTGTACAGGTCCTCAACACCTTTTCTTAAACTCTGCGGCCCAGCTACATTTTAAATACAGGTTTTTTTGAATTTTAAAAGGATGACATGTACCACCCAGTGAAGTTTGAGGCAGTACCCCATAATCAAACATTAATATTTCTGCCTTGAAATAGTCACACTAAATAGGAAATGCACTACAAATAGCCTCAAATCAGCTCAGATTCTGATTTTGCTGCGTATAATTCTGGTCAGGTTGGGCCACAGGTGAATTATGAAAAAACTCCTGGTTTTAGACTTTTGGGTCTTTGGAGTTACTTGCAGAGAACTGTAATAGGTGCATATTTTGGTGTGATGATTCTACTGTCTGAGTCTCCCTTGAGTGCTTCCCCTCCCCTCCATGCTCTGGGCCACCATTAGGACAAGCCATGACTGTCACCTGGATCACAGGGGCCTCCTCCCACTCCATCTCCTTGCCTCTTGTTCCTTAGCAATCCATTCTGCAGAGTAATTGGCCTAAAACAAGTTTGGTTCATATTGCTGTTCTTTGTAAATCCTTTCATTGGCTTCTTACTGCTCTACAGATGGGGCACGCATTTCTTAATCCATCATTCAAAACTCATTATGATCTGGGCCCATTTTACCTCTCCTGCCCTTCAATAGCCACTCCTCATTTTTTTTTTCTTGCAAACATATTTCTTCTGTTCCATAGTCCTGCTTACCTATTGACTGTACCTTCTGTCTGAAATAGCTTCTTTATCCTGCCTCCATCCTCACGTCCCTTTTCTAACTCATCTATTTTTCAGGTCTTGGATTAGATTTCACTTCCAAGGAAACCTTTCCCCTCCTAGTTCTAGATTAAGTACCCTACCGTTGTGTTTGGGCAATGTCTTATGCTCCTGTTGCATTGTGATATAATTATGTTACTAATTCTCTGGAGCAAGCATCTCAACCTTAGCACTATTAACTTTTTTTTATATGCTTATTTCATGACCTGGTGTTTAACACCCTCCTAAGCCTCTGACACTTGACCTGCTGTGCATCTCACACTTGGCCTCTGACATTTGCCTTGCTTTAGCAGTCAGCTTCTAGACGTGGTTCTAAATAATGCCTACCAGATTTCTCTACCTTAGCACTATTGACATTTTGAACTGGGTAATTCTTTGTTGGTGGGGGCGGTGGGGCGGGGGTGGTCATTGTAAGCACCATTGTAAGGTGTTTAGCAGCATCCCTGGTCTCCACCCACTAGATGCCAGTAACCCTCCTTCCCATTGTGACAACCAAAAATGTCTCCAGACATTGTCAAACATCCTCAGGGGTGGGGAGGCACAGTCACCCCTGGTTGAGATCTACCAGTCTAGAAGGAAGACTCTTTGAGGAAGGGGCTATGCTTAAGGGCATCTTCATATTCCTGCCTTGGTACACATGGGTCACCTTATACATATTGAATTAAATTAATGTGGGAAGGAGGGTACTTGGCAAGGAAAGGGATGGATAGACAGATGAAGAGTCTAGCTCAGCTCTCTCGGGACATGGCATGTGAGAATATATAGCAAATGATTTTCAAGGGATTGAGGTACCATACATAAGGGGATCACACTCTGTTCTTCTCTTTGAATAACTACTCCTTTTGCCTTTGGGCCATCCCCCAAGGAATTATTTCCTGCCTTAGAGTTACAGGCCACAGAATCTCCTGATCTGCTGGAGGCTGCCTTAGAATCAACCAGGAAGCATTTGTTAAACCACTGTACAAATAATGGGCACAGATAGGAATCACAAGCAGTCCTTGCCCTCAAGGCGCTCCCAGCCCAGTGAGAAAGACACTGGTGGGTTTTGCCTCTCTGTCCAGAAGGCCCTTACACCCTTCCTTTCCTGGCACATTCCTACTCCTCCTATCCAGTCTTGATCAGGCCTTCCTAATACATGGTCCCATAGCATCTATTCTTTTCCTTCACAGCATTTTTCACAGTTTTAATTATATAGTTTTTTCTGTGTTTTACTTAAATGTTTCTATTCCTTGAGACTAAGTTCAATGGAGAAAGGGACAATGTCTGTTGTGTTTGTTTATGTTTCTCCAGCTCCTGGCACAATAACTGGCACATTGTAGGCATTTAAAATATAATTTATAGACAAATAAGAATGCTTGTGGCTGTCCCTCCAAGAACTTGGATTCCAGTGGAGGAGATGGTGCCAACTGCAGTGCTCAGTTCTGTACCAAAGGGATAGGAAAGTGCACGGTTGGTTTTGGGAGTGAGATGGAGAATAATCTGGACTAGAAAGAGGTACCTGGGATGACTTTATAGGGAAAAAAAAGTTAGAAAATCAGGAAGACTAGAAAGGAAAAAAGAAAAGCCATTCATAGGTTTAATATAGACAACCATTTTGGTAAATTTCAGCCTCTTCCCCCTTTTTCTCTTTCTTTAAAAATATGTTACTTCATGCTTTAAAGTATTTCATGAATACAGAAAAACATAGAGAATAATATAACCTCCACCTAGCTTAGTCAAATCTTAACATTTTGCTAGCTTTGATTTACATTAAAAGAAAAAATGATATAAAATAGAATAGAACATTGCACATAGAGTTGATGCTCCCCTGTGTGCCTCTCCCAGATGCCATTCCCTCATCTTTTTTTTTTTTTTTCTTTTTCTTTTTTTTTTGTGAGACAGGGTCTCATTCTGTCACCCAGGCTGGAGTGCAGCAGCATGATCTCGACTCACTGCCCCCTCCACCTCCCAGGCTCAAGTCATCCTCCCGCCTCAGTCTCCTGAGTAGCTGGGACTACAGGCACACGCCACCACACCCAGCTAGTTTTTGTATTCTTTTTTTTATAGAGATGGGGTTTTGCCATGTTGCCCAGTCTGGTCTTGAACTCCTGAACTCAAGCGATCTGCCCGCCTCGGCCTCCCAAAGTGCTGGAATTACAGGCGTTAAGCCACTGTGCCAAGCCTCCCCATCTTCTTTCTGCAGAACCACCATCATCCCGAAGTGTGTGTTTGTATCTCCCATGTAGGAAAGATGGGGAGGCCTGGCGTGGTGGCTTAATGCCTGTAATCCCAGCACTTTGGGGAAACTGAGTTGGGCGGATTGCTTGAGCTCAAGAGTTCGAGACCGGTCTGGGCAACATGGCCAAACCCCATCTCTACAAAAAATACAAAAATTAGCCTGGTGTGGTGGTGCATGCCTGTACACACTATTGATATATACATATATATATAGTGTAAGTATTTACATATATATATACACACATATATATACACACACACATATATATATAAACTATATATTGTTTGTATATTATTAAAACTACATTTGGTTTGAAGATTTTGAACTTTGCATAGTATGGTATCATACTGTGTATATATTTCTGTGGCTTGCTTTTTTCATTTAGCCTTTCGTGTGAGATTTAGCCATGTAGATGTGTATAGCAGTAATTCTTTCAGTTTTGTTGTATGATATTTTAGGACTACACTACAGTTTATCCATTCTTCTGTCAATGAGAGGTTTTGGTTATTTTCAACATTGTGGTATGTGTCTCGTGCATGTTTGACAGCTTTTCTAGGGTTTGTACTGTTAAAAGAAAAACCTTAGACAAATTAAATATAATAGAATTTAATTGAATGAAGAACAGTTTGTGAATCGGGCAGCCCCCAAACTAGACCAGGATTAGAGAAGCTAGGATTAGTATAGTCACGTGGTTGAAGATTTATGGACAGAAAAAGAAAGGTGCCATACAGAAAATGGAAGTGAGGTGCAGAAACCGTCGGATTGGTTATAGTTCATTGTTGGTCTTATTTGAATATAGTTTGGCAGTTGGCTGCCTCTGATTGGCTGAAACTAGGTGATTGGCACAAGAGTAGGTTATAGTTTGTTTATGTATTTAGTTAGGTTATAGTTTCTTATGTATAGAGAAACCTTTAAGCTGAATTTAAAATACATAAGGAGGCAGGTTTAGACTAAATTTAATTGAATGGTTTTTCCTTTTTGATCAGTCTCTCAAAATTTCACTTTTGAGAGATTGACCAAAACTTTAGGCATTAATGTCACTTTGGTTTTAAATTTTACTAGGAAATAGTAGACCAGTGGACTTTGCAAGGTGGGAACAAGGACTTCAGATAATTTTTTTGTAAGGGTTAGAGTAGAGGGAACCTTTTTTTGTTGGAATTTTTTGCTTATAGGAGAAAAAATCTGGTCTGTTTTAAACTTATTTTTTTTTAAGTTTTAGTTTGATTATATCATATTTAGTATAAGTGATTGTATTTTGGTTGGTTTGGTCTGTTGGGGCTTAGTGTAGGAGTTTAGTCTAAAATAATGGCCTCGCATAGCAGCTTTAGGCTAAACTGAATTTAACAGCACCTGCAGGTGGAACAGCTGACGTGTAGGGTCCTACATTTCCTCAGCTTCACTGGACGTTGCCAGATCATTCTCCAGAGCAGCTTTGAGGTTTCAGCTCCTGACAGCACTGTCTCAGAATTTCTGTTGCCTCATATTCTTGCCAAGACTTGGTACTGTCAGACTTTCAAATTTTTGCCAATGTGAAATAGTACATTTCCTTCATTTCTAGTGAATTTGGGCATCACTTCTTATGTTTATTTGGCTGTTTCCGTTTCCTCTTTTGGGGCTTGTCAGATTTTCTTTTGTATGTTCTTTTTCTTATGTATGTTTATATCCTTATATATCTCAGATTAACCTTTTGTTGATATTTTGCATTTCCTGTTTTCCATAGTTCACATATGTTCTCCATCATGGCTTATCTTTCCACTTTGTGGTATGCTTTGTTGGGTGCCAGTTTCACATTATAATCAAGTCATACTTGTCAGTCTGTTCATTTATGGTTGGTGCTTTTTACATCATGTTTAATCCCTCCGTTCTCTAAGTACTTTGGGGTCATAAAGAGATCCTACCATGTTTCCTTCTAAAAGTTTGTTCTGTTTTTTTTCAGTGTAGGTCTAATCCATGTGCAATTTATTTCTGTGTGTGCATATAAGATAGAGAAAATTTTCCACGTGAGTAAACTGGTTGCACAAGCCAGTGTCACTGATTGCATAGTCTTATCTTTTTCCCCACTGATTTGTGATGCCACCTTATCACGTATTCAGTTTCCTTAGTATACATGGGCAGCTTCATCGGTTTATAATACATTCTTTTAAAATAATATATGCTTGTGTCACTTCTGCACTATCTTAATCACTGTGGCTTTATATATTGATACATTATGCAAGGCCCTGTTAAGAACCTTGAGTGGATGGTTATGATTGGAACTTAGTGTGTGGGGGATAGAATAGTGGGTGGTTGTGCTAGGAAAGTAGGTGGACTTGATTTTGTGGAGGGCTTTGAGGAGAACTCTGAGGACACAGGTAAGGTCTGTCTGTGGGACCATGGGTCACTGGGTGCTGGTAGATATAGAAGTAGGGCCTGGGCTATAATCTTTCAGCAGCAATGAGTGGTTTTTTTCAAAGAAGATTAAGGGTCTCAAGAAGTTATTTGTGCATTCCACATAAACTCATATATATGTATAGTATATTTTTTCCAGAAGTCTTTTTGATTAACTCTTCTTTAAGCTGTTGCTCTCTTAAAACCTCACCTCAAATTTCTCTTACATCAGAAACTCTTTAAAACTGGTTATTGTGAGTGTTCTTTGCTTTGGTGTTACAGTCTTCATTTGAAAGCTGGTTCTTAGCATTGTCATTTTCTTTTTCAGTTAATATGGCTTTTTTTTTTTTTACATTGAGCTTTAGGCTTATTTTTTCCCCTTTCTACTTTGTACTGAATTGAATCAGAAAAAAAAAGAATGCTATTTTTAAGTGCCATTATTCTTTTGAAGAAAAGCTTCCATTTAAAATGTTTGTCTGAACTGTAAGGGGTTTCTGTCAACCACTTCTGCTTCTGCTGAGAATGAGTAACATGACCTTTTTTTCTGTTTTAAAGAACAAGAGCGATGTCACGATGCTCCAAATGTTTGTTGTATTCCTTATTTTGGTGACATTTGAACTCTTATTAAGTAGAATTGAGTTAGTAAAAATTAAATAAGTTAGAGAAAATTGACTACTACTTAGATTGTTAACCTCTTATGCAAACTCTAGTGCTTCTGTGGTGTTTGAAAAGGAAGTATAAAAAGAGTTGCAGAATGAGGGGAAAAGCCCTGAAAGCGTTTTTGTTTTTGTTTTTTTCAAATTGGAAATGTCTTTATTCTCTTTGCAGACTGTAAAGGTAGCACACGCTCATTATAAAAATTTGACGCAATACCAAAGGGTGTAGAATAGCACTCCCCCATAGAGTTTTCTGCAATGATGGAAATGTTCTATTTTGTACCATCAGTGTAGTAACCATTAACCATATGTGGCCGTCAAGCCCTTAAAATGTGACAGGTGCAATTGTAGAACTGAGTTTTTTAATTTAATTGTAATTGATTTATATTTAAGTAGAACATGTGGTGAGTAGCTACTGTATGGTACACTCAGAGATAGCCGGTTGGGTGTGTACATTCTCTGTCACTCTCTACCAGCCTCCTGACTTTCTTCTCTCTTTTACCTCTGCTCTGTCCCTTTTTTCTCACCTCCTGTCTCTGTTTCTTTGGCATGCAGCCTGCCAGGCTGCCTCCACTCTCCCTGCCTTCCCCGTTCTTTCTCTTGTTCTTTCTATGTAAGTGTTATATATATACACATAGGACATTCTGTTCAGCAGTTAACTTTTTCTATTTAATTATGTATCATGGACATTTTCCCCTTTCAGTACATATGGATCTGTTTTTTTTTTTTCAATAATAGCGTAATTTCAGTGGAATTAATGTACCAACTTTTTTTTTATTATACTTTAAGTTCTGGGGTACATGTGTAGAATATGCAGTTTTGTTACATGTATATACACGTGCCATGGTGGTTTGCTGCACCCATCAGCCGGTCACCTACCTTAGGTATTTCTCCTAATGCTATCCCTCCCCTAGCCCCCTACCCTGCAACAGGCCCTGGTGTGTGATGTTTCCCTCCCTGTGTCCATGTGTTCTTATTATTCAGCTCCCACTTATGAGTGAGAACATGCGGTGTTTGGTTTTCTGTTCTTATGTTAGTTTGCTGAGAGTGATGGTGTCCAGCTTCATCCATGTCCCTGCAAAGGATATGAACTCATCCTTTTTTATGGCTGCATAGTATTCCGTGGTGTATATATGTGCCACATTTATTTTCTTTATCCAGTCTATCATTGACGGACATTTGGGTTGGTTTCAAGTCTTTGCTATTGTGAATAGTGCCACAGTAAACATATGTGTGCATGTGTCTTTATAGTAGAATGATTTATAATCCTTTGGGTATATACACAGTAATGGGATTGCTGGGTCTAATTGTATTTCTAGTTCTAGATCCTTGAGGAATCACCACACTGTCTTCGACAATGGTTGAACTAATTTACACTCCCACCAACAGTGTAAAAGCATTCCTATTTCTCCACATCCTCTCCAGCATCTGTTGTTTCCTGACTTTTTAATGATCACCATTCTTACTGGCGTGAGATGGTATCTCATTGTAGTTTTGATTTGCATTTCTCTAATGACCAGTGATGACGAGCATTTTTTCATATGTTTGTTGGCTGCATAAATATCTTCTTTTGAGAAGTGTCGGTTCACACCCTTTGCTCACTTTTTGATGGGGTTGTTTGTTTTTTTCTTGTAAATTTGTTTAAGTTCTTTGTAGATTCTGGATATTAGCCCTTTGTCAGATGGATAGATTGCAAAAATTTTCTCCCATTCTGTAGGTTGCCTGTTCACTCTGATGATAGTTTCTTTTGCTGTTCACAAGCTCTTTAGTTTAATTAGATGCCATTGGCTTTTGTTGCCGTTGCTTTTGGTGTTTTAGACATGAAGTCCTTGCCATGCCTATGTCCTAAATGGTATTGCCTAGGTTTTCTTCTAGAATTTTTATGGTTTTAGGTCTTACATTTAAGTCTTTAATCTATCTTGAGTTAATTTTTGTATAAGATGTAAGGAAGGGGCCCAGTTTCAGTTTTCTGCATGTGGCTAGCCAGTTTTCCCAACACCATTTATTAAATAGGGAATCCTTTCCCCATTGCTTGTTTGTATAGGTTTGTCAGGTTGTTGATGTATGGTCTTATTTCTGAGGCCTCTGTTCTGTTCCATTGGTCTATATATCTGTTTTGGTACTAGTACCATGCTGTTTTGGTTACTAGCCCTGTCATATAGTTTGAAGTCAGGTAGTGTGATGCCTCCAGCTTTGTTCTTTTTGCTTAGGATTGTCTTGGCTATGAGGGCTCCTTTTGGGTTCCATATGAAGTTTAAAGTAGTTTTTTCCAATTCTGTGAAGAAAGTCAATGGTATCTTGATGGGGATAGCATTGAATCTATAAATTACTTAGGGCAGTGTGGCCATTTTCACGATATTGATTCTTCCTATCCATGAGCATGGAATGTTTTTCCATTTGTTTTTGCCCTCTCTTATTTCCTTGAGCAGTGGTTTCTAGTTCTCCTTGAAGAGATCCCTCACATCCCTTGTAAGTTGTATTCCTAGGTATTTTATTCTTTCAGTAGCAATTGTGAATGGGAGTTCACTCATGATTTGGCTCTCTGTCTGTTATTGGTGTATAAGAATACTTGTGATTTTTGCACATTGATTTTGTATCCTGAGACTTTGCTGAAGTTGCTTATCAGCTTAAGGAGATTTCGGGCTGAGATGATGGGGTTTTCTAAATATATAATCATGTTATCTGCAAACAGAGACAATTTGACTTCCTCTTTTCCTATTCGAATACCCTTTATTTCTTTCTCTTGCCTGATTGCTCTGGCCAGAACTTCCAATACTGTGTTGAATAGGAGTGGTGAGAGAGGGCATCCTTGTCTTGTGCCAGTTTTCAAAGGGAATGCTTCCAGTTTTTGCCCATTCGGTATGATATTGGCTATGGATTTGTCATAAGTAGCTCTTACTATTTTGAGATATGGTCCATCAATACCTAGTTTATTGAGAGTTTTTAGCATGAAGCGGTGTTGAATTTTGTCAAAGGCATTTTCTGCATCTATTGAGATAATCATGTGGTTTTTGTCATTAGTTCTGTTTATATGATGGATTACGTTTATTGATTTGCATATGTTGAACCAGCCTTGCATCCCAGGGATGAAGCCGACTCGTGGTGGATGAGCTTTTTGATGTGCTGCTGGATTCGGTTTGCCAGTATTTTATCGAGGACTTTTGCATCGATATTCATCAGGGATATTGGCCAGAAATTTTCTTTTTTTGTTGTGTCTCTGCCAGGTTTTACGGTATCAGGATGATGCTGGCCTCATAAAATGAGTTAGGAAACATTCTCTCTTTTTCTGTTGTTTGGAACAGTTTCGGAAGGAATGTGTATTAACATGTGTTAACCCTACTGATGGGTAGTAGGTTGTTTTCAGTTTTTTTTCCTATAAAATATTTTTTAACCACTACAGTATTTCCTGTTATATGTTTTCCTTTGTGTTTTCTGCGTACCTTGCTGGTGTATAGGGTTGAATTGTTCAAAACTGAAATCTGCGTTTTCTTTTGTACTTTGATACCTAGTAGAATTCCCTTAGAACTTCAAATAAAGACCCCACTGGAATCCTTGGCTGCAGCCTACAGGTTAAGGTTGGCATATTGTCTTTCACTAGTGCAGTAATAATGGTTCTGATTGCTTGCTGTCCGGTGTGCTAAAGAGAAAGAGACTGGAATGTTACATCAACATGGATGAATGCCCACTGTTGTCTCTCTCAGAGAGGTGGGCTGGCTGCAACTGCCTCTGCCTTTCTTGAGGCCACCTCGGCAAGGGTGTGTGCAAAGGCAGCACTAGGCACACCTGCTGCCAGCCCCTCCAGCAAGGCCATTTCTGTTTCATGGGCAAAATTCCTGGGGGTAAATACTGTGGGCTTGAGGTCTCATCTTAGATTTCAGAGAAAATCTGAATTCGGTTTAATGGCAATCTAGCCTGGCAAACAGATTCTGCTTATGTCAGCTGGAGCGGGCAGCTTGGAGGGGAACCCCCAGAGGTGCTGTGCCTAGCAGTAGGGATGGGTGAGAGTGAGCAGACTCTTCTCTAGCAAGCACCTCTGTTTTTCCAGTTGGTAGTTTTTTACAGTGTCTCCCAGAAATTTTGTAAACATATTGTTTCCACTCACCTGATAAAACCTTCTAAATCTTTTTCTTTTTGGAATAACTTGTTTCATGAAATTGTTGGTAGTAGTTGCTTTTCTTATTTGGCAAATGGGTTTTTGTACTTTACGTCTGTCTGAGGTTTATAATATGCTGAGGTCATTTCCAAGTGATTTTTCAAGTGATGGTTAACATTTTTCATCTTTATCTGAAAAATATTTCTCTTAAGGACAGTGATGTATTTATAGGAAATAATTAAAATAATGCCGCTTGAAAAACAAAGAGTTTGCGGAACACAGAAACCTGAGCTGCCCTCCCTTTCCTTAGTTTAGTCATTTCCAGCACAGAAATTGTAACCCTGAATAATTACTTTCAAGGACTACACTCAAACTTCTTAACTTCTCTGGCTACTCTAAGGAAAAGCTAAAGAGATAATGTGGTAAGGAATAAAAAGTACATGGAGAAATTTATTTTACTGATTGAACTTTAGAAAATAAAGCCTTAGGAAATTCTTAATTCACTAAGATTAGTTTGGTTACCTAGTTTCAAGAAGTAACTTTAGAAACAATACCCACTCTCTAAAAGCCAGAGGGTTTTTTTTTCCTTTTTAAAAAAACCTTAGTTTATATGTATAGCCGTGTTATGTTGCCAGATACCTAGAAATCCAAATGTCTGTTAAATCCCAAATATTGGATTTAACAATGCAAAATATAAATATTAATTTCAACCTCTGTTACTTTAAGAGCTAACCTGTATTATGCCTGGGCTAGGAAAACTTTAAAACCCTATTATCATTTATTCATCAGAATATTTTTCTTTGTGTGTCAGAACAGTTGGTAGAAATAAACTTTTTTTATTTGGAAGTTTGAAGTTTAATTAGAAAGTCAAGACAAGCTAGAAAGGGGGTTAAATTTTTTAAAAATAATAATGTTATACTTTTTATATTATTTCACATAATCGATGCGGGAAACCAAGAATGTGGTAGACAGAATAATAACACTAATTGCTGACATTATTGACATTTACTGATTTATTCATAGCTCTGCTGTGCGCCTCACATCTATTATCTCTTCAATTCTCCCATCAATCCTGTGAAATAAGTACGTTTGTCACCCCCAGCTTTAACTAAAGATGCTGTGGCTTTGAAAGTTTAAGTAACTTGCCCACCAGCTAAAAAATTTCACAGCTGGAATTTGAACCCAAGCAGTCTGACAACAGAGGAGGAAACTTTAACCATCACAGTTCTAATTTGACGAGATCTCTCCTGAAACAGGGGCTAAATACTATGATAGTTAAGTGAATACTTCATCCAGGAAACAACCGTAGCTAAAAATGAAGCCAGTGAGCAATTTTTTAATGGTTTCTCACAGCCAAGTGTAATTCCAAACACCTGACATATAGTATCTCACTTCATTTGCACTCTGCAAGGGATATATTATTTATACTCATTTTTCAAAGAGGCTTAGGGGGTTAACTAACTTGCCCATAGTCACGATTTTTGTAATTTGTGAAGCTGGGATGGTGCAGAATAATTGATTAACATCCATTTATTAAATATTTTTATTAGTTTGTGCAAGGATTGCTTTAGTTCTGTTCAGTTCGGTATTTTAATCAGTTACTAAGATGAATATGCAAAAGGCAAACAAATTTCAGATGACACAAAACGGAGTGAAGGTATTACAAAATGGAACAATATTCAAAAAGATTTTCAGCCTTAAATTGCTTGCTTTTTAAGCATAAACAACACATTCACACATTCAAAGATAACAAGACTAAGGGCCGGGTGCGGTAAGTATCTTTGTCTTACACCAGAGGCGGGTGGATCACGAGGTCAGGAGATAGAGACCATCCTGGCTAACATGGTGAAACCCCGTCTCTACTAAAAATACAAAAAAAATTAGCCAGGCGTGGTGGTGGGCGCCTGTAGTCCCAGCTACTCAGGAGGCTGAAGCAGGAGAATGGCGTGAACCCGGGAGCAGAGGTTGCAGTGAGCCGAGATCATGCCACTGCACTCCAGCCTGGGGGACAGAGCGAGACTCTGTCTCAAAAAAAAAAAAAAAAAATAATGACGAAAATCCCCTCTAGCCTTGGCCAGTGACCACTCCATTGCACCGTCCCACTACTGTTCACACACAGCTGAGAACCACTCTACTCCTTTCCTCTTTCTCCAGGGTGTCATTTTTAGCAAAAGTGAATATATATATATATTTTCTTCTTTTCCCCTTTTCTGATTCACTGGTGTTACTGGCCAGGTCCAAGTCTCTCCTATATCTTTGTCCAGGGTGTAATTTTAGCAAAACTGAATATATATATATATATATATATATATATATTTTTTTTTTTTTTTTTTTTTTCTTTTTTTCCCCTTTTCTAATTCATTGGTGTTACTGGCCAAGTCCAGGTCCATTCTGTCTGCATGCAGTAAGTTTATTACTGTGACTTGGGTTTTGCAAAAGAGAAAAGATTTATTCTCAAGGCTGCCGAGCAAGGAGACAGAAGAACAGCTCTGAAAACCACCTCCCTGAAGATAAGGCTTAGGGATGTTTATGGTTGAGGAAGTGAGGTAGTCTAAGGCATGGGGAAAAATGAAGTAAGAGGTTTATTCTGTGCAAGCGTAGTTGGGTTTCATGCCATTTCATAGGACATATGTGCCAAAAATGGTGTTAGCGTGATCTGAGAGTGGAGTTTTTGGCCTCCCTGACCTCAAAAGGTCACCTCTTAGGTTCTTAACACAGGCCCAGTTGAAGGGTTCGTGGTCTCGACCAGTTGGAACTGGGCAGGAGCTGGCCCACATTCCTGGAAGACAACTGAAATAACCGTTACTTTGATGACCTATGATGTTATCTATAACATAGCCAGTGAAGTTTCAGTGTTTAGCAGTAATGCCTTCACCTACTGCGGCCTTCAGCTTCTTAGAAAAAGGAAAACAACAGCAACAGCAACAAAAAGCAAGTGACCAAAAGCAAGCGGGACAGGCAGACCTGACCAAGTTAACCCCCTGCTTTCATTAGCAACAGATCTTAGATATCTTTCCATATCAGTATCACCTGGAGAGAGCTTCCTCATTCTTCCTTATAACTGCATAGTATTATATTTTATGAATGTACAACAATTTAACCCATCTCCTATTGATCGTGGCTAGAGTTATTTCTAGTCATTTGCTATTAAAAACCATATCGCAATAATCTTGTACAGTATCATTGTTTTAATTATTTGTAATTTGTGTGTCATCAAATTCACCATTTTTGGCATAAGTTCTAGGTTTTGACAAACACACAGAGACATGTAACCACCACAACCAAGATACAGAACAGTTCCATCACCCAAAAATCTCCTTGTTATCAGCTCCACTCCTGGCAGCCACTACTCTGTTCTCTGTCCCGGTAGCTTTGGCTTTTCCAGCATGTCCAAGTATTGAAGCCCTTTGAGTACAACTTCTTTCACTTAGCATAATGCGTTTGAGATTCAGGCATGTTGTTTCACCTATCAGTAGTTCATTCCTCTTATTACTCAGTAGTATTCCATTGGATGCATGTGCCATAGTTGTTTATTCCAATCCATTTAGGTCATTTGGGTAGTTTCCAGTTTGGGACAATTATGAATATAGCTGTTAGGAACATTTGCACACAGATACAAAATATCTTTTTGTAAAGCAGCCTTACTGAGGTGTCATTTGCATACCATAAGATTCACTTATTTAAAGTATAAAATTTGATTTTTTTTGGTAAATTTAGAGTTGTACAGTCATCACTTTTGAGTCTTAAAATTTCATCCGTGTTGTATGATTATTTCTTTTCCATTTTGTTGCTGAATATTATTTCATTAGGATATACCACATTTTGTTTATCCGTTCACTAGTTGATGAACATTTAATGTTTTGGCTCTTTTGAATAATGCTGCTATGAATATTTGCCTGCAAATTTTCAGATGGACATATGTTTTTATTTCTCTTTGGTAGATACGTAGGAGTGGGATTGCTGGATCATATGGTAAAATTATGTTTAACATTTTAAGGTAATGCCAGCCTGTTTTCCAAAGTAGTGTTTTACATTCTCACCAGTGCTGTGCTAGGGTTCCTATTTCTCCACATCTTTGCCAACACTTGCTTTTGTCTGTCTTTTTAGTATCTCACACCCACCAGTAGATTTTAATTGCATTTCCGTAATAACTGATTATATTGAACATTTATTCGTGTCCTCATTAGTCATGCATATGTCTTCTTTAGTGAAATGGTTTTTGTTTGTTTTTTGAGATGGAGTTTCGCTCTGTTGCCCAGGCTGGAGTGCAGTGGCGTGATCTCCCCTCACTGCAACCTCTGCCTCCTGTGTTCAAGCAATTCTCCTGCCTCAGCCTCCTGAGTAGCTGGGAACACAGGCTCGTGCCACCATGGCCAGCTAATTTTTTTGTATTTTTAGTAGAGACGGGATTTTGCTATGTTCACTAGGCTGGTCTTGCACTGCTGGCCTCCAGTGATCTGCCCACCTCGGCCTCCCAAGGTGCTGGGATTACTGGTGTGAGCCATCGCATCCAGCCTAATGAAATGTTTATTCAAATCCTTTGCCCATTTTTAAATTGGGGTTTTTATCTTTTTTTCTTTATATTCTGGATACAAGTCCTTATCAAATAATTGATTTGCAAAATGCCACAGAATCCTTTGTTCTTACTAAGGGGTCAGTAGTTTTGTCTAAAATAAACACTTCTCTTATTTGTTTTATGCCTTTTGTCAATTTCTAGAGTTCTGAAACCATTGTTTTTGACAATTTTGTCCTGTTTTACACTATCCTTGGAAAGAGGATTTGCTACCTGCAATTTCATTTTGAACATATAAATTCCTAGAAAATCAATTCCTGGGTCAAAGGATTAATGCATTTGTAATTTTAATAGATGTTGGCAAATTTTTCTCCATAAAAAGAAAATTTATATTCCTCTAATATGTGAGTTATAGCCCAGACTTGCCAGTGGTGTATGTTATTAAACTGCCAGAATTTTGCCAATACTGTGTACGTGAAAATTCATTTTGATTGGTGAAACCACTATAATAGTAGCTACTTGTAGGTGTACATTTAATCTTTATAATAATCCATGAGTTAGGTACTGTATTAGTTCATTCTCATGCTGCTAATAAAGACATACCCAAGACTGGGTAATTTATAAAGGAAAGAGCATGGCGCTGGGGAGGCCTCAGGAAACTTATACAATCATGGCGGAAGGGGAGCAAACACATCCTTCTTCACGGAACAGCAGGAGAGGGAACAATGAGCAAAGAGGGAAAAACACCTTATAAAATTATCAGATCTCATGAGAAGTCACTAACTATCACAAGAACGGCAGCATGGGGGTAACTGCCCCCATGATTCAGTTACCTTCCACTGGGTCCTTCCCATGACACATGGGGATTATGGGAACTACAATTCAAGGTGAGATTTGGGTGGGGACACAGCCAAACCATATCATGTGCTATGACCCAAGCTTATATATGGGGAATTAAGCTTTATTGAGGTTATACATTGCTCAAGTTCATATAATTTATTAGTGATAGTGCTGGATTTTGTCCCCATATCTAACTCCAAAACATGAACTCTGAACTGATACCCTATACTACACTGTCTCTGTTGTGGAAAAGGATTTCAAAATTCATCTAATATAAATTCAAACCAAATTAGTAAGAGCCTCATCAGTGGGTGAGGCAATCACAATCTCATACTTAAGAGAATGTAGTTAAACTGTTTTTTAGCTAATTTAGGATAGCGTGACCAGAATTGTGAGTAGATGCAAAAGTTCATGGATGTGCATTTGGTGATGGTTTCTTAGGTATGACATCAAAAGTACAAGCAACCAAGGAAAAAAATAGAAAAATTTGACTTATTCAAAATTAAATTTTTTTTGTCTGTCAAAGCACATTATCAAGAAATGAAAAGTCAACCCACAGAATGGGAGAAAATATTTGCAAATCTATAAGGATCTGGTATCCATTAGACTTACATATAATGAAAGAAAAAACTGTTCTAACTCAACAATGAAAACACAAGTCACCCTATATAAAAATGGGTATTTCTGTAAATAAGATATATAAATGGCCAATAAAACATGAAAAGAAATTCAACATCATTAGTCATTAGGGAAATGCAAATCAAAACCACAATGAGTTACCACTTTACATTCACAAGGATAACTATAATTTAAAAAAAAAAAGAGAGAATGTGGAGAAGTTGGAACCCCAACTTTTGCTGGTGGGAATGTAAAATGGTATAGTCACTGTGGACAGCAGTTGGGCATTCTCTCAAATGGTTACACACAGACTTACCCTATGACCCAGCAATTCCACTCTTATGTGTATACCCAAGAGAATGGAAAAAATATATACACACAAAAACGTGTGAACTCATTCCATAGCAACATTCGTAGTAGCCAGAAGGTGGAAACAATCCAAAGTCCATCATCTGATGCATGGGTAAACAAAAGGTGGTAAATTCACGCAATGAAATATTACTCAACCATAAAAAGCAGTAAAATATTGATAATTGGACAGTATAGAGGAATCTTGAAAATATTATGTTAAGTGAAAGAAAATACACACAAAAGGCCACATATTCTATGATTCTATTTATGTGAAATGTCTGGGACAGACAAATCCATAGAGACAGAAAGTAGATTAGTGGTTGCCAGGGTCTGAGGGAGAGATTAAGAAATGACTGCTGTGCTGATGGGTACAGGATTTTTTTTTTTTTTAGATGAGAATGTTCTGGACTTGGATAGTGATGGTTACATACCTTCTGAATATATTAAAAGACGACCAAATTTTGCACTTTAAGATGGTTAAGAACCCAAAAGTATTTTGAAGGACTTTGATAAAATTAGAATAGATGATCTCATGTTTAACTAATAGTGTTAGAAACTTGTATTTCTACTACCTGCTAAAGTGCTTTTGTGAAACTCTGAAGATTAACTTTTATTTGGTATGTGCTCTGAGCTGTTGTCTCAAGAGTACAATATTAACACATTTTACAAGAAGTTAAACAGTAATGAAATATCTTAGTTGTAATTTGTATTAACAGACTCCAGAAAACTTAAAAAGACCCAGGTTGCTGATTTGAGATGCCCCTGGAATTAACGTATTTTTTAAAATGCTTCGTGGCAGAAGCTTTCTTAGCCATCCGCCTCTTGACCAGCTTTCTGGATTACCAACTCTCTCCATTCCCTTTGTTTCAGGACATGCTGAGTGGTTATGGCCAGGAGGTGTGCTAAGGTCTGGTGATGTAGTTCTGTTCTGACTAACTGAGTTGTGTCCTAACCACAAGTCAGCTGTGTTTGTTCCTAAATCTGTTTATGCCAGTCGTAGTAATTTAACTAAATATTATGTAAACTGACAAAATATGAATGCAAAAAAATTTAGATGTTTAGAAACAAAGATATGTTGCTTAAATAATACTACAATATATCAGGTATGGGTGAGAAACTAAAAATATTGGGTTAAATTGTAAAATATAGATGCATTCTGTACTCAAGAGTCTTTTCAATTTTTACTCTACTTTAAAGAAGCAAAAACTCGAAGTCATAGACAGTGGTGGCTTATGCCAGAAGACCAGCACATCTGTAAAGAGACAAGAGATAGCCTTGACCCTGTATCAGAAGGCTGGCAAATGAACTGATATTTATGCACTCGATAATTCAAGAAAAATGTTTTCAGATTTGTGTGTATCATTTTTAATGACTCCTCTTTAAACTTAGTTTTTCAGTTTACCAACGAACTGGCATGATTCGTCAGGATTTCTGACTCTGGCTAATTAAGTGCCAAAGAACAGAATTCCAAATTAGGGGACTCATGGTCCCACTACTGCACTTAGTCATGTCTTAGACAAGTAAATCAAACTACATTTTTTTCATGTATTTTAAACGTAAATTTAAATTCCATTGATTCCTAATAGCAAAAGTTAAACACTGGAAAACAAAGTCTTCCCTTTTTTTAGATTCCCTTTCTCTTTCCCTTTCTTTCGTTCATCTCTTCCCTTTGTCCTCTTCCCTTCTGCTTTTTCTCCTTGCCTTAGAGAACTTGGAAATAGGAGTACAATATATTTTTTATCTGTTAAATAAAATATTTGTTTACTCTGTTTATAAACATTTACTTCTTAGCATTTAAATCATGCTAATTATAATTCAACAAAATTACAGTTTGTTTTTAACCCAATAATTGCCAAATATGGAAATCATCCTTGCTTAAAATTAATCCTCTAATCAATTCTTATTCTCTGAAATTCATTCATTATGAATACACTTAAAAACACAGTTGTTCAAACTGAAAAGACTTGGGTTTTGGCCATTTTACTTGGAGAACAAATAACATTTTCTAATTCCTTGTCTTTTTATGTAGTAATTTAAAAGCTACATGTGTTTGAAACTTTTGCTAGTTCAAATTTTTATAGATGGATCATAATGAATATTTCAAAAAATGGTGTTTACTTAAGTGTTATAGTACTTACTAAGAATGTATCATGTTGGAGGGTTAGTGTGCAGTTTGCTCCATGTTGTGTTCATTTGAAAGTTATTCCTCTAGTGAACAAGTTAAATAAACCCTCACACTGGCATTCTTAGAACTATAATAGCCACTTCCAGCACAGGAATGTTATATAACTTTTTCTATACAGTGTATTGTCAGTATTTGCTATTTTTATAGTATATTTTTTCTGTATACTTAATGGTTACACGTAAAAATCCAACAGCTACAAATAAAAACTCTACTTAGAAGTTATTTATTTGAAAGAATTATAACCTAGCAACAAAAAGATGTCCTGTTTATATGTAGTGCATCTACTACTGTAGATTTCATTTTCTTCCTCTCTGAAGTTTAATTCCAGTCATGCTTTCAGCATTTTGCAAAATGGAACAAGAGGAGAGGGTTTCCTTCATCGGCCATGAAGCTCCTGTTAAGCACTAAAGTGTGGTAACTGCCTGTTTGACTAGGTCTTGCCTCCTTTGAGAGCAGGGATCATGATTGGTTCATCATTGGAAGCCCAGTGCCCAGCACAATGCCTAATAATGTAGGCCTTCAGTACACATGTTAAGGATTTGGACAAATGGATTTTTTTCACAACCTCGTGTCCCTCTTTCCCGTCTCCCATCACCCCACTCCCCAACATCTCTCTCTCCCAATTCTTTGCTCCAATTTATGTGCATTTTGGCACATACATATACCATGTTATCAGGGCAGGAATGTGAGCTCTGAAGTTGGAAACATGGCTTTGATGTTAGTCTCTTAAGTTTGTTTAATCTTTCCAAGCCTTGGCTTTCTCATCTATAAAATGGGAATGTTGATACCCAGAGAGGGGTCATTAAGGCAAAATTAAGGAAAGTCTAGATTAGATTTAGTGTCAAGCTGAGTAAATATTCTTCCCATCTCTTCTTTTCAGTTGTCATTTCCATGTTTTTAAATTAGGAAACTAGGTCTCTAAGAGAGAAATGATTTGCCTGAAGTCAAACGGCTCTCTCTCCAGCCATACCCTTTTTTCAGCGTTCTGGCCTTGGGGACCTGTAGTTTCTCCAAGTGAACACTCTTTGTGAGTAGCCCCTCACTACTTATACCTGCCTTGGTGTTAATGATACCACCAGCCTTTCCAACTGCCCAAATCTGGAAACCTCAGCCATCCTCACCTCTTTAATCTTTACCTTGCAAATGGGCCATCCTCAAGCCTTGACGTTTTGTCTCTTCAATAGTACAATCATGCACCACATAACATTGGTCCCATACAATTATAATGCTTTATTTTTCCTGTACCTTTTCTATGTCTAGAGACACACATACTTACCATTGTGTTACAGTCACCTGTAACAGATGCAGCATTCAGCACAGTAACATGCCGTACAGGTTTTTGTAGCCTACTAGCCATAGGCTATGCCCTGCAGCCTAGGAGTGTAGTAGACTGTACCATCTAGGGTTGTGTAAGTGCACACTGTGGAGCGCACAAAACGAAATCATCTAACAAAGCATTTCTCAGAGTGTATCCCTGTCATTAAGCATGACTATATTTGAATTTATTCCTGTTTCTGCATTTCCACTGTCTTCATTCCTCAGCATTTCAGCATGAGACTTTATCAGTAACTGGTCTCTGTCAGAATTATCTTTTTAAAATACAAAATCAATCATATCACTGGTTTTTAGAGTCCACATTCCTTTACAGTTGTGCTTTACTGCACCAGCCTTATCTTCTACCACTCTGTGTCATGCCCTCTACACTGGCCCCATCCAGCTTTTTGCTGTTAGGTGATCTCTGTTTATGCTGCTTTCCTTTTACTGATGAGAAAAACTCTGTGCCTGGTGAACTCCTACTCATCCTTGAAGACTTCCCTAACTTACCCCAATACAATTAGACATTTAATTCTTTAGGTTCCTAAATAGAGGCCAGGCGCGGTGGCTCATGCCTGTAATTCCAGCACTTTGGGAGGCCGAAGCGGGTGGATCACTTGAGGTCAGGAGTTCGAGACAAGCCTGGCCAACATGGTGAGATCCCTGTCTCTACTAAAAATACAGAAATAATTAGCCGGGCGTGGTGGTGGTGCCTGTAATCCCAACTATTTGGGAGGCTGAGGCACTAGAATCACTTGAACCTGGGAGGTGGAGGCTGCAGTGAGCCAAGATTGTGCCACTGCACTCCAGCCTGGGTGACAGAGCGAGACTCTGTCTCAAAAAAAAAAGAAAAAAAAAGTTCCTAAATAGCACTTTGTACCTACTTATCCTACTTATGTTCTACTACTTTTCACATGTGTATTAATAATTGCCTTTGACCTCTCTTCCCACTCATTGGGCAAATGATTTATCCTCTGTGTAAGATGAGAGGTTCAGCTAGACCATTGATTCTCAATGCTTGGTACACAGTAGGATCACTCTGTCCCAAACCAATTGTAGCAGAATCTCTGGAGATTCCCCACCAACAACCCCTACCCATCAGGGATTTTTTTTTAAACCTCCCCAAATTATTATCATATTGTGAGGAGAGTTGAGAAGCACTTGTGAACACATATTAGCACTGATTTGGGGACTACCTTAGCCCAGTAGCCCAGTATATTTTAAAATATAAGACAATTATTATTGGTTCTATCTTGACTCCATTCAAAAAAATTAGTGAATGAATAGATGAAAAATGAAAGTGTAATGCCTCTTGGGTTTTTTTTTTCCCCCTGTATTTTTTTCCCCTACCTCTGGCATAGTATCTCACAATGAACTGGTTTGTTTTTTGAGAGAAGTTGTATCCCAGGTTGATCTTACAGTATTATGCTGTATTTTTACTTAATGCTGGATAAATGTTGGCTTTGTTTCATTTTGAACTGCAGTTACGTTATTGGGATTTGTAAGATAGTAACTTTCTTCATTCATGCTGTCAGTTCTAGACAAATTAATATTTTATCACAATTTGTCCAGTGAAAGCTAAGTGATTGTTTTACTTTTGTAACTAAATTATGGCCCAATGAGATAATCTGTTCTAGTGCCATTTCTTTAATATGTCAATTATTGACGACTATACAGAGAGTAGTCAATTCTATGTGTGATATTGGATCTTATTTTCAAAAGAAAATCATCAAGTAGTTAAGTAGACCTTAAGGTGACAGCTTGCAAAATGTCAGAGTAGATTAGTCTATACCCTCTCAAAAATGTTCATGAATATTAAGTTAAAATTTTTTGAAAACTTAATCTTTGCCTTTGCTACATTTTATAAAGATTTCCTTAGCTTATAATTTTCATAATTGGGAGAGATGTGTGGGAGTTTAAGGTGAGCATAAAGTCAAGCCATAATAGGTTGAAAAAATTCTTCAGTATGAAGAACAGATTATACTGCATGAAAATATTTTTTTAAATCTATACCTAAAGGATCTTCCAAATCATTAGCACTGATGTTCAGAGCTTGTACATCTTTCAATTATAAGGGCATTATGGTACTTGTATCTTAGAATTAATTTGATGTGAACAGATTTTATTTTGTATGAATAAATAATTTGAAATGAAAATTCAGAGTTTTGAAAAAGTCTAGGAGTTGTATTTTAATATTCCTTAGTGAAATAAGTAATTTGACATGCAGATTCACCTAACATCTTTTTTGAAGTCTACTTTATTTGATATTAATATAGTCATCACAGGCTTCTTGGAATTCCTGTTTGCATGACCCGTCTTTTTTCTATCCATTTTCCACCCTATTTGTGTCTTCATATTTAAAGTATGTCACTTATATGCATACATTTATAGACTTTTAAAAATTTATTCTGTCTCTTTTAATTAGAGCGTTGAGACCATTTACATTTAATGTAATTATTGATAAGGTTGGATTTAGGTCTATTTTGCTATTTGTTTTCTGCTTGTCCCATCTCTTTTTAGTTACTCATCTTTTCCTTCTTTTGGATTAATTGGGTATTTTTAAGAATGTGATGTTTTAGCTGAAACTATTTGTATTTTTTAAATAGTTGTTTTAAGTAGTTGCATAAGATCTTCTCAGTCTACTTAAAGTTAAAATTACACTGTTTTCTTATGATGTATGGGAAAGTAAAGACACTGAAGATATTTACCCCTCTTTCATCTTTTATGCTATAGTTGTCATGTATATTACATCTACATGTAGTGTAAACCTCACAACAGGGTGTTACAATTTTACTTTGAATGATGATAATGTAGAATATATATAGAAATAATATAGAAATTCAGAAGAAAAGCTAGTCTTTAGTTTTTTTATCTACATGTTTACTATTCCTGATGCTTTTCATTTCTGAAATCTAAGTTTTTATCTGGTATCACTTCTCTTTATTCTAAGTAAGTTTTTAAAGAATTTCTTGTAGTGTGGATCTGCTGGTGACAATTTTGCCTTCATTATTAAAGGATATTTCCATTGGATATGTAATTCAGATTGACAGTTGTAGAGACTCTAGATTCTGTTAGGTTTCTTCTTAAGAGTGGTGTTTTGTTAAGAGCAGGCAGTTAAGTTTGCTGAACTCTTGCAAGCTGTCTTTTCTTTGGTGGGCCGCACCAGAGATCTCAGTTCAGTTCTTTTTGCCTTAGCTGGGCTGCATGGAGTCTGCCCTGCATGTGTATAGTTGAGGGATCAGCCAGAGACTTGGAGCACAGTGCATACACCTGCCCCCCACCCCACTTTGCGGCTCGCTCATTTTTGGGAACTAAATAGAAAGTCAAGTAATAGATCTATTTATGCATACTCAGTTGAATTTCAGCAAAGATGCAAAGGCAGCTTAATAAAGACAATCTTGTCAACAAATGATGGTAGAACAATCAAATACACATATGCCAAAAAAACCTGAAAAAAAGTTGATTCGTATTTCACCACATAAATAAAAATTAACTCAAAATGGATCATAGACTTAAATGTAAAACGTGAAACTAGATCTAGAAGAAAACAGGAAGTAATCTTTATTACCTTGAGCTAATCAAAGATTTATTAGCTACAGCAACAAAAACATGATCCATAAAAGAAAAAAAATTGATCATTAGTGGATTTCATCAAATTAAAAATACTCTCCATAAAACACTATTAAGAACATACAAAATAGCCTGGGATAAAATACTTGTAAATCATATATCTGATAAAGCACTTGTATCCAAAATATATTTTTAAAACTCTGAAAACTCAATAATAAGAAAATAAACCACCTAATTTAAAAAAAGAAATATTCGCTCAGATACTTACCTAAAGAAGATATAGGGATGGGATGGCAAATTAAAAGATGCACAGCATCATTAGTCACTCAGGAAATGCAAATTAAAACCACAGTGAGATACTGCTTGCCCATTAAAGTGACTGAAATGGAAAAGACTGACCATATGAAGTACCGAGGATGTGGAACAACTGGAATTCTCATACCCTGCTGGTAAGAATGTAAAGTGGTACAACCACTTTAGAAAACAGTTTGTCAGTTTCTTAAAAATTTAAACATAGAGCTGCCATGTGATCCAGCCATTTCACTCCTGTACAAGTATCTATATGGATACATGCTTTTACTTCTCTTGGGTAAATACAATCTTGGTATTTACCATTTGGATATTTGGTATTTACCCAAGAGAAGGGAAAGCACATGTCCATATAGATACCTGTACGGGAGCATTTGTAGCATCCTTATTTGTAATAGTCAAAAACTGGAAACAACCCAGATGTCCATCAGTAGGTGAAAGGATGAACACACTGTGCTATGAAATGCTACTAAATAAGCAGACAACAAAGAATTTTATCGAATGTTTTGCCACTGCCATAACATGGACTGACCATCCTTCTAGCCTCCAGTAACAGTTTTCTGCTGCCGACTTTGTAGTCCTTAAGCCAGTGTCACATGTTTAGAATTTTTGTTGTATCTTTGGTACTTCTGTTGCTGATTTCCATATCAGTCAGAATGAGCCAGGTTTTACTGTGATAACAACCCCAAATTTCAGTGACTTAAAAGTTTGTTTCTTTGTCATGAACTGTATGTCCATTGTGGGTTAGCTGAAAGTTCTGTTTTCTGTTATTCTCACCCTGAGACTCAGGCTGATAGAAGTCATTGTCTGAAACCTTCCTGGTTGCTGTGAATGTTGACTAATTTAAACTTGCTTGATATATAGGAGTTAAGATGAATTTTCAAGCCAGACTACTTCTTTATTTTCATCAGCATTTGTTGACTGTCTTTTCATTTTAGCATGCATTAAATCTTTAGTGCCACCAATGGCTATGACTTTCTTTAATCTGTGGTATTAAAAAATATACAAAATATATTTCAGCTTTATTTACCTTATAATTGCTTGTTTTTAGGTGGGAAGTATGTTATTCCTGTTAGATAAAGAACCTGAGGTCCAGAGAGGGTAAATGGATTAGTATGACCATACAGCAGTAAAACTGGACTAGAACCCAGGATTCCCGTTTTAATACTTTTGTGCAAATTGGAGAAACATAACTGCACCATCTCTTTACACATTCTTTATTTTGGCAGTGTCTTCAATAGGCCGTGTTTAAGAGGCGTCTTACACTCCCTGTTGCCAGTGGCTGGAACACAATGGATCACACAGGGGCGATAGACACCGAGGATGAAGTGGGACCTTTAGCCCATCTTGCTCCAAGTCCTCAGAGTGAAGCTGTGGCTCATGAATTCCAGGAACTCTCCTTGCAGTCCAGTCAAAACTTACCCCCTCTGAACGAAAGGAAAAATGGTGAGTTCAGCATGTGCAATGGGATCTTTGATTTAAAGATTTCCCCTCTTTGGGAGCCCAGTTTATTCCTGTTTGGTAGTAATATTTTGGTCAGTTCAGCAGTCTGTCATGGAGGAGAACCCTGTAGAGGTACTGGATGGTTTTTAATAACAGGCAGAATTTCACTTTCCATTCAGTTCTTTCATTATTTTCCCAGTAAGTATCTTTGGTAGTGACGTTACCTTTGGAAATAATCTTTAGATTCAGCCATTTTAGCACAAGCAGATGATTTCATGCTGGAATGGCATTGGAAAGTAGGTTCCTGTGCTGATGCCGGGGAAGTACATTGTGGATATGACTGCATTCTCCTCCCACTTTCTCCATCTCCGGTGTGTTGCACCGTAATTTCACAAGTGGCAAAGCTATCTCAGTGATGACTAAGAAGTCAGGAGCTTCTTATTTGAGTATTTATTATATTAATGGGTATTGGATATAGTCATATTCTCAGTCTTTGGCTGCCTCATCTTTGTCTACAAAATGAATATTTTCTATTCATTATCTGTTCAGGAAATTTTCATCGCTCACAGAGATATTCCAGAGTCTCCAGAAGACACAATACTGTCAATTTTTAACATAAACAAATAGAGATAGATGACATATACTTTTAATACTTAAGATACAAAATCTAACAAAGTAATGTTAAAATTTGCAAACACTCTAAGCATGCACATTAAAAAATAGAATTAAGGTTTTTTTCTGGAATTACTATACCTTCCACAGTTCTGATGAGTCCCACACTCACAAGTATATTTGTAAATTTCAGTTTTTTAAAAGCCAGAAGAAATAAAACTGCTTTCCCTGCAGAGTGCCTCATTATGTACCTTGTCACTTACTTTCCTGGGTCCTGAGTGTTTTCCAGTCCTCCTACTTATTAGACTTACCTTATTTAGGAAAGTGGATTAAAAAAACCATACATATACCGTTCTTCTTAGGCCTTTAGTACATGTCTTTGGTATGTACTTGTTCTCCTTCAAATAAAATGTGTTTTGCTTTGTATCTGAATCTTGTTGCTAGGCACAGCCCTTGACCATTTTGATAGGTGTTTTTTTTTTTTTTTGAGACAGAGTCTCACTCTGTCGCCCAGGCTTGAGTGCAGTGGCGTGATCTCTGGTCACTGCAATCTCCGTCTCTTAGGTTCAAGTGATTCTCCTGCCTCAGCCTCCTGAGTAGCTGGGATTACAGGCACGCACCACTATGCCCAGCTAATTTTTTGTATTTTTAGTAGAGATGGGGTTTTCACCATGTTGGTCAGGCTGGTCTCGAATTTCTGACCTTGTGATCCACCCGCCTCGACCTCCCAAAGTGCTGGGATTACAGGCCTGAGTCACAGCACCCGGCCAATTTTGATAGGTTTAAAGCAGCATCTTAGCTTAGGTGCTGTGAAACCTTCAGGATGCTGTGGTTAACTCACTGGTGATGACTTTTAAACCTTCCATCTTTTCTTTCTTTTTTTTTTTTTTTTTTTGAGACGGAGTCTCACTCTGTCGCCCAGGCTGGAGTGCAGTGGCGCGATCTCAGCTCACTGCAGGCTCTGCCTCCTGGGCTCACGCCATTCTCCTGCCTCAGCCTCCCAAGTAGCTGGGACTACAGGCGTCCACCACCACGCCCAGCTAATTTTTTCTAGTTTTAGTAGAGAGACGGGGTTTCACAGTGTTAGCCAGAATGGTTTTGATCTCCTGACCTCGTGATCCACCTACGTCGGCCTCCCAAAGTGCTCGGATTGCAGGCGTGAGCCACCACGCCCAGGTTAAACCTTCCATCTTTTAAGAACCCACATTTACCTTAGACAGTAGCTGAGAGAATATAGCCATATTTACTGAAACATGACTAAGTGTGATCAGATTTACACAGTACACTTGGACCAGTATAATGTCCAAATTATTACCCTAAAAGAAAATAAGAGTTGAACTGTTATAAAATCAGAACACACAGTTGTGCACAATAATGGTCTTCTGTAATGGGGAGGGAAGAGTGAGGAGACTTTATCCTTTATGGTCATTTACAGGAAAAGTTAATATGTATGCCAGAATATAAGGTGGCAAGCCCAAATATAAAGCAGTCTCCCCTTATAAACTTCTAAGGAAATAGATTAAATGGTAAAATTTTAAATTTATTAATGTAGTTACATTTTATGAAGCATTGCAATAATGTAGAAGGATTGCTTTAACCACTCTCATTGTTCATAAAACCATCCTACTCAAAGTCTATATGTGAATCTTTGTGGTCAGTGTTTTTATCAGTAGTAGAACCCCTGTGCATCATCCATCTAGCACTAATTTCCAGGGTACATCTTCATTTCTGTCTCTTTGGTTTGAGTTACAGCAGCTTTGTAACATGTGCATGATTTGGCACTGAACATTTCTTTTTTTTTTTTTTTTTTCATTAGGCAAACATTTATTAAGCACTTAATATGTACAAGGGACAAGGGAGACGCATTTTTTAATGTTGTCTTTCTTTAGTAACAGTCAAAATACCACACAGAAAATAACTTAAAACTTAACCACAGTGTTATTATTGACCAATTGGGTTTAATACGTTTTCTTCAAAAGATGTTTGATATTTTGTAGGAGACAAAATAATTATTTAGCTTATGAGAAGATAGGGCATAATTTTGGAAATCCAGGCCTCTGAAGGATGGAGGTGCATGTTTTAGACACAAATAATCTTCCCGGTATCTTTGAATAAATCCCATATTTGGTAGTACTGATTCTTTTTTTTTTTTTTTTTATACTTTAAGTTTTAGGGTACATGTACACAACGTGCAGGTTAGTTACATATGTATACATGCGCCATGTTGGTGTGCTGCACCCAGTAACTCGTCATTTAACATTAGATATATCTCCAAATGCTATCCCTCCCCCCGGCACTGAAAATTTCATGTCTAAATCACAAGTACCATTCACAAAACAGTTTTTTTTTTTAAATTGTCTTAGTTGTATACTCATAATCTCTATAACATAATACTTGTTTGATTTGTCATTGGTTGTTACATTTTATGGGGTCTAGTTTCTGTTTTAGAATTTGGCTTTTTTTAAGCAGATAATGTATTCATGTGGTTTAAAATGTTATGATTACCTAGTGAAAAGGAGGTTACCCTCCCAATCTTGTCCCTTACCTGCACAGTTACTTTCCCAGAATTAACTGTTACTAGTGTTCTTTCTGAGAGAATAATATTTGACTACGTTTTAAAAAGCAGTTTTTAAAAGGCTACTTTGTAACGACACCCAACACTTTGCATTTTAAGGTTCTAACTGGGAATAATGTATTGGTTTTTTTCTCTTTTCCTTCTTTTTTCTAATTCTGATTAAAATATTTCTGTAAGCCTGAAAGTAGCTTCAAAAGAAGTTGGTTTTTAAGCCAATGTGTTTTCTTCAAGAGTCCTTTTTTGTTCAATACGGAGTAAATGAAAGAACATCTCATTCTGAGAAACTGTGCAAAGACTCCACTATGAGATTGTTCCCTCTTTTCTAATAAATGACTTCAGGAAGTTATTATAGAAGCCTTATTTTATATTCAGACATATAATTTCAGGCTTATGATATATTAACCTAATTTGCATATACATTCCAAGGCATAAAAGGCATCCTTATTTGGCTGTCAGAAATCTAGGTTTTTGGGGAAATGCTGCTCAAAGGATACAAATTTCAGTTAGATAGGAGGAATAAGTTTAAGAGATCTATTGCAAAACATGGTAGCCAAGGTTAATAACAATGTATTGTATTGAAAATTGCTAAGATAGTAGATTTTAAGTGTTGTCACCACGAAAAAAATAGTAAACATTTGAAATAATGATGTGTTAATTCAATTGAGCAATTCCACAGTGCATACATATTTCAAAAAAAAGTACATGATAAATATATATAATTTTTGCCGGGCGCAGTGGCTCAAGCCTGTAATCCCAGCACTTTGGGAGGCCGAGGCAGGCAGATCACAAGGTCAGGAGATCGAGACCATCCTGGCTAACACGGTGAAACCCCGTCTCTACTAAAAATACAAAAAATTAGCCGGGCGTGGTGGCGGGTGCCTGTAGTCTCAGCTACTCCGGAGGCTGAGGCAGGAAAATGGCATGAACCCGGGAGGCGGAGTTTGCAGTGAGTCAAGATTGCACCACTGCACTCCATCCTGGGTGACAGAGCAAGACTCTGTCTCAAAAAAAAAAAAAATAAATAAATATATACATACATATATATATATATGTATATATATATATATAACTTTTGTCAGTTTCAAAATAAAAGCAAATATATTAATTTTTTTTAAATCTAAGTTTTTGACAGTTATGTGAGCAGAGTATGTTCACATCAAGTAATATATAGATGAAAGGACCGTAACATTCTTACTTTAATGATTTTTTTCAGACATGTTGTTCATTTTTTAGGTCTTCTTAATGCAGTGTTTAAGTCATACAAAATGCAGGTGTTGGCATCAAAATTAATCAATACAAAGTATTGTTTAGATATTATGAAATAAATGAATTCAGATTTTTTTGGTGATTGTGTTATTATTCCTAGACATTTGAATTTCACTTATTAGAATTATTTTCTGTTGAGGGAAAAATGGAGATATTTCAGTTTGGGATTAGTGTCTAAAAGGGTAATATATAATAGTTTATAAATACACTTTACAAGGAAAATGAAGTTGACGTTTAATGATTCCAGGATCTTCCCTTGTTTTACATTCATATTCATGTTACTGATGATAGTGGAGCGGCAGGATATTCCCACTATTGGAGCACATAGGAGAGATACTTAGTAAAGAGAAGCTGGGATTTTCCTTTACTCTTGAATGTGACCAAAATAGTACCTCAAAGTAAAGCAGCCATATTTAGGCAATTAACTTTTCCTAACAAGTGAGGCCTTAATGAAGGAAAATGGATATACAGAAACACATGCATAATCTACCTTTACTAAAACAATGCATATACAGGGGATTGAGCTTCATTTTAACATTTTAAATACACGTTAGATCCATCTTTCTCACGATTTGCATTCCTTCACATGAGCAGACTGGGAATAAAAAGGAAACCAGTCAAAGGAATAGGACGTTAGTGTTTAAATTGGAAAAGCTCAGCAAGGAAAGACAAAGTGGGTAGAAACAACATCACTGAAAGAGCTGCAGCCCTTTGCCTGTGCCTACACTCTGAGGGGACCCTGCGGGAGAAGCTGTTCCTTCCTGAGGTCGTGTGCAAGACCGGTAAGCTGACAGGCAGAGCAACCCTCAGGGATGCTGGCTGGTGAATTTAAGGTTTTAAGTCATTGCCAGTATTATTACAGAGTAAGCAGAGAAGTTAATACAGATTTTCATTTTTAAAAACTGTTTGGTATTTTAATACTTTATGGTATGTCTTGAGTCCAGGTACTTTTAAGGTGAGGAGCAGTCATGTTGACATGGTCACAGAAATAGCACAGGCCAGCTGATTTAGACTTTTGTAAAATCAGTATCATCTACCTCCCTCTTCCTGAACTAAAAGGCTTTTTCAAACTCTGTTCACTATGAAGTAGTCAGTGTGTTTTAGGCCTCAATAAAGAGGAATGACATTTGCCGTTCTTATTTTAAACTTCGGTATTACAACGTTACTGCAGTTGTTAGGGTTTTGAGCTTATAGTCCTATCTTGAAATCTTCTAAGATTTTCCATCCATTAAATTTATCATACAGAATAACTTTAGATAATCTCTTTTTCAGTTCTTGAAATGATCACTTACTAGAGAGAAAATAATTTATTCAGAAGTTTGCTGCACACAAGAGAACCCAAGATGGCTCTTTGCTTTGGTTTCAATACATGTATTAATATATTTGCAAACAGTCAGGTGAACTTTGCCTAGCCATGGAACCCAGCCAAAGAAAGCTGCTTGCCTCACACTATAGAAAATGAATGGCATATATTTAGAGCTGGCCTTTTTTGGGGGTTTCACTTTGAAAGCATTTCCCTGCTTCTCATTAACCTGCTAGGCTTACTGTCAGTCCAAGTATCTGGAAATATACAATGGCAATGAACATTTGTCTTGGGCAAAACTGGGTTCTTGAGGCCATAGGTGAGCTGGTATAATGAATGAATGGAGATTGGTGAGGGAGAAAGAGGAAATTTCTACTTTTCTCTGGAGCAGATAGCCAGACAGAAAGCTGTCATAGTGTCATAAACGAGCAGGAAACAAATAGATGCTCAATAGCCAAGACAGAGCTGTGGAATTCTTGCTTTCCCTTTCTATAACTGGAAGTATTAGAAATGAATAAATTTCTCTAAAATCTTGTCGTTGGCTTTGCTGTTAACATATTTAGGATCTGGAGTGTTTCATGTAATTCTCAAGGACATCAATAAACATTCTGATAGTAGCTTGTTTTCCTGCTTTCAGGAGTTAGAGTACTTACACTGAGAAAAGAAGTATATACTCTGTGAATATAATTTTCCTTGGTTGTTTTAAATTAATATTTTTAAAAATTGGGCTTTGGGATTTATAGTAAACACAATTATAGTTTTAAAAGCAAGCTGTAAGCCTCCCGACAACTGCAAATGAAAATGTGGCAGCTCTCATACTTTTTGTTTGTGAAAATCTCTTGAACCCTTCAAAATGAAAAAGAAGCCTTGTAAGTACCTTAAGGGTGAGGTATTCTCTTTCATAATAACCTTTATGATGTCTCCTATTAGTATGTTTTGATTCACAGTGTAAATAAGCACCTGTAACCCTGTCTGCCTTCTATTTTTCTACTCTGAGTGTCTTATTTAGACAGTTTTTGTTGTTACTGAGGATTTTGTTTGCTTCAGTGCATTGCAGAGCACACCCATGCAGTGTGTTTGGAGCGAGGGAGGGGGCTGTGTGTGACTTTACCTTCTCCCGTTTGTAGCTGGCAGTGAGTTTGATCTCCTGCGGGAGTAGCAGCATCAGAATGCTAACATGGGCTTGCTTTAGTTATCAATGAGGGGGTGGATGAAGCTTTGTGCATCAGCAAGACCATGGACCCCATTACAGCACCTCTGAAGCTCATTTTGAGTAATTTATTTAGTCTTTAAATTGTGTCCTCTTGTTGAAATACCTTTGAGGCATCATAATTAACACATTTATTAACAGTAAGATTTAAAACGTAATAGTAATGAGCAGTTTAAACCGATGATGAGACCACATCATCTTAAACTTGTTTACTTGTTTTATGTTTACTTAACATTTTAGACAACTTTTCTATAGTTACTGAAGTCACAGAAGTACATTATTTTCTATATAGATTGAGATAACTTTCATAAAAGTAGAGCCCACCATGTCATTTATATTACACATTGGACCAGTGAATAAACTAAAACAAATTTATTAAGAAATAGTCTTTGCTTTTCCTCAGAAAGCAATTATGAAAGATAATATACATAATATAAATGATCAGTTAAATAAGTATGACTCAGCTATAACCTCCTAGCTACTTAGACCTCACAAGACTTTGTGGAATTAAGTAGTTAGTTCCTCTGCTGGGCTGAGAGACTTAGGAAAATTAAAGTGGGGCTCCGTTTACTTATGTCTGCCACGTAACTCAGTCACAAGGACCTCTTGTAGCTAAAAAAGAGAAAAGATAGTTTTGGACACCTGTTCTCTACCATACCTATAAAAGAGCCTAATGAATACAGGGAATGTACTGGAAAAAAGTGATCCATGACAATTTTTCTTTGTTACTTAGCTTGTATTTTAAGACAGCAATAATAAAGTACTCTTGTGACAGAAAACAGTAAGACTGATATGTTAAAGTAACGTGTTGGAATTTTCTCTTTGGCTTGTAATTAATAATTACCTAGACTAATTAGCAAATATCATGTTTTTCTGACTCCTTTACATTAATCCGTACGTTGGCTCTCCTGCCCTCACCGACTGCCCTCACTATTATTGACAGGAAGTGTAGTCTTTTGGGAGTCAGGACTTCAGTCTCCTCTGCTGACTCAGTCTGTGAGCATGGGTAAGTCTAAGGTGCTCTCTGTGTCACAGCTTGCCCATTATGACATCCGTACAGCAGCCTCCAGCCCATGTGTCTCCCTGGCGGCCCTTCCTCATTACATCATGTGTTCTTATATCTCATTGTCGTGTTTGCCGTGTGCTATTCATTGGGCAGCAGGAACAGAAAGAATGGAAGATAACTTCCATCTCAGCTAACCAATGGACTTTTCCTTAGATACAAATTAGTCGTGTTGCTGTTTAATACAGACCTCACATCTGTATTAGTAAACATACTTGCCAGCTCTCTCAATTAGTCAGACTTTCCTGCCATATTTAAAGAAGAGAGTAATTGACTTGTTTGTTATTCTCAAAAATAATGTGTCTGATTTAGAATATGTAGTTTCTATTGATGGTTTTTAAGGGTTGGCACGTATGCGTTAAGATTTTTATAATAGCATCAAACTGTCAGCTAAAAGATAATTTTCAGCTCTTTTTAAAGCCAAAATTCATATTTTTATGGTATTTATGTTGTTGTTTTCATTAAGAAAATGCTAATCGTTGGGTGTCTATTTCACCAGTTAAATTTTTGATATATGGCCTCTGCGTTTAATGAAGACATAACAAGAAAAGCAAAAAGTCTGATTCACGGCTTGCCTTTGGTTCTTGTAGTCTAAGTTTAAAAACTGACAAGTGTTACAGTTGGTCAGCACTCTGCAGATTTGCGATTCATAGCTACAAAATAGAAGACCCTCTTTGACAGAAGCCTTGATCCTGACATAGCAGTTAAGAAGAATGTTGCTTGGACTGCTTGATCAAACCACTGCCACGTATTATAGGAAGGAAAAGTTCGCTGTATCAGAATACTCCGCTCTCCCAAAGTATTAAAAAATTGATATTTCAAGAATGGAAATGATACTTTTTAAAATTATTGTTAGCAAACATTTATTGAATGATCATTGTGCCTCTTACTCTAAAATAATTCCTAGATTTTTAAGCCTCTAGTACAATGTTGAAAGTTCATGATGTAGTATATTCTCATAAACTTGTTACACAAAGATCTTTAAAAGACATTTCCCTGACTGTATACAGAAAAATGATTGGAGATGATTCTTGTGGATAACTGAAAAAGAAGAACCTAGTTTTAAAGAAGGAGGGCTGTAGAGTTAAGCCTGGCAGGAGCGTGCTCTGTTGCACTAAATGTGTGGTGGCAGGCCCCTCAAAGCCGTGGTTGGAATAATCTTACGTATTCCTTCTAGATTGTTGGGAAGATTGAATGAAATAAAGCATCTAAAGTGACTAGCACACATACGGCACATCTTAGGCTCTCAGTACATGTTTTAATTAACCCAGTCTTGCATGCCTGATGTGAGAATACCATGATGGAGGCACCAACTTTGGAGCCACCCTAAGCCTAGATCTTAGCCACACCATTACTAGCTATGTGAATGTGGACCAATTAGTTACCTTCCCTTTGCCTCAGTGTCCTTATCTGCAAAGTGGGGATCACACTAGTATTTGTTTCATAAGATTGCTCTGAGGGTTAGATCAAGTAATCTAAATCAAGTATAGAGAATAGTGCAAGCACATAATTAGCACTTTATTAGTATGTATATTTTGAGAATGCAGTATCGTTAACCCTTGGACAATGTAGGGGTTGGAGCACTGACCCCCGTGCAGTAAAAAATCCATGTATAACTTTTGGCTGCCTATCTCCTGATAGCCTGCTGTTGACTGGCAGTCTTCCTTTAACATAAACAGTTGATTAACACATATCATATATGTTATATGCGTTATGTACTGTATTCTTACAATAAAGTAAGCTGGAGACAAGAAAATGTTATTAAGAAAAATCATAAGGAGCTGGGTTTAGTGTCTCACCCCTGTAGTGCCAGCTATTCAGGAAGATCTCTTGAGCCTGGAGTTCAAGACCAGCTTGGACAATATATAGCAAGACCTCATCATAAGAAATAAAATAAAGGAAATTATGAGGAACACATATCTACAGTATTTTACTGTATTTATCAATACTGGAAGTTTACACAGTCTGTTTATAAAATGAATCATCTGTCTGAAATGGTGGGCAACTGCAGTTGCAGATCTCAATCTATGGTACATATCAAGCAATTCAACTTTTTCTTCTAATGTCATGACTTTTTTCTGCTTCTTGGGAGCACCTCCAGAATCACTAGTGGCACTTCGTAGGAGTCTCATTATGCAGAGCTTAAGGTACTGCACTACACATGATGAAAAATATGTGAGAACCTCAAGAGATTACTTTTTACTTCTATGTGCAATTTCCTGGAGAGACAACTGCTCACGCGGAGATGATGAACATCACTTGGTGTTTTAAGCAGTACTCGCAGCTCTTGAGCTTCACCACAATAGCAACAGGAGGTGACTACAAAATTGTTACAGTAGTACAATATCCACTACAGTTGATTTATGTTGATTTACATTGCTCATCTATAAATGGTGCCACGTATGGTCTGTATGTGTATGTAAGTTTTGGTAAATTTTAACTTTTTATAATAGATTTGTGTATATTTTATGGTAGTAAATGATAAAAATAGACTAGTTTCCACATATATTTTATACATTCACAACATACCTAACTTTTTCTTAATTCTTTTGATATTTCTAGGCTATGTGGTTCATCTGAGCTTTTTCAAATTTTCACACATCTCCAAAAAATTTTGCAACACATTTATTGAAAAGAATCCAAATATATGTGGACCCATGAAGTTCAAAGTCATGTTGTTCAAGGGTCAACTGTGTTTTAATTTTTACTAAGTCAGTGTGGCTTTTCAGAATTTTCACCATGATGTTTTATAACTTAGCATTTCTTTTGGTCGTCCCAGTAACTTTTGCTCCCATTTTCTACAAGTATTTCTTTTTTAAAAAGGCAAAATGACATTCAGTTTCTTAATGTCTCACCATGTACCTTCATAACATTTGAAGAGCAGCTTATCTGATGAGTGCTGAGAGGGCAAAGGCAGTGGGCACTGATTTCCCATGAAGTTCATCTCTTGTTGGTACTGCCAGTTCCCACAATCCTAGCATTCTCTGGGCATCAGTCAGTGTCTACAAAAAAGGATTTTCAAATATTAAAGCATGTGAAAAGACAAACAGGCCAAAACTCAGAGCTCTCTAGGGACTATGACCTCCAAAACAGACTCCATTCTGACATTTTCACAGGCTACTTGAAGGAATTCCAGCAGGGTTGTTCCATTTGGTAAACTCCTAAACAAACCCTCTGTCATCGAGGACTGATTTATAGAATTTTCTCCTTATGTGCTTGTTCTGAAGAGATTAAGATAGTAGATATGGTTGCTGAGACTCTTTTAAAAGTCATTTGATATATATGATAAGTACTATACAGAAGATTTTTGGTATTTTGAAGTAATAAAACAGTTATTTGTAATGTTTAAAGAGATTTTGTGTTCTGAGTTGTCTTCTAAGTTCTTTTTCTTTTTGATTCCAGGAAATCTATGTCATAATCACATCTCTAAATTAAGTTTTTTTCATTATAAACCCAATCATTTAACAAAGAAATTGAATAAATTCAGAAATTATCTTTGTATAAACAAGTATGTTAAAAACATGTTTATGCATATATATAAATATATACATATGATATACATATATCATATGTTTTACAATGACCTTTAGAATATGTGAAACAGAAACAGTTCGGTTGTTATAGAATATTCTTCTATGAAATCTTGGTGTAATGGCAGCTGTTTAGATGATGCTGTAAGGTCACTAGAGGGGGTGGATCTATAAGTTGTTTTTCAATTAATCTGGATCCTCTTAAAATATTTTATTGTGTATTTTTATGCATTTCTTTTTTTAAAAAGAAGAATATAATGCTAAAAATAAAGGAGAAGGGCAGAACCCAAGAGATTTGGAGCCTGGAGAACTTAAGGAAATGGGTAGTTGGGATTTATTTGGCTTGTAGTTGTCCTTAACTGCTAACAGCCTCATGGTGGTCTCATCTGAAGTCTGTGAGTGGCATGTATGAAATTCCAGGGTGAACGGCATTCCACATTGGGAGGACCAGGTTTGTTGGGGAATTTTTGTATGGTTTGTTTCCTTCTTCGTGTGTTTCTTTTTAATCCTTTAAATGAATTCTTTAACTGAATTAACAGAGTTTTAACTGCTAAATAAAAGTCCTATACAATCAAAAATTTCTTAAGATTTGATATCTGATTCTGTTGTAGGAATGTAATATATTTTGGGAATGAGTTTAAAAATGGGACACAGGCAAGTAAATTGATTTATGATGCTTTCAACCAAGCTTCACAAAATTAGTACTAAAAATAAAATTCATGTTATCATATTCTAATAACCTGTCATAAACCTAGCATATTTTAGGTCTCCTTAGTGGAAAAAAAAGAAAGGAAATGAAAGTGAAATAATAAATTGCTTAATTGGTCAAAATTAGTTATTGAGTTCTTGGCTGTACTAGAGAATTGTGTGGCTCTTAATTGATGTTTAAAATATAAATAAAATGTGTATGCTGAAAAAGATAAATGTGTGTGTTACTGTTTCTCTCAAGCCAAGAATAACAGTGATATTTAACTAGTCATGATCTTAATATGAAAAAGTATTGCTTTTCTAGTATGTTTTCTAACAACTTTTTTATCTCTGTATATTTGTTAGTCTCCATCTTTTTCAGAAAAATGGAATTTGGTTAAATAACAATTTGCTGAACCAATGAAACCTCTGGTTGCATACTTTTGTACTTGTTTGTGCATAGAAATCATGTAGCTGTTTGGATTGCTCAGCGCTTTCTGAACCCTCAAGAGAAGGAAAATGATTGCACCTTCAAAAAGTTGAAGATTTTATTTGAATACCCAAATATTATAATTTGAAGGATTTTCTAGATAATGGAATTTAAACTCATATCAAGTTAGGACTAAAAAAATTTTAATTTGAAGAAATTCAAGAACTGAGTCTTAAATTATAACTGTCAGGGTCCAGTGGTGTTATTACACTGAAACTATTTAAAATAAATTCTCTCATGAAAATACATATATTTCTTAAATGACCCCAAATGTTTCATGTACTTTTGAGGGTTATATAAATGTCAATTAGGTTCAGTTGATTAATAAAGTTGTTCAAGTCTTCTATACCTTTATTGATTTTCTTTTTATTTGTTCTACCAATTAGAGAGTAATGTTGAAAACTCCAACCACCAACATGGATTATTTCTCCTAAAGTCTACTCTGTTTTATATTAATAGCCCCTCTAAGTATCATGTGCTTACAACTACATGAAATATCTTTTTCTCATGCTTTTACCTTTAACCCATCTGCATCTTTATATTTAAAGTGAGTTTCTGGTTGGACATTGTGGCTCATGCCTGTAATTTCAACACTTTGGGAGGCCAAGGTGAGAAGATCGTTTGAACCCAGGAGTTCAAGATCAGCCTGGGCAATAAAGCTAGACCCTGTCTCTACAAAAAAATTTTAAAAATTAGCCAAGCATGATGACACACACCTGTAGTCCCTGCTACTTGCGGGGCTGAGGTGGGAGGATTGCTTGAGCCCAGGAGTTTGAGGCTACAGTGAGCTAGGATCACACTACTGCACTCTAGCCTGGTGACAGAGCGAGACTCATCTCCGTTTTTGAAAAATTTTTTAAATGTTAAGGATAAGCTTGCTGTTAAAGTAGAAATTAAAAAAGAAATTTTAAAAATAAAATGGATTTCTCATAGATAGCATAGAGCCGAATCTTTTTAAAATGTAGTCTGACAATCTCTTACAATTTTAATTGCAATATTTAGATCATTTACATTTAAGGTAATTATTGGTATATGTGGTATAATAGTTATCTATTGCTTTGTAGTGAATTTCTTTAAACCATAACAGCCAAATGCAGCATGCATTTATTATCTCACAGCTTCTGTGGGTCAGGAATTCAGGCATGTCTTAGCTGAGTACCTCTGCCTCAGAGTCTCTCAGGAGTCTGTAATCAGAGTGTCAGCCAAGGCCAGAGTTTCATCTGAAGGTTCAACTAGGGAAGGGTTCATGTCCAAGCTTACTTACTTTGCTTTTAGCAAGATTCAGTTCTTTTAGGACTGTTGGACTCAGAGCCTGAGTTCCTTGCTGACCATTGGCTGGAGGCCACCTGGGTCTCTCTGACATGACAGTTTTCTTTATGAAAGCCAGTAAGAGAGAAGTCTTCTGGCAAGACAGAGTGATAATCTCTTGTAGCATTCCTTAAACTTAACCATATTCGATTGATTAGAAGCAAATTACTCTAAGGGAGAGGATTATACAAGACCATAAATACTAGGAGGCAGGGATCCCTGGGACTACCCTAAAGGCTGCCCATCACAATTGAGTTCAAATCTATCATCCATCATCTTGCTCTATGTATATATATTTTTTTGTCTTATGTGTTCTGTCTCACTTCATTCTTCTTGTCTTACCTTGTTTAATTTTTTCCCATTTTACTTTATTTTTATTTTACAGTGCCTTATTAGATATACCTCTTTTTTTCAAGTATTCCCTGATCTTTTAAAATGCATATCTAATATGCTGTTAATCCCACCCAATAAAAGTTTATTATTTTCCTTTTACCTTTAGAAGTTTTATTTTGTTCTTTTTTTACTGTCCATGTTTCTCCATGTTATATTTATGTTTTAAATACTTGTATATAGTTATAGTAGCTGTTAATAGTTTCATTTATTTTCATCATTCTGGGTCTGTTTTTATTGATGAATTTTCCTCCTATTTAAGAGTTGCATTTTCCTGCTTCCTGGTGTAAGTAGTATAGTAATTTTTCATTGGATATAATTTTGTGAATGTTGCATTACTGAGTGGAATTTGTTTTTGTTGTCTTCAGTTAAAGAAAGTTGGGCTTTGGTTTGGTAGGCAGCTAAGTAACTTTTGGATCACCTTCAAGGCCTTTCTTAAATTTTTTAGGAAAGATCTAGGGTAGCATTCGTGCCAGGGAGACTCCCCTTAAAGGTATCTCTGCTGCATGCCCTGCTAAGTGCCCCAGGGAGGACATTTCACTCAGGCTGGTTGCAGTTCGAACGTTTCCCGACCTTGTATGCACTCTGGGAAGTATTTAGCTTATAGTCCCTGGTCATTTCTTGCCCAAACTTGTGAGATTTTACTCTGTGTACATACAGCTTAGCACTCAGCAAAGACTCCAGGGCACCATTAGGCAGGTTTCTGGAACTCTTTTTCAGCATAGATCCTGTTTTTCACAAATCTTCCCTGAAACTTCAGCTGCCTTAGCCTGCTTAAGCTCTCCTCTCATCTCTGTCTCCTCAGTTCAGCAAGCCTAACAAGCTCCTGTGTGATTTCTCCCTCCTCTTACCCACAGTCTAGAAATTGCCTCCAGGCAGAAAGTTAGGGCAATTATGGGCTCATCTCATTTGTTTCCCTCCTCTCAGGGGCCACAGCCCTGCATTACCTGTTTGCCAATGTGTGAAAGCAATTGTTTCATGTATTTTGCCCAGTTTTCTAGTTTCTTATGGCAGGAAGTTAAGTCCAATGATTGTTATTCCATCATGGCTGGAAAACGAGGGTCTGGAATTGGGATTTTCACATAGGACCTTTGCTTTTCCTGTGACACATGCTTCCTCTCAGTACATATGGATGAACTTTCTGACTAGGACTACAGTAGCAATATCAGTTTATTTTTGGACCCACCCAAACGCTCAGACCTTACTGGAAGTACCAAGTTGCTCTGCTTTTTGATCAGTGGATGAACGAAATTAAATTGTTGGTTAAAGACCAGGCTAATAGTTATGGTTGGTTCTCATGGCAAGTAGCTTTTCACTTTTGCTGTTGATACAGAATGGTCAGCAAGACTGTCATAGAAGATACCGTGCTAGGGCCTCTGGGATTGCTTGGAGATAATGGCATGGTCATTCCATTGGTTCAAGAAGTCATCTCTTTTTTTAAATTTGAAGCCTCAAGGAGGAAAGGTTTCACTGGTTGGCAGAATCCATTGTTCATTAATAAATAATTAATTGTGTATTATTTTCTCTTATAGAAATATTGAAATTTTAAAATATTCTCTTTTCCTCAGTATTTGAATTTGATTCAACTTGGCAAAAGATTCAGCCTTTAAAAGAGACAACTAAAGACTGTATTTTCCTTCTCACATGTATATTAAATGGGAACTTTCTTGTCAGGATAATCTAGGTTATAGTAAGAAAAAAAGCAAGGAATAATAGATCTATCACGGGTGCAGCTAACCATCCTTTTCACACCCTCCCATCATGCGTTCCTCCCATCAACCACTCCCCACTCCCCCATGCAAAGGAAAAGGTCTTGCAATGAAATATATCAAATTATTTTGGAAATTTACATGCATATAAACTATTTTCATCTCTTTTCTATAGTTTGCATTTTTCATAATGTGCACATAGTACTTTTATATCAATGAAGGTAGAAATCTTTTTTAAACAAATGTCATATAATAGGGAATATCAGAGTGACTTGGTAGCTCATGATTATATTGTGATATTGGGAGGATTCTACTTAGAGCTAATTGTCCAGTCAAATCTTCACAACATGTCATAGATTCTCATTCTTTATTGAACACCAGAGCTTTAAAGAAGAATTTAGGTTGATAAAGAGTTTTGAGTGGTAGAATAGAAATAAGATAGAATATCACTGAGGTTATCTGATAATACCACTCAAAAGTACACATCAGCATGATCATGGAAACATAATCTGATCAAAATCTCTGTGGTCTGGCTCCCCAAAGTCTGTACTCCCTACTTTTTAGCCTTGGGCCTAGTGGTTTAAGGTTCCCACCTTGGTTCACAGGGCCACCCCTTACTGCCCACATGAGCTATTGTGTGCCTGTCTCACAGTTGCTGAGAAGCCAGCATGGGAGTTAGGAGACAGGGAACAGATGGGAATCTCTAGTAGTGGGCTTGGTGAGGGAGGCTTCCATGTCAAAACTGGCCACAGAGATGGAGAATAACTGATCTACAGCAGATAGATGCAGCTCCAACAAGGAACTATTGAGTTTGGTTCTCAGGTTCATTTGGTCCAAGTGACCTGCTGATGCTACAGATACTGATACTGATACTACAGATAGAAGCCAAATAAATGAGACATCACTGAATAAAGGAAATGTGGAAAGACTGTGTTTTTGAAAATTAGAATTGTCAATGTATAATTTGTACTTTAGAATATATCATATTCTATTTTTATCAAATGACTTTTATATATAGTTTCATTTTATTGGCCCAAATGTTTGAAAATGTAATTATTTGAATTAATGCATTAATTGGTTTTAATGTGTTATTGCAGAATGTTTTCCAATAGAATTTTTATTTTTAAGCTATATGGTTTTTATAAGGGATAGTTCCCCCACTTTTGCTTTCTTAAGGACTATAATCATGTAAATTAAATACCTAGCACTTCTATTTTGACTTTCTTAGTTACCATGTGTCTTCTCACAAAAACAAACCACTTTTTTTCTCATTCCTTTTGGTAATGTAACCAATCAACACATATTTTTATAGATCCACCTACAAACAAGGCACTGTGTTAGATTTTTCCATGTGTTTCTGCATATTTCCACATTCTTCCTTCTTGCTTACACGGTAGGCCTAGAACCAATTGGTAAATAGCAAGTTAAACTATTAAATTCTGCCAGTAGTGAGAGGATGTCTTCCCTGACTAGGCAAAGATATTTTACCTTTGAAGTAGGTTTTAATTGTTTCCATTTTATAAAACCTATAAATTGAGGGTCAGAGAAATTAAATAATGCAAAACACCCAGCTAGCTAATGAGGTATAAAGTTTTAAAGTATATTGTTGGTTCTAAAGCTACCTGGTTTAGATGGTTATAAATAGTGCTATTACAATAGAAAAAATATAACTTTCACATGAAAGGTAGTTAATTAAAGATATGTTTAAGATTATTAAGATGCTTTTATTTTTTATGTAATGAATATGGCTATAAAAGGTATAAATATAATCATATGCAAAGCTAAAAAGAGTTAAGATTTTACTTGAGGGAATAGTTTTATTTTAAAAGTCTGTTGAAGGTTAAGACATTCTATAGTCAACCATCTACCTTGTTGAACTTGCCTAGATTCCCTTTCATTTAAGTTTATTCATATATAATAGGTGCTATATAAAGTTTATTCATGTGGAGAGCTGGGCACAGAGGCTGACGCCTGTAATCGCAGCCACTTGGGAGTCTCAGCCAGGAGGATCACTTGAGGTTAGGAGTTCAAGATAGCAAGGGCAACTTAGCAAGACCCTGTCTCATAAAGATTAAAAAAAAAAAAAAAAAAAAACTTAGGTGTTGTGACTTATGCCTGTGGTCCCAGCTACTTAGGAGGCTGAGGAGGGAGAACTGCTTGAGCCCAGGAATTGGTGAGCCAGGATCACACCACTGCACTGTAGCCTGGGCAACAGTGTGAGACCTCACTAGGTGTGTTCATGTGGATATTCATACAAAGAAAGAAAAACTCATTCTTCAGTGTTCTCAAGTTGTATTCTTCTTTATACTTTTCTCAGAAAATGTTGCCATGCTAGGAAGAATTACTTTACAACCAAGGACCTTGGTAGTCTAGAACACAGAGCTGTAGTCAATTTTGTGTGTTTTCATTCTAGCTCAGTACTTTTGAAGGTACTCAGCTAAATGAATGAAGAAATTTTAAAAATTTCTCTAGTAGAAGATGTCCAAATAATTTTTTTACCTTTTAAACAAACATTTTCACATTGGCCAGTAAAATTGAAAGCCTGAAAATAGATTATTATGGGAATTTATATCATTTTAGAAACTAAAATAAAAATCTCCCTTTACTAGTTCTGTAAGTCAGTTGTATCTTTTCTGTGGAAAAATGCAAATGGACATTTTCCCCTTAAAGTAGGGCAACAATCTTTATTACATGATCTTTGTAACGCCTGAAGTTAGAGCAATTTATTAACTTTATTTAAGAATCATGGCCGGGCGCGGTGGCTCACGCCTGTAATCCCAGCACTTTGGGAGGCCGAGGCGGGCGGATCACGAGGTCAGGAGATCGAGACCATCCCGGCTAAAACGGTGAAACCCCGTCTCTACTAAAAATACAAAAAAATTAGCCGGGCGTAGTGGCGGGCGCCTGTAGTCCCAGCTACTCGGGAGGCTGAGGCAGGAGAATGGCGTGAACCCGGGAGGCGGAGCTTGCAGTGAGCCGAGATCCCGCCACTGCACTCCAGCCTGGGCGACAGAGCGAGACTCCGTCTCAAAAAAAAAAAAAAAAAAAAAAAGAATCATTTACAAATAAATTACAGGTATGCCCAAATATGTCAGTATGCATCTTTAAGAATAAATACATTCTCCTGTAAACCACAATATAGTTATCAGCCTCAAAAAGTTTAACATTGGCATAGTAATATTATTTAATGCACAGCCCATATTCATATATCCCCACTTTCCCCAAAAATGGCCTTTATTGCTTTTTTAAAAAATCAAGGATCTAGTCAAGTATCACTCATTGCATTTAGTTGTCATATGTCTTATTTAGCATTGCAGAGTTCCTCACCTTTAAAAATTTTTTTTCATGACTTGCCATTTTTGAAGACTCCAGGCCAGTTATTTTGCAGAATGACCCCAATTTGAATTTGTCAGATCAGTCCTAGTGATCAGTTTAGGCTAAATATTGTTGGTGATAACACTAAATAGGTGATGGATCCTCATGGAATCACATCAGAAGATAAATGACAATTTTGTCCCATTGTTGGTGAGATTAAGTTTGATCACTTGGTTAAGGTGGCATTACCCTGTTCCTACTATTTCTCTTATGTAAATGTACTATTTCCATTTGTAATTAATAAGTAATGTGTGGGATAATACCTTGAGACTATAAGACTATTCTGTTTCCCAACCTCCTTTCATCTGTGATTTGAATGATGATTATTCCCTAAATAATTATAAAGGTACTTGCAGAATCATGATGTTTTAATTCTGACATTAGTTCTCTATTCACTAGCACTATTCTGAGGAAAAAAAAAAGCTTTCTTTTCAAAGGGAAGTATCACTATGGACTTACAGATATTTTATTTTTTTAATTGGAAAGAGTCTATCCATTATGGTCATCATTTTTGATGCATAAATTGTCCCAAATTTGGTAACTGTGACCCCTTTCATGGTGGTTTTTGTGTCCTTTTGGCCCATCCCCCTTAATTTTTTAGTACTTTCCTACCTTCTGGCACAAGATATTTCAGAATCATCTTATGCTTTCATTGGCTTCATCTTGGAATTAGCCCTTGCTGTAAGAATTTCTGGTTCCTTTTAGTGAGGAATAATATTTAGGAACCAAGATCTGAGAAATAGACATGTTTTTTGTTAGTTGAGTGTCACTGCTTCTATTCTGTTCTGTTTTAGTAGGTAATGCCAGGACTTTTTTTTTTTTTTTTTTTTTTTTTTGTAATCGTGAGTTCAGGCCATGATTTAGTAGGCAGTGCTAGGATACATTTTTTTAAAAAATCATGAGTTGAGGCCAAGAATAGCCATGCCATCATGAAGTAGGTGAACAAAGCCAGAGGACTTACATTTCCAGATACGAAGACCTGTTATAACATATAGTACTTTAGACAGATAGTCTGACCAATGGAGCAGAATGGAGAGTGAGAAATAGGCAATATTCAGTCACCTGATTCATTACAAAAGTAACACATTTGTGCAATGGAGAAAGCATGGTCTTTTTAAATAAATGGTTCTAGATTAGTTGGATGTCCTGTGGAAAGAAATTCATCTGGATTGAACTCATACACAAAAAATCCAACTATAAAAGATAAGATAGTAAAGTTTTCAGGGGAAAAACATCTACATGATCTTGAAGTGGGCAAAAATTTTTTAAATAGGACACAAATAGCACTACCCATAAAAGAAAAAACCTGATAGATTGCATTATATTTACATTAAGAACTCTTGTGTACCAAAAGACATCACTGAGAGAAAATCAACTCGTCCAGTAAGAAGAGGTAAATCTCAATATATATATTGAACAGAAGACTCTTCTTTAGCATATAGAAGGACTTCTACACGCCAGTATAATCAGTGGACAAGAGCTTTCACAGATACAGATACTTCACAAAAGAGGATATCCAAATCATGCACATATATGTGGATAAAGATGTGTATTCATTAGTACCTCAAAAATGACTAAAATATGAAAAAGAAAAATACCGGATTTTGTCAAGGATTTAGAGCAGTTGGTGGGTACATAAACTGGTATAACCATTTGAGAAACATCTTAAGTATAATTCTACCCTGGGTGTCAGAATTACACTTCTAGATTGATAGTCAACAGAAATGCGTGTATATGTTCATCAAAAGATGATGTTTTGGTCAGGCATGGTGGCTCATGCCTCTAATCCCAGTACTTTGAGAGGCCAAGGTGGGAGTATCACTTGAGCCCAGAAGTTCAAGACCAGCCTGAGCAACATAGGGAGACCCTGTCTCTACAAAAAAAAAAAAAAAAAAAAAATTATTTTTTAATAGCCAAGCATGGTGACACATGCCTGTGGTCCCAGCTGTTCAGGAGGCTGATGCCAGAGGATCACTTGAGCCTGTGATGTCGAGACTGCAGTGAGCCATCATCACATCACTGTTCTCCCCTGGGCAACAGAGCAAGACCCTGTTTCCCCCTCTCTTTCCCCAAAAAGATGATGGGTTTTTTTTAATTATATGACATTACTGTGTTTTGTAGGTACTGTCAGCAATTCTATATGGTTCATTCTACTAGGCTGTTCATAGCAGCACTATTTGTTGTAGAGAAAGACTGTAAACTACCCAAATGCTCATCTGCAGTAGCATGGTTAAATAAATTGTAATACTTCACACAGTGGAGTATAGCATTGAGAATGAACATACTACAACTACTTGCAAGAATGTGCATGAATCTTACGAAAATAAGATTGGGCAAAGGCAGCTAATCACTAAAGAGTATATACTATATGATTCCATTTTCACAAAGTACAAAAACAGGCTGAACTACTACTCTGTGGCGTTAGAAATCAGGATAGTGGTTACACTTGTCAGGAGGAAGTGACTAGAAGGGAAGCTACAAGGCAGGAGCTCTTAGGATGTGGAAAATGTTTGGTTTCCTGATGCCAGTTGTGTGGATGTGATCAGTTTTACAAATTCAGTGAATCGTATACTTATGATGTGTACCTTTCTGCATGTCTATTATACTAAAATAGGTAACAAATAGAAATCCTAAATCTAATTTAAATTTCAATCTAACACCATAGGTTTTTTTCCTTCTGCTTCTCCCAGTTCTTGTTTGTCTATCTTTTTGTCCTATAATGAAAAAGCTTGATTCCCAAAAACATCAACGTATTTATTCATTTGCTCAATTCTATAGTATATAAAATCATTTCAGAATTACACCACCAACAATATTACTACTGCTAACAAATCTATTAAGGTCAAGATTTATTTGCAGTTCTTTTTGTTCTTAGACTATATCTCATTGAGGGTATACAATCAAGACTGCATTCAAAAGCTGCTTTCTTTCATATTAGTTTTTTTTATATTTTTATATCTTTTGGATAGATTTTCTTGGAACCCAATTGGAAATAAGTCAGGTATGACCATTTAAAGAGACTAAAGAAGTGATTCAGTTTCTCATGTAAGGAAAATATTTTAGTTTGTGGGGAGATCAAGTCATTGCAGCCTAGACTGTTAACTATCTTCAACACATTTTCTAATATTGTAGCATTGTCCTATCAATTTATATTACATATAAGCCTCAGCTATGTTTACTGTCCAGTAATATTGCTCACTGGAAGATCAAGGCCACATGAAAGCCATTTTTCCAAATAGTTCACATATATCTATATTGCACTTAACAAACTTTTGGCCGGGCACAGTGGCTCACACCTGTAATCCCAGCACCTTGGGAGGCCGAGGCAGGCGCATCACCTGAGGTCAGGAGTTCAAAAACAGCCTGGCCAACATGATGAAACCCCATCTCTACTAAAAATACAAAAAATTAGCCAGGTGTGGTGGCGGGCACCTGTAATCCCGGCTATTTGGGAGGCTGAGGCAGGAGAATCGCTTGAACCCTAGAGGTGGAGGTTGCAGTGAGCTGAGATCATGCCATTGCACTCCAGCCTGGGCAACAAGAGCGAAACTCTGTCTCAAAAAAAAAAAAAAAGCAGCTTTTATTTATTTTCTCATATTTATGTTCACTAGAAAACATACTAGAGGGAATGGAAAGAATACCTTTTTTGATACATAATACTTGTACATATTTATGGGAGTGGTGTAATATTTCGTTACACGTTGAGAATGTGCAGTTACCAAGTCTGGGTATTTAGGATATCCATCACCTTGAGCATTTATCATTTCTATGTGTTGGGAACATTTCACATCCTCTCTTCTAACTATTTTGAAATATATAATACATTGTTGTTAACTAAGTCACCCTATTCTGCTGTTGAACTTTAGAACTTAATTCCTTCTGTCTACCTGTATGTTTACACCATTAACCAATCTCTCTTCATCCCCAGCACCCGCCCCACACTGCCACACCCTTCTCAGCCGCAGAACTATCATTCCGTTACTCTGTATCTCTATCTCCTTAAGATCAACTTTTTTACCTTCATGTGTGAGTGAGAACGTGCAGTATTTGTCTTTCATGCCTGATTTATTTCACTTAACATAATGACCTCTAGTTCCATCCATATTGCTGCAAATAAAAGGATTTTATTCTTTTTTAATGGTTGAATAGTATTCTGTTGTGTGTTTGCCATGTGTGTGCGGGGGTGGGGGATGGGGGTGTTCACACACTACATTTTCTTTATCCATTCATCTGATGGACACTTAATTTGGATCCATATCTTTGCTATTGTGATTAGTGCTGCCTTAAACATGGCAGTGCAGGTATCCCTTTGATAGACTAGTTTCCTTTCCTTTGGTACCTAATTTTATTAGTGGCTTCACATGTGCCAGGCACTGCACTTGGTGCTTTTTGCATTGTCCCATTTAATCCTCCCAGCAGTTTTGCAAGATGGATAAGAATTATCTTTTATGTTTTACAAATAAGGGACTAATAGGAACTGAAGCTTTGAGAGATTTGGAAACCCAAAGTTACGTGGCTGGAAGTGGCAGACTGGGATTTGTCTGAACCCAGATCTTTATGACACCAAAGCCGATGCTCAATTATGAGCATTTTTGCTTGCTTAAAGTAAAATAATTATCGAGGGTTAGGGTTGACTCTGCATGTAGAAGAAGGAAAAAAAAAGCTGAAGACAAAATTAAAAAAAAAAAAACTACCTGATATTTCTAATCGCATCTTCCTTTCTTTTCAGGTTTCAGATTTAAGATTTTAGCACTTTTTTCCAGGCCAAAAAGGGTCACATGGTTGCTGCTGTCTTGGCTCCTAGAAACAGTTTCCGTGATGAATCTTTTGTTCCAATGCTTAGTTTCCTATCAGATGGGGTTGTATCTAGTATTAGTAGGTTGTAAGTTTAGAGAATTCAGTTGCTTGATATATTGCTGCAAAGTTTAGTCCTCATGACCAGTTGAGGATAGAGCATGTGGTGCATGGATGATCTGAGATGTGACTTCTGATTTGTTCCTTTTTCATGTTTGCTGCCGTGGAGAATTGGAATAGGCTGTTAATTGATCTGTTCCTTTCTAGTCTGATGCTCCTCTGTGCCCCAGAGATGGCTGAGTGATCTTTCTGATGTATGTATTTAGGCATGCCACTCTTGTCTGCAGTTCTTCAGTGACACCAATTTGCCTTTAGGATAAAGACCAAACACCCTGCAGACTGTGTGTCCTGTGATGTCCTGGACTTTGCCTAGCCATGCGGCCGCCTTTGCCTTCTGTACCCTGTGCTCCAGCCCTGCTGCACTACTCACTCTTTGCCATACATTATTCTCTCTTGGGACTTGGTATTTTTGTACATGTTGTTCTCTTTGCCTTCTTGGACATGTTCTCACTGTCCTCCCCTTTCCCCATCTCATCCCTACAACCTTGTTCATGTGACACCATCTTCCAACACTCCTGCTTTCTCCCTGTTCATCCAACTAGATGATTCAGAGTAAATAGTTCTTAGTTTGTCGTTCTGAGCCATAAAATGGTTAATAGCCTTTGCCTTCAGTGTTAAACTTGAATTTGTGATTACTGTTACATGTATCTTTTCAGTTCTGGTATACTTTGTTCTGTAAAATATTTAGCATTCCCTGTTTTTCAGATACTGCTTTGTAATTTAACCCTCTTTGGATGTTTTACTTGAAACGACAAGAGGTATAGCATTTGTGCAGTGAGAGCCATATGTTTCTATTTCTCCTTCCCCATAGTTGAAAGTAAGAAGTAGGACATGATTATTTGAAAGAAGAAATTATAATACTCGCTTTCTATGCAAAATAGAGCAGCCACTTCCAAATGTGCATGTCAATCTTATTGTTTAGCAATTAAGAAGAATGGGATAACATATTACTTTCTAATTACAGAAATTAAAGGATACCTTGTGTGTGGAGGAGGAAACTTTTTTGGTTTTGTGTGGGTTTTCTTTTCTTTTTTTTTTTTTTTTTTGCCAACATCTTATTTTGAAACAATTCAACCATAAAGAGAAGCTGAAAGAATTGTACAATACATATCCATATAATAAACACATAGATTCTATAATTAACCTTTTTTTATACTTCATTTATTACGTATGTATTCTTTTATCCACTTAACAGTCCATCAAAATTATTCATGCATTTCAAAAAAGAATGTCAACATCAGTACACTTTACCTCTAAACAGTTCATAGTGAACATCCTTATGTGAAGTACAAAAGTGGTTTACATTTTTGTTGTTGTTGTTGTTTGCTTAAGTTCCAGGATACATATGCAGGATGTGTCAGTTTGTTACATAGGTAAATGTGCACCATGGTGGTTTGCTGCACCTGTCAACCCATCACCTAGGTATTAAGCCCAGCATGCATTAGCTGTCTTCCTGATGCTCTCCTGCCCACCGCACCCACCCCCGACAGCCCCCAGTGTGTGTTGTTCCCCTCCCTGTGTCCATGTATTGTCATTGTTCAGCTCCCACCTATAAGTGAAAACATGGTATGTTTGATTTTCTGTTCCTGCATTAGTTTGCTGAGGATCACAGCTTCCCCCTGCATCCATGTCCCTGCAAAGGACATGATCTTGTTCCTTTTTATGGCTGCACAGTATTCCATGGTGTGTATGTACCACATTTTCTTTATCCAGTCTATTATTGATGGGCATTTGGGTTGATTCCAAGTCTTTGCTATTGTGAATAGTGCTGCAGTTAACATACATGTGCACATACCTTGATAATAGGATGATTTATGTTCCTTTGGGTGTATACCCAAAATGGGATTGCTAGGTCAAATGGTATTTCTGGTTCTAGGTCTCTGTGAAATTGCCACACTGTCTTCCACAATGGTTGAACTAATTTACATTCCCACCAACAGTGTAAAAGCGTTCCTATTTCTCCGCAGCCTTACCAGCATCTGTTGTTTCTTGACTTTTTAATAATTATTCTGACTGGCATGAGATGGTTTCTCATTGTGGTTTTGATTTGCATTTCTCTAATGATCAGTGATGTTGAGCTTTTTTCCAGATGTTTGTTGTTTGCATAAATGTCTTCTTTTGAGAAATGTCTGTTCATTTCCTGTCCTTTGCCTACTTTTTAATGTTTTTTTTTTCTTGTAAATTTGTTTGAGTTTCTTGTAGACTCTGGATATTAGACCTTTTCCAGATGGATAAATGGCAAAATTTTTTTCCCATTCTGTAGGTTGTCGATTCACTCTGATGATAGTTTATTTAGTTTATTTTGCTCTTTAGTTTAATTAGATCCCATTTGTCAATTTTTGCTTTTGTTACAATTGCTTTTGATGTTTTCATTATGAAATCTTTGCCTGTGCCTATGTCCTGAATGGTATTGCCGAGATTTTCTTCTAGGGTTTTTATAGTTCGGGGTTTTACATATAAGTCTTTAATCTATCTTTTTGTTTCTTTGTTTTTTGTTTTGTTTTGTTTTTGTTTGTTTTTGAGATGGAGTCTTGCTCTGTCGCCCAGGCTGGAGTGCAGTGGCGCGATCTTGGCTCACTGCAAGCTCCGCCTCCCAGGTTCATGCCACTCTCCTGCCTCAGCCTCCCAGTAGCTGGGACTACAAGCGCCCGCCGCGCCCGGCTAATTTTTTGTATTTTTAGTAGAGATGGGGTTTCACCGTGTTAACCAGGATGGTCTCGATCTCCTGACCTCGTGATCTGCCCACCTCAGCCTTCCGGAGTGCTGAGATTACAGGCGTGAGCCACCGCGCCCGGCCAATCTATCTTGAGTTAATTTTTGTATAGGGTGTAAGGAAGGGGCCTAGTTTTAGTTTTCTGCATATGGCTAGCCAGTTCTCCTAACACCATTTATGAAATAGGGAATTCTTTCCTCATTGTTTGCTTTTTATCAGGTTTGTCCAAGATCAGATGGTTGTAGATGTGTGGTCTTACTTCTGAGTTCTGTATTCTGTTCCATTGGTCAGTGGTTTACATTTTTAAAGATAAAATGTGTGTGTGTGTGTGTGTGTGTGTGTATGCTTATCTATATATAACAAAATGCACAAATCTAAGGCACACTGTTGGATGAGTTTTGATATATGCATATGCCTAAGTGCCCGAAACATTTACCAAGATACAGAGCATTGCTATCACCGCAGAAAGTTTCTTTCTGCTCTTTCGCAATCATTTTCTACCCTAGCCCCTCTGAGACAGCTACTGTTGTGGTTTTGTTCACCATTTATCTTTCTTTTTACAGTTTCAAGTTTCATATGAATGGAATCATGCAATGCATGCTCCTGTATAAGGCTTCTTGCATTCAGCATGTTTTTGAGATTCATTAATGTTGTATGTATCAATCCTTCTTTGTTGTTGCTTAGTAGTATTCCAGTGTATGAGTAGATCACAGTTTATTTATCCATTTTCCTTTTAGTGGACTCCTGGACACTTTCCAATCTGAGGCTAGTATTAATAAAGCTGCTATGAATAGTCTTGTACAGGTATTTATTTCTTTGGGTATGTATGTGGGAGAGGAGTTGCTGGGTGAATATTTAGTTTTCTAAGTCTGCATGCCCTTTTCAAAAGTGGCTGCATCATTTTATACTCCCATAAATGTATGAGAGTTCCAGTTGTGCCACATTCTCACCAATATTTGGCAAAGTTAGTCTTCTCCATTTTAACCATTTCTGTGGGTGTGTGTTGATATCTCATTGAAGTTTTGATTTGCATTTTCATGATATCTAATGATATTGAGCACTTTTTAATGTGCTTATGAGCTATTTATGTGAAAGATTTTTTCCAAATCTTTTGCTCATTTTTTCCAACTTTATATTATAGTAATTTTTAAATATATAGGAAGTTAAAGAAGTGTTACAGTGAGCTCTCATGTATACCCCACTTGGATTCTGCCATTAATATTTTAACATGCTTTGTTTTATCTCGTGTACTCTTACCTATCCCCCTCCGACCATCAGTCATTTTTTGACATATTTCAGATATCTGTACACATCTCTCTAAAGACTTCAGCAAATGTATCAACTTCAGTGTTTGCTTAAAATGTCCTTATTTGAGTAGGAACAAATTATCCATGCTTCTCCTTCTTATGTTCTTTCCCCCTAATCCATTCTCTGCTTTTCCTGCCTGTTTGTATTCTGAGATTATTGTCAGTCCCACTCAGGTCCGATTCTGAATATTTCATAAAACATAATAGCATGAAAACACCTTTTTTTAACTTTGCCCATTTTTTAACCTCGTTTTTGTCTTTTAATTATGAAATTTTGGAGTTTTTTATATACCCTTGATTCTAATCATTTGTCAAATACATGTTTTACAAATATATTCTCCTGGTCTGTGGCTTCCGTATTCATTTTCTTGAATTATCTCTCTATGAGCAAAAACTTTAGTTTTAAATAAGTCTAATTTATCATTTTTAAGATCAGTTTTTAGAATTATAATACCTTAAAATTTGTTTAAATGAATTACACACAGGCAGTTACTATGAAGAGACAGTTTGAGTTACCAGTTAAAGAAATTGTAAGCCATGCATGGTGGTGCATGCCTGTAATTGTAGCTACTTGAGAGGCTAGGGCAAGAAGCTTGCATGAGTCAAGGGGTTTGAGACCAGCCTGGGAAATATAGCGAGACTCCATCTCAATAAAAATAAATAAACAAAAATTTTTAATTAAAGAAATTTTAACATACAAAATTGTCATTTTAGGGGTTGGCCTTTTTTCATCATAGATATAACACATGTTCATTATAGACCATTTATAAAATTCAGAGTGACAAAAGGCAAGGAATTTCAATAAGCTATAAGCCCTACCACTAGATAACCACTGTAACATTTTCAAGTATTTTGTCATGATTTTTTCTTTTAATTGGAGACTGTACTGATCATGTTTTTATGGCTTCCTTTTCTCCTGTCACCCTTACAGTGAACATTCCTCCATGTTATTAAATGTTCCTCTCAGCTGGGCATGATGGCTCACACCTGTAATCCCAGCACTTTGGGAGGCTGAGGTGGGAGGATCATTTAAGGCCAGGAGCTCGAGACCAGCCTGCACAACATAGCAAGACTCCTCTACAAAAAATGTTTAAAGTAGCTGGGCGTGGTGATGCACGCCTGTAGTCCCAACTACTCAGAAGGCAAGAGAGAGGTTCCCTTGCAACCACAATCTGGGTGACACAGCCAGATCCTGTCTTTCCCTGTCTGTTAAAAAACAAAAACTTCTGAAATAAAATTACTTTTTACTTCTTTGGCTCATTGTAAGCACTCAATAGTTATTTTTTGATTTTGAAGCCTAATTTCAATGGCTATACAATATCATTATAAATGTGCCATAACTTAAATCACTCCCTGATTAACGTTTAGATCATGCCTAGAATTTACTGCTATAGTTAATGCTGGTGTGAATACCATTGCATATAAACCATTATACATATATATCAGAGTATATATCATGTGTATATATTCCAGAATATTCATTTAGAATAGTCATAGGTATTATAGGGTCAGAGAGTTTAGACCTGTTTCTGGATTCTGGAATACATTTCCATTTGCATTCTAGAAATATATTATTTATACTTTATTGACGGTGTTTGAAAGTATTTTACAGTATTCTGATCTCCTTGAAAAATGTTGTTATTAAATGTGGGTAATTGCTAAGTGGTAATAATTCCATCTTTCCTTACATTTGTTAACAGATGACTTTCTACTTTTAAAAAAAGTTTTTGTTCTTCCTCCTTTTATTAACTTATATGATTATAGAATCATGGAGTCTGTGGGTTATAATCTGTTACTGTTATTTATTTTGATGCTCAAAGTGTCTCAGATTTGGCCACCTCCTTCAAGCTAGCTTCTATGTCCTTTTGACAAGCCCAACATCATTCTCTGAGCATTTGTTTGCATTCTGGCACAACAAAATGTTCTAGGCTCAACTGGAGCTTTTCTTGCCCCAGCCCTGGAGCCAGCCATTTCTTGAAGAAAGTATGGTACCTTTTAGTAGAGTATTTATAAACTAAGACCTGGGAACTACATGTGTTCATTGTTTCTAGATCCTCTTAGTAGACAGAAATAGAAAATATACATAGTCTGGGCATGGTGCTCACGCCTGTAATCCCAGCACTTTGGGAGGCCAAGGCAGCCAGGTGTGGTGGCGGACACCTGTAATCCCAGCTACTCGGGATGCTGAGGCAGAAGACTCTCTTGAACGTGGGAGACAGAGGTTGCAGTGAGTGAGCTGAGATTGTGCCACTTCATTCCAGCCTGGGCGACAGAGTGAGACTCTGTCTCGAAAAAAAAAAAAATACATTTACACACATCTCTGTTTCTGGCACTATCACTGTATATATTAAAAACCAGATATCCTTAATGATAACTCCATTTTCATTCCCACATCACTGGGTTCCTTTAGCCTTTCCCCTTTATGTATTTGTAACTCCACTCTCTGACAGTGAGAACCTAGAACCTGGCTCCCATTATCCACAATATATTTTATGTGTTTAATTCTAGAATACACATAAAGTAGTTTTAGAATTGCTAACCTATTCCACTGTGAAAATAAATGTGTTACATTTAAACATGTGAACTTTATGGTTTGTAAATTATATCTCAGCACATCTGTTTAAAAAATACCTACAAACTGGAGTTCAGTATTTGTTCATATCCTTTTTGGTTTTAGCCTACAGGTATATAGTCAAAATCTGTATTCAAAAGTTGTTAAGGTTGATTCTGTCCTTCCTTCAGCATGTCCATGTTATTTGAAATGCAGTTGCATTCATTTATTTTATGTTCAAATTTGGGTTGTCTTCTATCCTAGCTAATTTTATTCATTTCTGAGTACTGAAATATTAATAAGGTTCTGAAAGTCAAAAATATACAAAAAGATGTCAGTAGAGAAGTGTCACTCCTCACCTTTCTCTCCTATCCCATTCCCATCCCTTCATCCTTTCTACCCTGTGTCCCCACCCAATGAAGGTAATAAATCTCATTGATTTCTAATTTGTCCTTCCTTCCCCGCCTCCCCCCCACAAACAAGCAGCTATATTTTATTTCCTCTTCTTTCTCACACACGAAATAACATATTGACACTATTTTGCAATTTGCTTTTTTCACTCACTGTATTGTGAAAAACACTTCATACCAGTTTGTAGAGATCTTCCTTGTTTTTAACAGCTATATAGTATTCCATTGTATGGTTGTACCATAGTTTTATTCAGCCAGTCTCCTATGTGTGAACATTTTAGTTGTTTCTAAGATTTTCCTGTTACAAACTGCTGCAGTAAATAACTTTTGGCATTTTTTTAATGATGTCAGAGATTTATCTGTCAGGTAAATTCCTAGAGAGAGGGTTGCTGGGTCAAAAGAAAAATGCATGTGTAGTTTTGTTAGACATTGCTTTCCCAGAGGGTTGCATCACTTCGCATTCCAACTAGCACTGTAAGAGAATGTTTATTCCTCCACAGCCTGGAGGAATAAACAGAAAGTGTTGTCAGACATTTTTACCATCTAATGTTTGGTGTAATTTTGATTCAGTTTCTCTAATTATGGGTAAGGGTGAACCTCTTTTCAATATGTTTAAGGACCATTTCAGAATCTTTTGGAGGAGGGAAAGAATGAATTATCTGTTTATTTCTCTGTCAGGTTTTTGAACTTTTCAATTTTTAGAGTTATTTACATATTGGGGTGATTAGCCTTTCCTCTTCAGTATGTTTTTGGGTTTTTCCTTTAATGTGGCCAAAATTTATCAGTCCTGTTTTTATTGCATCTAGATTTTGGGTCACAGTGTGAAAACTTTTCCCTATGTCCAGGTCATAAAAATCCCATCAATATTTATTCAGCATACTCATATGGTTTGATTTGTTTTCTTTTGTTACATTTAGATCCCAGATCTCTGATCCTCTTGGAGTTTTTTTGTTTTTTGTTTTTTCTGGTTAGGCCTCTCCCTCCACATTGCTTTTCTTTTTCTGTGTTTTTCCGGCTTGCCTTGGATGTTTTCATTTTTTCCATATGAACTTGAGTATCAACTTGCCTTAGCTCCATTAAAACGCTTGTTGGTGTTTTTACTGGGATTGCACTAAATTTGTAAATTAACTTAGAGAAACTGACATCTTTATGATGTGTTATCCTATCCAAGACCAAGGACTGTCTTTCTATTTGCCCTACCCTATTTCAGTATTTTTTAGGAGTTTTACACATTTCCTGTTTAGTTTCTTCCTAAGAGTTTTTATCATCTTTATTTGCTATAATTAATGGAGTTTTCTCCACTATTATAATCTCTAACTGCTTATTATTTGTGTATCTGAAGGCTATTGAATTCTGTATGTGTTTGAATTTGCCCTACTTGAAGTTTGCCAGGTTTCTTGAATCTGTAAATTTATGTTTTTCAGATTCAAAGTGTTTTTCAAATTCAGATTCATGGAATTTTCAGGCATTATTTTTGGAAATATGTCTTGTGCCTCATTCTCTCTCTGCCATCCTTCTGGGACTCCACTTGCATGTAAAATAGAACTTTTGATATCATCACATGGGTCACTGAGGCTCTGTTCTTTGTTTTTTAATCTTTTTCCTCTTTGTCATATACTTTATTTTCATTCTTCCATTTTTATTGATGTAATGGTTTACGGATTTGAATTTTTCTCTGATCACTGCTTAAATGCATGGCATAGGTCCTGATATACAAAACAACTATTTTTTTTAGAAATTTTTCTATTTTACTTTGTATTTTTCCTTTTTTATGAGTTAATAGAAGATGTAATTAATTTCAAGGTACACAATCCTTTTTAGTTTTTTATTATATTGGTTTTACATTGAGATCAGAGTTGTTTGTAATTTTTTTACTTTATGGAACTTGTTTTCCCTGTGACTTAATGTATAATTTTTTTTGAGGATTCTATGTATATTTGAGAAGATGTATTCACTATCATCAGTGCAATGATTAGTTCAACATGTATCAATAAGATCTCTTTATTGATTGTGCTATTTTGGCCTTATATATCCTTATTTTTTATCTACATCATCTGTCTTGTACTAAGAGTGGCAGATTAAAGCCTCCTATTAATTGTGTCTATGTCACATTGTATCTGTTGTCCTTTTTGTTTTGTAACAGTGGTTGCTGTGTGTTGTTTTGTGCATGGTCATACTGTTACAGCTTCATTTTGATTATATAGCTTTTAGCATTAAAAAATGTCGCCCTGGCCAGGCACGTTGGCTTACGCTTGTAATCCCAGCACTTTGGGAGGCTGAGGTAGGCGGATCACTTGAGGTGAAGAGTTTGAGACTAGCCTGGCCAACATGGTGAAACCCCGCCTCTACTAAAAATACAAAAATGAGCAGGGCATGGTGGCGCACACCTGTAATCCCAGCTACTCGGGAGGCTGAGGCAAGAGAATCACTTGAGCCCGGGAGGCAGAGGTTGTGGTGAGCCAAAATCACACGACCACACTCCATCCTGGGCCACAGAGTGAAACTTTGCTCCCCACCCCCCAGAAAAAAATGTCTTCCTTTGTCACATACAATTTTTTTTAATTTGAATTTTACATTTTCTGTTTTCGGGATCACCACCCGTTTGCCATCCTGATCTGTAATACACATCAGTTAACCAAAATGGTATAGGCTTGTCAGTCACAGCTCATTGCGTTACACCATCAGTGTGCACTGTAGAAATCATTCTTCAGTTATTACAGGTGGGATTTATTTGAATGGATGAATAGGTTTTGTTGTTTTGGTTTTCTTTATTTCTTTTTTAAGATCCTTTTGAGCAGTTCTGCTGCTCAATCATTTTCATGGTTTAGATGCCCAGGTAAATAAAATTAGATGCCTAATTAGAAATTAGGTAAATTTCTCTTGCATTAAAGTTTTGTAATAGTAAAGACTGTTTCAGGGTTATTGTGTTACGTAAAGGAATTTCTCTGTTCCCACGAGTAACCTTGTGGGTTTAAAAAAAAACATATTTATTGAACTATAATTGACATACAATTAACCACACATATTTAAAGGATTCAAGTTGAAGAATTTTGGCATATGTATGCAACTGTGAAACCATCACCACAATCAAGACAACAAACATTTTCAACACCCTTAGAAATTTCCTCACGCCTGTTTATAATCCATTCCTCTTTCCATCTCAGTCTCTAGGCAACTACTCATGTATAAATGGAATCATACATGGTATGTGTTCTTTTTGTCTGCTTCATTCAGCATAATTTTGAGATTCATCCATGTTGTTTATGTAATTCATTTTTATTTCTGAGTAGCATTCTCCTATATGCATTTACTCATTTATTCATTCATTATGGGCAGATGATTGCAGTTTTTGGCTATTACAAATAAGACTGCCAATACATTTATATTGAAGAAACCACTGTTCCTTTAAAAACTAAGCATACACTTTCTACATGGCCAAGTCTTTACACAAAAGAAATGAGTATAAATATCTACACAAAGATTAATAGACAAATGTTCATAACAGACTTATTCATAGTAGCTCAAAGTTGAAAACTACCCAGATGTTCATCAAACAGATGAATGGATAAACAAAATATGGTATATCCATACAGCGGATTACTCAGTAATAGAAAGGAACCAACCACCGATGAGGTGCAACAATGTGCATGAATCTCAGAGTCACTATGCTAAGGGAAAGAATTTAGACTCAAAAGACCACATACTGTATGATTCCATTCACTTGAAATTCTAGAAAAGATAAACTAATTGATGGTGATAGAAAGCAGATCAGTGATTATCTGGAAACTGCAAAGGGGCAGGATAAATCTTTTAGGAATGATGAAATTATCCTATATCTTAAATGTGACTGTGGTTTCATAGGTGCATGCCTCATCAAAACTCACTATATACTTTAAATGGATGCACCTTATCATCTTTAAATTATATCTCAGCAAAATTGATTTTGAGGTGTCTTTTAGATACAACCAAAAATATATAACAAGTAGTTTTTGTTGTCAGTTGATTGATTATAAGGAAGATGCTTATCAACTAGCCTGGACTGCTAAATACAAGAATTTATTTAATTAAAGAGAAGCTTGACCATGTAAAAATTGCTGAAACACTGGAATAGATCTTATAGGAATAAGATAAATGAGATACAGTTCCAGCTCGCAAAGATTATAAAATTTACGAAGATGGGGTAAGGGGTTTCGGAAATATGAAAAGTATACAGACAAGTGTTGATGTTGAGAGAAAGTATAAAAGGTTAGACACATCCAGCCTTTCTCAGCCCAGAGAATTAAACCCTACAAATGTGATTTCTGTGACTGTTTTCTCAGTTCTCCCAAGAATGACATAGCAAATACCATTTTAGATTCTTAGGAGAGAAGTGAATTTATTATATACAGTGAATGCCTTTGAGTATTAGGGCTTAATTTCCTCACAGAACCCATTGAACAAAGCTAGACTGAAATCATACTAAGTTAAAAAATCTGCTGTTCTGCTTCTTAAAAGCTGTGTAGCTGGACAAGTGACTTAACCTCTCATTGCCTCACTGTAAAATGGAGATAGTAGTAGAGAGAGCTATTGAGTGGAATAAACTGAGTTAATACATGTAAAACACTTAACACCATGCATAAATACAGTGCTGTAAAATGTGAGTGGCATATAAACAGTAACAACTAGCATCATCATCATCTTCATTATTGTCATCACATGGTGTGCTGAGTCCTTTGATGACAGGTATCATGAGTGTTCAGAGTGTGCAGAGGAACAGACCTGACTTTCAGGGGTGGAGAGAGACATCTGGAAGGCTTCTGAAAGAGACTGATACTGGAACTAGTTCTTGAAGATTGTTTAAGTACAGTTTCCGTGGGCAGAGATAGGGAATAGGGAAATCCAGGAAGAAAAAACTTGTACAAAAACAAGGACAACACAGAGTGTATTAGTGAATACCAAGTAGTTCGAATTAGCTGAAGCATAGGGAACATGTAGGGAGTTAATAACGCCGGTCAGGAAGGTGGGAGACAAAGCACTGATGGCTTTGAATGCCAGGCTAACAAAGGTGGACTGACTTAAGGAGATAGAGGAGAGGCATGGAAGAGGTTTGGTCAGTTGAGTGGCATTTGTTTATTCATAGAGGCAGCATTAATTAAGCAGGCATAGTATCCAAGGCATTGGGACTGCAGAGATGAATAAAATAGCATGGCATGGTTTTTAAGTGCATTGTCCAGAGCTGGACCAACCTGAGGTCTAGGCTAACCCATTACTCCCTGTTGAGTGTTTTGGGTTTTGTTTGTTTGTTTTTTAATCTTTGTTTTTTCACCTAGCAAAAGTGTGTCTTAAACTTAGATGATTTAGTCTTAAGTATAGCATATAATCTTAAAATCAAGGATATCTGAACTCCAGAAAGAAAACTCATTTAGGCACTTTGGGAGGCCACAGCAGGAGGATTGCTTCAGCCCAGGAGTTCGAGACCAGCCTGAGCAACATAGCAAGACCTCATCTCTACTAAAAAACAAAATTAACTGGGCATGGTGGCATGAGCCTGTAGACCCAGCTACTGGGGAGGCTGAAGAGGGAAGATTGCTTCAGCCCAGGAGGTCGAGGCTGCAGCGAGTAATAATTGCACCACTGTACTCCAGCCTGGACAACAGAACAAGTCTCTGTCTTGAAAAAAAGAAAAAGAATGAAAAGAAAACTCATTTAGAAACTATTATTTAGAAAGCGAGAAGTACATGAACCAGAGGTAGGGTGTGTGTGTGTGTGTGTGTGTGTGTGTGTGTGCACGCATTGGTGGGTGTTTAGAGTTAATAATTGATGCCAGTACACAGTTTGAAATTATTAGGAGAGATGGTGCAGAAATGGAAAGTCCAAATCTTAGGAGATTAGAAAAGAGGAGTGTGAGGGAAAATGAAAATATCTTGGTATGCACAAAGGATCCTAGTGGAGAGGTGTAATACACTGATCACAGTTTTGTAAGTAGGCAGGAGGGATTACAGACCTAAACAAATTGTCTGGATTCCCTATGGCAAGAAAAAAATTTACTTCTTCCTCAAAGATGGAAGGATGGGAGTGGGAAGGTTCTGTAGCATTTATGTCTGAAGATCTCAATATTGGTAGCGAATCTAGGGGCCCAAGTTACTTGCTGAGAAAGCTATGAGGATAGTAGGGTAGTGTAATCTTGAGGAAAATGAAAATGCTTTGTGGAACAGAGGTGCAGGAGATTCAAAGTCAGTAAGAGATGAAGGAAACATTTTAGAGTTTATATGAGGGCATGGCATGACTTCATACTGGATTTGGTAGTCATCTTGGCTCCTTAACTTCTCAAGCTTTGCTTTTGTTATTCTCTACCTTTGCCGTAACTCCCAAGATAGTAAAATAGGACACTCAGTCAGATTAGGTAAACAAAGGCAAATGCTTAATTCCCACTTTAAGAGAGCGTTGTGTAAGCCAAGAAGTAGGATCTCCTCTCTCCATTTGAGTTATATGGTGGACTAGTGTTTCACAAACTTGAGTAATATACAGACCTTTTAAAAACAGTTTGTAGATGACTTAGTTGGGCTTTTCAGTGTATGGGGGGCAGGGGAGGTTTTTTTTGTTTGTTTTTTTTTCCCTGAGACAAGTTCTCACTTCGTCGACAAGGCTAGGATACAGTGGCCCCATTTCAGCTCACTGCAGCCTCGTCCTCCTGGGCTCAAGCTATCCTCCCACCTCAGCCTCCCAAGTAGCTGGGACCAGAGGTGCACGCCACCACACTTGTCTAATTCTTTTGTAGAGATGGGGTTTCACCATGTTGCCCAGGCTGGCCTTGAACTCCCGAATTCAAGAAATCCACCCACCTTAGCCTCCCAAAGTGCGGGAATTACAGGCATGAGCCACCACACCAGCCAGATGACTTAATTTTTGTTAATATGACATTGTTGGATTATGTACAATTATAAATGAAGTGTAAACTCCTTGTACTTAGTAGCACTTATATGACAAAACTGAAACACTTTGCATATTAATTATAGAAATCCACAATGCTAATGAAATTAAAATAAATATTAACTTACTGTGACATGATGCATTTTTACATAAATGTGATTGCTGCTTGACACCTGACAGTGGTCCTCACTGCTCTAGCACTGGTTTATGCCATCATGACTCATAGATCCCATTCCTTTTCTCTGTTGAAACTATTACAGTCTGGCTATCATTTTGCCTTCTCTAGGCTTAAACATATTCTCACAGTGTCTGGCTTTGTTACTGTGTGGCAACACTTTATAAAATACTCATCCAGGTGATCAAGGAGATTTTTTTTTCCAGGTTAACAAAATGAAAACAAATTGCATACATTTCCGTAAGGAGTTCATGAACACCCAAGAATACATCTTCGGACTCGGGAAATTTATGTCCTAGTGCTTGTTCTACCAAATCCTGAGACTCTGTGATTGACTGCTTGACTAAAATTAGTCATTTGTGGGCAGGGGATAAGCAAGGGGCAATGGCAGAATATCAAGACATTGAAATTCTTTAGTGGTTGAAATAGTTTATCCTAGACTTAACGATAACTAAGGAAGAGAATGCAGGTAAGGCATGAACTAGTAGTCTGGGGAGTGGTCAGAGGACTAGACTGAAGTCGATGAATAGAAAGCAGTGCTAGTCAGCGTGGTCCATATGCTGTACCATCCTACAGGCTTTTCCTTACCATTCTCCTGTGAGGTAACTTGAGAAATCAGGAGTGTTTAGAAACTTTAACGGCAGCACGACACCGGTGAGACGCTCAAGTGCATGATTAGTGGACTCCTCTTGTTGAACAGAGTGCAGATTAGTCTGGTTATTGCCAAACTAATGTGACCCTACTAGCAGTGCATGGTGGGACCACATATTGGTCTACAGCGATTGGAAGTTTTAAAATATTTCTCTTAACCACAGATAATTACAGAAGCACCGGTATAAAGAACATTCTAATAAGAGTAAAAGAATGGAAAAGAGGAGAAAGTGGCAGTCAGAAATAGTTAAAAGCTCTAGACCATATTCCTTAAGAGACAGAGATTGTGTCACACACACACCTAACATGTCCCCAGTGCATAGAATGATCTTAGTAAATGCACATTGGCCTTCAGTGAGTTACATTAATGATGTCTAGACATATTTGTATCAATAAGGTGATGAAATGACATTAAAAGTCTTTCAAATATCCATAGCTAGGGAAGTTATCTCAGAATTTGAGGAAGACTGATCATATCATCTGAGGAAAGTTCTTTGTTGTAAATCTTGTAGTCAGTTGTATTTATATAAGTAACTATAAAGCTTAGAAATGGAGACAGGACTTGAATGACTTTTTCTAAGTTGATGAAAGTGTGTTCTGTCATTTCTTGATTACTCATGCTAATGATTGGAGCAGGAAGAGACAAATGGCCCCAGTCTCTTACACAAGTGTAGTCAGAACACTTGTGTTGCAGGCTGCCGCTGTCATGTGAATGGCTGCCTGAGGAGGAGCCACGCAAGCTGTCCTCTGCCTGTGCTGCCATTCCCTTGTCCCACACAGCACTCTCCCTCAGTCCGAGCACAGGCCTGTCATGGGACCATGCATGGGGAAATTCCAACCCTGAAAAGCCTTCTTTGCCTTTCATGTCCTCAGAGAGGGTGAAGCAAACCTGGAGGGGAGGGAGGTGCTGAATGTGCTGGTGTGCCGGTCTGTTCCAGGGTGGGGGACAACAAGCACAGATGACAAACCAGTGATCAGACTGTTTGGCCCTGTTGTGGTGTTCAATTCTGCTGCAGTGCTTAACTGTGAAACATGGATGATTTCCTTCAAAATCTTATTACCCTAGAAAGGTCAGAAAAATGTATCCTTCCTTATGAAACAGCGGTTTTCATAGGGGCTAATTTGTTAATCTGTTTACATCTGAAGTACTGTATGTTCAGTATATATTTTTAAAGTGATAAAGTGAAGGACTTTTTCAATATATATTTTAAAAGTGATAACCATAAAGAACTTTAAAGACATGCTATCTGATTTAAGAGATAGCACTCTTTAAGTGTTCTTTGTTTAAATAAAAAAAAATTTTTTTTTAATTAACCGTTGGGATTTACCATAACCATTTAGTAACAGTCTAAAGGTATAGTATTTTACGGTGGTGTTTATAATGTTAAAAGCGAGAAAAATATGGATCAAATATGTATTTTACTAAAAATATGGTAGCATTAGGAAAAAAATTTACGTGTACCCTAGACTGAAATTTTCCTTCCTAAATACATCCAATCTCATTATCTGTGTAGATTTTGTAATACTCTGACTCAGCCTGTGTGAAGGAAGTTGCAAAGCTTACTATTATTCACTTGAGTGAATAGCTACTGAGGATCTATTAGCAAGTACTGAGACATAGAAGATGAAGAGAAAAGGTCATCTTTACTCAATCTTTATGTCAAGAATGCTACCAGAAAAGTATGCCTCAATATTTACCCATCTCTTTGCATTTGTTACTAATTATTTTATTCATTACTCTTGAATGTTTTTACATTGTGAAACATTGCCCAGTTGGAAATATTACGAGGTTTTTTTCATAGTGAAGTATAGTATCATCACAGCAATATTCTTTTTATCAGTAGTTTTATAAGCATATATTAACTCTGCCAAGTTTTTGTGTAAGTCCCTTGAGCTGCATTTGTTTGTATTCTGATTCCCTGAAGACTTTCTTGGATTGTTCCTAGTCTCTAAGCCATACAGTTTTTCTCACACTTATTAAATATCTGCCTGGGGTGGTGGGAAAATGGACTTGATTTATGGTCATCTCTTTCATACTAAAAGAGCTCTTTTCAGTGTGCATACACACAAACACCATGGAAGCAGATTTATCATAGCAGAAGTGACTTTCATCACATATTATTTGAAGTTAAATGTTACTCGTGACATTAGAGCCAAATGACAGTGAAGATGATGTACCACATATAGTAGAGGAACAAGGGCAAACCTACTGGAAAGCAATTCAGGTGACAGTGGTGGGGGTTTCTCCTACTGAGGGATACTGCAGGTCTCCTCCATCTCTCCCTAATTCATTCCAAAAGGCATTGTGTGGAGCTGAGCTAGGCAGCTGCCCCGTGGGAGAGGGGGAGGCAGGCCAGTGTAGAGTGAAGAGGCTTCTGCACAGTTTTAGCCACAGCAGTGGCAGTGGTGATGTATACAGGGTGTCCATGAGTGGAGTGGCAGAAGCTATGGGAGACAGGTTTCTCCCTGTAGGAGAAGGGGCCACAAATACAGAAAAAAATGAGAGCGAACCTGTGGCACTGGAATGGAATTGGAGGCATTGGGATGAACTCATGGTTTTCAATACATATAAATAAATACAGACATACGTACTTAAATATAGATGTATATTTACATCCATTCATATATAGAGATATAAATGTTATGTAGATGTGTGTGTATACATCCACACACATATAAACTCAGACATGTTCCTCAGCTCTGTCTGCAGAGAAGGCCTGGGAACAGTGACACCCTTGCAGCAGTGAGCATACCTAGCATTCAGACCTTGGGTTCTAAACAAAGCAGGGAAAAAGTACAACATGAGTCTGGGACATCTTGTGCCGGGAAGTAAGAAGGTAATAAACTGCTCAAAGAATGATAGAATCATGACAATAAGAAACTGGGAGTTCACACTAGCCAAATCTGGGACAATTTGGGCATTAAAATAAATAATGAAAGTCACAGATTATAAGCTATTGCATGAAATAGGAGACTGTAAGTAGGTAACATAAACCATGTAAAGAGAATTTTTTTTTCTTATAGTAGGATGTGCCACTAATAAATGTAGAAGGAATGATGGAGTTTTCAAATTCACCATTTGGCAGCCATCATAGTGATAAATAATTTAGCCAAACACACCAATGGATTGTTCTCAAAGCACCTTCCCACAGAATAATTATATACAAAAAGAATAATTTCGCCATGGAGAAATCTGGCCAGTACCAAGGTGTCAAAATATACATCATCAGTTTTGAGACAATTAATATACTTGAATTTGTGTATTACCTGATAGGATGCAAAGATTGCATCATTATTTCTGGGGTATTCCTGTTGAAAATGTATCACCAGAACCTAATCCTAAGGACAGAACAGACAGACTCAAATTGAGGATAATACTATAAAATAACTGGCCTGTAATCATCAAAATTCAAGGAAAGATAAGTGAAGAAAGACTGAGAGAATGTTAGAGATGGACAAAAACTAAAGAGACTTAATAATTCAAGAACTCAATGTCATATGTGATCCTGGTTTGGATCCTTTTACTATACAGGATATTGTTGGGACAATTGGTGGAACTTGAATGCAGATATATCAATGTTAACTTGTTTCCTCTTTTTATGTGTTTGTTTTTTTTCTTATCAATGTTAATTTGATATATCTATACCGACTAAGCAGTCATCAATATCATCTTGATATTGATTATTATATTTTGGTTCTGTAGGAGAATATCCTTGTTTGTAGGAATTACACACCTGAACACTTAGGGTAAAGAAGTATCATGTTAGAACCTATTCAGAGATGATTCTGGGGGAAATGCTCTGTAAATTTGAAATTATTTCAAAAAATTTTTTTAATAAATGTTCTTTCAGGCACATTCACCACTAGAGAAATTACTTTCTTTGAGAACTACAAAGACACAACTTTTGATATAAACCTACAGCAGAATAATGTGTTTTCTTATTGGGATTTTGAGATCTATTAGATACAAAAATAAGCATGCAGAGGTTTCTTAAGAGATAGCTTTTTAAAAACACATTTAACACACACTGAAGATACATACACACACAGATATGGTAAAGAATTTTAAAGTGGCTGGTGTAGTTGTGCATCTACTGAGATTTATAGGATTGTGACCTAAAAACAGTTGGGCATTTTTCAGGATTTAAAAGCAACATCCTGAAATTTAAAAAAAAAAAAAAAAAAAAAAGTTGGCATTTATTGTTTTCGTTGTTCTTTTTGCAAAGTAATTAAGCATGTAGGCCCCGGAGCCAAGCTGCGTGCTTTGGAATCCTGGCCACCACTTATGAGATATGCCACCTCTGACAAAGTATTTGATTTTTTTTTTTTTTTTTTGAGATGGAGTCTCACTCTGTGGCCCAGGCTGGAGTGCAGTGGCACAATCTCAGCTCACTGTAACCTCTGCCTCCCGGGTTCAAGCGATTGTCTTGCCTCAGCCTCCCGAGCAGCTGGGATTATAGGTATGTGCTACCATGCCCAGCTAATTTTTGTATCTTTAGTAGAGATGGGGTTTGCCATGTTGGCCAGGCTGGTCTCAAACTCCTGACCTCAAGTCATTCGCCCACCTCGGCCTACCAAAGTGCTGGGATTATAGGCGTGACCCACCACTGATTTTTTTAAGCCTCCATTTTCCCATGTGTAGATCAGGAAAATAATGTTGAACTCACAAGTCTTGCAGTAGGATAGCATACAGTAATCACTAAATAAAGTTGGCTGCTATTATTATTTCATGAGTAGTTAAAATGCTTTCATAAAATCATTTTAGTATGATTATGTTAGCTTTCTTTCCTCTCACCAGGAGTAGAATTACCAGGGGGCCATCAAAGTCATGGCTTCTGCTATTAAGCCTGTCTCAGGATGAAATTAAAGCCTGGAGCTGGAGCATATTCTAGAAGACAGAAGGCAGGGCAAGGCCATAGACAGACTTGGGCTTTAGAGAACTAAGACTTTGGTTAAATTCCATACCTGCTACTTAGAAGCTTTGTGACTTGAGTCTTGGCGTGTAAAATGTCTATAGCATACACAATCATAGCGACCACGCCAATTGTGGAGGGTTAAATTAGATAAACCTTGCAAAACAGCTAATTAAGTGACCAACCTAAAGAATGTCCTCAAAGAGCTATGGTTATTTTTATTACTCCTTTAAAAGTGCATGAGTAGTTTCTTCAGAAGAATGTAGGCGTTAGGGTCAGAGATAGTAACAGAACGTTTGAGGGCATTTTTGAGAGTGTGATAAGCTTGTCACTATTTGTTCCTGCAGAGGTTTGGACTGCCGAGGATGGACTTAAATTGCTTCAGAAGGAATTTCAGTTGACAAGAAGCATGTCCTGTGAGATGCTGAAAAAGGATAGATAGCAATCTTTCTAGAACAATATGGGTTTAGTGCACACCAGCCTTGGAACCAGGCACAAAGGACAGAATACTTCATCCAGACCCACCTGTGTTTAAGTGGTGGAAAGAATATTGATTTTTCTGTCTGTAAAAATGTAAGCCTTTATCCCAGAGGAGGGTCTCATCAGGTGCATGATTAAAATGTGTCTGTATATTTTCTTTTGAAGAGAAAATGTGCTTCCTTTAGAGAACTTATTTAGTTGCTCATCTAAAATTAGTGGCTCTTAGTTATTGACCCAGGACTTCTTTAGAATTCTGGGTATTATTAAAGGAAGTTTTCCTGATGCACTGTCTTCTGCTTTAATTCATTCACTCAACCATGCTACAGATGTTTATTGAGAACACCTAATATTCCAAGCACTCTGCTAGAAGTTATTTTGAAAAAAAAAAAAGGACAAAACAGAACCTCATGAAACAGTATTCACAGTCTACTGCTCTTATAACCTCTGATGGGTTTTATGGGAACTCTTTGCAAAGGAACACACTTTGAACCATTTTTAAAAATCAGATTATTTTGGCTACAGAGGTATATATCTGGAGTATTTGGAGACTGGCTTATCTCCACATTTGCCTGGAATTCCTGTATCTAGAGATTTCCTTCCAGCAGTGTCCCTATATGCAGTGAACAGCAGCCTGTGACTTGCAGGAGAGGTGCCCATCCTTGATAGCTCATGTAAAATTAAACTTAGGCTGGTCATTGGTTTACTCTGTTATGAAATAGAAGCTGTCAGTGTTGCCGCTTTTAATGCATGGGGGGAGAATTTTCCTTAAAAAAAATCATGGCAATGTTAACTCTCCCAGCCAACTAGTGGCACTAAGAAAAACTGCTGCTTGGGTCTGAATTGCCAAAGGAAGAAAGCTGCAATTGCAGTACATTTCCCTATTACAAAGAGCATCAGCTTTGCCAGGAAGAGGCACATGCAACACAAAGCACACCACAAAAGAACTTTGGTGGTGAAATGACTCTGTCTTCATTCACATATGCTGGTAGCATGTTTATTCAGTGTGTGCCTCTGCTGAGATAAGAGCCGCTTCCTTCAGATGCCCTAGACTGCCGTTTGTGTAGCTGGAGAACTTAATGAGTAATTGATGTGCTTGTCTGGTCAATATAAAGTATTTCCATAGCCTGTGGCTGTGTTTATAGAGAGCGGGAGAGAGACCACAGGCAGCAATTTGTCTTCTTAGGTATCAGCAAAGTCTTCTCTTTTAACAACTAGAAGATTTATTTTTAACTGCTTGACTCAGTGTTTGTCAGATGATTCGGACCATCAAACTGCAGACTGAAGTCCCCAGCGCGGGGGAAGCTGGAATGGCAAGGGAAAGGGGGCTGGCTGGGAAAAGGGGTGGGATTTTAGAATCGTGCCTGTGTGGCTCTGCCTCCCGATGTGGGAGAGAGTTAAGGGCTTCCAGCGGCATGAGTGTATTTGCAGGTCAAGCTGGGAACTAAAGGGTAATGGCTGCCTTCAGCTGCTTAAAGACATAATTGGCCAGTGATTGGGGTATTGTGGGGAGCAACCAGGGACCCAGGGACCAGAGTGTTCTGCGCACCGCACTTCGCTCTTCTGCAAATTAAGCTTTTCTCCTGCTTGATGCTGCCTGTCTTCAGAAGCCTCTCACCATGATCGATAGCTCCAAGAAGCAGCAACAGGGCTTCCCAGAGATTTTAACTGCTGGGGATTTTGAACCATTAAAAGAAAAGGAATGCCTTGAGGGGAGCAACCAGAAAAGTCTCAAGGAAGGTCAGTCTGTCTGTGGACAGGGGCAAAACTGCCAAATTCATATTCTGGTCAGCCAGCTGAGCGTGTCTGTCTGTTACCATGCTATGTGTCTGCTCTCTCTGTTCACTCATGTACCTTACACATTCTAAGTTCTTTGAAATGAAAGCTTAATGCTGTTCTGGGTAGCTGTTACTAAAGATTCATTAGCTGATGGAACTGTAGGGCTTTTGCAGTAATTCATGCAGTAAGGGGACTTGTACAGCCAGTCCTCATTTTGGTAAAATCTTCCCAGGTTCATTTTGTATATTTTCTTCCTTTTTTTCTCTTCCCTCTGTCTTTTCGGAGAGGCCATTTCCTTTTTTATGTTAGTGAGAACACTGCTTCTTTTAGGTTTCCAAACACATAATTCCAGGAAAATTCATTTTTTCAGTTAAGATGCTTATGATTTTTACTGTTTAAAACCAGGAAGGTAGCTAGCTTTTAAATCCTACAGTGATAGGTTAATTGGTTGTAATGCGCATTGCATCGTTTTTTGTTTTAAAAAGCACATTGCATAGCTTGATTTTGTTTTGTAACAAAGCAAAGAATAAGCTTGAGAATAAATACTGTCGATTATTATTGTTAGTAAACACTGCACAGGCACCTCACTGATTGATTTAAGGAAATAGCCAAACATGTGGACATTGCTGTCCTCTGTCCTGGCATACAGAAGCATGGCAAGACTGGTACACAGCTTGCCTTCCTGTAGCCAGTGTTTAAGAAATTCAGGGTCTACAGAGAATAAGTTTTCCTGAATTTGAGACATGAGGGTCACTCTTCTCAATGCTTGTTTAATTTGAAAATTGGTTTCCTAGTCATCTTTGGAAAGCAAAAACCCACAATCCCCCTTTTTCAGCCTCTGCTTTCAGCTGCTGCCAGCAGCCACCCCCTTGCCTCCCGCTCGCTCTTGCCCGTCTTATAGAGACCCAGAGAGTAAATGTAGAGTTAATTGGTCTAAGTAGTGCTTTGAGCTTCTTCTAAAAGATAAGAAGAAGAAACAAGAGTTAGACTTGCTGGAGTTGAACTACTCTTGGGTATGGGCAGGAAAAACTCCTAGGTCGAAATAAATGACACACAATGAAGTATAAATAGCTGTTGCTAGGAACCAAACAATGGAGTTGCCTCTGCTTGTGCACGGCATGTCTTACTGCCGGTTTTTATAAAAATCGATACCAGTGGAATTTTTAGGATGCATTTCTGGAGACTCATTGAAGGGAACTTAAATTTCTTAAATCATTAATTTCTTAAAAGTTTGAGAATTATCTATCATTTAAGTCAAGTTCAAGTGTCAAGCTCCTAATAATACCATAAATTTAAAACATTTTTGCGTACTTGAGAAACTAGGAAAGTAGAGGAAAACAGAATAGGAGAAATAAAAAGATGTCACAACAGCAATGGGATTAAGGCACATAGAAAGCAAGGATTAAAAATATAAAAACAGAGTAAGAGAATCATCAACAGGAACCACAAAATAGAGTTGTGATGGTTACATAAAGTACAGATTCTTTCCCTAACAATTCTGACTATGCTTTCGATTTATACAGGTGTAATAGTATAATGGCAAAACAGCATAGACCCTGGAGTGAGAAATACTTGAGTTCAAATCCTACATGCACCATTTACCGGGTCTGTGATCCTGGACAAGCTTACTCCTCTGAGCCTTAACTTCCTCATTTGTACAATGAGGAGAAACAATACCTACTTCATAGTGATTTTATTAAGATGCCTTGTTAATGCCAGTTTCTCATCTCTCTTCTTGCTTTTTTCGTATTTCTTTTTCCTTCTGTTTAAATTTAAATTTTAAAATCCTGCATATGTTTACAAAATAGAAGTGTTATATATCTTATTGTTTTGTTAAATTCGTTGATATAAAGAGGTAGAGGAGAGAAACTTTATATTTAAAACACTCCACAGAAATAACTGGATGATAAAATTAATGTCTCACTGTAGTTGCACTGAACTGGGTTTTGCTTTATATCTCAACAGACTAAATATTTCTCCTCATTTAATAGATTCTACTCATCTAATAGATAGGGTTGAGGCTAAAATAATGTATGTAGACATTAAGGACGATTTGCTGCTTCAAAGTTAGTGACATTGAAAGGATTAGATCTGGATTTAATTAGAATGGAAAAAATAAAAATTATAGAAAGGCACTTTTAAAATTTGGAGTCATATAAAAATAACTCGGTTCTCTTTGCAAAATTGAACTCCCAAAATTCAGTATGTCACTGATCCTGCCTGCAGATGAACAACAGTGTTTAGCTCATCAGATTTGTAGAATTTAACTTTGGGACAAGCTCCTGGTTACTTTATCTGCTTTTAAATATTGGGTCCTGCATCGTTTACATGAATCCATGGAAGTTAATTGAGATGGCAGCAGTTGTTCAAATACTTTTGGTTAATGTTTTACTCTAAAATACCCTGGAGTCTAATTAGATTTGTGCTGTTTTGTCAAAAGAGACAAATATATAAATGACTATTAATAATCCCTAATAGTTTATACTTCATGTTTTAAAGGACACTTATTAAAAATATTTATCATATTTTATATCAACAGTGGTTTTCTACTCATTTTTGGAAAACTTGTTTTTGGGTTGTTTGAAAAAGCAACCTTTAGAATTTTTTCAAATGTCTGAATTATAAGTTTCTGGGTAATGAAGGAGGGATAAATTTGGGTTCATTTAACTTTTTAATCACATAGACACAAGCTTGGGCTCTATATGTCTGATACGTGTCCACTCTCAGGGCTTGGAAGGCTACTCTGCTTCTCAAGTAGTTGCTTGCTTGCTTCCTTATATTGGGATGTTTTAGAATCTTGTAATTGTTGACAGTGCTAGTTGGCTGAAATTATTATGAGGGGAAAACAGCCTTTATTAGCAAACGCTGTAGGATTCAAGAATTGACGGGATGCCTTAACAAGAAAATTTAGCAATACCTTTTGAAAATTTAAAAGAGGAAAAAGTTCTAACTGCTGACCACCTGTGAAGAGTTGTCATCACAGTGCAGAGAATTGTGTGGATAATAAAGCATATCATCTCACAGCTTTGTTGATGCTTATATAAGCTTTTTGATAGACACCAGCCAGTATATGTGGTTGGAGAATTTAATTATTTTCTTCTCTAGGAGAGAACAGCAATAAATGTCATGAATTCCCCTGAACAAATTCAAAATAGAAAATTCTCCTTAGACTAGTTTCTTTTGTCAAAGCAGCAACAGGAAATCTCAACTTTTAACTTGTCTACAAACGGCTTCAAACATTCTCTGATTACACTCAACATACATGAGCTTTCAATTTCTGGATCTACAGCTAAGAAGAGTATTACAAACCACTCTGACATGACAACTGAAGAGTTGATAATTATGAATTTTCAGGAAAAATCAAATAAATTGAGATGATTTAATTCAGATAAGTGTTTTAATGTGGGTCATTATTGAGATAAATGAATCATAATTCTAATGCTACTAGCTAGTTATGTTCCATATTTATCACAGGCAAATGGTAGCAAATGGATTTTAAGAGGAAAAAATGATATTTGATATAAAGGACTCTCTAATGGTGAAAAATAAGATACTACAGAAAGAAAACCAAGTTGTGTGTTAATTACTTTGACTAAAACTGCCCTAACAGACAACCCTCAATCGCAGTGTTTTAACCATTCAAAGTGCATTTCTTGCTCAAAACGCAGTCCAGTGTGGGCAGGACAACTATCCCAGGCAGCTGTCCTCCAAGAAGTGACCTGGGGACCTGGGCTCCTGTCATTGTGTGGCTCAACCAGGAGTGTCAACGGAGTGGGGAGGAGTTACAGACTTGGGGGGCCACATTTCCAGTTCTGCCACAGACTGGCTAATAGCCGAGATGAAGTACATGAAAGCTTATGGTAGATGGCCCAGCCAGCAATGCAGTAAATTAACATACTGTACTGGGATGTGTCTATAGTAGCTTTGAGAAGAAAATGAACATTTGTCTGAAATATTATGAATAATCCAACCTGGAAATACATCGAGATTAAATAAATCACTTTACCAAAGCACCAGAGCTTTTTTAAATGATGGAAGTTATGCATACTCTACCTGTACTGTCCACTACGCACATATGGCTGCTTAAATTTAAAATAATTAAAATGAAATAAATTGTTTTAAAAATTCAGCTCCTCAGTCACATTAGCCACATTTCAACTACTCAGCAGCCACATGTGGCTAGTGGCTGCTGCAATGAATGTTTCCATTTCTGCCCTCACAGAAAGCTCTGGACAACGCTACTCAGTGCTTTGCTCCTCTCGCTCCTGCCTTGCAGGCCCTGTCTCTTACAACCCAATTCCTGTGCCATTTTTTAAAGAAAGGCACTTGATCCCATCAGCTAATGATAATTTCTTCTCTCCTGTATATTCCCAGTAACTGTATCTGTACCATTCTATGGCATTTCACCTTATGCTAGTGTAATATAGAGCTGCACTGTCTTTGCTATTAGCCCCATAATATTTCTTGGAGAAAGAATTGTTGTCTGGCCTGTTTGTCCCCCTCATCCCCCAATACCCTGCATCTCATAGACACATTATTATTATGCATAAGTATTTAAAGAGTATTATACCCTTCTCTGCCTTCTTAAACAGAATATAATAATTGGAATTATCACCTTCAGATATAATTTATAATTCCATTATAAATTAATGGCTTACCCCAAATGTAATGCCATGGTGCCCCGAAGGCACTGTTAAGGTATGTAAGATTGTTGTCCATGCACAGAATGATTGCTGGGTCATTACTAGATTACTCAAATTGTTATTTATTGTTTGATTTTTATCATCTGCCACTTCAGGCTGCTCTTCCTTTTCTGATTGCTGCTTCTAACTTTAAAAATAAAATAGACAATTAAAATAAATGGTTAAAACATATAGAAGGTATTACAAAGCACATGAATTTTGCAACGTCTATTTTGATTTCTTTTGGAATGTCTTCTTTGTTTTCTGCCGACATTCTACTAATTAAAAGTGTTGTACAAGTGAGCTGCCACTAAATTAATGTTTTTTAAAGGAGTGGGGCACGGTGGCTCACACCTATAATCCCAGCACTTTTGGGAGTCTGAGGCAGGAGGATCACTTGAGCCCAGGAGTTTAAGACCAGCCTAGGCAACATAGCAAGACTCCGTCTCTACAAAAAAAAAAAAAATAAGCCAGGTGTGCTGGCTTATAAGCCTGTAGGCTTACCTACTTAGGAAGCTGAGATGCAGGGATCCCTTGAACCCAGGAGTTTGAGGCTGCAGTAAGCTGTGATCATGCCACTGCACTCCAGCCTGGGCGACAGAACAAGACCCCTGTATCAAAAAGTAAATTTGAAAAGATACGAGATATGGTTCTTATACAATAGGAATGAAAAAGTAAAAGATATCTCTTCACAGACATTATTCAGTATTTTTAAAAGGTGCATACTACTATTGAGATGAAGTTATATAATTTTTTTATTAGAAATAATTTTATTTAGCAGAAGTTTGAGTGCTTTCACATAGCACAATGCCAGTTATGTTAAACTTCTGTAAGCCCCTACATTCAGGGAGCTGATAGCCTAAAGAATGAGAAACTAAATGATAGTAGAAGTTAAAACACACCCACATACACGAGATAACAGAAAAAAGCTATGTATGCTTTGGTCCAAATAAGCAAGCATTACAGACTGGGGGCTGGGCCTCTCTTGTGCTGCAGACCTGTGCTGCCATCTGCCTCCCTGATGTTTCCAATGGGCCTTTTATTCCTTGCCACCAAACATTCTTCCAGGGTTCCTCATCTCAATAAACAGCACCCCTGTCCACCCAGTGGCTCCTGCCAGGAACCTAGTTGGGAGCAATTCTTGACACCTTCCTTGACCTCCTCAGAACCTGTCACCAAGTCCTGCCGCCAAAGCTGCCAATTCTACCTCAGAAATATTTCATCTGTCCACAGCACTGTATCATCACGGCCAACAGCCCTGTCCAGGTCCCCTTTACTCAGATCACATATTTACGGGCATCTTTACTCCAGCAGAAAGAGCGCAGCCTTGCTGGTTTTCCCTCCCCCTACACACATTCTGGCCCCTTTCATTCCTTCACCCTCCACTGATGTCAGGAGTGATCATTGTATTGCGTCACTGCACTCCAACCTGGGCAACAGTGAGACCCTGTCTCAAAAAAAAAAAAAAAAAAAAAAAAAAAAAGAATGATCATCTTAAAATGTAATCCTATTCCGTTGTGTCACTGGCTCACACCTTGTAATTGATTTCCGTTGTACTTGGGATAAAATCAAAAATCTGTGGGGTAAAAAGCCTTGCCTATGTTTCCAGAAGCCGCTGGACTTGCTCTCCCTCATCTCTCTTCTCTCTAGAATGCCTCCCCTCCCCAGCCCCTGGCCTGAGCACCTGCAGCTCACCCTTTCAGTTTCACTTCAGATGTCGCCTTCTCACACAGGCCCTTCAGTACCACTGCTCCCTCCTCAAACTGACTTAGATCCTTTTAGTCTTTGTATGTATCATCACTATTATTTTATTCAATATCCCTCCCCCCTCTAGACTGTAAGATCTATGAGGATGGCGCTAAGTCTATTTTGTTCACCACTGTGCTTGCACCTGCCGGCCTGTGACATCTGCTACTCACTTGGTAAATACTATTTCACAGGAGGATGTTTATTTCCTGGGATAGAATAACCAGGAAAGTGTTCGTGGGGCTGCTGTGGTTATCCTGATTCCATCACCTAAAGGAAAAAGGCACATCAAAATTACCATTTAAACCATTTTAAGGCCTACATTCAGCGTCAGGGTAGGCCTTGATTAGTATTTCATCATATCAGTCTCACCTCATTAAGGTGATAATAGTCCCTGCTTACAGTGGTTCAACTTAGGATTTTTGACTTTATGATGGGTTTATCAGAGTATTAAATGCATTTTGACTTACAGTTTTCGACTTAAACCCATCCTAAGTGAAGGAGCATCTGTACTATCATAACACCACTCTAATTTATTAAAAGCTTTCAGGAAAAAGTATAGATACGTTTGAAACATTGGGTTTTCCGTTGTTTCCTAAAGATAGCTTTATCAGGGTTTTTTAGCAGGCATCAGAATGGCAAAGAAGATCTTAACATTTCTTTGTGTCTTCCCAGTTGTATTTGTATTGCTTATACTGCAATAACAAAATACCGGTGGACTACCTGGCTTAAACAACAGAAGTTACTTTTCTCACAGTTCTGGAGGCTAGGAAGCCTGGTGAGGCCAGTTAATGGTGGTGGGTCTCTTCCAGGCTTGTAGCCTTCTTGCTGTGCATGCACAGGGAGAGAAAGAAAGAGGGAGGGTGAGCCCTCAGGTGTCTCTTCTCATGAGGACACTAACCCTGTCAGATCAGGGTCCCAACCTCGTGACCTCATTTAACTTTACCTCCGAAAGGCCCTTTTTCCAAATGCAGTCACATTGGGGGTTAGGGCTTCCATGTAGGAATTTGAGAGGGACACAGTTCAGTCTATAACAGCAGTGAATTCTTATTGATGTAAGAACTTTTTCTAGTGGTATTTTAAGGTACAAGATTTCTTATAAAATAGAGATAGTGTGAGCAAAAGCACTGATGAGGTTAATTGGTACAGTGGCCAAAACTTCATAGCATATTAGGAAGTATTTCTTTTTGTATGCTTTTCTTTTTTTTTTTTTTTTTTAATTATCTTGTGGAAAGACTAAATTTTCCTTTTTAATTCTGGCTCTGCTTCTCACTAGCTGTGTGATCTTGGATAAATGCTTAATTCCTTTGTAAAACTCAGTATTGGTACCCGCCATGTAGGGTTGTTATGAGGATTAGATGTGGTGATAGCCGTAAAGCTCCCAGGATGGAGTCTGACAAACAATGAGCCCACATTAAAGCTCCGTTTGACGCACTTGGCCATCCTTCCCAGTGTGGGGCAAAGTAAAACCAATTTCTAGGCTATTGAAGCAGGTGAATGCACACAGGCTGGCAATTTCCCAACTGAATATGATTTCTGAGGAGGTGCAAGTATCCAGTGTCTGCATTCTAGCATGCATGATCATCTGCTAGAGTTGCCCTTTTTCTCGTTTATTTGAATCTAAACAGTAGAGCAAGTAGATTGACTATCTTGGAGTTTAAACACCGAAAACATCCAAACATCAGAACTTTTCTCCACATACTACTGACATTGAAACATGTCACGAAACATGACATTCTAATACCAGAACAATTGGCTTTTGTGCGTGGCAAGGGATAATGTGGCAATCCTCTATGCTGTGCATGGCTGCTTGGTCCATCATCGTCTGGATCATCTCACACAGTTGCTATGATATTAGGATAACACACAAGTTATGGCAGTTCTTAGTTTATGTTTTGCTAGGCACATTGCACATGTGTGTGTATATATATACATAGGTATATGTACAAATGTGTATATGTAAATATATTTGAGTGTGTGTTTGTATCAGCCCCATTCCTGAATCCACAAAATGGAAAGGAAAACCGAGATACTGAGTCTGGATCATCTGACTTCAACAGAGTAGCATGTGCTTACTATTCTGGGAAAAATTGGAGGTAAACAATATTCCACTGTTTCCTGTTTCGTTAATTGTTCTTTTATTCAGAGAGCCCACCTTACGCATTTGTATTAAGAAACATGAGAACATTCTATACAATGTACATTTTTCCATTATAGAGGGATTCAGAAGCAGAGCTTTAGCTTGTAGCACTAGCTCTACCTATAGCTGCACACTGAAATTCTAAACCATGATGGAGTGTAGAATTTTTTATTGCCCTCAAAATAAGAAAAATAAACATTATCTTCTTTGGGAACTGTATAGATAAGGAATTTAGAACTTTAAGGATAGAACCAACATGATCTCACAGGTTAAAAATGAATTGTTTGAAAAATCAAGTATTGTTTTAACCTCTGCATTGTTGGTGATCAATTAAGTGGATGATTAATATCTTTATGTACATCTGTCGCAGGCTAATGTTATCTCTGCCATTCTGTACCAGGCCCCTGGCTTGACAACATACTGTCATATCACAAGAAGCATACTTTAAATTCATTCCAACTTTTGACAAAAAGGAGAAGGGAATTTGTGTGAAGGTATGATGAGTTTAAAGAAACATGCCCCATTTTTAGCTGTCTGTTTCCATGGCAACAGAAGCAGCAGCCAGCCAGAGAGTTATCAAAGCTCCTGTAAATTTCCAAAGCTGAGTGTTGAAACATTGTCTTCCTGACCTCATGCTGCAGATTATCGTAGGAAACCTACAGTGTATTAGTCTGGAATAATGGCGGTCCTGTTAGCATTTTAGTTTTTACTTTAATTTTGCTCTTTAATTTCTAAGAGAAGGTAAATGCTACATTCTAGATTGTGGGACTTCCTTACAGGCAAGGGATGGTGGTTTAGAATTCCGAGGTCTATACCACCTGCCACTTCCCCTCCTTTTCCAATTCTGTATACTTAATAAGAATGCAGTAAACTTTATGTTGAAATCAAAGGCAATATTTCCACTTGGTCTAGAGCCTAACTTTTTTCAAACACTAATTTGAATAGTTTTTCAGTTAACTTGATGTTGTTGCTCCCTTTTTCATCAGAAAATAGTCTTAATATCAAAATTCCTGATCAAAATGCTGTTTGCTCTTTGTAGTGTCTGGGGTTGATATTTATGTGCACACTGTGGAGCTCTGCTTTTGTTTCAGACAGGAAGTGCTGGTGGAAGTTTGCTTACCCAGTGCAGATAGCACAGCTTTTACAGAACAAACCACCATTTTATTTCTGGCCTGTTTGCATTCCACTTTTTAAAATTCCTTGAAGAAGAACCCATTTTATAATTGGCAAATTAGCACCCTTGAAATATAACCCAAAATTTGTGATATTCAGTTACTACTTTTTATCATCTATGAGAGTACTTTAGTGCTTTCTCTTTTTTCTTTTTTTTTTTTTTTTTTTTTTTGAGATGGAGTCTCACTCTGTTGCCCAGACTGGAGTGCAGTGTCGTGATTGCGGCTCACTACAACCTCTGCCTCCCGGGTTCAAGCGATCCCCACCCCACCTCCACCTCAGCCTCCCAAGCAGCTGGGATTACAATCGTGCCCCACCACGCCTGGCTGATCTTTGTATTTTTAATAGGGGTTTCACCATATTGGCCAGGCTGGTCTCGAACTCCTGACCTCAAGTGATCCGCCTGCCTAAGCCTCCCAAAGTGCTGGGATTACAGGCGTGAGCCATCGTGCCTGGCCAGTGCTTTCTCTTCTTTAATGCAGCTTGAATTTCGCATTAATTCTAAGTGGAGAAATCTACCACTTTTTCATGGCCTTCTTTACTTTTTTACTCATAGCCCCTCCTTTTTAGTCTTTTACCCTTCAGAACAACATAATTACATTTTGTCTTCGTTCCTACCATCATCAGCAATTCAAAAATAACTCCAAACTCCAAATTCCCGCAATGAAGTGAAACGGTGTTGGTTTTGCCCCCATGATAATCACTTGCCCATAGAAAATTATTTTGTTAATTTATTCTTAAATGTGACATTGTATTCTGTTTTCTTAGAAAATAGCAACTCAGTTATATGCTCTAAGTATACCATGCAAATTTAAGTAAAACATGTTTATTAAAACTTATATATATGGTAAGCATTGTGGAAGGTGCTAGAAATATAAGGATGAGGTCTAGTAGGGCAAATAGAGGCAAAATATAGATATCTAGCGTGCAGTGTGATGGGGAATATATAATGTAGTTGTTATTGTAGTTACCAAATTGTTAAAAGATCAAATCATTATTAATGGTTAATGGAATTATGGTGGTGAGAGGGGCCAGCCAGGGGTGGGTAGGAAATAAGAAATGTGATTATTGAGAAATTAGTTTCATAATGTCTGTTCTGCTAACTGTTCCTTTTTTTTAATTACTGAAGTGAAATTCACATAACATAAAATTAACGATTAAGCAGTTGCTGTCATGCTCCCTTCCCCGCAATCCCTGGCAACCACCAATCTGCACTCTGTCTCTGAATTTACCAGTTCTGGATATTTCATGTAAATGGGGACTCATACAATATGTGAGCTTTTATATCTGACTTCTTTTCCTTGTAATGTTTTTCAGTTTCATCCACATTGTAGTATGAGTATTTAATTTATTTTTATGACTGAATAATATTCCATTGTATGGATATGCCACAATTTGTTTATCCATTCATCTGTTGATGACATTTGGGCAGTTTCTGCCTCTTGGCTATTGTGAATAGAGTTGCTATGGACATGTGTGTACATGTATTTGTTTGAGTACTTGTTTCCAATTCTTATTTCACCTAGGAGTAGAATTGCTGGGCTGCAATTGTTATAAACTAAAATTATATTCAGTTTAGAAAAGAACTTCTTTAGGAAAGACTTTAGAAAGAACTGCTAAATGTTCTAATTTTGTATCTTATGGTCTTTTCCTCTGATAAAAATGATACCATTTAGAGCCAGTGAATAACTTGCCATGCAGTTTCCTGATTTCTCTCCCCCTGGCTGTTGCCTTTACTAGTTGGAGCATTTCGGTAATGCATAACCATGTTTCTCTTCTTGACTTTCTCTTCACAGTCTACAGTGATTATTCCAAACCTCCTTCACTGGCCTCAAAATTAACTTTCCCTTTACCCATCTCACTTGGAACAGATGACCTTTCTTTCAACTTCTCCAAAAAGTTAAAAGCCATTATCTGGGAACTCCCTAGATGTCCCAGACCAAAGCTGTAAAGCTTCTTGCAGCAGTCGCCAATCCTCATTGCCCTCCTATTATGATAGAGGAAGTGTCTCTTAATAAAGGATGTCTTTGTACATCTGTCCCCTTCCTACTGCCTTCAAGGTACCTGCTATCTCTTATGCTCTTGTTCATTCTCTCATTTGTATTCATTCTTATTTCTTTCTTCTCCCCTTCCCTCTCTTTTGCTCTTCATCAATTATAAACTTGCTCAATTATTTTCCAACTTCAAGTTTCACACCCTCAAGTTTTCACTTTCTCCCTTGCTCTTCCTGGGCAGCATCTTGAAAGCATGCTTACACTCTTGCCTCTCGTTCACACCTGACCTCCTCCAACCTGACTTACATCCATCACTTTACAAAAGTAGCTCCTCCAGGGATTAAAACAGCAGCATTTGACACACTTGATCATGCCTCCTTTAAAAACTCTTACACACACCCTCCTGGTTCCCTCCGCCTTTTTAGGCAGCTTCCTCTGCCTTCCTTTGTTGGATCTTCCTTCCCTATCTGACCTGTAACAGGGCTTCTATTTGTTGGCTTTCTTAAGAGCTCAGTCCCGGGCTTTCTTTTCCTCTCTATTTATATTCTCTACCTCAGCAAACTCCTGTGGCTTCAAATACTACATAAGTGACAACTTCCAAATTCCACTCTCTGCCAAGACCTTCTGAAATCGGGACCCATGTAGCCAACTGCCATTTTAACATCTCCACTTCCTATTCAAACATGCCCAAGACTGCGCTTCCTAATAGCCAGCATGCATTCCTTATCTCAGTAAATGGTCTACCCAGGTGCTTAAGCCTGAAACCCAGGATCATCTTTGTGACCTCTTCCTCCTTCAAACACACTGTCCACTCCCTTGCCATACACTGTTGATTTGATTCTAAATGTATCTCAAATCTATTCATTACATCTCTCAGCCATGATGGAGTTGAAGAAAAAATAAGTCCTGTGCTCAAAGTTTCTATCCTGGAACATCAGAAAATTCTATGAAATTTGGAAATAAATGTTTGGTTTCAAGAGAAAGCTTACCCTGAGCTTTTGAAAACCACGGTAAATATTTCCCCATTGAGTCAGAAACCCAGCCCCATTGTCCTCACTAATTCTTTTTATATCTTACAGTTCTTCACTGCTTATTAGTTATTTATATTATTTGACATGATATCACTAGTACCCTTAGGTGAGAGGAGGTAATCTTTGTTTCTGAATTTAAATTTACCTTAAAACTTAATGTTATACATTGTGGGGAAGGGGAAAAATAAAAAGGTACTATCTTACCTTGTAAGCTGGACTACAGATTGGCACAACCATTTGGAAGGCAAAGTGACCTTATCAAAGTTTTAAGGGCGTGTTCCATTATTAGAAATTTAATTTATAGGTATATCATCAAAGGATGCCCCCAAAATGAATGAGGATATTCATTATAGCATTATTTGTAATAGCAAAAAACCTGGTAGCTTAAGTATATGAATAATACATCCATATGTTAGATACAGCCTTTAAGAAAGAGCTAGATTCTGAGTTCCGACCCGGACCCGTACGCTGCTGCGCTGACGTGGCTCCCGGAAGTAAGGCTGGCGTAGGGCCGCCATGTTGCAGCAGGATAGTAATGATGACACTAAAGATGTTTCACTGTTTGATGCGGAAGAGGAGACGACTAATAGACCAAGAAAAGTCAAAATCAGACATCCAGTAGCATCGTTTTTCCACTTATTCTTTCGAGTCAGTGCAATCATCGTCTGTCTTCTCTGTGAATTGCTCAGCAGCAGCTTTATTACCTGTATGGTAACAATTATCTTGTTGTCATGTGACTTTTGGGCAGTGAAGAATATCACAGGTAGACTAATGGTTGGCCTACGTTGGTGGAATCACGTTGATGAAGATGGAAAGAGCCACTGGGTGTTTGAATCTAGAAAGGAGTCCTCTCAAGAGAATGAAACTGTGTCAGAGGCTGAATCAGGAATCTTTTGGTTGGGACTTGTTGCCTGTCCAGTGCTGTGGGTGATACTTGCCTTCAGTGCACGCTTCTCCTTCAGAGTAAAAAGTGGTTGGCGGTGGTTATCGTGGGTGTGGTGCTACAAGGTGCCAACCTGTATGGTTACCTCAGGTGTAAGGTGGGCAGCAGAAAGAATTTAACCAGCATGGCTACTTTATATTTTGGAAAGCAGTTTTTAAGACAAAACACTGGAGATGATCAGACTTCCTGAAGAGAGAAAGCTTATGTGCTTTGTTACATTGGGGAACAACTGAAGAGATAAGTCTTGACTTTGAACCTTTTAGAGCTTAGTCCATGTTGCAACGAGGAGTGTTGGCTTTGTTTTTCCACTTAAAAACTTTATTTATAAAAAGGAAAAATAGTTTTCGTATTAAGTTTTTATTTCCAGCAGTTGGGGCGAGAAAGTATATGTTGGCACTAGAAACATTGTCAAGATTTATTCTGTGGTGTAGGTATGCACATTCCATAGGTATGCACACGGCCATGTAATATCAGTATATCCCAAGTTAACGAAAGTGTTCATTTACATAGGCAATGGAGACCTTTGCATTGTGATCCATAGAACATAGGAGGATGTTCTTAGTGTGTCTCAAAGCTCTATATGTTTACATATTATTTCTGTAGATTGTTTTCAGGAGAAAGTTTTGCTTCCATGGTAAGAGTGAGCACTTTGGCTTCTGTGTAAGTTAGAAATAATTGTTAGTTTTTAATATGTACTTCCTGGGGAAATTTCTTAGATGTTTGCAAGCAAGTGAAAACAGTTAGGGCCAGTGGTACTAACTACTTTATAAAATTTTATTTTTATTTGTAAGAAGTCATCTACTTAAGGCCCAGTTAATATAAGTGGAATCATCGTAGTTTAAGGAATACCCAGAGATTGCTGCTGTTCTATTTATTTTACAGAAAGGATAGCTAGATTGAAAGCTCTTCAGTGGACCTTGAGCTAATAGAGCTTTTACCACTAAAAGAGCATTATTCTCATGTCATAATGAGAATAATCATTTACATACTTGGCATAATAAATGCCTAAAAGACATTTTATTTTCTGAATCTATCGTTTTCTTGCTATAATGGGGATATTGTAAATTATGCATTTGTATTAATGGTATTTCTTAAAGCAATCTATGTAACTGTAAACTAAACCAATCTACAAACTATTGTAGGCATCTGTAAATTCTGTCGTAGGTATTATAAACCTTGTTGAAGTCTTAATCAGCAGATTATGTTGTGAATGTATTTGTACATTGTTAAAATAGTTTTTAAGATTATTTGTTTAATTGAATAAGTGTCTTATTAGAGTGATAGCTTTGAAGGTGCAAAACTTTATATTTGTATAAAATTCTACTGTTTACAAGGCAAAAAAAAAAAAAAGAGCTAGATTCCTTGATATTCTTTAAGCAAATTACCAAACTATATAAATACTATTATCTGACACATATACTTCCTTTGCATATGTTATATATAACATTGGTGGACAATTCACAAGACATCTTCTCCGAGCCATAGAAATCTAACAGTGGTTACCTCTGGGGAGAATGACTGAAGGTCTGAAGTAGAATGGATTAACTTTCACTTTTCTTTTTAAAATCTCTTTTTATGTGCATGTATACTTTATTTTAACAAATAAAAGAAAAATGTATTATAAAACAGGGATTCTTAAATCAAGATACTAACAGTACACATAGTGTTCTGTTTGAGTCCCGGGCTCAGAAGGAGACCCTTCGTGATTTGACTTTCTCCCCTTTGACTGCAAAATAAACTATTCACAGCAGAGAACTATAAATTTGTGAATCTTTGTGGAACTAAAATTTTTAAAGCCTTATGGTTTTATATTTGGAGAAAAAAAGTGTTATTTTCACCAAGTGTCTAATGTAATAGTAGTGGTAATAATTAGTAATAGCCACCACCATTTTAAACATTTATTTTTAAGAGAAAGGAAAAGTAGTTCATCAGTCTTTTGCCCTTTCAGTACAATTGTTTTCAAGTCCTTACCTGATTAAACAAGTGCAATTCTACATTTGGCCACCACACTGCTATCTGATCAAACACTGAAACAAGTATTGAATGGAATCCAATTAATCCCTCCTGTATCCAAGCTCAAAAGATAATATGAGGAAGCTGGCTTTTCTAAACTGTCTTGTTTTTACAGGATCAGGCCTTCACTTAATACTATTTAAACAATGCATAATAAATGTTTGCCAAAGTCCAACCACTTCATTCTCTTAACTACCCTGACATCTGTTTGAAAAATAAACAACTGAAACTAGGATCTGTTTATTACCTAGTACTGACTTCAGAGTCAATACATAGTCAATTCTAGAGTATTCTTTAGTTTTCCATCTTCAGAGATGGTTCATCTAATCCTCACTTGACTGCTCAGGCTTTTTTTTTTCACTCCTCATGATCCTAAAGTTTATTCTGTCCATTGTCCTGTAATTAAGTAATATACATTGGAGCTTCTCTCTAACTCACAGATAGCTGTTCATCACCTCTCCCCTCTCCCCTTTCCCACCCTCCTTCATACCCATAACTGAAATCCAGCTGTTCGTAAAGAATTTCCAAGACCATGGCTGCCTGCCATTATGCTCCCCAGAAAGTGTCATTTTTGCATTGTTTTGGTAACATACAGTCCTCTATGTCCCACTGAAAACTCAGGGCCAGAGCCATGCTTTGCCTCGGCTTGCTCAACTCAAACTAAACTGCTCTTTGTTATTAATATGCTGCATACAATGTGTTGTTTCCTTTAGGGGGAAAAGGCACTTTAATTACATCATATTAAGACAACATTTCACACTTTGGGAGGCCAACGCGGATGGAACACTTGAGGCCAGGAGTTGGAGACCAGCCTGGTCAACATAGGAAAACCCCGTCTCTATTAAAAATACAACAGATTAGCCGGGCATGGTGGTACACAACTTGTAATCCCAGCTACTCAGGAAGCTGAGGCACAAGAATCACTTGAACCCAGGAGACAGAGGTTGCAGGGAGCTGAGATCAGACCACTGCACTCCAGCCTGGGCGACAGAGGAAGACTCTGTCTCGAAAAAAAAAAAAAAAAAAAAAAAAATTTCAACATTCTACTTACGGAAACAAAAGAGGAAAGACATATCTTGGTTCAAAAAGCATGTGAAATTTTTGAATTAGGGTTATAAGTATCACATGAAAGAAGTTATTGTATTTTAAAGGTTTTGTTTTGTGTGTTTATTTGTTTGTTTGAGACAGAGTTCTTGCTCTATTGCCCAGGCTTGAGTGCCGTGGTACAATCATAGCTCACTGTATAGCCTCGAACTCCTGGGCTCAAGTGATCCTCCTACCTCAGAGCCTCCCAAGTAGCTGGGACTACAGGTGTGTGCTACCATGCCAGCTAATTTTTTTTATTTTTTATTTTTCTTTGGTAGAGACAGGGTCTCACTATGTTGCCCAGGCTGTTCTCAAACTCCTGGTCTCAAGCCATCCTCCCTCTTCAGCCTCCCCAAACACTGGGATTACAGGCATGAAGCACCGAGTTTGGCCTTACAGTTTTTTTATATTGGAAACGAATCTTAAAATTTTGTTCTAAAAGCACTCTAAACCATTTAAGAAGCAGGGGAAAGGAACTAAAAGAAGATACTTTTTTTTATGGAAAACCCGCTAGACAAATTCTAAAAGAGCTGTAACACTTAAGATACTTTATATCTAAACTACCATATTGCTGGGAATGACATTTTCAGTTTATCATTGGATAAGCTACCTTTCATTTTTTTGGAATTGGGATTAAAATCAAATTTTTACTTTTCTTGCATAAAAGTAGAGCAAATTCAAAACACCTCTATTGACATAATATTGTTTTTATCTGTTGTGATAAGGAATAAGGATTAAGTAAAAATTTCAAAATTATACACCCTTTTCTCCTTATTGAAATGTAATAGAAAACTGTAAATGTTAGCCCTAAGAGATGAAAGATCATAATTCAATAAATTTTTTTCTTTAAATGAAATAGCCATCTGTATCCATGTTCACATATGTCTGCTACAATTGCAAAAGACAATGGTTAATACGTGAGGAAATTAGTCTCATTACTTTATGATCATGCTTTATATATATTACATTGGAATAGTCTTCCTTTTAAGAATTCAAATTAAGGGAATAACTGAAATGAAGAATTAACTTTATACACAAAAATTGCACCACAGCATTATTTATAGTTAAAAAATTGGAAACAACCTAAGTGATAAACAGGGACTATTTAGTAAACTATGCCATATCCACCTAACAGAGTATTTTATGTAGCCACTAAAATAATAAGAATATTTATCATTGTAGTTACAGAGTGATCGGAGTATGTAGAAGCAGAGAATCAAAATCTATGCTTAAAGACAGAGGAAATACATGGTAACTCTAGTTGTGTCTCTCTGGATGATGATATTATCGGTGATTTTCTTTTTTAGTTTTTTTATCCTACTGTTTTCTATTTCCATATTTTGTGTAATGAACATATTTGGCTCCTATCATGTGTGAAAAGATTTTTTTTAATAAAAATGCCTGGGACCCAGGCTAGTTAGGAAAGATGGGATACATACAGTAAGTAAATGGATTTATAACCTCATCTCCCTCCATCCGTGAGGGTGCTTTGCCTGCCTCTTGTGAGTTTTGTCATCTGGAAATATACAGCTCTTGTAGAATTGTCAACTTGGGGTAAATGTTTTGCACAGAGAATACAATGCTACCTGTATGAGATATGCTTTTTTATATCTGTCCCCCTTTTTTGATAAAATGAAACAGGTTTACACCTTGTTTTAAACCATGATTCTAAATTTCAGGACTTCTTAGGACCATGTGTTGGATTGTTTAGCCTTTACCTTTTTCAAAAATAATATTCTTTGAAAATGTTCAAATGTGAGCAATTGTAACATGAAGTCTGTTTATCTTTATTACTTATGTCCTTTGTTTCTGAAAGGATGTACACACTCAGTGTTTTGAACTGTTTAGTCCCCTGAGGATTCTATAGTTTGTACGTGTATCCTTTTCTTGCATGATGGCCATGGAAGATACTGTTACTCAACTTACTAAGAAGACGGAGGCTATGATGTCAACCCAATAGTATGGTTCATCTACTCAGCAAGGCACCGGGAGAGAATGCTCTTGGTTTCAGTTTTGACACATGAGGCCATTGCCAGACTGCCTCTGCTGCAGGAAAACAGTACCAGGCCAGTGTCTAGTCTTTGGTTGCAGCTACAGATATGAAATCTTGTCAACACAAGCACAATTTGTCAGGCAGTTGTGCAAGGCTGAGTGACATTCAGTGGTCTAAGCCTTTTTTCCCCTCCATGCAGATATAAACATGGAGGGTAAGCATGGAGGCTGAAAAGGGAGGAAGGAGGTCTCCAGGCTTAATCCATGAAGGTCCCAGGAAAACTTGATAAAGCATTCCTGATCCCACAACCGTGAATGCCTCTCTGATCATTAGAAGAGTCTGGTCCTCTGTTTTCAGGGTCCCTTACCCCTTCCTCAGTCGTGGATAAGCACCAGTACATTCTGCCTGACTTCTGTGTCTCATGACAATTAAGCTGTCTATCATTCAAGCCATGTTCTTCCTGGATGGTCTCTGTCTAAGGTGCAGATATCTGCTGTGACTTATACATTAATTTTGTTAGTAATTTGATGAACAGAAGTTCTGAAAGGAAGTTTGATATCTGCCAAAATTATAAGTCTATACCTATATGATCTGTACTTTTTATAAGTAGTAGTTGCTCTCAGAATAGCCTGTGTCAATTGTGAATGACTGGTTTTAGTTGACATCAACAAGTAATACTGTAATTGTGTGTTTTTGTTTTGAGACAGAGTCTCGCTCTGTTGCCCAGGCTTGAGTGCAATGGCACGATCTCGGCTCACTGGGTTCAAACGATTCTTCTGCCTCAGCCTGCTGAGTAGCTGGGATTACAGGCACCTGCCACCTCGCCTGGCTAGTTTTTATATTTTCAGTGGAGACGGGTTTCACCATGTTGGCCAGGCTAGTCTCAAACTCCTGAGCTCCAATGATCTGCCAGTCTCGTCCCGGCCTCCCAAAGTATAATTGTGTTTTAATACTACCCAAAGTAGCAATGTACCTGATCTCTTGCTAGAACATAGTGCCTCATATTCAATATAATATGTGCAGTAGTGTCCACCTATGGGTGCAGATAAAAGCTAAAAAAAAAAAAAACTGGGTAATCAACATACTTAACAAAATGGCTAGTTACTTGCAATTCTGCCTCCCCTTCCATTCATGTTCTTCCTAACGTCGCTTAAAAAAGATCTTCCTTTCACTGCTACTGCTGCTGCTCTTTCCCATGGATTTGTACCCCATGCAGTACCCAGACACCTAACAGATATGCTCTAAATAAATGAATGTGCCTGGGGGAGGCCGATGGCCACAGCTGCTTTGAATAATACTTGTAGTGGGAGGTTCTTGCTTCTTGGGAAAGTTTTATAGGCAATGATGAGAGCGTTAATTGGGGAAATTATTCTCCTACCTTCAAGCAGTATAAGTAGGGTTGTTTGGTTGCTTGTTTGGCCACATAGAAAATGGGATAGAAAACACAAATGTTTGTGTGTGTTGTTTTATTTTAATAATTGGTGGTTGGTGTCTACGATATTGTGAATATAATTAGAAATGTATATGTGTTCTTTGTCTTGGGTTTCTGGCACAGAACTCCTAAAGTTCTCCTAAATGTCCTGAGTAATAGGAGCATCATTTGTTATACATTTGGTCTTAGTCCCCAGTTCTTGACAAAGAGCTTCTTTCTAAGATCCTTGGACTCTCTGGAGTGATGAGAGTGGTTTTTGTATGCTACTGAGATGACAGGTAGTTGAAGGTCTTTAGGTAGCTTCCAGATAGGGGCTGATCACCAGAAAGACCAAGGCATGGCCAGAGGAAAGGTGGTATACCTAGAGAGGGCATGGGAGCTCTGTGCCCCTTCTCCCATACCATGCCCTATGTGTCTCTTCCATTTGGCTATCCCTGAGTTGTATCCTTTAGAATAAACTACTAATAATAGGTAAAGTGCCTTCCTGAGTTCTGTGAGCTGTTCTAGCAAATTATCAAACCTGGGGAGGGGATTATGGGAACCTCCCAACTTTATAACTCATTGGTCAGAAGTCTGAGTGGCTTGGCCTAACAATTGGCATCTGAAGTGAGGGCAGTCTCTTGGGATGGAGCCCTTTAACTTGTAGGATCTGACACTAACTCCAGGTACCTAGTGTCAGAATTGAATCATTGGACACCCAGTTGGGCATCCAGAATTGGAGAATTGGTTGGTATGAGGGAAAAGCCCACACATCTGGTGTCAGAAGTGTTGGAAATAGAAACAGATCAGAATGACACGCATCCGTGTTGTATGTTACCCTCATGGTAGCAGGTACCTTTCTTTCCATGTTAGCATGAAAGTGTGATTTCTGGTGATAGATGATACAGCTGACAGGACTGCTGTCCTGGTAAATGAAGGCACCTGAAATGACCAATGTACAATCAAGAGATGCTTCCAGGACTAACCAGCTGTTGTCATCAGAGTGTTGGTTTGCAAATCAAGTTGTTGCAGATGTATGCATCATTCAAAGATGCCATTCACCCAAAAAACGTATTGTGTCTGATAGATTTGTCTCACAAATGTGTGCTTTCATTGTTTGGTTTTTGTTTTAAACCAAAAAGGGGGTGGTTGATATTTTCATTACTCTTTCTTTTTTACTCTTTTGAGGATTCCCTTGGGAGAAAGGAAAGATTTTCCTGCTAGAGATTCTCCAACAGACATGGACCACCATGTTCCAGAAGTATCAACCTTTGATCTGGAGAACTGTTCTAACCCTTTTCTCCTCTCAGTTGTCTTTTTCTTGAGATTCTGCTTCTTGAATATGATTATCTTAAATGCAGACAAGCATTTACTTTAGCATTCCTAGAAGAATGTTAAAGTACGCAGGTCTTTGGGTGCTGTAAGATGCACAGGTCAGCTCCTTGGTTATTTTGTTCTTAGTAAAGTACAGTGGGAACATACTATCCTCAATCAACTTAGGGAAAAGATCTTTCTGTTAGCGCACAATTGATTGAAAGTATCACAGAACATCTTAATGTCAGGAATGTGCATATCTTTTTTAAAGAAATTTTATTTCTTTTGCTTTGTGTAGCAGAATCTTGTCAGTTGCTTCAGTTCTAAATAGGCTATCAATGAAGTTTTGTGATCCTGTGGCCCCAAACCAAACAAAAACCCAAACTTATTTCTGTATCTAATAGATGATGACATTCATATCAAACAATGATAAAATATTTTTAAAAGCCATGTGACAGCTTAGATTCTTTCTGAACTTTACCTAAGACTGTGCTCTGCTCTGCAGTCAGCGCAAGACCAACTGAAAAACAAGGGATGGAGGCCACGTGCCTGCGTCTGCAGGCCTCAAGGTTTTATTGCAAGGAGGAGACACCACGTGCACTGCATTTGAGCCTCTCATTCCAGCCATCACCACTCACTAGAAAATTGTGTCTTCTCTTCCCACCATTTAAGTAAGAAAGGCACATAAGTAATTTTTTTAAGCATATTGACAACCATTAAGCAGACTCTTAATCACTCTAATCTTGGTTTTCATCCATGGTTTGAAACAAAAATCAAAATGGCAACTTAAAATCACAGTGGAAACTGGTTTGAATGTAAAGCAAAGCAAGAAAAATATTTTTCAGAGTCACCTCCTGTATTCCCCTTATTTTGAAATAGTCTCATTTTCCAGATAAAAATATGTAGATGCTTATAAAAGGAATCTGCTTGAGAAAACTAGAAAAAAATTAATTTTTTATTAAATTTGGCAAACTGGATGTCTCCATTTCATAATGTATATCTTGTTCTCTGCCAGTTCTAATAATTTACTCTTTTATTAAAATAATAAGGTGTCAACTGATTTGTGACTTTCTTAGAACTTATAGAGTGAGATACATGGTATCATGTTTGTGCAAAGATTACTAAACTTTAAATTCCTAATTTAGAAATTTCCCTTTGAGTCATTAGGAATATCTCATAGGTCTAATTTTTATTATGCAAGCAGCCTTCCTTAAAGCCACTTATAGTCAGTCTTAAAATAAGTTTTTGCTATTAATTTGTTTTTAAAAAACTAAGATGTGTCAAAGAATTTCACGTCTCTTATTTCTATAAATTAGATTTATTAGCAAGTCTTAATATATAAGCCAACTATTTTTATTTTCTTGAGTACTATGAATGTTTTAAACAACAAATACATAGCTTTGGTCATCAAAATAGGATAAACCAAAAAATTTATACTGTGTAAACTTTAGTGTTCACTAAACAGGCAGAAATTACAAAATAATTTTCCTTTTACAACTTACGTGGTGCCAGGTAATATCCTTCTTTTTAATTGTGAAATAGAAGATGCTTGATAAAGCTTAATTGCATCTCCTCTGGAATCACATAAATCGGATCCCACAGTTGCCGATAAACTCCAATGGTGATTATTTCCTTTTCACAGTGCTCCAGCTGAGGCTGCAACAAAGGAGGACGAGAGAACAACTAGTGGACCAGGGCATCATGCCACGTAAGATTTATACCATCACTGCCATCCCTAACGTGACAGAACATGACGGGCGTGTCCAAGAAGAGCCTGCATCTTGCTCTGCTTTCAGTTGTATCCATTTAATCAACAAACAATTACCAAATGAATTTCCAAGGAAAAATCAGGCACCTAAGTGAATCATTTAGAATACATTTTAAAAACCAGATGCAGTTTAAAAGAGGAACTTGAATTTTATATTACACACAGAACACCTTTACACTGTAATTAGGCTAACATTCATTCTTTCTTTAAACTTTAATATTTGTTTTAGTTTTGAAATGACTAAAGTAATCACTATACTAATGGATTTGAAATTCATTAGACTTGCCAAAAAACATAAAATTAATTTACAATTTTTACTTAGACTTATTTAGTTCCAGTTAATTATATTTAATGCTATGCTATGATCTGTGTACAGTAATTAAATGTATCTCAGTTACAGGACTGATAAACATTCCATTTATAATTCATATTTTTGTCTCAAGTACAGTTATTTCCCTTCTATCCCTAGGGTTTGTTCCTTTCAGAAATTTTTGAGAGTTGATTAATTTTAGAATGTTTGTTCTAGTTGTTTCTTTACCTTTAGTCACCAAGTTTGGAGGTGGTTTTATATTTTAGTGGGGAGGAGTGGCTGTTTTGTATAGGCCATTAGGATTGTGTATCTGGATTTTGTGTAAAAATGGACCTTTCCAAGAGGTAACTTATTCAGTTTCAAAACACTAGAAAGAAATTACAGCATTAATTTATGCTTTCCAGTCTTCTGAATCATGGCTATGATAAACTGCTTTCTTGGTTTATGATATGGAATGATTTTTCTCTTTAGTAGATATTTTTCCCAGTAAAACCTTTTTTTTCTGGACTACTATTGAGAATCTAAATATTTTAAATCTAGCATTGTGATAGGCAAAAGGTGCTTTGATAATCTGCCAGATTTCTCCACCACCACCACCACCACATCCCTGACTATGAACCAACTAATCAAAGAGGATCAAATTATGATATTTAAGACACCATTGCTAGGCCAGCTCTAATCTGCTTTCGGGTGCTGGTCCTCAGCCAAACCTGATTGGACTGGGCTCCTGGGAGTCTTTGTGGTGCTTCATGTGCCAGAGCTGAAAATAATGCTGTAAGAGCTGATTGGTCAAGTCTTGCAGGTGACAGCCCAAGGAATCCCAGTCCTCTATCCCATCCACTCATCTGACTGCCCATGCTTGGAAGTGCAGGGTGTTACCAGGCAATAGTGGACATATGCAGACAAGATTTTGCAAAGATAATTGATAGAATACGGTTGTAGGTGACGATTTGGTAAGCACTGCTTACCCTCACACTAGGATTCCAGAATATTGGATTTACCAGCAGGTAGCATATTAAGGAGTCACTGTGTCTTTACTGTGAGTTGCACTGTGGTATGGTAGAAAGAGCATGAACCCTTCAAATTCAAAATTCTAGATTTAAATACCACTTTGACCACCATCTGGTTGTATGGCCTCAAGAATTCACTTAACTTCTTTGAGCCTTTCACCTCCTTGCAAGGTTATTGCAGGGACCAACAGCAACATAGCCATGGTTAAGCACAGAGCCCATTACGGGTTCTAAATAAATGATACCTCAAATCTGTTGGACACAAAGTGCAGTGTGATGTTCAAGGTTACATCACTCCCAAGGACATACGGACTTTTTCTATAGCTTATATGACCATTAAGAGCAAAGACTCATCAAGGAGTCATCAGACAGTCCCCTCGGCAATGGAGATTTGCTATGAGTAGTCAGAACTAGTCTGAACTGATATTTGCATTGTCATTTTGTATACAATCGTGTTTTAAATGTCTACTTTATTTGTGAAATACATAATTTTTATCCTGTAACATTTAAGATTTCAAATTTTGCAGGTCTCCTAATGGAACTGGTAAATTAATGGAACTGTAGTTGTGATCTGTTAATAATAGGGTTATCACCATGGTATACTATAACATTGGACTGAAGTATGAACTCTATTTATACTGTGGAAACCATTTCTTTTCTCACAGCTTTGAAGAGCCCAGCGGCATTCCATGAACAGATAAAAAGCTTGGAACGAGCCAGAGTAAGACATTTCACTTTAAAATGTTCTACTTCTCTCTCCTTCTCTCCTCTCTTCTAAAATACCTGTGTACAAGTAGCAGTGTTACTCCTAAATATGTCAATAGAGAAAAAATAGTGTATTTTCAGGATACATGGCATAGAGAATATTTACTCTGGGATAGTTTGATCTGGAGGTTTGCAGAAAATACATGACATTCAAATTTTGTTCTTTTAAAGCCAGTAACTAGTTTTGTACAAAAAGAACAAATCATACTTCTTCGCTTTCTTGCTCTCAGAGCATAACAACAGTTTTTAGAGGCATAAGAGGGGGTAATTCTGTCATTTGTTACCCCTACAGAGAGACAGCCAAGGATGTGGTGACACCAGATCCTTAGATGATTTCCCTACTGGGTCTTTGTTACCTGTACATTTGACCAACGGTAGGGGAAGATGGCTAAATCAGAAAACGTTGCTACATTCAACTCTGCTTTATTCTTTAAGATGGCACCATCATACTTGCACGTGATAATTGTTAAGATTTTTCTTTAAAAATGCCATTATGAATATTCATTCATTTTGTTTTGGGGAAAATTTCTATCATGCAACATGAAAATAAACATATTCCAAAATTTTCTTAAGAATTTTTCTAGAATGCAATAATGATTTCTTACAGTCTTATAAAACCTGTATGAAGGCTTTCTTCCTTAAGAGTTGAATACATTTCTAATTAAGAAAATCTGATCAAGGATATGAACTTACCAAAGAAAACACATTAAGATTTTTAGGAAATTTGTTATCTAGGTGGATTTTTACTGGACCTGAAGTATAGATTTTATTGAGTTTAGATATTTAAGTGATTTAAATCCTATGTTTATTAAAAAACTATCTTCAAAACACGACCTTTCGATGTTCATAAGTTTTAAAAGTTTATAAATGCTTAGTTTATACCAACATACTCTTCAAGTCTGTGTACAATTTTGAAGGCTACAGTTTAAATCATGTGTTGGATACTAGTTTTTCTAAGTGCTAATTTCTACTCTTCGTCTCAAACACATGACCATAAGCGTATCGTTTATTTAAATGGAATACCTTAAAGAACATTTAAAACCACAATAAATAATAAATGATTTATGGTAAGACTTTTTTTCTTTTTAAAGACTGAAAACTTTTTGAAACACAAGATTCGGAGTCGACCAGATCGTTCTGAACTTGTCAGGATGCACATTTTAGAAGGTAAAGGATTTATTTCTTCTTAATCTGCTGTATTTTTTCAAGAAAAGAAGTGAGAATTTCCACCATTTCTGTTTATTCCCATTTTAATAACTTTTTAACCCACAGCCTTACTTCCTCCAAACTGGATAGCAACATGAAGACCCAAAACTAAAACATGTTAGATACACAGGGAAGGTTTGATTCTTCACATAACCAATTAATGGACTAACACTTCCACACCAGCTGGTACCACAGATGCCTCTACCATACTGTTCCACTAAAAAAATTGGGGTCCAGAGGATTTCTTTATCAGTGAGGGACATGTATCCACTTATTAAGTCATAAAGAATGCAATAGCACAAGTCTAACCCTAGATTTTCAACTACTTGGACCTTGTCTGTGTCTAACTGTACAGTGCCCACACCCAACATTTTCTCTTTATTGCCACTTACCCACAACAAGCCACCTTGAGCTGACCATTAGCACCTCCCATCCACCTCCGCCAAATGATCTCAGTCATCTAACCTCATCACTTACGAGGCTGGTAAGGACAGTTCCATTCCATCTTTGGTTAACACATGGGTCAGGCCAGGATGTTTTTCTCTCTAAAGGCAAAGCATTCTCGAAAGCTTATACCTCCACCATCAACTCCCAAGTTACATTTTCTTTCATTGTTTTGCTTCTCCAACGAATTTATTAAGACTAGGAGCTTGATTCTGTGGTAGTCTTGGGTGTGTTAAGTATTGAGAAGATACAGAAACAATCTGAAAACTTCTCAGACATTGAGAGACAATTGTCAGGTAGAAGGGAGGTTTGTTCTCTGGGCCTAATGATAGGATTAGAGTTAGTATTAAGTTAGGTTGATATTACCAAGTATTAGATTATAACTCAACATAAGAAGTAATATCTTAAAGGTCTGACATGTCCAGAAATGAAATCTTCAGGAGGTGATATGGCTACCATTGTTAGAGGTGTTCCTTCATTGGCCAGTGTGCTAGACTCCAGAGACCCAACAAGTGAGCGAGACAGATGGATGCCTGACTTCACGGAGCTGGCAGTTCTATTTTTGCTAATAAACAAGCAAAACAAGTGAATTACAGATTGTGAGAAGAGCTCTGTGGGGAGTAAACCGACTGCTATGATAGAGAAAAAACTCTCAATATTAAGGATGTGGTAGAGAACTTCGAAGCATCAAGGTGGTCTCTATGACCCCAAGTAGGGGCTCTTCTATTGTAAAGAATCTTTGATTATATGGCTGTCCTCCTCATTCCAGGGGCAGGAGGTGAGAGGTATGTCCCTTTCTCTACTTTGGGTTGTGTTCTCAGAAGTCCGCTGGACTAAAAAGGCTTTTCCAGAACTCCAGTAGTAGGGTAGAGCAGCTACCAGTCAGGGATAAGTGAATCTTCAAAGAAGCAAGTTTACTGGTAAGTAGCCAAGTAAGTGGTTGCTTCTTTGCCTGAAAACATCTTGACCTATAAGGGACATTTTTGTAGTAACAATGCTATCTGTTTCAATTTGCCTTCTAACTGTAACAAGCTTTATTGATATAATTAAAATCAAGGAAAATACATTTAACTCTCAAAATAAATCTTTTTTTAAGACTACCCACCATTTAAAAATTTAACTGTATTTATGAATTAACCATAAGTGATGTTTTTAGGACATCTGTTCTCAAGTTGGGAGTTTTGAAATAAGAAAGAATGTCATTTTATTTTTTGAAGTATCTTAAAACCACCACCACTCCCAACTGTATTTTAACATTAACCCGATTTTGATTGGATTAGATATTTGGCAGGCAAGGGTCTAAGTTACTTCCTGAAGTTCAGCAGCTAAACTTCAGCCTCAGTCATGGAGATAGAGGAATAAGACCAGGAACAGAAACATAACAAAATTCCAGGCTCTACTTACTTACTTACTTGGGAATATTTTCTTTCCATACATATTGCTATCACTTCGGTGATGGTAATGTAAGAGAGGAGAAAGACAGAAGTCTGTCCTACCTAGATCTTAACCAGAGGCATTGAAATATCAACCTGAGAGTAATTCTTATGTTCTGATTCTCCCCAAGTATCATCTTGTATGGTTAGAAGTGTTATCTCAGAAGATTGGGGCCACAGTTGGTTGTATGGGAAAATGATAAAAATGAGATGAACACACATTTTAACTTGTAGATGTCTACATTTATTTACCAATATTCCAACCTTGTGCTAGGGCCTTCTCTTTGGGTAAGACTTTAATGAATGGAGTTCACATCAATCGGAGCTTTAAAATCCTAGATGTTGCAATCTTTTTCTCAAATTTCTTACAGTTGTTAATTGCCCAAACGAATTTGACAGTGATTTTTTAAATGACTCAACCTTTATCAAATCTTTCCAAAGCATTTAAGTTTCCAAGAAATAAACATTTTATTTTTGAAGTTTTATCATTTTCTCATAACATTTAGTTAAATTATGTATTCGCAATAGCGGTCACAACAGATATGAATCATTTTGTGGACAATCAAGGCTCACTTTTGGCAAGCATACAGCTCAGCTGGTGGATAGAGAAGCTACACAGATGTGCTGCAGGGTAACCTCCTAGCCATGTGCTTTCAGTGAGCCTTGGGCTTCACAAGAATAGTCTATTAATACCTACAGACTAAAGAATATCAGTTCATCCTAAGCCGACTTATGGGGAGTTTCATTGAAAGACCTTCTACTGTATAGCTTAAGAGGCAAGCAACTTTCAGCTTGGAATTTTGGGTAGACACCACATCATTATTTTTCATCATTTCTAAACATTTTTTAGAACAATGGAAAAAACATTAACAAGAGTTACCAGAAACACAAGTATGACAGAATAAAGCAGATGGATGAATTATGGTATTTATAGTTTTACATTGGTTGTACCAATTTTATGCATTTGTAAGTAGATGAGTTGATGCCTGTATACAACCATTAATTACTGTATATTATAGTTGAATGTTCCTAACAGACACAAGGATATGTATTCAGAAATAAACCCAAATTCTTAATTATGATGACCGACCGAGACACAGGGGATCAATTCAAGAATATGAATGATAGCTCTTCCCATTGACCTCTGCAGAGAAGCTTATAACCCTAAGAGGCAGTGTCTCCCTTCTAAGAATTGACTTTCCAATGAAGCCAAATCCAGAACTGTCAACTTCTTGAACCATGGGCCACATCCGTCTTGCCCATCCTCTGTATCCCCAATACCTAGTAAATGTGAATTTGACCCTCCTGCCATAAACAAACAATAGCAGTGCCCCACTTTTGGTTTAAGGTCCTGTTAATTTGAGTCTGTGGGCATCCAAATTACATAGACAAAGTAAAGCTATCCAGAACTAAAAAATACAAAATGCATACTGGAGAATTCTTAAACAGTCATTTTCTCTTTCCATAAATATGTCGAGAACACAAAAATGTGTCTAAATCAGTTTAAATTCAGTTTGTTGGCCTGAAATAACATTATGGAATAGAAATAGTAATTCGAGTAATGGTTAAAACTGTGTTTCCTCTTTTAGAAACATTTGCAGAGCCATCCCTGCAGGCTACTCAGATGAAGTTGAAAAGAGCTCGACTAGCAGATGATCTGAATGAAAAGATTGCTCAAAGACCTGGTCCTATGGAGCTGGTAGAGAAAAACATCCTTCCTGTGGACTCCAGTGTTAAAGAAGCAATTATAGGCAAGACTCTAAAAATTTACTATTTGGGGTGAGAAAGAGAAACTTGGAAATTTTAGATAAAACAAATATAATTTAAAGGCTAGCACCGATCGTGAGTATTGTTTTCTGGGTTAATTAGAAATTAACACAGTGATTTGTGTTACTATCATTTCATTATGTATTATAAGTCTAGTATCTGCCGCTGATTAACAGATTCCCTTGTTAGGTCTGAGTTTTAATTCTTAACATTCTGATTTCATCTCACCTTTTGGGGTCCATCTCTTTAGGACTGCATGGAATCATGGTTGATTGTACTGCTTACAGTTCTTGACTACAAATTGCCTAAGCTTTAAAGTCATACCAGTGCAAAATAGGAGGTCCCCAGGGGTGATGAAAACTACAATAGTTTTTAAGATAGGATATTAACTTTTCCAAATTGCTTGCTAAGTAGCATTATTATTGAAATAATTTTCTAAGTTAAACTTATTTAGTTTAATATTTTTACTAACTTTTTATTTCTGTCTACTTCTAGGAAATATAAATAGCATGTTCAGTGTTAGTTCAGGAAGGTGAAGAGCAGATGAGTACAGAATGGTAGTATCTCTCTGTTTTATCCTCGTCTTACCACACTTAGTTACTGATGTTTCTCTTTTTGTTTCTGGCGTAAGCTTTAGCAGAAAAACAGAAAAAATCAGGTGAGATGTCAGTGTAGCTGGGTTGCTCCCTAAAGTGGGAGCGTATCAACATACACCCAGTCATGGCCCCATTTTCCTCCTTGTCACGTTTTTTTGTTTGTTTGTTTTTCTTTTTTGAGACGGAGTCTGGCTCTGTCTCCCAGGCTGGAGTGCAGTGGCACAGTCTTGGCTCACTGTAAACTCTGCCTCCCGGGTTCATGCCATTCTCCTGCCTCAGCCTCCCAAGTAGCTGGGACTACAGGCACCCGCCACATGCCCGGCTAATTTTTTCTATTTTTTAGCAGAGACGGGGTTTCACCGCGCTAGCCAGGATGGTCTCGATCTCCTGACCTCATGATCCACCCGCCTCAGCCTCCCAAAGTGCTGCGATTACAGGCGTGAGCCACCGCACCCAGCCTGTCACGTGTTTTTTTAACAGTTGGATTTCCTGTCAGGATCCAAACAAGGTCCACACGTTGCCTCTGCCTGATATTTCTGTTAAATCTTAATCTATTGGGTGGATCTTTTTTTTTTCTTATTTGTTGAGAAAAAGGCTTGTTTTGTTCTCTAGCATGTCCCACATTCTGGATTTTACTGATTGCATTTGCATCCCCAGGTGTTAAGATTCCTGGCGCTTGTACTTCATGTAACTGGTAGTTGAACCCAAAGTCTTAATCTAATGCAGGTTAGATTTTTCTTTTTCACTCAAGAATACATCATGGTTAGTGGTGTGTTCTTGCACTGGGAGGTACATTGTGTTCAATTTTTTTTTTAAGCAGCTTCATAAATTTTCATAGGAAACAATGTTTTCCTCCTTCACATTAAGCTTGGTATTCCAAAGCCAACATAAGTCAAGTCAAAAATCATTTCTTTCTTTAGGCGTTGGGAAGGAGGACTATCCCCACACTCAGGGCGATTTCTCATTTGATGAAGACAGCAGTGACGCTTTGTCTCCGGACCAGCCTGCGAGTCAGGAGTCACAGGGGTCAGCCGCGTCCCCAAGTGAGCCAAAAGTTAGTGAATCGCCATCTCCTGTGACTACAAACACTCCAGCGCAGGTATTATCTTTCTGGTTTTGACCCCTAAAGAAAGAAAATGCCTTGTTTTTTTTTAATATATTAAGGTAATACACTTTGACCAGAAGAAAATTCTGAATTGAATTTAAATTGATTTATTAAGCAAAAAGCAGGCACTTAACTGCCCTCCAGGAAGGTAATAAAGATTTCCAGCCACTATGTCTTCATCACAAGTAGGTAATACCATTTCCTGAAATCTTGGAGAGTTGAATGTTTTGATCATTGATGGAACTGAATTTGTTTGTTCAACAAATACACATTGAGCACCTATTATGTTTCAAATTTATTGGGAACTGAGAATCTAGTGCATACAAAGGAATGTAAGAAATATTTTGGTAATTGCATTGGAAATTTACATGTCTTTTAATGGGTGTCCATGTTTCCTTTGGCTTTATAATAATTCTTGTGCTGTACATAATTTTTCTCTCCTTATAGTGCTTTTGCCTTACTGAAATTTTAATAGTGTTATTTTAAAGTCAAAACTATTGAACTACTTAATGGGAGTGATCAAGTCAGCAGAAAATGTTCTTGATAAGCCTGGCATCATAGAATTTTTGAGTTAGAAAGGAATTTAGCAATTATCTGCTTTAACCCTTATACAAGAGGCAGTCTGGGTTCACAGAAGTATGGAAGTTTGGGGATTAAAAATGCCCATTTTCTTACAGCATTTCTTCTCATTCATGACCATTGATTTGTTAGGAGCTATGTCTTTCAGCATTATTTTCTTCATTGCATTTATCACCATGATCTGAAATATGTTTATTTGTTTGTTGTCTGTATGCCTGCAGCTAAAATGTGAGCCTATGAGAGGGACTTTGACTGTTAGCAGATAAGAGCTACTTTGGAGAGGGAGGGAAGGGGAGAGAGAGCAAGTATATTTTGAGCATCTAGTACAGGGCTTGGAACAGAAAAGGTGCTTAGTAAATGCTGACTTGAATTCAGCACCTTGAATGCAGACTGACACAATGGTTGTGGAAGCTTGTTTCTCTTCTCCTTCCATGTGAATGTAGAGCCGCTACAGCTTGGACTCATCAGTGGTAGTGTGGATGGCTACAGTTCCGATTGTCCTCTCCAAGTTCACAGGGCAGGGGTGATCCTGGCCTAGAAGTAGTATGAGGGTCAGTGACCAACCCACAGTCTGAGGTTTGAGCAGGCAGAAAGCGAGAGCAAGGGAGACTAAACCCTACTGTGTTCTCACATATTTGCTGCACCCTGGTTTTGAGCTTTAAAAATTCAGTAAAAAGAATGTCAAGTATGCAAGTAGATACCATTAACAAACAGTTACACTTATCCATTTGGGTTGTTTGTTCTCTGCTACTGTTTTGAGTAGGTTAGGATGTCAGACAGCAATTAGCATGGCCTTAACTTTTAGTAATACAGAATGTGTCACAACAGCCATCAGTTGTTTAAATTCCATGATCATTTCACCTGCATGAAAGATTATAATTCTCTTCCTTGTATTGCTGGTACTACTGTGTTTTATTTCCATACTCTTAAAACGTGGTCTCCAGCTAAGTTTTTAATTGAGACGCTTTAACAAGAGGCATTCCCACACAGTGAGCTGACATTCCAGAATTCCTTGAAGGAAAATAGTAATAACAGTGTTTCTTGAAGAATAAATATGGTCTGTTTATTCCCAGTGCAACACACATTAAGCCTTGGGTCATTCCTGAATTTAAGCATTAGTTTTCGTAGTACCTTCAGTGCTGCTGCAGTACAGTTCTGCCTGTTACATGCAGACCACATTAACAGTCAGCTTTTTATCTGTCAACTAGGGCGATGGGAGAAGACCCACTTTACAGGATGTTAACAGTTCCTATGTATACATTCAAGAAAAAAAACCTGGAGTCAGGGTTGGCTCCACTGTAGCTTTGCCTGTTAAATCATTTCTGTCCTATGTGCCTTGAGACCTCTTAAAATTGTGGCCTTCATGAAACCCCCTTGTATTAAGTGTTCTAGTATTTATAAGTAAGGAATCTGACAAAGATTCTTATTATACTTTTATTCATGTAATTAAAGAAGCATGTCCATGGTAACTATGCCATACAGATGTCAAAGAAAGATAATTCTTAAGTAGGATTATTAATACGTTGTAGGTGCTTCGTTTTGGTTTCTTTTTTTAATTAACTACAGAGGCGAACTTTATGATGCTGGTAAAGTCTTGGGGATTTTTATGTCATCTAGAGGTGATAAGTTTTGTTTTGGCAAATTTTATACTTTATTTTCACTGTTATCCAGTGTTTGGTTATAGAATTTGCCCAGGCATCTCACTTGATGTATATAAAATATATTTATCTACCTAAATATACTTACTTTCATATTCGTAGCCCAAGGGGAAAGGACCTTGACACATTGCTTCTCCTTAGACACAAAGTTCCTAGAGGACAGGGATTTATCTTAGTAACCTCATACTCAGCACAGGGGTCCAGCACACAGCAAGTACTTACTTTACTTAACTGATTTAATGCATGACAGATCCTTGGAGACTCTCTCTGCAGTCTGTTTTTTCCTGCTTTAGAATTACCATCATACCACTGCCACAAAGACGAGCTATGACACAATTTACTAAAATGTGCTTGTAAAGCAAGATAATAAAAGAGCAACATACACGTCTTGTCTTTCAGGGGTTCTTTGAGATTCTTAATTTTTAATCTTGAAAATAACTCATTGTAAGAGTTTGATGGTAAATTTCATTGCTGTTGACCAGTCCTCGAATTGGCTGTAGTGGAGGACTAGCTTGATTTTTTTAGATATTTCTTTCCTTTTTTTTTTTTTTTTTTTTTGAGAGGGAGTCTCACTCTGTCACCCAGGCTGGAGTGCAATGGTGTGATCTCAGCTTACTACAACCTCTGCCTCCCGGGTTCAAGCGATTCTCCCGCTTCAGCCTCCCAAGTAGCTGGAATTACAGGCACCCGCCATCATGCCCAGCTAATTTTTGTATTTTTGTAGAGACAGGGCTTCACCATGTTGGCCATGCTGTCTTGAACTTCTGACCTCAGGTGATCTGCCCACCTCGCCCTCCCAAAGTGCTGGGATTACAGGAATGAGCCGCCGCACCTGGCCCATTTAATTTTCGATGCATGTGGACTAATCCTTGTAAAGTACAAGTGGTGGGGTAACATCAAATTTCTATATGACTTTCTAACTGGTCACAGGCAGGTAACAGAGGTCCACAGACCATACTTTGAGTGAAATCTCTGCCTTAGATTTCACTTTCCTTCTTGTTTGCCTGAGCCAAATTTTGTCATGTATTTATTACTCATTTTGTGCTGCATGTTTAATCCTATGGCTTAAAATAAGCTATCCAACCTACAGCCCACAGGCTGCATGCGGCCCAGGACAGCTTTGAACGCAGCCCAACACAAATTCATAAACTTTCTTAAAACATTATGAGTTTTTTTGTGTGATTTTTTTTTTCTTTTAGCTCACCAGCTATCGTTAATGTTAATGTATTTTATATTTGGCCCAAAACAATTCTTCTTCCAGTGTGGCCCAGGGAAGGCAAAAGATTGGACACCCCTGGCTTAAACACATTTTTCTAATTTCCCTGTTTAGGTTTTTTTTTTTATTATTATTATTCCTGACTGAGGCAGGGGGCAGTGGCTCAGGCCTATAATTCCAGCACTTTGAGATGCCAAAGTGAGAGGATCACTTGACCCCAGGAGTTCAAGACCAGCCTGAGCAACATAGCGACACCTTGAACATCAGTGATCATTAAAGAAATGCAAATCAAAACCACAATGAGATACCATCTCATGCCAGTCAGAATAAAAGTCAAGAAACAACAGATGCTGGTGAGGCTGCGGAGAAATAAGAACACTAGAAATAGGGAGAGGTGGCTGTTTTTTCACATGCCAAATTTTCAACAAAAGATACAAAGAAGGCAGGCATGATAGCACACACCTATAATCCCAGCTTACTTGGGAAGCTGAGGCAGGAGGATTACTTAAATCCAACAGTTCAAGTCCAGTCTGGGCAACATAGCAAAATCCCATTTAAAAAAAACAAGGCAGGGTGCAGTGTCTCAGACCTGTAATCCCAGCAGTTTGGGAGGCCAAGGCAGGTGGATTGCTTGAGCTCAGAAGTTCAAGACCAGCCTGGGCATCATAGTGAGACCCCATCTCTACTAAAAATACAAAAAGAAATAGCTGGGCGTGGTAGTGCATACCTGTGGTCCCAGCTGCTCAGGAGGCTGAGGTGGGAGGATCACCTGAGACAAGGGAGCAGAGGTTGCAGTGACCCAAGATCATACCACTATACTCTAGCCTGGATAACAGAGCGAGACCCTACACACACCCCCACAAAAAAGAAAAAGAAAAATATGACCATTCAGGGAACAAAATAAATCTCCAGAAACTATCTTAGAAGAAACACACATATCTGCCCTACTGGACAAAGACTTTAAAGTAATTATCTTAAATATACTCAAAAACTAAAAGAAAGAAAACATGGACAACAAACTAAAGGAAATTAGGAAAACTATATATGAACAAACTGAGAATGTGGTAGAAATTATTTTTTAAACCCAAACAAATTATGTAATTGAAGATATAATGGAATTGAAAAATTCACTAGAGGCTTGAACAGCAGACTCAAACAAGCAGAAGAAAGAATCTGCAAATGGGAAGGCAGATGATTTGAAATTGAGTCTGAAGACAAAAGGAAAAAAGAATGAAGAAAAGTGAACAGAGACTTAAGAGACTTATAGGACACCATCAAGCGATCAATGTATTCACTATGAGAGTTCCAAAAGGAAAGAGAGAAAGGGGCAAATACAGTAATTAAAGAAATAATGGCCCAAAACTTCACAAATAGGAGGAAAGACATGGATATACAAATACAGTCATGCTTTGCTTAACAACAAGGATACATTCTGAGCAAAGCATTTGTAGTAGTCAGTTCTCACACCACTATAAAGAACTACCTGAGACTAGGCAATTTATGAAAAGAGGTTTAATTGACTAACAGTTCCACGGGCTGTACAGGAGGCATGGCTGGGGAGGCCTCATGAAACTTACAGTCACAGTAGAAGGGTGAAGGCAAAGCAAGCATGTCTTCACATGACAGCAGGAGAGAGCGAGCGAGCACAGGGAGAAATGCTACACACTTTCAAACAACCAGATCCCATGAGAACTCATTCACTATCATGAGAACAGAAAGGGGGAAGTCTGCCCCCATGATTCCCACCAGGCCCCTCTTCCAACACTTGGGGATTACAATTTGACATGAGATTTGGTCATGATTCAAATTATATCAGCATTGTTTGACAGTTTTGTTGTTGTGAAACATCATAGAGTATACTTACACAAACCTAGATGGTATGGCCTACTACACCTACTACAGTGTGCCTTTACAGTGTAAATGGTTTTTTTACTACATTTACAGTGTAAATGGTTTTTTAAAATACTACACCTGTATAGAGCAGCTCCATTATAATCTTCTTATGTGCAGCCCATTGTTGACCACAATGCCTGTACAAGAAATTCAATAAACTCCAAAGACACCCGCAGGAACGCACATTATAATCAACTGTCTAGAGTCAAATAAGACAGAATCTTAAAAGCAGCAAGAGAAAAGTGACTGGTCACCTACAAGGAATCCTCAATAAGACTATCAGTGGATTTCTCAGTAGAAGCCTTGAAGACCAGAAGGCAGTGGGATGATATATTTAAAATGGTGAAAGAAGAAAACAGTCACCTGAAAATTGTATATCCAGCAAAATTGTTTTCAAAAATAAAGGAGAAATTAAAACATTCCCAGACAAACAAAAGCAGAGGTAGTTTATTACCACTAGAATTGCTCTACAAGAAATGCTAAAAAGAATCCTTCAATCTGAAGTGAAAGGATGCCAGATAGTAACTCAAAGCCATATGAAAATATAAAATTGGCTGGGCACGGTGGCTTACACCTGTAATCCCAGCACACTTTGGGAGGCCAAAGCGAGCGGATCACCTGAGGTCGGGAGTTCAAGACCAGCCTGACCAACATGGAGAAACCCTGTCTCTACTAAAAATACAAAATTAGCCAGATGTGGTGGCGCGTGCCTGTAATCCCAGCTACTCGGGAGGCTGAGGTAGGAGCATCGCTTGAATCCAGGAGGTGGAGGTTGTGGTGAGCCATGATCGCGCCATTGCACTCCAGCCTGGGCAACAAGAGCAGAATTCTCATCTAAAAAGAAAAAAGAAAAAGATAATACATGGACAAATATTAAAACAGTATTATAATTTTGGTCTGTAACTCTACTTTTTTTCCTACAGGATTTAAAATACACATTCATTAAAAATTACAAATCTATGTTAATGGCCACACAGTATATAACAACGTAGTTTGTGAATGATGTCAGTAACATAGAGGGGGTGAAGCTGTAAAGAAGTAGCATTTTTTTATGTGACTGAAGTTGTTATCAATGTAAGATAGAATGTCGTAATTCTAAGATGTTATTTGTAATTCCTATGGAAACAAACAAAAAATCCGTAGAATCTGTGAACAGGCATATGCAAACCTACCCCCAAAAGCTGAGGAAGCTCAGAGGCCAAAGAAAGAGGCTGACAAACCCAGTTTCTCAGAGAGAAATATTTTATAGGAACTTAAAAACAGAAGCAATGTCTTGGGTGGCTGTCCACACCTGCCATCCAGAAAGCATTCATTCATTCATTCATTCATTCATTCATTCATTCATGCCTGGCTAATTTTGTAGAGACAGGGTTTCGCCATATTGACCAAGCTGGTCTCGAACTCCTGAGCTTAGAGAGTCTGCCCACCTCAGCCTCCCAGAGATATTCTTTATATAGCAAGCTTTTAGGATAAAACATGTGCAGCTGGTCACATCTTCAGACTTTCTTGTCAGGACGTGACCACTGGGGAAGTTTGATAGCATCTTTATGAGGGGTTATCTATGCCATAGGCATTGTGTAAAGACCTTACTGCAGAACACCTTGCTGTGGAGGGGCCAACCACCAGTCATCATGGTAGTTTTGTTTCAAGATGGCATCAGACACTCTTGGCCATGCGACAGGCTATTTTTCAACAATGCAAAAGGAGAGGAGAATGGAATCAAAACAAGGCACTACAAAGCATCAAACACAGACATCCTGTGTTCATGGAAGACTTAATATTGTTAATATGTCAGTGCTACCCCAAACAATCTACAGATTCAGTACAGTTCATATCAAAATCCTAATGTTGATTTTTGCAGAAATAGAAAAATCTTATGGAATCCTGAAAAACCAAAACAGTCTTGAATTTTAAAAAAGTTAGAGGTCTCATGCTTCCTAATTTCGAAACTTACTACAAAGACACAGTAATTAAAACAGTGGTATTGGCATAAGATAAATAGAACAGTGAGCCCAGAAATAAGCCCTTAGATATGGGATCAAATGATCTTCAACAAAGGTGCCAAGACCATCCAGTGGGGAAAGGATAGTCTCGTCAACAAATGGTACTGGGAAAACTGGATATCCACATGCAAAAAAGAATGAAGTTGGACCTTTACCTAACATCGTAGGCAAAAATTGACTCCATAGACAAAGATCTAAATATAATAACTAAAACTATAAAACTCTTAGAAGAAAATGTAGGGGAAAGCTTCATTACACTGGATTGGTTTCTTGGATATGACACCAAGGCAGCAAAAGAAAAAATAATTTGAGGAAAGAAATCTTTCCTCAAAACGTTTTGGCCAGACATGGTGACTCACGCCTGTAATCCCAGCTGTTTGGAAGGTCACAGCAGGAGGATCCCTTGAGGCCAGGAGTTGAAGACCAACCTGGACAACATAGTGAGACCTCATCTCTACAAAAAATAAAAATTAAAAAAATTAGCTGGGCATGGTGGCGTGCACCTATAGTCCTAGCTACTCCAGAAGCTGAGATGAGAGGATGACTGGAGCCCAGGTTTGAGGTTACATTGAGCTATGAAAGCACCACTGCACTCCAGCCTGGGGGACAGAGCGAGAACCTGTCTCTTAAAAAAAAAAGAAACAAGAAAAAAACTTCAGTGCATCAAAGGACATCAACAGAGTAAAAAAGCAATCCAAAAAATGGAAGAAAATATTTGCAAATCATATATCTTATAAGGATTTGCTATGGTTTGGATGTTTGTCTCCTTCAAACCTCATGTCAAAATTTGATCCCCATTGTTAGAGGTAGGGCCTAATGGGATGCATTCGGGTCATGGGGGCAGATCCCTCATGAATAGATTAACAGCCTCCCTTAGAGATAAGTGAATTCTCACTGCATTAGTTCCCGTGAGAGCTTGTTGTTAAAAAAACAAAAACAAAACAAAAAGAAAGAAAGAAAAGCCCAGCCCCTCCCCGCTCTCTCTTGCTTCCTCTTTTCCCCTGTAATGTCTGTACACTGGCTCCATTTCCCCTCCCACCATGAGTGGAAGCAGCCTGAGGCCTTGCCAGATGCACATGCTGGTGCCACGCATCCTGTACAATCTGCAGAATCGTGAGCCAAATAAACCTCTTTTATAAATTATCCAGCCTCAATTTTTTTTTGTTTTGTTTTTTTGAGATGGAGTCTTGCTCTGTTGCCCAGGCTGGAGTGCAGTGGCACAATCACGGCTCACTACAACCTCCACCTCCCAGGTTCAAGGGATTCTCCTGCCTCAGCTTCCTGAGTAGCTGGGATTACAGGCATGCAACACCACGCCCAGCTAATTTTTGTATTTTTAGTAGAGACAGGGTTTCACCATGTTGGTCAGGTTGGTCTCAAACTCCTGACCTCATGATCCAACTGCCTTGGCCTCCCAAAGTGCTGGGATTACAGGAGGGAGCCACCACGCCCTGCCAAATATTTTTTAAAAGCAGTCCAAAACAGACTAAGACAGGACTAATATCTAATGTACAAAAAGAACTCCCACAACTCAACAACAAAAAAACTGTTCAAAAATGGGCAAAGGTTTGAATGTGGTTTTTGTTGCAGTCTATCTTAAAAAAAAAAAAAAAACAGGCAAAGGACTTGAATAGACATCCTTCTTAAGAGGATATGCAATTGGCCAATAAGCATCTAACAAGATACTGGATATCACTAATCATTAAGGAAATGCTAATCAAAACCACAAGATACCACCTCATGCCCATTACAATGGCTACTATCAAAAGAACAAAAAATAAGTTTGGAAGAATGTGGATAAATTGGAACTCTTGTATACTGTTGGTGGGAAAGTGAAATGGTATAGCCACTGTGGACAATGTTCAGTCCTCAAAAAATTAAACTAGAATTGCCAAATGAACCAGCAATTCCACTTCTGGGTATATGCCCAAAAGAAAACAGGGCTGGGCGCAGTGGCTTACACTTGTGATCCCAGCACTTTGGGAGGCCAAGTTGGGCGGATCACAAGGTTAGGAGATCGAGACCATCCTGGCCAACATGGTGAAACCCTGTCTCTACTAAAAATAGAAAAATTAGCTGGGCGTGGTGGTACGTGCCTGTAATCCCAGCTACTCAGGAGGCTGAGGCAGGAGAATTGCTTAGAACCCAGGAGGTGGAGGTTGCAGTGAGCCAAGATTGCGCCACTGCACTCCAGCCTGGGCAACAGAGCTAGACTCCGTCCCAAAAAAAAAAAAATAGAAAACAGAAGTTAGATCAGATATTTGTATATCCCTGTTCATAGCAGCATTATTCACAATAGCCAAAATGTGAAAGCAACCCAAACGTCCACTGCCAGATGAATGGATAAACAAAATGTGCTATATTTATACGTTGGAATAGTATTCAGCCTTTAAAAAGGAAGCAAATTCTGCATTCCGTCATTGATGAAACTCTAGCTCATGTTCAATGAAATTCAGCCAGTCACAAAAAGACAAATACTGTGTGATTCCACTTATATAAGATTCTTAGAGTAGTAAAAATCATAGAGGCAGAAAAGAAAATGATGATTGCCTGGGGGTGAGGGGAATGTGGAACCAGGGGGACATTGTTTAATGGGTATAGTGTATTGCTTGGGAACATGAACAAGTCTGGAGGTTCCGGTAGTGATGGTTGCAGAACAATATAAATGTAATTAATGCCATATACTTAAAAATGGTTAAATAGTAAATTTTGTGTTATATACATTTTAGTATAATTTTTTAAATGCACTTTTAAAGCAGGGATACGTGCAGATCCTCACTACCAATCAGGTCATCAAGTACCCACTGAACGTCCACTAGATTCTGTGCAAGGAAATTCACTTTTAATATTCACTTACTTATTCTAAAAGTGAAATGCTTAAACTTATAGGAACAAATAGTCAGTGCTAGGTGATACATTTTAACAAAGCTAGAGTTTTACGTAAAATATTCATCTATTAAATATGCAATGCGTGATTTTTGTTTTATTCAACTCATTTTTCATTTTATTTGGGGATTAGAATATGAAAACAATATTTAAAGAGTAATTGCATTTTGCCATCTTAGTTAAGAACTCTGCTGCATCCTAAATTAAAAACATTATTGACTTAAAATCTATAATACAAAAAAGCTTTGTTTTTAAATACCTAGTTTCTGTCCCTCAAGACCACATAAAGAAATTCTAATAAAGAGGAACAGTCCGGAAGCAATGACTGGCCCTTGTCCTGTGTACCATATTCTGCAGCAGGAACAGTGCAGACATCTGAAACAGGATAGAGCTTTAATCAGCTGAGAGGTTTGCTCTGACTTCTGTTTTTTTTATATTGTAGCAAAGCTTTCCTGTAGCCATTTCTAGTAGGAGAAAAGTCAGTCTTTATGATCAACAGTGCCTTTTTAGTTTTTTTTTTGAATGCATAAATATCCATTAAAAACCATCTTTCTGACATTTTCTTGTATGGGTTTCTGATGAAAATTAAAGATCTGGCCCTCGTGAGACCTGTAACCTGTAATGGAAACAGTGGTCAGATCCAATAAGACAAAGCAAAGTTTGCAGCTTTTTTTGTTTCTTTGGGGAAACAATTCAATCATTTTGAAATTAAATTTTTGTAGAACATAGGTTGAACTTAGGTCTCGGCAGCAATTTAAACCTATTTATATTTTAAATAATAAAAGTATTCTTTTGGATTCCCTATTTAATAAATGGTGCTGGGAAAACTGGCTAGCCATATGTAGAAAGCTGAAACTGGATCCCTTCCTTACACCTTATACAAAAATTAATTCAAGATGGATTAAAGACTTACATGTTAGACCTAAAACCATAAAAACCCTAGAAGAAAACCTAGGCATTACCATTCAGAACATAGGCATGGGCGAGGACTTCATGTCTAAAACACCAAAAGCAATGGCAACAAAAGCCAAAATTGAGAAATGGGATCTACTTAAACTAAAGAGCTTCTGCACAGCAAAAGAAACTACCATCAGAGTGAACAGGCAACCTACAAAATGGGAGAAAATTTTCGCAACCTACTCATCTGACAAAGGGCTAATACCCAGAATCTGCAATGAACTCAAACAAATTTACAAGAAAAAAACAAACAACCCCATCAAAAAGTGGGCAAAGGACATGAACAGACACTTCTCAAAAGAAGACATTTATGCAGCCAAAAAACACATGAAAAAATGCTCACCATCACTGGCCATCAGAGAAATGCAAATCAAAACCACAATGAGATACCATCTCACACCAGTTAGAATGGCAATTATTAAAAAGTCAGGAAACAACAGGTACTGGAGAGGATGTGGAGAAATAGGAACACTTTTACACTGTTGGTGGGACTGTAAACTAGTTCAACCCTTGTGGAAGTCAGTGTGGTGATTCCTCAGGGATCTAGAACTAGAAATACCATTTGACCCGGCCATCCCATTACCGGGTATATACCCAAAGGACTATAAATCATGCTGCTATAAAGACACATGCACACGTATGTTTATTGAGGCACTATTCACAATAGCAAAGACTTGGAACCAACCCAAATGTCCAACAATGATAGACTGGATTAAGAAAATGTGGCACATATACACCATGGAATACTATGCAGCCATAAAAAATGATGAGTTCATGTCCTTTGTAGGGACATGGATGAAATTGGAAATCATCATTCTCAGTAAACTATCACAAGAACAAAAAACCAAACACCACGTATTCTCACTCATAGGTGGGAATTGAACAATGAGAACACATGGACACAGGAAGGGGAACATCACACTCTGGGGACTGTTGTGGGGTAAGGGGAGGGGGGAGGGATAGCATTAGGAGATACACCTAATGCTAAATGACGAGTTAATGGGTGCAGCACACCAACATGGCACATGTATACATATGTAACTAACCTGCACATTGTGCACATGTACCCTAAAACTTAAAGTATAATAATAATAAAATAAAAAATAAAAATAAATTAAAAAAAGATTCTGACATATTGCTGAATTTACTGTGGAACAAAATAAGTTTAAGTATCTCTTATGGCCTGAATACTTTAACTTTTATTTTAGGTTCACAGGTACTTGTGCAGGTGTGTTATATTCGTAAATTGTGTGTCACAGGGATTTGATGTAGATTCTTTTGTCACCCAGGTACTAAGCCCAATACTCAATAGTTATTTTTTCTGCTCCTCTCCCTCTTTCCATCCTCTACCCTCAAGTAGGCCCCAGTGTGTGTTGTTCCCCTCTATGTGTCCATGTGTTCTCATCATTTAGCTCCCGCTTGTGAGAACATGCAGTATTTGGTTTTCTGTTCCTGCATTCGTTCACTACTGTAATGGCCCCCAGCTCCAGGCCTGGATACTCTTTTAATCCTTTTTGGAATACATCACTTCAAAATTACTCACACTTAGATTCTTCTGCTAACTTTAGCCACTAGGAGCCTGACCCCTTGATACGGTCTAAGTGGGGTTTGGTACGGGAACGGAGGGGCTTTTGTTGTGTTTTGGTCCTTTCTAAAGCACATTAAAATGGCTGGCAAAATTAGAAGTTTTGATATATTTATCTTCAGATTAGGTAGAGTCAACAATCACTGTATTTCAGTTGGGTTATTCTTGTGTTATGCTGGAGTCTGGTTTTCTGAGTAGCAAAGTCACACTGAAATACCAAAAGAGCTAATAAGATAGGCACAGTCTAGAAATTTAGGCAAGACATCATAAATATTACATTTGATACTACATCCATGCTCCTGGGTTATTTTTCATGTGATTAACACTTACTGCTCTCAGATTCATCACACTATCTTCAGTCACTGGGGGCTGGACTGGTAAAATAGCTTGCCAGGTAAGGATTTATATGCAAAGAAATCTATATAGAGATCAGAATTCAAACATTTTAGTCTCTTTCACATACCAGTTACATAATAGCCAAGGAATGTTTTCCCCTCTGTGAACACTGACCCAGAGATAAGTATCCCCATTTCAAAAAAATATGCAAGATGAAAGGAAAACCAACCACGTAAAGTCATATTCAGTAAAGAAGTGATCAGCTAACATCTTCCACTTTATGTATGAGGCTTGGTTGGTCGGAGATTCACTGAGGAGCCAGATGTCTCAGGGCTCTTTGCGGGCAGAAGTCTGCTGGAACACAGGTGTCCATTCTCTTAGATGAGCCCTTTCCCTTCATGTCTGTTTAAAAATGAAATTGAATGCAGCCATCTTTCAAAGTAAGGTCCTTCATATTGTCAACACTCACAGTTACTAATAACTGAAAAGCTGAAATCAGCAGCTGAAACCTCAGGGAGCGAGAGAGCTGACAAGGGCATGCACGATTAATTGCACACTCGCACACCCACGGTCTCAGCGGGGCTTGAGAACGTGACCCAGTGTGAGTAAAGCCAGAAGAAATGCCCATTCATCAATTAAACAAATATTTGTTTGAGTTAACTAGTATGTGCCAAGCTTCATATTTCATGCTGCTAATAGCCCTCCAAGTTTTCAGGTCATTTATTTTAAGGAGGAAAAATACAGTTTGCTATTTTAAAATGCAAATACTTTAACAAGATTTTGATTGTTGGTGTAGTGAATTTAAGAGTTGTTCAGGGAAGTGGAAGTGTTAAAGGAGGACATTTTTCCTTAAGATAAGGGTGGTGTAAGTAAGTCCAAGTAGTAATCAATATGCAAATTTTGACTAGTTTATTACAATAGTAATTGTTCTTTACAATAAAATACTTAAAATCTATGTAAAGTAGATTGCTAGTGAGAATTGATAAAACCTAGTAACGCCTTCTGTAGCTTCCTTTGTTAATAATATGTGACTCCAAACTGAGATTCAGCAATTGTTAATTTTGGCCTGGGTAACAAAGTAGCTTCTTGTTTTAACTATGGAGAGATAATGTTGTCGGTAAAACAGATCAGTCTTACCAAAATATATTCTTCAAATCTTCTGTTGCAAGAAATGGGGGAATATGGTTAATGAGAGTTCTAGTCAGATTTGGAGAGAGGAACAGAGGGTGTAAAGCACATTTATGGACACATGGGTGGCATGGGCATTCGGGAAGGATGCTGCCGGAGGGTAGGTCGAGTGTGATGCAGGGAAGCCTGAAGGTCGTGTTTGGATCAGCCAGGGTCAGCATGACCTGTATAGCAAAGGGACTTTATGAATACCATGTATTGACCAGGCACAGTGGCTCATGGGTGTAATCTCAGCACTTTGGGAGGCCGGGGCAGGTGGATCACTTGAGGTCAGGAGTTCAAGACCCAGCCTGGCCAACGTGGTGAAACCCGCATCTCTACTTAAAATACAAAAACTAGCGGAGTGTGGTGGTACATGCCTGTAGTTCCAGATACTTGGGAGGCCAAAGCTGGAGAATTGCTTGAACCCAGGAGGCAGAGGTTGCAGTGAGCCAAGATCACCCCACTGCATTCCAGCCTGAGTGAGACTCCCTCTCAAAAAAAAAAAAAAAAAAAAAAAGAATGCCATGTATTGTTTTGATCATATATACAAGTGTCTTGGACTTTTCTTTCCCTGCCAATAAAGAGTGGGTTCTGACTGTCTTTTTGAGAAAATACTCCAGTATCGTCAGTCTACCTTACTTGGCTTTAGTTATTCACTGCTCTTAAAGACTAAATGATTGGCTCCACTGAGGCGTAAAGCATGTTATTCCACCATCTGGCCTCAGACATAATCATATATTTTTCCTTTGCTTCTTTTCTAGTGGGCTTAAAAACCAGGTCATTCCCTTGTAATTCTAATTTTTCTGTTTTTATGATCATTAATTTCACAGACTTGTTCCTTTTTGCCTTTTCCACCAGTTTGCTTCAGTGTCCCCAACAGTTCCTGAATTCTTGAAAACTCCTCCAACTGCAGATCAGCCTCCCCCACGGCCTGCAGCTCCTGTCCTCCCCACAAACACTGTGTCCTCAGCAAAGCCTGGCCCAGCACTGGTGAAGGTGGGTACTTTGGATACACCCTGGGTTTGGTGGCTTTATTTGTGACTCTGTCTATAACCCTGTGAATGGAAGACAAAGGCATTTATCCAACTTGCTCAGCCTGCCTTTTAGCCCAAAGTCTTAAAAACTAAGCCATGCAAAGACTTGCTAGACTGGGGTCTTCATGTTTGAAATTGTGCTATAGTCATAGAAAAATGGCACAAATTTTGGTCTACTTAAAACACTAGGGGCTGGATGCAGTGGCTTACCTCTGTAATCCCAGTGCTTTGGAAGGCTGAGGCAGGAGGACGACTTGAGGCCAGGAGTTTAAGAACAGCCTGGGCAACATAGCAAGACACTGTCTCTACAAAAAATTCAAAAAGTTAGCCAGAGGTGGTGGTGCATGCCTATAGTCTCAGCTACTCAGGAGGCTGAGGCAAGAGGATCACTTGAGCCCTGGAGTTTGAGGCTGCAGTGAGCTGTGATCACACCATTGCACTCTAGCTTGGGTGACAGAGCAAGACCCTGTCTCTTTAAAAAAAAACAAAACCAACTACTGGGGCTACGCAGAAAGCCCTGGTTCTGCCACCCAGGCCACTAAGATGAAACAAGAGAAAAACAGATTTAAACTTTTTAGAATTGTGTTTAGAACTTCTAGATATGGTGGGTGAGGAGAATAAAGTGAGGAATAGTTTAGGTGAATATAGATCTCAAACTTTTAAAACTAAAAAAGGATATTACAGTTAGCTAACTTCTCACCACCCTTCAGATGGGGAGACTGAGGCCCAAAGAAGAAATGACAAAGCCAGGAAGGGTCCCAACCTCCCGAATCCAAGTCTAGCTCTCTCCTGCCTCCCCAACCTGTTGCAGAACTCTTCTGAGGCAAGGGAGCATCTTTCAGATGAACACAATGCATATTCCTCACGGCCCTAAGTCGCCGGGACTGTCCCTGTCCTTGACCTTTCTGGAGAGAAGGCCCTTGTCAGCGTGGCCGAGTATTGGTGGCTTCAGGACATACATCAGTGTGTTTCCCCATCTTCTGTTGCTTAGCATTGGAGTCGGAAATTCCAGAGGGTTGCAAGTGGCAACCATCCCCATGAAATCAGTTTTATACCTCCTCTCCCAACATCCCCACGCATGCAACCCCGACGGCACAGAGGGTCTGCGTGCACAGCCCTCCTTCCCTGCCGATCCTCAAACGGGTTCTCTGCCTCTCCCTCTCTCTGAATGTCTGCTCTTCACTGATGTCTTTAAGGAAGGCTTTGGTTCTAGAGGAAGAAGCATTGTTTAAGAATGTGAAATTCAGGGGTTGGTTAGATAATTCTAGGACTATGCCAAGAGAGGAGGGGACAGGAACACATTAGGAAACAGACCAGAATTCTTCCAGTGTTTCTATAAGGAAAGCTGTTTCCCATCCTTCACTTGTGGGGGCTGATAGGTAGTAGCAGATTCCATCTGAGGAACACTAGTTATTATGTTTCTGTGCCCCTCCTCTACAGGTGCCTTCCTGACAGTGGCTGGGACAATTATTTTATCACTCTACAACGATTATACTCGAACCGCATTTTGAGTGTAAATTATCCTAGACCCCGTTCATTCTTATGATCAGTTTTAAAAGACTAAAAATAAAATGTATAGCCAGGTGCAGTGGCTCACGCCTGTAATCCCTGCACTTTGGGAGGCCAAGGCAGGCAGATTGCTTGAGCTCAGGAGTTTGAGCCAGCCTGGGCAACATGGCAAAACCCCATCTCTATAAAGTGTACAAAAAAATTAGTTGGGCATGGTGGCACACACCTATGCTCCCAGCTACTCGGAGGCTGAGGTGGGAGGATCACTTGAGCCCAGGAGGTTAAGGCTGCAGTGAGCTGAGATCATGTGCCTGCACTCCAGCCTACTCCAGCCTGGGTGACAGAGTGAGACCCTGCCTCAAAAGCAAATAAATAAAATGAATTATTGATAACGAAATAAGAAGGTAAATAGCTAATTGATTAATATTGTGGGATTGAAGGAATAAGTGGGGGAAAGTGTTTTCTGACATCGAGGTATATACCTTAAGTGCCTGATAATTAAAGTGATTTCCAATTAGCATGCACATTCACGATTCATTTGTTGAACGGATACTTATTCAAGCACCTTCTATGTGCCAGGCACTGTTCTGGGTACTAGGAATAGATAAAGCAAGGAACAAAAGATCACAAATCCCCACCCTTAGGGTAAACAGACAACCAAATAGAGAGTGTGCCGGGTGGTGATGAATAATGTGATGATGGGGGTGCTGGGGAGATAAGGAGAGACGTGTCTTTTAAATGAGGTGGTCTGGGGATACGCAGATGACATTTGGACAGAGATCTGAAAGAATTGAGGGTGTGAGCCATGAAGATATCTATCTATGGGAAGAAAATTTGACCAAGGCAGCCAGTATCACTCCAACAGCAATGGCCGAGGCAGACAGGGTGTGGCCAGAGACCAGCGTCTGTAGAGCCTTGTAAGAAGTTAGGCTTTGTATTACTGCTAAGGGAAGGAGCTGCTGTAACATTTTTGAGCTGATATGTTAGAAACAGTAGGGCGCAAAGGTAGAAGCAGAGACAGGTAAAATGCACAGCAGGAGACAGTGGCAGCTGGGGAGATAACAGAAGTGGTTGGATTCTGGCTGCATTTGAAGGCTAAGCTGCCAGGATTTGTGGACAAGTTGGATATGTGGTGTGAAGAAGAGGAGTTGTGAACCATCTACTGTTGTGTGTCTAAGTGACTAGCAACTTGCAGTTGCCACGTCCTGTAATGGAAAGGAGTACACCTGGAGTGTGAGGTGCTGTGCAGGCACCGCGTGATGTCCTAGAGGCAGCTGGATAGATGAGTGCAGACCTTAGGAGAGAGGTCTAGGTTGGGAATAGAAATGTGGGTCATCGGTGTATAAATGGCATTTAAAGCCATGAAACCCGGTTAAATTACCTAGGGTCTAAGTACAGGTGAAAAAGCTGTGCAAGAAGTGAGTTCTTGGGAACCTCCAACATTTTAGAGAGGAGAACCAGCAAAGGAGACTCAGCAAAAACAGCTAGCAAGAGTGAGGCAAGGCAGCCCTGAAGCCAGACACGATGTTTCAAGAAGAAGGGAGAGGGCAACTGTATCAAAGGCTGCTGTGCCTCAGTTAAGATGAGTGCTGGGAACTGGCCTCGGTTTAACGTTGAAGCACAGTGACCTTGACAAGAACAGTTTCTGAAAGCTTAGTTGGAGTGGGCACAAGAGAGCCTGAAAGGCAGAGCTGGAGATGGTATTATAGAAAGCTTTTCTTGAGAGCCCACAGAAATGAGTCTGTAGCTTGATTAGACTGTAGGGTCAAGGAAGGCTGTTTGTGATCCAGTGGGAGTGATCCAGGAGAAGAGTGGGGAACCACAGCCAGGTGTGGGCAAGGGAGTACAGAAACCAGTTGAGTAGGGAAGGGCCAGCCTGAGACAGCAACACCAGCAGGAAGGAAAACGCAGAGTCTCGGTGCAGGCAGGCACTCAGCTCTGTGCTGATCACTTATACGTTCTCAATGTTTAGGCAGTGAGGTCATCAGTTGACAGTGAGGATGGGGGTGAAATACTATAGGTTTGGAGAGAGAAGAAAAGATAGACAGTATTCTGTAAGAGTAGGAAAATTAAAGGACCAGAAAAATGTAACAGGATGGCCACGTAGCACTGATGAGCCCTTGAAGTTGGTGGTCACAAGTTTAAAGTGAGACTTGTCAGCATGGTTTTATGTTTTTCCTGTAGCCACTTTCAGTTATATGAGTACAGGCATGAAGTGGACCACTGGTTCTCAGCAGGGGTAAGTTTGCCTCCCACCACAGACATTTGGCAATGTCTGGAGACGTTTCTGGTTGTCACAATGCGGGGGACGAGGTGGGTGGGTGGAGGTTGCTAGGGGTATCTAATGTGTAGTGGCCAAGGATGCCACTGAACATCCAACAGTGCACGGGATGGGCTCCCACAACACAATTACTTAGCTCAAAACATCAGTAGAGACACTGTCGAGAGGCAGAAGGAGACAGAATTAGGTAAAGGTTTTGCCAGGTGTCTATGACAAAGGGGGGGACTGTGCAAGTGAGGGGACCGTGGGATATAGCTTGGTAAGGAGGGAAGTGAGGAACATGTAAAGGTTGTAACAGAAAAGGATTGTAGGTCTCAGTGGCATCAAATAATTGTTGTAGTTGGCATCCTGGATGGAGTGAATTGACAAAATACGTGGTGGGTATCAGAGATTGGGATGCTGGGAAGCGAGGGAGGTTCAAATAATTACAAGATCTAGGCTATCATCACACAGTGACTGGCTGAGAGAGGAGATGAGATACCTGGAAGCAATGAAGTCGAGGAACTAAGAGACCAGAATGTTAGAAGGATTGTACATGTGGATATTAAAATCATCAAGAACAGTCACTAAAGTTATGTTGAAGAAAGTAAAGAGCATTGGGATTGTCATATGTGTCGTAGAAGTCAGTAAAGAACTAGGAGGCCAGGTCCTGATGCTCAAGTCTGAAAGCATGAGATGAGATTAACAACCAATCATTTCCAATACATAATTACTTTTTATAAATTCTTATTTACCAGTGTTTAAAAATAGGCTCCTAGTTAATTGGATTATATTATGTCCAGTAGTATGCCGGTAAATGTTTAATAACTGGCTGGGCTCAGAGGGCAGATTATAGCCTTTGCCAATTCCCATGGTGTAAATATTCCCACAGTGGCCAGTTTCAGGCTACCGGTGTGATATTGCTGAATGCACAATTGGGAGAAACAGCACACGTTTGGTTCTCATGAGTAAGAGCTGGCTCCAGCACCCCGCTGGCTATGTCCGTAAACTGTTATGTAAAAATGGCCATAAAAATCTTGTTGCAGAATCATTCTTTTATACCAGGGATTTAAGAATTCATGACATGTCAGATGAAGAGAGAAAGGCACATTTCTAATAAGCATATATGGTATCATCCCAATTATATTAAAACATATCCAAAGGAAGGATATAAACAAGAATGTTAATAGTCACATTCTATGAATGTTAGAATAGCCTAACATTAGAAATGAGACTATTCCTAACCTGCAGAATGCAGTGAGTTTTGTTTTATTCTTCTTTGGTTGCAGTGTCCTAATTCTTTGGATATGAATATAGATAATGTGATCATATCAATAGCTCCATTTAATTGAGTACTTCTCAAAGTCTTTGTATTAAGTTGGGTATGTTCCCTACAGAAGCTTAGCAATACTTTCGTATATTTTCTTTTTTGTTTGTTTGGATGGGTTTTTTTCAGATGACGCTATCTTAGAATCTGAATACTGAAAAGTATAAAGTGATCTGATAACTTAAAAACTGAGAAGACAACAAGACCTCAGGAAAACATCATCTGATTCCTAATCTTGAGATGAGGGATACATGGTCTCACATCCCAGTTTCAAAGGAAAAATGTAGTATTTGAAAAATTTTCAAATTCATGTTCATATCATTCAGTATTTGTTTTTGTATTATATTGCTTAAAGATAGTTTATATTGTTTTCTTCTCATTGGAAGCATTTTTTCATTTTTACATATTCTCCACAGAATTTTTAGGTATTACATGGTTTTGGTGAAGTATACTTAACCTTTTCCCATTGTATATTTAGCATGCAGCTTGTTTTTTACTAGGAGATTGTATGTGTAAGCACTTGGTAGTGTGTTCACACGGGAGACCCAAGGTCAGCGTGCATTGAGTTTGAACAGCTCATGCTGAGCATCTTGCCCATACCCTGAGGGAACAGTGCAGCAGGAGAAAATTTATTGGTCAAAGTTAATATGCAAACGTTTTCATGGCTTTTGAAACGAATTTAGCATATTGCTTTCCAAAGTGGCTGTACCCGTATCTAAGGTACATTTCTTTTTAATTTCAAATCATTTAGTCACGCAGTACAAAAGATTTTATGTGGTGACATCTCTTTAAATGTTATTTTCTTTTTCTCAAAAATAGCAAAGCCATCCCAAGAATCCAAATGACAAACACCGTAGCAAAAAGTGCAAAGATCCCAAACCACGGGTAAAGAAGTTAAAGTACCACCAATACATTCCACCAGATCAGAAGGGTGAGAAGAATGAGCCGCAGATGGACTCTAACTACGCCCGCCTGCTCCAGCAGCAGCAGCTGTTCCTGCAACTGCAGATCCTGAGTCAGCAGAAGCAGCACTACAACTACCAGACCATCCTGCCTGCACCATTCAAGTACGGCGGGGCCCATGCTATCCTCAACGCGGGGTTTTCTGTGGTTTTTTATGAGGAACTATAAGTTACCAAAAGTTGAATGTTGTCATTTATTTGTGCTCAGTAATGATTTTCATTTCTTTGTTATCAGAGCTTATCACACAGTGTCTGAAGTCCACATGGTGAGAGTGGCCTGCATTCCATTCCAGTTTCTGTCCTCCAAAATAGGTTCTGAATTTTTACAAGTTAGAAATGCCTTTTCACAATTATTCATCCAGATTTGCCTATTATTAGAACACCAAAATAGTACTAGATGCTCTGAGAAAAGCGTAAGTAGTATAATACCTGGCATAAACAGCTAAAAGAAGAGAAGGATGGGCATGAAAGCTGGAGTGGTCAAAGGAAAGCCTGGTGGAAAAGACAGGATCTTTGTATATAGAAGGCTCGAGAAGGGCCTTTCCAGGCACAGGGGAATGCTGTGAGCACTAGTACAGAGGAAGGAATAGAGTAAGTAGTGCCTCTTCATTGGAAGGTGAGAAAAATTGCCTAAACAAAGAATCTGATTAATTTTTAAGTAAAAAGTGGAAGACAAAAATCGAGTACAGCCAATGTCTAAGGGGACTTGAAGCTGGGCAGAAGACCTTACTCAACACAGCAGATAGACAACGGAGTGCTTCAGAGCAGGCTGCTGACGCAGTGAGGCCAAAATATAAGAAAAAACAGCTGGATGCTGGTGTTGAAGGGACGTCTGGAGACAATGAAGAGCTCTGGCAGCAGAGTGAGTGTTTCAGAAGACAGTTAAAGGCCTTGGTGACGAACAACTGCGGAGAAGGAAGGTGTTTTCAAAGTTTGAACCCAACTGTGGGGGACGGAAGGGAGTGAATTCTGACAATTTCTGAAACTGAATTCACAGCAAGACATCAATGGCTAATTTTAATTACGTAATAAAGAAAATTTCTGGATATACATTCCCAATATGCTTTTTCTGGGAAACAGAGATAAAAATGCAAAGATCTTGTCTTCATTTTCCTCACTTTTCATGAAAAAGAAATATTTGCATTTAACTCTAGAAAGAGATGCAAAAGCTCATTATAATGAAAAATTATTAGCCATGATCAGGTTATTCAACTTATGATTATACGACCTGTAGAAACTTCTGCTTTCTACATGTCGCGTAAGCATTCCCTCATAGGTAGCCCCTCTTTTCCCTCTTAAGATTCAAATATCTTGAGGAAGATTAAACCTATTAGTAATTCAGACCTGATTGTGAAGTACTTAAATCTAAAACATCAGGGCATGGAGATGAAGAGAGAAAGAACTTTGTATCCAGTTACTATTTTAAGAGCAGGCAGGCCCGAGTGAGCTATTGACATTGGAAGGGAATCAGGGGATACCAAAGAGAATTGGAAGAGAATCACAGACAAGCTGCTGCTACTTTGCAGCTTTGTCCAGGCCTTAGGGAGGCCTCCTCCACTGCCATCCTCCTTTGGCATTGGGCACCAATAATAATAATAATAATAATAATAATAATAATAATAATAATAATAATGGTAATGATGTCTCACAGTTACTACTTACAATGCGTTGTGCTTAAAACCGTGCATCATCCTCATCCTCGCCTCAAGTCTAGGAGGAATTGCTGTTATTGACCCCATTCCCAGATGAGGACGCTGTTATAAAAAAAAATCCTTTGGGATTTTCACCTTATCTTTGAAACAGTCTTTTCTGTAATGAAAGAATTTGGCTGTGCGACTGGCTTTGTAGATAGGAAGAATCCATCAGAGGTGTGGGCTTGCTGAACTGTTACCAGTTCTTTGTCTTTCCATTAAGGCTTCAATTCCCCTCTCCTCCTCAGACATTCAGCACCTCTACAATAACCAAGCTCACCCAAGAATAGTATCATACAAAAAGACCCAGGATATTAGAAGGAGAAAGAACACTTATTTTTGTGTATTATTTAACCACAAAAAGAATATAAGTCCTGTTCAATTTCCAGATCCTAAAAATGGAGGCCTTGTTTCCTAACGCATTGTTTATATTTATCAAAATTCCATTACAAGAAACTGAATGTGGAAGTCATAGAGTGCCCATAGTGGTGGGAGTTTACCTGAATCATGTAGCCCTTTGCCACCACAAAGGAGCAAGCGCCCAAAGGGACTAGGCTTTAGTCCAGCCCAGCTTGTCTGCACAATGGGAGGTCACTGGAGGTCCCCGAAGGCCACTGCATCCCTCTGAACGCAGGTCTCTCATCTGCCGATCACATTCGTTAGCAACCTCTCTCTTTTTTCTCCCCTCTATTGATTTGGGAGAAAAATAGATTAACATGTTTCTGTTATTTTAAAGATTGAGTAAAATACCAAACTGTTCATTTTAATAGGTAGAGTATTATAGAATCTCAACAGGAAAAAAAAAACATCCTGAGTAGAATAATTACATTCATTTTCAAGGGGGTAATACCACTCACAAGGAAGCAAAAGGTGGCTCAGCAGGGAGACTACTCTTACGTAATAAAGCACAGACTTACCTGCGGTCCATAAACACATGCTTTATCTCTGTGGTGTTGAAACTTCATGGGGAGAGAGATGTGGAGAAAAATGTCTAAAAGGCTCTTTCGGGGGACAATAATGAATGAAAATAAGGTGGAGAAACACTGATTTAAAGAAAATGTTTTCATAACTCTGAGATTTTACAGTTGAATTTTTATAAAGGATAATAATGATGCATAAAATATTTGCCACTTCATCCAATGATAAGAAACTTCATCCCAAAGATTTCAATTATTTAACTTCAACAAAATTCAGCCAGGTTTTAGAAGACCCCAAAATGAATGTCAAGAGTTAGCTAGTGACAAAGCCAGCATTGGCTTCAACCACAGGCTTCCCAGAACTCTTCAGAGAAAGCTCACCCAACTATGGCTGTCACCCCGTAGGCACTGTCACCTCAAATCCCTGTTTCAGAATGTGGAATTCCAAGTCTCTTGGCTTCAGCACCAAGGCTTTGTGTGATAATAAAGCCTGAAGCTGCAATGGAATCGGCTGTACGGTAGCAACCATCCAGAAAGGAAACACCACTGTTACCAAGAGTATCACAGTTGGAAGATGTTAGGTGGGGATCTCGTTTTAATACTGAAAGTTTAGGGAAATTAGTACAAAGCACCTAACTGTAGTAGAATTTGACAAGTGATGCACCAACTTCTTTTAAGTAAGCTTTTTAAATTGAAGTATAACTTACACACAGAAAAGTACGTAAATTATAAGTGAAAATTGATGCAAAAATAAATACACTCCTGTATCCAATACCCAAACCAAGAACATTTTCAGTACCCCAAAAGCCCCCTTTGTCTCCCTTTTCCATGATCATCCTGACTTCTATCCCCAGAGATTAGTTTTGCCTGTTTTGGGTTTTTTTTTTTTTGAGACAGAGTCTCACTCTGTCGCCCAGGCTGGAGTGCAGTGGTGCAATCTCGGCTCACTGCAAGCTCTGCCTCTCGGGTTCACACCACCTCCAGGGTTCACGCCATTCTCCTGCCTCAGCCTCCCGAGTAGCTGGGGCTACAGGCGCCCGCCACCACGCCTGGCTAATTTTTTGTATTTTTAAGTAGAGACGGGGTTTCACCGTGTTAGCCAGGATGGTCTCGATCTCCTGACCTCATGATCTGCCCGCTTCAGCCTCCCAAAGTGCAGTTTTGCCTGTTTTTGAACTTCATATACACGCAATCTTACAGTACACCTACGTGCATCTTTGTTGGTGCTGATAGCAGTTCATTTTTGTTGTTGTTGTTTAATATTTCGTGACTGACTATAACATAATTTAGCCATCCAGCTTACTCTTGATGCGTAGTTGGGTTGCTTCCAGTTGGGGCTATTAGGAATAACCCCACAGTAAATAGTCTGTGTCTTTTGGCATACATACATGTGTCTTTCTGTTAGATGTCTTATCTAGGAATGGAATTGTGGGATCATAGGATAGGCAGATGTTTTCCTTTAGTACTACGAAAGAAAAGTTTCAAAGAAAAGATGTTTTTCTTTAGTACAGTTTTGCAAAGTAGTTGCATCATTCACAGCTCTGCCAGCAGTGTGTGATTGTTCTGGTTGTCCCAGGTACTTGGTATCAGTCTTACTCATTATATCAATTCCACTGAAAATGCAGGGCTATTCTGTTGTGATTTGCAATTTCCACATACCTAATGAGGTTGAATCATCTTTCACTTATTTATTGACCATTGGGATATACATTCTTGTGATACATCTGAGATTTTTCCCCCCACTTTTCCACTGGGTTTTCTGTCTCTTTCTTACTGATTTTAAAGACCTTTTTATATACTCTAGATATGAGGTCTTTGTCAGAAATATGTATTACAGATATGTTGTCCTGCACTGTGGCTTGACTTTTCACTGTCTTAAAGATGTCCCTTTTACTTAGTGCTTTTTATGTGCTGTTTAAGAAATCTTTGTCTACCCAAAGGCCATGAAGATACTATCCTGAGTGTTTTTCTGAAAGCTTTATTTTCATAATTCACATGTAGATTTTGGGAACAAGGTGAGATGGGGCCAGTCAAGAGCCATGTTTTTTTCTGTGTGAATTTCCAACGTAGCATGGCACCATTGAAGTCCCGCCCTCTCTCCACTACATCACAGTGTCCTCTTTTTGGTAACTCAAGGGTCCGGGTATGCAGAGGGCCGTTTCTGGATTTGCTGGGGCTCTCTCATTTGCCTGTTGTTCTGTCCCTGTATCAGCAACATCACACATTAATTACGTGTTGATGTCTGGTGGTGTGACTCTTCCAGCTTTGCTTTTCTTCAAGGATTCATGGCCATTCTTGGTCCTTTGCATTTCCATATAAAGCTTAGAATCGCCTTCTAAATTTCCGTCACGCTAGCAAACAAACAAAACCTGCAGGGATTTCATTGAGATCTAATGTAATTGGCATCTTTACAATATTCAGCCTTCCAATCCATAACCATGGTATTTTTCTCTTCATAAGTTAGTCAAATTGTTAATAGAAGCAATGTCAAATCTAGAAATTATTTTATTATAAACTCTAATTTTTGTTTTCTTTTGAAGGCCACTCAATGACAAAAATAGTAACAGTGGGAATTCAGCTTTGAACAATGCCACACCTAACACACCAAGACAGAATACATCTACTCCTGTGAGAAAGCCAGGACCTCTGCCTTCTAGCCTGGATGACTTAAAGGTGACAATTGCAACTGGAGCTTATTCACCCCTAAGTACCACAAACATGTAAATGATTTGCCAGCGTTGTCTAGCAGACATTAAGTAGTTTTCAGTAGACATTCAACTTTACCAACAATATGATAATCTTTATAAAAGGTATTTTCTTTTTACTTCCACTAAGTTTTCTTGTAAAACAACCAATAACTGTCATTTACTGAGTGTGTACCTTGTGCAGGCACCTACCAGTTCTGCTGGATTCCAGAGGCTGTGATTTTTTTCTTCCCTGCTCAATGCCAAGTTTGGGAAAAGCAGGAAAATGTAACAGTTAAGAATATGAGCTCTAGGGCCAGCCTTTTTAGGTTTCTACCACAGCTCAGCCTTCTATTATCTGTGGTACCTTCAGTGAGTGCTTCAGCCTCTCTCTTCTTTGCCTCCCGATCTGTAAAATGGGAAGAATAATGATACGGACACCTCATGGGGTCGTGTGAAGATGAGTGGAAAGAGTAGAGCATTTCCAAAAGTGTCTTGCACAAGGCAACTACTCAATAAATGCAGCTGTATCATCATCATAATTCCTGGTAGTATCTCTCTGCTTTGACGTAAAAGCGGAATTACCCTCTAAAAACCCTTACCGTATCACTGGCTCCTCAAGTGCTTCTAGTCTGTAGTTATCTGTTTCTGTGTGCTTAAATATAAAACCAGTTCTACTTTCAGGTGTGCCGTAACGCAGAGTTGTCTGACAGACATAGGCACCTTTCCCATCACAAAAGCGTACTGTAGATTTGCCAGAAAGCTCTAATACTAAGATATCTGCTTTGTTTGTACCTCCAGGTATCAGAACTGAAGACAGAACTGAAGTTAAGGGGTCTGCCAGTGTCAGGCACCAAACCGGACCTCATTGAGCGCCTAAAACCCTACCAGGAAGTGAACAGCAGCGGCCTTGCTGCTGGGGGCATCGTGGCAGTGTCATCATCAGCCATTGTCACCAGTAACCCAGAAGTCACTGTGGCCTTGCCGGTTACAACACTACACAACACTGTGACTAGCTCAGTCTCTACTCTCAAGGCAGAATTGCCACCTACAGGAACCAGCAACGCAACCCGTGTGGAAAATGTTCATTCCCCTCTGCCCATTTCACCATCTCCCTCCGAACAGTCCAGTCTCAGTACTGATGACACAAACATGGCAGACACTTTCACCGAGATTATGACCATGATGTCGCCTTCACAGTTCTTGAGTTCATCTCCTTTGAGAATGACAAATAATGAAGACAGTCTGAGTCCCACCAGCAGCACTCTGTCAAACCTGGAACTGGATGCAGCCGAAAAGGATCGCAAGCTTCAGGAGAAAGAGAAGCAAATCGAAGAGCTGAAGAGGAAACTGGAACAAGAGCAGAAGCTCGTGGAAGTGCTGAAAATGCAACTTGAGGTTGAAAAACGAGGGCAGCAGCAGCGGCCCCTGGAAGCCCAGCCCAGTGCCCCAGGTCATTCTGTCAAGTCAGATCAGAAGCACGGCAGCCTTGGCTCCTCCATCAAAGATGAGGCCTCACTCCCTGACTGCTCCAGCTCCAGGCAGCCCATCCCAGTAGCCAGCCACGCTGTAGGCCAGCCCGTCTCTACAGGTGGCCAGACCCTTGTTGCCAAAAAGGCTGTAGTTATCAAGCAAGAGGTCCCTGTGGGCCAGGCAGAGCAGCAGAGTGTCGTCTCGCAGTTTTATGTGAGTTCCCAGGGACAGCCACCGCCTGCTGTTGTTGCTCAGCCCCAGGCTTTACTGACCACGCAGACTGCTCAGCTGCTGCTCCCAGTGTCCATCCAGGGCTCGAGTGTCACCTCAGTGCAACTCCCTGTAGGCAGCCTCAAACTCCAGGTGTGAAGTGTGTCTTCTAACTACTTTGCCTTACAGCATGCATGGAATGCAAACCCTGCTAAGGAAGGCACCATACCTGAGCTCTTCCATAAATGCGTCCAGAGCAGACCCCACGGAGAAAACGTATGCATGTGTGAGAGGGTTATTCAGAAATCTGAATATCTAGCACTGTTTTTATATAGTGAAAAAAACACAGGATGCTTTTCTAGTCCTGTTACCTTTTCCCTTGAATGAACACAGTATCATCCATGCAGACATTTTTTTACACACCAGTGACGTGATCATTGTGATCATAGTCTGCCGCTGAGCACTTTCTGGCAAGGCACAGCATCTAGTACTTTAAATGGCCGGCTTCACTTAATCCTCCCTTCTCCTAGAAGATCTAAGTGATACCACCCATCTCTGGATAAGGACGCTGAGGCCTAGGAGTACTCAGGGAGTTCCCCCAAGGATGGAGCTGGCATTTAAACCCAGGTGTTCTGCCCGCAGAGCCTTTATTCTTATGCCCATTCTTATATTCTGCCTCCCACATTTAGTTCTTGAAAGTCACTGCTTATATGAAGATGTCTAAACTAAGGAAAACATGACCACAAATTTAGGAGTGAGGATGTAATTGAAAGAGATGAGAAAACACTGATGAGCATGAAATTCCCTTTTGTGCGTACATAACCTATGTATTTACCGTGTCATGCAGTTTTGGTAAGTTTTCACCAAACATGGAGCACGAGTGAACAAGAAACCATTTGAAGCAGTGCTCCTCAGCCTCGACACCCAAATACCTGAAACAGGCGAGAGGAATCATCTCGTACCCCTGTGGTTAGGAGGCAGGGCCCACAGACCCTTTGGCAGATGCAAAAATTCTGATTCCTCTGTTTTATCTTTAGGGTATCTGTGAAATTGAAAGTCTATTCCATAATAAATCCTTAAATTTTTTGGTCCAAATCTTCCATTGCTGTAGTAGAAACGAGAACCGTGTTTTTATCCTTGGGTCTGAGGGCGCCCTGGCCCCATTGCTGGCTCTCCCTAGGGAATGCACACACCGCTTGCAAGCAGCAATTGGGACAGTTAGGTCTCACGAGTTGCCTTGCTGTTATTCAAGTATTACAGTACCTGAGCTATTATGTGTAGAACTGCCTTAGGTTCTTATTATTTCCATTTCCATTTTCTCAAAATTTTCAAATGAAAAATCTTAGCTACTTAGGAATAATAAGAGCATGCAGTGACTGGTCTGATGTTTCCCTCTCTGGTTTAGAATCATTAAAGTTCAGATTTCTGTGCAGATGAAGTGTGTATCTGTAACCTTGGTCTTATTTCATTTAGATACAATCCCCAAGTGACCAGTGATTCTACACCTAAGTTCTGATTTCTAACTTTGATTCTGACAATTAAATTGATGTTTTTTTCAATTCACCTCCTAGACTTCACCACAAGCAGGAATGCAGACTCAGCCTCAGATAGCAACTGCTGCACAAATACCAACTGCTGCCTTGGCCTCAGGCTTGGCCCCAACTGTACCTCAGACACAAGACACGTTCCCGCAGCATGTGCTCAGTCAGCCTCAACAAGTCAGAAAGGTTTGTAAATGCCAAGGAGCAATAGAATGTCGCTGATTTTTACCATCCTCCGATCATCCATTCAACAAGCATCTTTGTAAACGCCCTGGGAAGTTCCTGTTCATTCTTTTCTGTGATCCATCTCCCATAGAATGAGCCTTAGGTCAGATGCCATTTGGCTGCAGATTTCCCAGTTATTTGGAATGGAGAAAGACCTTTTCATTACTGAAAGATAGCTCGCCTTCGCAGTTAACCCCTTTTCCAAGGGAAAGTTTCAAAAGTATTTGTTTTCAATCCTCATATATTAAATTTACTGAATTTTAAAATAAATGTTTTCAAATTAAACATACTGTGGAAAAAAAGATATGCTGTTCCCTTGGAAAAGGTATTTGAAGATGAAAAAGATACTCCCAAAATGTTTATGCTGAGTAAGATCTTGAAATACATTTGTAAGACTTTGCCATCTCAGATTAAGAGCCCAGAAGGTCTTATCAATTCCAGTTCACCATTGCCTAGGTGTTTGGCCTCATGCAGAATTCACTTACCTTCTCTGAGAGTCAGTTACCTCATCTTTAAAATGAAGTTGGTGGTCTAGGATTCAGTGTCCTCTACACAAATAACTACCAAAAAAATTCTCCCGCATTCCCCGGTAGCCAGTAGGTGGAGCTATGTGCACATCTCCTTGCCAGAAAAATCTTATGCCTCAAAAATAGGTCTTACTCTTTTAAACCTTGAAAATTATTAATCCCAGAGTTTTACTCTTCAACATGAAAGAACCCAGGTAATGAGTTGTGCCTGTGATCTGCCTCAGGATAGTGTGAACTGTCTGGGTGAAACCAGCTTTGGGGACAGCTGCAGTCACATGTAACACGTGTGCTGCTTCAGAATCTCCTCTGCGAGAGGAATCATGGTTGTATGTTACTGAGTTTGGGGAAAGCTCGAAATACCATTTTAGTGTAATTAAAAGCTTAGTAAATGTTCCAATGTTAAGACAATTTGTTTTAGGGAGGAAAGGAAAAAATAATATGTAGATAGGATAAATAAGGGCTTTTTCACTAAGTCTGTAAACACTAGAATTAGGAATCATTACTTCTAGTTTAAAGGAAGTAATTTTTTACCAAATTTAAGGAAAATTAATTTTTTCAAATAGGAGTATATTTACAGAACTCATCACCATGGAGATTGTACTGTTTGAGGTATATACACATAGACTTTCCTGCTTATGAAATACAGAGGTTTTTTAGAATATTAGTGGTATAGAACGTGTTAAGTATTTTTGAGCAAACCAAGTTCTATGAAATACAGTTACAATATCAGCAGTATGGCCACATATTTGTAAAAGACCCTAAAACTTGTGGCTCTTGATGGAGGTGCTAAACAAAACATTTTGGAGTTCCACAGCAAGAAGTTCTCACCTTTGCCTGTTGGAACAGAAAACAGCCTCTCCAAAGGGGACCAGTTTTACATGGGGCCTTGCTTGTATTTGAAGACATTTTCAAGAAACTGGAAAATTGAGTGTGACCACAGCAGGTTGAGGTTTTAGGTAGGATGGAAAGGGGGCCAGGTAGTAAGAAGCTTACATGCCAGCCAAAGATTAGGGTTTTACCCAAATCAGGAGAGCCAAGGAGTGTGGTAGGGGCCATGCCTTGAGAACACGTTGTGGCAGGGGGTCTATGCCGCAAGGCTGCTGCAGAATCCCTGTGATAGATAGTGAAGGCCAGGCGCAGGACAGCAGAGAGCAGAGGCAGATTCAAGCGGCGTCGCTGAGATGTGTGAACACTGAGGGAGAAAGCAGAGTTGACTGATAGTCCTATTTACCTAAGTTTTAAAAAAAGCAGAACCAAGAATTATTTTCCCTCAGAAGCTGAGAGGCAGGGGGTAATGGGAAAAAGGAGAAAAATCGTTTGGAATATTTTAAATTTGAGATACCTAAGATGATGATGTAAGTGGCTTTGACGCCTGGGAGCAAGGTTGGAAGTAGAGCAGTGGCTTGGGATTATTAGCTTAGTCATGGCCATTGAAGACTTGAGAGTAGGCCGGGCGCGGTGGCTCAAGCCTGTAATCCCAGCACTTTGGGAGGCCGAGGCGGGTGGATCACGAGGTCAGGAGATTGAGACCATCCTGGCTAACAACAGTGAAACCCCGTCTCTACTAAAAATACAAAAAATTAGTTGGGTGTGGTGGCGGGCGCCTGTAGTCCCAGCTACTTGGGAGGCTGAGGCAGGAGAATGGCGTGAACCTGGGAGGCGGAGCTTGCAGTGAGCCGAGATCGCACCACTGCACTCCAGCCTGGGTGACACAGCAAGACTCCGTCTCAAAAAAAAAAAAAAAAAAAAAAAGACTTGAGAGTAGATGAGCCCACCTTAGAGAGGAATAGAAGAAATTCAGCTATCATTTAAGAGGAGAATTATAAAGAGCAAGCACTGTTTTTCCACAAAGCTCTGTCTGTACCACCATCAAAGGCAAGTTACTGCGTAAAGGGACCACATATGCTCGAAAATAGGGGTAAGCAAACCCTGGCCTGTGGGCCAAATCTAACCCACCACCTGTTTGTATGGATAAAGTTTTATTGGCACACAGCCACACCCATTTATCCATGTACTGTCTGTGGCTGCTTTCAGGCTGCAATGGCAGAGCCAAGTGGTAACAACAGAGGCCAGGTGACCCACAAATCATAAGCTATATACTCTGCAGCCCTTTACAGAAAAAGTTTGCTGACCCCTGTCCTAAAACATGGTTTTCTTTACTTCATTAAGAAAAGCCAAAGAACAAATTAATGGAGAAACATTTATTCATTACAGGTTTTCACAAACTCAGCATCATCAAATACAGTTCTTCCATATCAGAGACATCCTGCCCCAGCTGTCCAGCAGCCCTTTATCAATAAGGCCTCCAACAGTGTTCTTCAATCCAGAAATGCTCCGCTTCCATCCCTGCAAAATGGACCTAACACACCCAACAAGGTAACCCTGTGAGGCTTGTGTGTCAGTGACAGTGCCGCAGGGGCATCAAATCATTCCAAAGCCTAGTGCTTTGGGCTTGGAGTGACTAATGTTAATGGGATAAAATTGTTGAAAATACAGTGATAACTTGTGAAGGAGGAGCTCAGCTATTATCACAGTGAAGATGATCGTTCGCACATAAGGTGGCCACCAGTGCTGTCAGCCTCACAGGTGCTTAAAAGAACCTGCTCATGAATTCCCTGATTTGGCCACTACATAGAGAACAGCAGAGCCGAGTCTAGCCAGGAAAAGAGAGGTTTATTGCCAAGAGGTAATGTGCACTCCTCCTTTATTTGACACAGCCTAGTTCACCCCCGCCACCCCAGCAATTTGTCGTCCAGCACTCTCTATTTGGGAGTCCAGTCGCCAAGACAAAAGATCCCCCCCGCTATGAGGAGGCCATCAAGCAGACACGCAGCACACAGGCCCCTCTGCCAGAGGTAAGTGAGGGCACGGTCATGGTGCATAAGGCTATGGTGGATGTGCCCACGTTCAGTCTCGAGCAGACCTATACAGAATCCCTTGTCTGAAACTGACTTGCCTCAATAGAAATACAAAAATAACCTTGTATTTTACATGGTTATTTAAAATCAAAATGTCATTTATCATGAAGACCTTAAACAGCTTTCAGCAGCAGTATAACTGCATTTACTGTTTATTCAGAAATTAAGGGTTTATCTCTTAACTTTTCTTTTGGGGTAGGGGCATCAGTCATGTTAGAGATAGATGTGATTATGACCAGGACACATTTTATACAGGTCCCTTCTTTTCTAAAGCCACCATGTGTCAGGCCAGCATCAAAATGACACATGGTATCACTGTTACACCTGGCTGACATTCAAGGCCACCAGCACCTAAATTGACTTGGTCTCTCTCTGGTCTCCAGCAACCTCTGCCCCCAGCAGGCCAGCCCATCCAAATGACTTTGCTCATACACTGAGCAAATGCACTTGGAGGTAACAGATCTGAGGTTCTCCTGGTTTCACCACACATGGTGACCATGTGGCCTCTGAGCCTTCCTTGTTTGACTGATAAAACAGAAGTAGCCCCAACCATACCAAGCAATGGAAGAAGTTAGGGTTCCTATTTGTAAAAGCATATGGCCCATGGTGGGTGCCCAGTCATGAGAGTACTTGTCATACATTACCCTAAACACTCCTCCAATCTTTCTCTCTAAAGCTTTCTGTCAAAGCTTAAAACTAACCTTTGAGGGAAGAACCCCAGCCTCATAGAGGATTCAAGGAGTGGCCCTGACACCGCTCCATGGGTGCTAAAGGTGGACACCAAGAGACAATATCCAAGCGGTACTGTTTATTATCCACGGCAAACAGCAGGAACATCAGTGCAGTTGTACCAGTTCTCCCGCTCCCGTGTTCCATGGGGTAACTTGTTGGGGCCACATGGTGGCTGTGTATGCAGTGGGTCAAGCTGCACCTAAGGAACGTGGGGCCAAGGGCTCTGTGCTTTTTCTAGCAAGCAGCAAACAAGCCAGTCCCTCACCCAGGGAGTATGCAGTCATGCCTACGCTTCCTTGACCCACTTGGTTGCCTCAGTGAGCATCTACAGAAGCTGCTCAGTCCAGGCGACCTTGTCAGTTTGGCACCCTCACCAAGGACATCCAGGGATGCTCAGGGCCCGTAGGGGGCTGCCTCTTGGAGGAAGTGGAACCTACCACATGCTGCTTTGTATTCCCTGAGTACCGAGGGAACGTAACTTTGAGTTGTAAGATGTCCCTTAGTTACAGACTCAGCAAAGGCCCTTGTCTGTGAGGGAAAAGTCAGATTTCAAAGACGGGTTCAAATATTTGCAATAAGAAGTCAAACAGGTGGTGCTGGACTACACTCCTCCCTCATGGTCCATTCGGAGTGACATCTATTCTCTTCACAGGGGAGCAGAGACGAAGTGAATTGCCAAGAGCTTAACTGCAGTTTTTAAGAAAACAAAAAGATAGTACCCATCCTTTCTAAGTCCTGCTTACTTGATGAATCTTCCACTGTAACCTAAGACAGCTGATTGGAATCTCTGGTATTTACATGTCTCTAGGTTCCTGTTTATAGACTGAGGTTCTACACTGGTTTTTGGTTATTCAAATGAGTAGCCACCTGTAGGTCCTGCTTATATGCCATTGAGCACCAAACTTCGTTTAAATACATTTACTCAGACTTGCAATTCCACGAGTGGCTAAGTAAGGCCCTACCGGTTCAATCTTCCCACAGATAATAGCTATTAATGTGGGTCATAACAAAAAGCAACTACCTGAACGCATTGAAGAGTAAATAGAAGCAGTCATTCTCTGGTGGGGAATCCACACTCAGGAAGGGAGTGATGTGGCATGATTTCCCTCTTTGTGCTGCTTTTACTCTGGGGTCCAGCTAAGTGGCAGGGTTACTGGAGAAAAGCCATAGTCTTTATGGCCTGGAAATCCAGATAACTGAATTGAGAGCAACCAGAGGGAAAAAGCCAGAGAGGAGATCCCCAAATTCTGTGTGCCCACATCTCTGGCTGACCCCTAAGCCATACAGGCGTGGAATGGACGCTTAGCAGCTCAGCTGAAGACAAAAGATCTAAAGTGAGATTGGAACATCTACCCAAGAAACATTTTGAAGTTTTAAGTCTAACCAAGTTAATAGCTTGCTAAAACAATAGAAACCATTCATCTGAGAATAACAGCAGAATTCACAGTTGCCACAATTTAACATCCATAACATTTATCCATAACATGCATCATACAAAGAATTGGGAAAATGTAACCTATCTCAAAGGAAAAAGGCTGAGACCAATCCTGAGCTCATCTCGATGTTAGAACTTGCGGGCAAGGTTTTCAAAGCAACTACTATTACAGCTGTCCTCAGTGATGGAAAAGGAAATATGCTTGTAATAAAAGGGATCCATGTGGATACAGAAATGATTTTTAACAACTAAATGGAAATTTGAGAACTAAAAAAGTACAGTATCTGAAATGAAAAAAATATATAGATGAACTTACCAGAATGGAGATGGCAGGGGAAAAAATGTCATGAACCTGAAGATAGATCATAACTTATCCAATCTGAATAACAGAGATTGTGAAGTGAACACAGCCCAGAATCCTGTTATATAATTCAAACAAAACAGTCTAGCATAGGTAGAAGAGAAGTCCCAGAAGAAGAGAGAAAGAACTGAAGAGGCAAATATTTGAAGAAACAATGGCTGACATGTTCACAAATAGGATGAAAGACAAATTTATAGCTTTGAGATGCTCGATAAACAAGCTGGATAAATCACATCACAGTCAAATTGTTGACAAGACAGAGAAAATCTTAAATGCATCAAGAGAAAAAACACATTTCACACAGAGCAAACAACTAATTGATTAATGTCAACCTTTCATCAAAAACTATGAAAACTGGAAGAGTGCAACAGCACGTTTAGAAGTTTTTAGGGAGGAAGAAGTGGAAGGGATTGTCAACCCAGAATTCTATTATCATGTTAAAATATCCCTTAAGAATGAAAGTGAACTAAAGATATTTTCAGATAAAGAAAAATTGAGTTAGTTCATCACCAAAGATAACACTGTCTTGAGGAGTGTATAGCATGTGTAGACAATACTTAAAATAATTAATAAAGGATGGGGGAGGAAATGAGTGGATCTGTGTGGTTGTAGGATCTCTATGTTTTATTCAGTGTACAACATTAAGTAGCCTATGAGAAGTTAAGGATATGTATTGCATATCTATAGTAACAATTTAAAAGATTCAAGATAGCTTTTAAAAAAAAAAATCAATAGAAAGGCCTGGCATGGCATCTCACGCCTGTAATCTCAACACCTTGGGAGGCGAAGTGGGAGGATTGCTTGAACCTAGGAATTTAAGACCAGCCTGGGCAACATGATAAAACCCCATCATTACAAAAAAGACAAAAATTAGCCAGGTGTGGTGGTGCATACCTGTAGTCCCAGCTACTTGGGAAGCTAAAGTAGGAGTATCACTTGATCTCAGGGGGTTGAGGCTGCAGTGATCTGAGGCTGTGCCACTGCACTCCATCCTGGGTGACAAAGCGAGACTGTCTCAAAAAAAAAAAAAAGAAAGAAAGAAAAATTAGATACAAAAATGTCAAATTTTTTTTTAAGGACAGGAAAGAAAAACAGGATAACAAAAAAAAAAAAAACCCCAGATGGGATGAATAGAAGACAAATATAAAATATAAAATAGTAAACCCAAACTTAACCATGTCAGTAATTATAACACATATGACTAAACAATTCAATTAAAATGCAAAAAATTGTCAGAGTGGATATAAAAGCCAGACTCAACTGTATGCAGTTTTAAGATATGTCTGCAAATTCTTTGACATTCCTCTCTGGGTTGGATTTAGCGACTCACTTCTAACAAACAGAATTGGCAGAGGTGATGGTGTGTGACTCCAGAGACTAAGTCATAAAAGGCATGCCCCTTCTTCCTTGCTCTCCCATGGAGTGCTCACTCTGGAAAAGCCAGCTGTCATGCCATGTGGACATGCCAGCAGCCATCTGGAGAGGCTCACATGGAGGGGCACTGAGGCCTCCCATCAATGGCCAGCACTAACTTGCCAGTCAAGGGCATTCCCCAGCCACACCTAGAGTTGGCGGTAACCTGACCAACATCCTGGCTGCAACCTCATGAAAGACCCGAAGCCAGAACCACCCATCAAAACCATTCCTGACCCACAAAACTGTGACATAATAATTTTAAGCCATTATGTTTTGGAATAATTTATAATATATCAATAGGTAACTAATGCATGTATCTACAAGAGGCATACTTTAAATACAAAGACCACTGAAAGTAAATGGCTGGAAAAAGATAGACCATGCAAACAGACAGCAGAAGAAATCTGCAGTAGCCAGAAGATTTGAACAGATATTTTCCCAAAGAAGATAAATGGATGGCAGATAAGCACTTGAAGAGATGCTCAACATCATTAGTCATTAGGGAAATGCAAATTAAAACCCCTGTGCAATACCGCTACACACCTAATGAAATATCTAAAATTGAAAAGACTGACCCTACAAAGTATTGGTGAGAATGGAGAACAACTAGAAATCTTATACCATATACTGAGGGTGGGAGTGTAAAATGGAACAGTCACTTTGGAAAACAGTTTGGCCATTTCTTCAAAAGTTAAACCTACACCTGTCCTGTGATCCGGTCATTCCACTCCTAATTACCCAAGAGAAGAGAAAACACATGTCTATACAAGGACCTGTACACAAATGTTCACAACAACTTTTTTGTAATAGCCAAAAATTGGAAACCCAAATGTCCATCCACAAGTCAATGAATAAACAAACTGCTGTGTTTCCATACAATGCAATGCTACTCAGCAATAAAAAAATTAACTGTTCCTGAGGTACACACTGTAAGACAGATAAATCTCAGAATAATTATGCTGGGTGAAAGAAGCTAGTCCTTCCCCTACCACCAAGAAACTACACACAGTATGAATCCATTCATATAAAACTAATCTATAGTGAAAGCAAACAGATCCGGGGGTTGCCTACGGATGAGGGGATGAGGGGATGAGGAAACTTTAAGGGCGATGGATATGTTCATTATCTTGATTTTGTTTATGGTTTCATGGGTATATTTATATGTCAAAACATATCAAATTGTATACTTTACATAAGTGCACCTTATTATATGTCAGGTAAATCTCAATAGAACTGAACAAATATGTATAGTGTGATCACCTTTGTACAAATTTTTACCTAAATACAAATGAATAAAGACACTTTTAAAATAAGGTATTAGAGGCCTCTCAAAATGCAATTCAGTGATAGAAAAAAAGGGAAGCATAGAAATCGGTGGAGCTGGGTACTAACTAGCCCTGTTCTTGCTGTGTCAACTAACCAGCTGTACAGCTTGGGTAAATGGCTTAACTTCTCAGGTGACCTCAGTGTTTTCAAAATTATCACGATAGATTAGAACTAAATCATCTAGAAAGTCCCTTAGGACTGCTAATTATATAATGCTTCCAGGTTTGTATGAAAGAAACCTAATTTGTACTCTCCTTCATTGTAGATTTCCAACGCTCACAGTCAGCAGATGGATGACCTCTTTGATATCCTCATTAAGAGTGGAGGTAAGTCAAAAGTCACATCAGATCCTCCCAGGAAGTCATCTCTTAACCCAAGTTCATGAAAGTTTTTCTTAAGCACTCATAGCTTATCTTTAGATACTGAGAAACGTGTTCTTCTAACTGAATTTACTGTTTTAAAATCTGTTAAATTTAGGCCATTAAAAGAACTTATGGCCAGGTGCGGTGGCTCACGTCTATGATCCCAGCACTTTGGGAGTCTGAGCCCAGGAGTTCGAGACCAGCTTGGGAAACATAATGAGACCTCATCTCTACAAAAAATTTTAAAAATTAACAGAGTGTAATGGCACACCCCTGGGGTCCCAGCTACTAGGAAGTTGAGGTAGGAAGATTGCTTGAGCCCAGGAGGTCAAGGCTGCAGTGAACTGTGATAGCTTAAAACAGTAATACAATGTGAGATTTATCCACAGATAGATGCCTGCTAAAAAACAAAGACCAGATAGCAAAGTAGAACCAGATTTAAATTCCATGTTGAATAGCTTCAGAACTTGTTCCATGCGTATGTCATTGTAATGGGATGAAAACATGCCAATACTATCTTAATTATGTTACATCAAGCCACTTAGCATGGGCTCCAGTATCTTTATTAAAATTCAAAGTCAATGCTAAAGCATTTTCTACAATATAATATGAAGTCTTAGATTTATATCATCTTTATTAAAAAGAGACATTAGCCACAAAAAGAATCAAGGATATTGTTGCCTCAGCTTACATATCTTTGAAGTATAAAAATCAATATTTAAAAAAAAATTCCTGGATAGTATTTGCATATTTGGAGTAGTCTTAAAATTACCCTGATGAAAGGAGTTTTATTTGAATTTTCAAATAGTGGTCAGAAGTTCTCCATTTATAGCAGGTATTATTTGACACTGAAGTTGACGTTGACATAGAGAATTGATATTTGACTACAGATCTACACACACAAATAGTATTTTTTGCTAAGAATTATATTGGCCTTACAAAAATAACTTCAGCCGGCCAACCCCCGTGGCTTATGCCTATAATCCCAGCACTTTGGGAGCCCGAGGCAGGTGGATCACTTGAGGTCAGGAGTTCAAGACCAGCCTGGCCAACATGGTGAAACCCCCGTCTCTACTAAAAATACAAAAATTAGCAAAAATTAGCCGGGTGTGGTGGCAGGCACCTTAAACTTGGAAATTAAAATGTGACACAATCAAGCTATTTTCTAAAATGAGATTTTTTTTAATGACAAAGTATCCAGTAAGTATATTATTTCATCTTGTCTACTAATATCAGTAATAACGAGAACCAAGTTTTATATAGTTACAAGACTAGTTACTTGTGACACCGTGCCTTGCCCTGCCTGTAATCCCAGCACTTTGGGAGGCCACGGCAAGCGGATCACCTGAGGTCAGGAGTTCAAGACCAGCCTGGCCAACATGGTGAAACTAAAAATACAACAATTAGCTGGGCATGGTGGAGGGCACCTGTAATCCAGCCACCCAGGAGGCTGAGAGGCAGGAGCATCACCAGAACCCAGGAAGTGGAGGCTGCAATGAGCTGAGATCATGCCACCGCACTCCAGCCAGGCTTGGCAACAGTGCAAGACTCCGTCTCAAAAAAATAAAAATAATAAAAATAAAAAAGACTAGTTACTTAGATGACACTTAAAGCTTTCAAAACAGTTTTAGAGATGACTACTGATAATTAAAAGTAACAAACCATTCAAAAATAAATGCAGTACACACAGTTGACAATTCATTTATAGGAATCAAATTTTAAGTTCCTTCTCTCAGCCATTTGCACATAGCAATCATTGAGCTTTAAGAGGTATTGTTAATTTATTTTTCCTAGTGTATCTGCATATAAATGAAACCAATCATAGCCTCATAAAACTTAAGATACTTCATTCATTTATGTAGTTTAGTGAACGCCAGTATTTATAGAAGATGGTCTGTTAATTTGCTGCCTGATCTGGCAAGGAATAACACATAATGAAGACATTTACCAAATCATCAAAATTTTATATAAGCTCAGAAAACAAGACCAAAAAGTGAAAGAGATAACCAAGTGATCCACCTCACCTTAAAAGAAAAGGATCAAAGGAACCATATGTTAGCTTTAATTCAGAAATGAAATCAAATGTCATTGTATATTTTCAGAACTTTACACAGAATGCACATGGCTAAATTGGGTACCCAGTCCAACTGTAATGATAAAAAAAAAAAAAAGGAAAAAAGAATGTAATTACCTCTTTCATAACATTGAGGATGTACTTCATGTCTCAGCACAAACTCAGGATGTACATTTCAACATTTATATTAGGAGTATCATGTTGCTATAGATAGATTCATAGGATGATATGAGCCCTATCTTAAAACTTTAATGACAAAATAACGACTCAAAGATAAAATAATCTAAAACCATTGATACCTATCTAGTGAGATATAACTGCTTTTAATGCTTAGTCTTACTGAGAAGAATTTAAAGCATATCAGAATGTAATAAACTGGTCTTGGACAGTCTGCTGACTAAATTTACAACAAAAAGGAATGTAATAAACTTTTATGTTTATCTATTTGACTAAAATGATCCATCATCCTAAAGGTTGTCAAGGATTGTACCTGACCAATAGCATTCTCTTCCTACTTCTAAGACGGACGTGCATAGAAGGAATCGCATAATAGCAATGTAACTGTCCTAGTAATTAATAAAAATTTTTAAGTAGTAGTAAATCTTCAGTTACTAATTACTTCATTTATTTTACACAGAGATCTCCCTCCCCATAAAAGAAGAACCTTCTCCTATTTCCAAAATGAGACCAGTGACAGCCAGCATCACCACAATGCCAGTGAATACAGTGGTGTCCCGGCCACCACCCCAAGTCCAAATGGCACCACCTGTATCTTTAGAACCTATGGGCAGTTTATCTGCCAGCTTAGAGAACCAACTAGAAGCTTTCTTGGATGGAACTTTACCCTCAGCCAATGAAATTCCTCCACTACAAAGCAGCAGTGAAGACAGAGAGCCCTTCTCTCTGATCGAGGACCTCCAGAATGATCTGCTGAGTCACTCAGGTATGCTGGACCATTCACACTCACCCATGGAGACTTCCGAGACCCAGTTTGCTGCAGGTACTCCCTGTCTGTCTCTCGACCTGTCAGACTCAAACTTGGACAACATGGAGTGGTTGGACATTACCATGCCCAACTCCTCTTCAGGACTCACTCCTCTCAGCACCACCGCGCCGAGCATGTTCTCTGCTGACTTTCTAGACCCACAGGACCTACCGCTGCCATGGGACTAACGTCACAGATTTCTTTTCTGAGAGTTGATGAGGTTTAAGAACATGAAGATTCTAAAAGGTCAGTTTTTAGAGATAGATCTATAGTTGCATTGTTGCAATCAAAATATGTTGTCACAGAAAGAATAGGTGGAAGGTCATAGCCTGGAACCCAAGTTTGAAAACATTTCATTGTGTTCAGTAGTGAATTTCTACAGTTTAACATAGCACAGGGCCTTCTGAAAATCGCACTTGTCAAAGACGACTCATCTATTTCTCCAGACTTCAGTAAAGAATGAAAAGTACCTTTAGATAAAAACAAAGAAGAGTAATATATGCAGCACAGTGACGTTAGGATTCTGGTAATTAACTACATTTAAATCTCTGGTCACTTTAAGACCCTAAATAAAAGGCAGACAGCTCCACTCAAAAACTAAGGCTGATGTGAGGGAGGTGAGAGGTCACTGCACTTGGTACTTCCTAGAGACGGCCGGAGCCAGGCCCAAGACACAGCAGAGGTCAAAGGCAGTGGAGAGCCTTGGCCAGTTCAGTGACAGCTTCTGGCTGAAGACTTTTGGTTCTATTCAGAAACCTGTGTCGTTTTTTTGGTGTTGTAGTTTATTTTGTGATTTTTTGGAATCGTACTTTATATTTCCAAATTTAAATTTAAATGCAAGATCTTTCAACATAAACAGAAGATACCTACAAAATACTGTCAGAAGTCCAGGTATACTGATAACACTGAAAATTCTATTAGCAACCTTCTGGGTTGGTTAGATTGATTTTAATGTATATATTAGACATTTGTATGTATGCTCTGACATTGTGATTTGTACAGCCTACGCTGGGGTAAGGAAATGGGTATCCAAGGTCCTACTTTTTTAATAGCTCGAATATTTCTAGAGTACTTGAGCCACATGTATTTCTGTATTTAAAGAATTGCTGACTAACTTTCAGGTAACCAGACCCATCTCAAAGAACCAAGAAAAGGCTTTAGCATGAAATATCTTTCTGAGCTGGCGAGTTAGAAGAATGGAAGGTAAGGGGAAGGTCTGTCATCTACCCAGGACATTCCCATGATGAGTACAGGTCAGATTGTGCCACAAGGTGGGCCTCCACGTCCCTGCCCTGGCCCTCTTTCTTCTGTCACTAACCCTGGTTATCATTTTACAGGCTTGTAACTGGATATTCTACCAGAGCTCTCACTATATTGTCAAGCCTAAGATTGAAAAACTGGAGGCTTTATTAGTGTTTTTATATAGAAAACAGTTATTACATATGTGTTAAGTCATTTCTTAAGAATTTTCTAAAATGCCAACTATCACAGGATTATTTCAAGCTAGTCATTGAGGTATATGACAAAATGTAAATAACAAAAAACTGAAATCTACCAAAAGAGCATGGAGATTTTTCTTAAATAATAATATTGTGCTCTCCACCTCACCCTTGTGTAAACCCTCAGGTCAGGTTGGTTCCCCTGGGTCACAAAATGGTAAATGTTCCATACTGACATGCCGGAGGCAGCCTGACCCGTTATTTGGAAAGAATTTGTGAATTATTTCTGGGTTTGTGTTTTGCCTAAGAGCTGATCTTATTTCTGATTTGTGTGTGTGTGGTTTATAAATTTTACTACGTGTAACAAAAGTCTGCTTTTCCAGCATGAGCACACTGGAGCCCTCTGCTCACTGGCACTTCCTGACTCAAAGGCACTAACAGTGCTCATGTGCCTTCCAGACGGTTCAAGGCAGAGGCCACTGTGCTCAGTGTAGTCTGTGATGAATAGTTTAAGTGTTCAGAAATTGGTAAACCAACACACGGGATACAATAACTCTCTGTTAACCAGAACACCGTCATTTGACCAAGCCCTACAAGAGTTTACCACACTAGATGTTCTGTGAATCCTCGAGTCAGTTCCATTGAGAGGGGCCTGTCTCCAGGGCCAGGCTATTTACTTGGGAAAGTATTTTTCTTACAGTTCTTGGCCACAGTTTTTTTGCTGAGGGTTTCTGTCTGGGCCTATCAGGTCCATACTTAGACCCTGAGCATCTTCTTCATTCAGATTTGAATGGCTTATTAAATTAGCACCAAATATCAGTGGGACTGTAGAAGGTAACCGAACACTAGTACCATTGACTCTCGTTGAATAACTTTATATTTCCATAATCCTGAATTGTGTAGATAGTTTTCTAGCTCTCGGGTCCCTTTATTGCTTTTTAAAATAGGGTTTGAAACATGCCACAGGAAGGTTGCTCTCCAAAAATACACAGTGCAGTGCAAGAAAATGCTATCTCATTGGCCTACTCTCCTATGAATTGCTAAAGTGCCCACTTCACATATGTGTTTAAACCTTTATAAACCAGTATTTCACTTTTAAAAAGACAAGGCATCTCTACCCATTAACTCTGCAAGCCACTCCACTTGCACCATTCCGCTTGACCCTCCTCTCTCCTGGCTTGGGTCACCAGCCAGGCACCTGTGACACGAGTGCTGCTCTCCAGGATCTCCACTACATGTTCCAGGTTGGAGTGAGGACGCGCTATGTGCTCACACTCATGTGACATGACCAAAGATGATACTCTGTAAACAAGGCCCTTCTGACCGGACTCAGTGCGTGTGATGGTGAGTGCAATGAGGAAGGGTGGATATTGACTAAAGACTGGTTGTTGTTGTTGTTTAGGTTAGTGTCACAGCCATTACAGCACAAGTCAAAGTCGCCAGTTGAATTTTCATTATGCACGTGTGTGGTTTAAGCAGTGGTACTGTTGTATATCATATTGTAAAGTATCATACTGCCAAGAAAATAACTCCTAGAAAGGCATTATCTCACATCCCCATCTTACTTTCCTACATGTTCTCAAAACACAGTAGTACCAGCCTTACCTTTCTGCTGTATGTAGATAGTCAGATCATCCTACTGGGGGTGGGATGAATTTAAAAGTTATACCAAAATTTCTGTAAAGTCTTTGAAAGTCTAGGAGTAGGTGGTCATCTTGTACATTTCAGCAAAGCATCCACTAGGAAACCTCATAGGACAGTGTTAGTGGTTCACGTTCTAGTGTTTTTCCTGAAATGTGCAATCTACTGTATAGTATTGCCACATAATTGTACATAGATGTATTCTGAATTTGTGGAATTTCTTGCTTAGATACTATTGTGTTTGTTTCATATGAATATTTTTGTAATTCTAAAAGAGATCTTATTTAAATTTCCTTTTTAAAAGCCGCATGGTTCTGTGATCCATGTAACTGACACTTTTTGGCTTTCAGTGCTGTTTAGAAACAGTGGCAAAGGCAGGGTGGTGCTGCCTGCAAGCTGCTGCCTATGGAAGGCAAAGTCATAGTAATGAGATAGCACCTCTGAACTGTGCAGTCAGCATACCCTGAGTGATGGCTCAGGGGCGCACTACCTATTTTGTCACCAGAGCTGACTCAGGCTTCCTGGACCCTCAACCCCAGATCATTCCAGGCAGCATAGCTTTCTTCACAGTCCTTTCAGAATTCCCAGGCTGAAATCAGCCATAGCAGTTGACAAAACAGCTATCCCCACAAGTGATGAGATAGTCCCTTTACTGTCCTCAAATGGACTTGGCCTTAGAGACGTGGTAAAGCACTTTGGCAGGGTTTAAAATATTTGTGAGAAGCCCACATTTCAGTATACATCCTCACTGGCTTCCATGCACCCACCTGACGGTAGCCTCACAGAAGTCCTGGCTGTCACTCAGGTGGGGAGCTCATGGTGCCGCTGGGGACTTTTTAGAGAAATGTAAAGAGAATAGCTATTCAGTGTCTACTAGCAGAGCAACATGTGTCAATTTAACCAAATTCACAAATAACCCTCCATTTTTCAATATCTGCTACTGTAAACATGAATATTGAATACTGACAAGAGAATACCCATACAAATCGTCCCACCGCCCTAGAGGCCACAGAATTAGCCCAAAATTATCAAAGAACATTAACTGGAAGGTCAGGTTTTTCAAGGAACATAGCTTACAAATGCATCAGTGTGTATCTGGAGAGCATCCTAACTGCATTTCAACTCATCTTTTAAGTGATTTCAGTCAAAACTGGAAAACAACTAAGATGTAGTAATTTTTTTTTCCTGGTTCAAACCTTCAATAACTTGCTCATTCAGCAGTCTCTCTGAGCTACATTTTTATTTGTAAAGTGACTCTGTCTGCATGGCAATGAGCAGGTGCGTGTTTTTTCCACATTCGCCCTTTCTTGCAGTATCCAGGGAAACACATCATTACAAAGGGTTTCTACCTGAAATCTTTCATGGAAGGCCTACAATTCGAAAAGCTGCACATGTTTACAGAAGAGCTCTTACCCTCCATGCAAACACTTTGCTCTGTGGTGTCACAGCTTTGTGACAATAAGATGGCAATCTCGGATCTACAAGGTGCTGTCGGGAATCAAATAAAATATGTTATCAGAGATATCATCACATCTATAGTGTTTAACAGAGCTTTATGCCAACTACTAAGACAAAGCTTTAACAAAGTTTATAGAATACTGAAACTCGTAACAATTACCTCTCTACGTGATGCTGTAAGGAATCTTGCTAATTTGGTAGGAAGAGGAAGCATTTAGGAAAGGGTTTAGTATCTACCAAAAGTACTTGACCTCAAGTAACCAATAGTAATGCAAACTTGCTTTAAAGGAACCAAAGGCATTGCCAAGTATTTGCCAAAAGGAGGCACTTTTTATTTAAAATTTGAGACTAATGAGATCTCAAAAATCAGCCCCAAAAAGGTATTATCCATTTAAGGTTATAATTTTCACTAAGATGTAGATATTTCTCTTATTGTTTTCATGTAAAATAGTATAGAGTTGTTTTGTTGGTTTAAGAGTAACATTCAGTAGTAATACAAAGTTTTTTTTCTATGTAGAAATTAGTTTTCTTTTCTTGCTTGCAATAGAAATGCAATGTGATAGGTGTTTCTCTTCTTATTTTCATTGTCACATTATGTCTTAGCATCTCACTTTATGAAAAAAAGGAGAAAGATACCAATCTACAGAGCCCTGCTTGTTGAAGCACTAGTTTAATCAACAAAAAATTATGGCAATCGGGGGTCCATTCATCTATTGCCTTTATGTTGTTTTTTAAAAGAAAAACCATGATGCCTTTGTATTTGCTGTTTGCACCCCTGAAATCAATTCCATATCATGTTTGAATGCCATACATTTTGCACATGTACTGTACATAAGTAATGCATACTGTATTTTTATATGTGTGCACATTTATCATCAGATCTTTTGTACATAGTGGCAGTATTGTAGCTGATCGGGAAATGTTTGATATCTCAGCAATTTTGCATTTTTGTGTCTCAAATAAAAGACATTTTGATGTACTATGATTCTTGCTGTGCAGAGGAAAGACCACTCCCTATGGGTTGGTGGAGCCATTGTAGACTGTGGAACGGGAGTGGATTTATTAGGAGGAGACACTATACCTTTAGCATACAACTCACAACAGAAAGCCAGCAGGCCAAGCCTGTGAACTTGTCACCCTCCCCTGGATCCAAGACCATGAGATACAAAATAGAAACTCACAGGTACGAGCTGAACTTGAATATGTCAAGATTTACACAAAGTGAGTTTCTTTCTTCCACAATGAAAGTTAGAAATATGTAGTTCTCCCTAGGGGGTTGATTTTCACACTCGGCGCGCACACACGCACAATGAAAACTGACTCAATAACATCAATGCACCACCACCACAATTCCTGAAAGACCCACATAATCCTTCAATCTAGCCAAGTTTCAAAAGCAACTATTTATATGAGGTATTTTTATAGACTGTACAAAATGGTCTTTAGAATTCAGTATGCTTTTAGTAAGATGGCATTTCATTTCAACTCAGAAGCCAACATTTAAAACAGAGTTTGGTTAAAATTTTTTTTCTCTTTGCTTTGAAGAAACAAAATAGTAATGAGTAAACTCTAATAACTATACCATATATCAATATTTGATTAAGAAAAAAGGCCCGAGTATCAACCACAGAAAAGGGGAAAAGAAAGATATTGATTACCAAAACACAGCAAAATGTTCATTACACTTAGGGAACCAGAGTGCAGCCTCAACAGACCAGTGAGATGATGCGCAAAGGGTTAAACCATTCATAAAGTATCATATGTTCCAGGCAGAGATCCTGCCCTTGGGGAGAAAATAGACCTCCCTGCTGGTCTGAGAGAAAACTTTGCCAAAGGAAGCATTGCACGTGCCCTGGGAGCCCAAGAGGAGTGAGCAAGGGATGTCACAGGAAACTCTGGGGAAGCTGTCATGGCAGACAGCCCCTTGGGCAAGGTCAGAATTAATTGGAGAAATTGTTTTTTCCTGCAACAGATTTTTTTTTATTTATTAGTTTTGTTGTTTTTTGAGACAGAGTCTCACTCAGTCACCGAGGCTGGAGTGTGGTGGCACAATCTCGGCTCACTGCAACCCTCTGCTGCCTGGGTTCAAGTGATTCTCCTGCCTCAGCCTCAGCCTCCCAAGTAGCTGGGACTACAGGCACGTGCCACCATGCCTGGCCAATTTTTATATTTTTTTAGTAGCTTTGGGGTTTCACCATGTTAGCCAGGCTGGTCTCGAACTCCTGACCTCAGGTGATCCACCCACCTCAGCCTCTCAAAGCACAGGGATCACAGGTGTGAGCCACTGCACCTGGCCAAGTATTACTTCTAATTTAACTTTCAGAAAGAAGTCTCATATTGATGTCCTGTCTTTTCTGTTAATATGCATGACAGGCTAATTAAATTAAACCTATGTTGTGTGATGAGATGAGAAACAAGGGTCCTCATCAACATTTTCTGTGCCCTTTCGTTGGATGCGATTGCGTCACAGATCATTCCACGGGGAAATCCGTGAATGATGGCCCTGTGGGTGCTCACTCTGCAGCGTCCTCCTGCTTGCCATTGGACGTACAACAGACTTGTCAGAAGCATCCAAACCCCAAATTATTTCAATGCTAATACTGTCCAAGCCAAAGCTGAAGTTTGATTAATGGTGAAAAAGGGCTTTTAGTCAGGTTAATTGTTAAGAATTAAAGTGTTTCCCATCCAAGATTCAAATAAAGACCTTTGAGGCCGGGTGCAGTGGCTCACACCTGTAATCCCAGCACTTTGGGAGGCCAAGGCGGGTGGGTCACCTGAGGTCAGTAGTTCAAGACTAGACTGAACAACATGGTGAAACTCCATCTCTACTAAACACACACACAAAAAAACTAGCCAGGCATGGTGGTGCATGCCTGTAGTCCCAGCTACTTGGTAGGCTGAGGCAGGAAAATCCCTTGAACCTAGGAGGTGGAGGTTGCAGTGAGCCGAGATCACGCCATTGCAATCCAGCCTGGGCAACAAGAGTGAAACTCCATCTCAAAAAAAAAAAAAAAAAGGAAGGCAAATGACTTGCCTGAAATCACAAAGGAAACAGCACAGATTTGAGACCAAGCTTCTGAAACCCCAGAACCCAAACCATCTGTCTTAGTCTGTTCAGGGAGCTATAATAAAATACCTCAGACTGGACAATTTACAAACAGCTGAAACATAGTGGTCACAGTTCTAGAGACTGGAAGATCCAACATCAAGGTTCCAGCAGATTCAGTGTCTGGTGAGGTCCAGGTCTCTGCTTGGAAGATGGTGCCTTTTTGCTGCATCCTCACAAAGAGGAAGGGACAGAAAGGCCAAAACACACACACACAACACACACAAACAGGCTGCCTTTTATAAGGGCACTAAATCCCATTCATGAGAGCAGAGCCCTCATCACTTAATCACCTCCTAAAGGTCCAAACTTCTAATACATTGCATGGGGATTAAGATTCAACATGAATTTTAGAGACACAAACATTCAAACCATAGCACCATTCCTGTAGACTCTATATACAACTCTCTGCCTTTGTCCAGATACTTTGTGAATACAATTGAGTACAGCTTAATTCATGTCTATCATGAGGTTCCACTAACTGTCTTGATTAGACCTCCTCAGTCTCTCACATTTTCTAAAGTACCTGCTCACAAATGTTTAATGGCATCCAATGTATGGCTTTTTACTAGATTAAAGCCAGCCAGAACATGGAGTCCAAGACTGGAGCGTTTTAAGTGAACTCTACTGACTGGGCCATGCAAAATGACTTGTTATTAAACACTATCTTGCTGGGGCTTCTGTAACCATTTGAACACATACCAAAGCTCAAGAGCAGTAAGATTTTTAAATACCTAGCAAGGTTGAAGACACACAAACTCTGTGATCCAGCAAATCAATTTTTTGTACACATCCTTGAGAAACACAGACGTACACAGGAAATCACGTGTAAGAATGAACACTAAAGCATTTACAAAGCAAAAATTGCAAGCAACTCCTATGCCTTTCAATTAGAGAACCATTAAACACTGCAATTTACAGGAATGAACTAAATCTAATGTGCCAATGTAAAAGAATCTTGAAACAAAATGCTGAGGGGGAAAAAAGTGCAGAATAAAGCCTGCATAATTCAAGTAACATTTTAAAACAAGGCTGTGTGTTTTATAAAGTATAAAAACATGGGTGGTAAGGACTCAGGTCAGTTTCAAGATTCAGAATATTTCTGGAAAGAAAAAACTAGATTGGGGAACATCTGAAAGGAGGCTTTAACTTTCTAATATTTAATAATTCTATAGCCAATATAGCAAAATACTAATTGTTAACTAGTTGATTTTAACTATCCCTATTTTTTGTGAGTTGGAAATATTTTATGGTAAAAAAGATTAGTAAGAACGATATTTCTGATGTATATAGAAACTAAAGTCCTAAATAAAATACTGGCAAATGAAATCCAGTAATATGCAAAAACTGTTATATAGCATGACCAAGTGGGGTTTATTCCTGGAATGCAAAGTTGGTTTAACCTCTGAAAATCCATTAATGCAAAACACCCTATCCATAGAATAAAGTACAAAAACTACATGATTATCCCAATACACACAGAAAAAGCACTTGACAAAATTCAACACCCCTTCACAATAAAAATGCAATGAACTAGAAATAGAAAGGAACTTTCTCACGTTATAAAGGTCATTTACACAAAACCCACAACTATCATTATACATAGTGGTGAAAGACTGAATGCTTGTCTCCAGTGCTCAGGAAAAAACGGATGTCCACTCTTAGAACTTCTGTTCAACATTGTACTAGAGTTTCTACCCAGGACAATTATACAAGAAAAAGAAATAAAAGGCATCCAGATTGGAAAGGAAGAAATAAAACAATCTCTATTTGTAGATGGCATGATCTTGCCTATAGAGAATCCTAAAGAATTTCCTAAAAATTGATTAGAATAAAATGAATTCATCAAGGTCACAGGATACAAAACTCAATTGCAATTCTGTACAGTAGCAATGAATAAACCACAGATGAAATTAAGAAAACAATGCCATTTATAATAGCATCACAAGCAATACTTAGGAATAAATTTAACAAAAGAAGTATAAGACATACTCTGGGCCGGGCGTGGTGGCTCACACCTGTAATCCCAGCACTTTGGGAGGCCGAGGCAGGCAGATCATGAGGTCAGAAGATCGAGACCATCCTGGCTAACACGGTGAAACCCCATGTCTATTAAAAATACAAAAAAATAGCTGGGCGTGGTGGCAGGCGCCTGTAGTCCCAGCTACTCGGGAGGCTGAGGCAGGAGAATGGCGTGAACCCAGGAGGCAGAGCTTGCAGTGAGCCGAGATTGTACCACTGCACTCCAGCCTGGGCGACAGAGCGAGACTCCATCTCAAAAAAAAAAAAAAAAGACATACTCTGAAAACTTATACTCTGAAAATATTTCTCAAAGACAAATAAATGGAAAGACATCCACGTTCATGGATCTGAAGACTTAATATTGTTAACATGTTAATATTCCCCAAAACTGATCTACAGATTGGACATACTCCCTATCAAAATCTTAGCTGGGTTTTTGCTAGAATGGACAAGCTAATCCTAAAATTCATATGAAATTCAAGGGACCTGGAATATCCAAAATCTTGAAAAAAGAACAAAGTTGGAGGACCCACACATCTCAATTTAAAAACTTACAGCAAAGCTACAATATTCAAAGTGTAGTACTGGCATAAGAATAGACATAAAGATCAATAGGATAGCACTAAGTATACAGAAATAAATTCTCATATTATGGTCAATTGATTTTTCACACACACGAAAAAAAGCCAAAATAATTCAGTGGGGGAAGGAACTGGCTTTTCAACAAACAGTGCTGAGACAACTGGATATCCACATGCAAAAGAATGAATTTGGACTCCCTACCTCATACCATATAAAAATTTAAAATAGATCAAACTAAAAGAAGTAAAACAATAAAACTTGTAGAAGACAACAGAAAATCTGTGTTACCTTGGGTTAGGCAAAACCTTCTTAAATATGACAACAAAAGCATAAGCAATAAAAGAAAAAATAGACTAGTTAGATATCACCAAGGCTAAAAACTTCTGTGCTCCAAATAATACTGCCCAGAAAATTCAATACAACCCACAAAATAGGAGAAAAATTGTGCAAATCATGTATCTGATAAAAGACTTGTATTTGAAATATGTATAAAAGACTATTACAACTCAATAATAAAAAGATAAACAATTTTTAAATGGGTAAAGAATCTGAAGTCACTTCTCCAAAGAAGAGACACAAATGGCCAATACGTGCATGAAAAGATGCTTGACCTCAGACAAATACAAATCAAAACCACGAGATACCACTTGACAGATGCTAGGATGGCCATAATCTAAAAAGGTAGATAATAACAAGCATCAACAAGGATGTGGAGAAACAAACCCATATACACTGCTGGTGGTAGTGTGAAATAGTGTGACTGTTTTGGAAAACCATTTAGCAGTTCTTCAAAAAAGTTTAAAAATAGAGTTGCCACATAACCCAGCAATTCCGCTCCCAGGCATACAACCCAAGAGAATGAAAAACACATGTCCACACAAAAACTTGTACCTGAATGTTTACCACACCATTATTCATAATAGCCAAAAAGTAGAAACAACCCAGATGTCCATCAACTCATGAATGGATAAAATGTGGTATATTCATATAATGGATTATTTGGCAAAAAAAAAAGAAAAATGAACTGACTCATGCTACAACAAGGATGAACCTTTAAAACATTATGCTAAGTAGGCTGGGCACAGTGGCTCTCACACCTGTAATCCCAGCCCTTTGGGAAGCCAAGGCAGGTGGATCACTTGAGATCAAGAGTTCGAGATCAGCCTGGCCAACATGGTGAAATCTCGTCTCTACTAAAAGTACAAAAATTAGCCAGGCGTGGTGATGCCCACCTGTAATCCCAACTACTCGGGAGGCTGAGGCAGGAGAATCACTTGAACCAGGGAGGTGGAGGCTGCAGTGAGCCAAGATTACACCACTGCACTCCAGCCTGGGTGACAAAGTGAGACTCCATCTCAAAACAAATCCAATTTTCTTAGTAAACATCCATTTATTTTAAGCACATTTATTGTGAGAGTGATTTTTTTGTGCCTTCAAATCTAGTCTTCTGGTTATTTACTGATGCATAATAAAGCACTCTAAAACTTAGTACCTCCAAACAATGACACAGAAGACTTCTGCTTTCAAGCAAAATGGAGTAACAGGGGCCAGACTTGACTTCCTACCTGAAACCACCAAGATGGACAAAATATATGAAACCCTTTGGAAAATGCTAGATATCAAATAACAAAAGAGTTATCTCTAAGGGACAGGAAACAAGGTGAACTCTACTGTTGCCCAGGGAAGTCAGGTAGAGCCAGTGGATTCCTAAGTTGGCAGCCAGGGCAATGAATCCAGGAGGCCAAGACAGCTTGAGTTTGTAGCACATAATACTAGAGAAGAGAGCTACATTGAGAAAACTCTGGAAATCTACAGAGGGTCTCCTTTAGTATTCAGCAGAGCACTGACAGGTATATGGGTGTAAACACACTACACATGGCCTGGGAAAGAACAACCCCCAAAATTACAGGTAACAGCTCCCAGTACTCATACAGTGCTGGGAATAGTGCCTGTTGCCACCAGCCAAGCTGAAAACTCATAATGCAAGGGACATTAGAAGTATTCAAGAAAATCCTTCCCCAGCATTGAGGATTATAGACTAATCTCTGCTCCAGATCCATCTAACAAATACAAGCAAAAAATATGACATATTTAATAAGATTAATTAATTAATTATAACCAACCAGGAAGTTGTTTTAAAAAAGAATTATTAAAGGCAGAAGTTGTTTAGAAAAAAAAAAACTGACAGAAATGTCAGTTTGCAGACAAGGACATTAAAACCATTATAACTGAATTCCATATGATCAAAAAGTTAAGTAGAAACAAAAACATAGGAGTTTTTTAATACATTGAACGTCAGATGAAAACTACAATGTCTGGAGATGAAAAATGCACTGACTGAGAATAATGGAAAATGATACATTACAGAAAAAATATGTCTCTGGTGAGAGACATATGGTGACAGAGTAGGCTGTAGCGTATTCTATCAGTAATTTGAGTCCCTTGAGTGGAGAGACAGAAAGACATTTGCAGAATATTAGATCAATATACAAAAGTCAATTGTATTTTTATCTACTAGCAATTAATCAGGAATTGAGATTTTTTAAATAGTGCCATTTATAATAGCATCAAAAATATGAAATATATGGGATAGATCTGACAAAAGATATGAAAGGTCTGTATACTAAAAACTACAAAACACTTTACAGAGAAATTGAAAACCTAAGTAAATAAAGAGATATATAATGTCCAGGCATTGGAAAACTCAATATTGCCAATATGTCAATTCTCCCCAAATTGATCTACAGATTTAACGCAGTTGCAATCGAAATGCCAACATGTTTTTTGTAGAAATTGTCACCAGATACTAAAATTCATATGAAAATGATAAAGAAATAGAATAGTCAAAAAGAGGAACAGGCCAGGCGCCGTGGCTCATATCTGTAATCCCAACACTTTTCAGAGGCCAAGGCAGGCAGATCATGAGGTCAGGAGATCGAGACCATCCTGGCCAACATGGCGAAACCCTGTCTCTACTAAAAATACAAAACAATTAGCTGGGTGTGGTGATGCACAGCTGTAATCCCAGCTACTCGGGAGGCTGAGGCAGAAGAATCCCTTGAACCCGGGAGGCGGAGAATGCAGTGAGCCAAGATCGCACTACTGCACTCCAGCCTGGCGACAGTGAGACTCAAAACAAAAAAAACAAAAAAAAAAGGAGGAACAAAGAATTGGAAGACTAATGCTACCTCATTTCAAGACTTAAGCTACATCGGCCAGGCACGGTGGCTCATGCCTGTAATCCCAGCACTTTGGGAGGCTGAGGCAGGAGGATCACTTGAGGTCAGGAGTTCAAAACCAGCCTGGCCAACATGGTGAAACCCCATCTCTACTAAAAATACAAAACAGCTGGGCATGGTGGCACACGTTTCTAATCCCAGCTACTTGGGAGGCTGAGGCAGGAGAACTGCTTGAAGCCAGGAGGTGGAGGTTGCAGTGAGCCGAGATCACACCACTGCACTCTAGCCTAGCCAACACAGCAAAACTCCGTCTCAGGAAAAAAAAAAAAAAAAAGACAAGCTACATTAAGACAGTAAAGATAGACAAATAGATCAATAGGACAAAATGGAGTCAAGAAAGAGACCCAGGCATATATGGACAACTTATTTTCAACAAAGGTGCAAAGGCAATTCAGTGGAGGAAGTATGGTCTATTCAACAAAAGATACTGAAACAAATGGATATCTATATCCAAAAAGGTGGACTTCAATCCATAACTCATCATATACAAAATTTACTCTGAGTGAGTCATAGACCTAAAATCTAAAACTATAAAATTTGTAGAGGAAAAACATTTGTGACTTTGAGTTAGAGATTTCTTAGCTATAACAAAAAAAGAATGATCCATAAAAGAAAAAGTTAATAATTTGATTTAATCAAAATTTAAAACTTTTGCTCCTTAAAGGACAGTGTTAAAAGATTAAAAAGAGCCACAGACTGGGACAAAATACTTGGAAATCATATCTGATAAAGGATTTATATTCAGAATATATCAAGAATCTCACTGGTCTGAGTGCAATTTACAACCAATTGATCACAACCAGTTATACATTTCTTTGTTCTTCTCCATTTTCACTGCTTCACTTGGCTAACCTTAAAAACAAAAAACAACAAAATTCCACATTTTAATAATTTAAAATCCCAATAAAAAATGCATGGAACAGAAACTTCACCAAAGACAACAAATGAATGCCAAATAAACAAACACATGAAAAAATGCTTAACATCTTAGTACTAGAGAAACACAAATTGGCCAGGCACAGTGGCTCACACCTGTAATCCCAGCACTTTGGGAGGCCTAAGTGGGCAGATCACCTGAGTTCAGGAGTTCAAGACCAGCCTAGCCAACATGGTGAAACCCACTCTCTACTAAAAATACAAAAATTAGCCAGGGGCGCCAGTGGGCACCTGTAATCCCAGCTTCTCAGGAGACTGAGGCAAGAGAAACACTTCAACCCAGGAGGCAGAGGTTGCAGTGAACTGAGATCATGCCACTGCACTCCAGCCTGTGCAACAGAGTGAGACTCCGTCTCAAAAAAAATAGAGAAATGCAAATTAAAATCACAATGCAATACCATTACACGCCTATTAGAATGACCAAAAAGACTGACCACACCAAGTGTTGGCGAGGATATGGGGGAACTGAACTCTCCTCCACTGTTGGTGGAAATGTAAAATGGTGCAGCCACTTGGGGAAACAGTTTGTCAGTTTCTTAAAAAGATAAACATATGACCCATGGATTCTACTCCTGTGTATGTATCTAAAAGCAATGAACACATATGTCTGTTCAAAGGTTTATACACAAATGTTCACAGTAGTTTTGTTTGTAATAGCCAAAAACCAGAAACAACTCAAATGTCCATACCACTCAACAACAACAAGGAATGAATTCTTGGTACACAATAATGTACAATACAGGTAAGTCTCAGTTATGCCGAGGGAAAGAAGCCAGGAAAAAAGAGCACGTACTGTTTGATTCCATTTACATACAATTCCAGGATGTGGGCCAAGTACGGTGGCTCACGCCTGTAATCCCAGCACTTTCAGAGGCCAAGGTGGGCAGATCACCTGATGTCAGGAGTTTGAGAAAGCCTGACCAACATGGTGAAACCCCATCTCTATTAAAAATACAAAAATTAGCCTGGCATGGTGGCTCATGCCCGTAATCTCAGCACCTTGGGAGGCCAAGGCAGGTGGATTACTTGAGGTCAGGAGTTTAAGACCACCCTGGCTAACATGGCAAAATCCCATCTGTACTACAAATATAAAAATTAGTGGGGACCCTGTAATCCCAGCTGCTCAGGAGGCTGAGGCAGGAGAATCACTTGAACCCAGGAGGCAGAGGTTGCAGCAAGCTGAGATCTTGCAGCAAGCTGAGATCTTGCAGCAAGCTGAGATCTTGCAGCAAGCTGAGATCTTGCAGCAAGCTGAGATCTTGCCACTGTACTCCAGCCTGGGTGACAGAGCAAGACTCCGTCCCAAAAAAAATCAAAATTAGTTTGTTAGTGCAAACTAACATATGGTGACAGAAAGCAGAATGGCAGTTGTTAGGGGTGGGAGGGAAGGATGACAAAAGGACATGAAGAAACAATGCAAACAACTCAATTTGAAGAAAAAAAAAAAAAAGAGAGACCACCTAGATTTCTATAGGTTCTTCTACCTGGATGGAAATAGTACCTTGTATTTGAGAAAGGATGAGGTCTGGCTACAGTATTTGTACTTTGTCTAAGTATTTTCCCTTGAGGTTGGTTTTTTTTTTTTTTTTTCCATTTTTTTGAGACAGGGTCTCTCTCTGTCACCCAGTCTGGAGTGCGGTGGCACCATCATGGCTCACTGCAGCCTCGGCCTCCCGGGCTCAAGTGATCCTCCCACCTCAGCCTCCCGAGTAGCTGGGACTACAGGCGCATGCCACCACACCCAGCTAATTTGTGTATTTTTGTAAAGACAAGTTTTCACCACGTTGCCTAGGCTGGTCTCAAACTCCTGGGCTCAAGCGATCCTCCTGCCTTGGCCTCCCAAAGTGCTGGGATTACAGGTGTGAGACACTGTGCCCCACCTATTTTTAAAGATAGCAGAGGATTAAATGATACTAATATACCATAACAAATGGGAAATACGCAGAGGTAAACACCAGAGAAAACCCATTTAGACTTCCAGGGCAATAAACTAGCATCCAACAAACAGCTACAAAGACAGAAAGTGTCGCAAGAATGACAGCATTTTAAGTACCATGAAAAAGAACAATGAGATGTTTCCGAAAAAATGTTATTCACGTTTCCATCAAGAAATTCTAATGTGTCCATAATGGAAAAAGGAAGAACATAAAGGTCACATTTCATGTTTGACACTTTTACACCTGAGTGTTACGTGAACATTTACAGTTTTACAGCACTAAAGCAAAGCTGCAAGAGAAAAACACAAAAGGTATGTTTGGCTCAGTAAGTAAATTCATCACACTTTGCTCTCATTTCCTTCCACCCATTTATCTTTTCAAGTTGCCAAGAACAGCACTGGGAATAATCACCTCCCACACCAAAAGCTGAGGAGATGATAATTGGTGTCTGATGACAGGAGATGACATTTTTAAATAGTCACTTTAAACTTCATAACATAGATCCCATCCTTAACCACATATATACTGCTTGAGTGTGTATCTGGAAGGTGGCCCAAGAGTAAGCATAAGTTCACAAAAACACTGTACTGGTTTAAAAAATTGCACCAGGCCAGGCACAGTGGCTCACACCTATAATCCCAGCACTCTGGGAAGCTGAGGTGGGCAAACCACTTGAGGTCAGGAGTGGGAGACCAGCCTGGCCAACATGGTAAAACCCTGTCTCTACTAAAAATACAAAAATTAGCTGGGCCTGGTGGTGCGCGCCTGTAATCCCCAGCTACTCTGGAGGCTGAGGCAGGAGAATTGCTTGAACCTGGGAAATGGAGATTGCAGTGAGCCAAGCTTGCACCACTGCACTCCAGCCTGGGTGACACAGTGAGACTTCGTCTCTAAAAAAAAAATGCAATCCAGAAGATTGTGTCATTTATGCACCAGGGATCTTAAAATACAAGGTCTAGGAAAAGGTCACTATCAAAATCGCTTCCTGGATAATGTGAGTAAAGGTCTGAGTTTTTGAAATGTATAATATGAATAAACATAAAGAGAAATAAATGATTATTTCCTATTTTGAAAAATGCGTACCATCTATCATTCATCATGTGAGATTCTCCTACTACTTTATAGAAAGTAGCAACATATGTGAAGGAACTAATTTTGGACATTTACATATTATATCTTACAAGCTCATAACACTAAAAAGAACCAAAGGAATTTGGTTTGATACCAGTACACTCCAACCCATAACACACATCTCAAGCAGCTGGGTAAACGTTGGCCACGTTGTTACACAAAGGGTGAGGCTGATTATTTCTACCTCCTCTCAACTAACTCCACACAAAGCTAAAAATGAGAGAGACTTGAGCAAAAGCAAACATCACTCCTGGAGTCCAGTGGGACCAATGGCCAGCTCACTCACCAGTAAGCAGATATTTTTAGTAGATAAGGCTGGTAAAATACAACACAGAGAGGTCATCTTAGGAAAGTAATGGACCTTATATCCATGGCCAAGAGCTCTACATGTGTGCATGAGGGACAAGTGCAACAATGCAAGAGAAGCTGTAATGAAGAAAAATCGGAAACAACCTAGGTGGCCAGCAATAGGGGAATAATAATTATTATTATTTTTATTTGAGATGGAGGTTTACTCTTGTCACCCAGGCTGGAGTGCAGTGGCGTGATCCTGGCTCACCACAACCTCCACCTCCCAGGTGTAGGCGATTCTCCTGCCTCAGCCTCCTAAACAGCTGGGATTACAGGCACGTGCCACCACACCCAGCTAATTTTGTATTTTGAGTAGAGAGACAGGGTTTCACCGTGTTGGACAGGCTGGTCTCAAACTCCTGACCTCAGGTGATCAGCCCACCTCAGCCTCCTAAAGTGCTGGGACTACAGGAGTGAGCTACAGCAACCAGCGGGGAATTATAAAAACTGTGGTGCAGTCACCTAGTAGATTAGAATGGGGCAAATAAGGAATGAGCTAGAGCCACAGGGAATATGGCTAAATAAAGCTCCAGTGGTCTGTAGAATCCAAAATATGTACATTAAAAAATGCATATGGCCGGGCACCGTGGCTCACTCCTGTAATCCAAGCAGGAGGGTAGATCACCTAAGGTCAGGAGTTTGAGACCAGCCTGCCCAACATGGCGAAACCCCGCCTCTACTAAAAACATAAAAATTAGCCAGGCATGGTGGCGCATGCCCGTAATCCCAGCTATTCAGGAGGCTGAGGCAGGGAGAATCACTTGAACCCAGGAGACGGAGGTTGCAGTGAGCCGAGATCTCACCACTGCACTCCAGCCTGGGCGACAGAGCAAGACTCTGTCTCAAAAAAAAAAAAAAAAGTGTATAATATGATACCATTTGTGGGGAGAAAAATCCTCCCCAAAAGTCTTTATTTCCTATGGATAAATAGATATCAACATGAAAGCAAAGGAAAAGATATGTAATGATTCCAAATAAACTCCTAACAGTGGTCAACCTTGAAAAAGAGGAGGACGAAGGAGGGAAGAAGGGAACTTAGAGCTGGGAGGGTGGGGGCCCTCTGTTCCATGCAGGCAGAATGATAAGAGAAATAGCAATTTTGTTCTTTCACTGTCTACTGCTTCTTATATAGATCGACCCATTGTCTACTCTGCATGCTAATGTTGTAGCTCAGATAATCTGGTTGACCTTTTTAGAGCTTATCTAGGGGGAAAAAAAGGAAAGGGAAAAAAGAACAAAACTTTTTATTATTCATAGCTGCCAACTTGATCTTGTTCTGGCTCTGGAACGAACCAATTTAAACAGATACTTTCCAAGGTTAGAGAGGTTCAAAGATTGATTTGATGAGGTGATACCAGGGCATCCTGTACAACTGTAATTTCTGTGCAGGAAAAAAATCTACTTTTCATCCCTATAACATTTTGTGTGTGGTTGCCATTATTTGTTAAGGGTGTTGAAATAATCATCATCACCTCTCTTTTCAAGCCAGAAGATTTTTGGTTACACAGACCACCCATCTTGCTGCATTCTGCCAGGGCTGACACAGTTCCCACATGTGGCAGGGATTTTCACTTGGACAGACTGTTAAAAGGAGGTGAATACAGTTACCATAATCATTCCAACTACTCCTCCACTGAAAAAAAAAATCACAGGAAACTCACATAATTAAATTCCAAAGAAATGAATTCAAAATTAAAGACTCACAGGCATCAGCATCAAACAATGGGGAAATGAAATATTCATGGATAGGAAGATTCCATACTGTTAAGTCATCCATTCCCCCAAATTCATCTGTAGATTCAACGCGTTCCCAATCAAAATCCCAGAAGGCATTTTATAGAAACTGATGAGCCGATTCCAGGAATTATATGGAAATGCAAAGGATCTATTATAGGCAAAACAATTTTGTAAAAGAAAAACAAAGTGGAAGGATTTACAATACTTGATTTTGTACCCACTATAAATATACAATAATCAAGACTGGTGGTAATTGCCATAAAGATGGACATATGGATCAACAGAACAGAATAAAAAGACCAAAAATAGACCACACACAGTTCATTGAATTTTAACCAAGGTACCCAGGCAATTCAATGGGGAGAGGGTAATCATTTCAACAAATGGTGCTGAGGCCCAGCATGGTGGCTCACACCTGTAATCCTAGCACTTTGGGAGACCAAGGCAGGAGGATCACTGGAGCCCAGGAGTTCAAGACCAGCCCAGGCAACATAGCAAGACCCCCCCCCCAACCCCCGACATCTACAAAAGAATTTTAAAATTAGGGCCAGGCGACGTGGCTCAGGCCTGTAATCCCAGCACTTTGGGAGGCTGAGGTGGGCGGATCACTTGAGGTCAGGAGTTCAAGACCAGCGTGGTCAACATGGTGAAACAGCATCTCTATTAGAAATACAAAAATTAGCTGGGCCCACGTGGTGGCACATGCCTGTAATCCCAGCTACCCGGGAGGCTGAGGCAGGAGAATCCTTGAACCTGGGAGGCAGAGTTTGCAAGTGAGCCAAGATCATACCACTGCACTCCAGCCTGTGTGACAGAACAAGACTGCGTCTCGAAAAATAAATAAAAATTAAAAATTAGCCCGGTAGGCATGGTGGCATGTGCCTATAGTCCCAACTACTCTGAAGGCTGAGGCAGGAGGACCAGTTGAGCCAAGGGCTGAATCAGGAGAATCACTTGAGCCCAGGAGTTAGAGGCTGCAGTGAGCTATGATCATGCCATTGCACTCCAGCGTGAGTGACAGAGCAAGACCTTGTCTCTTTAAAAAACAAAAAGAACCCTGCCCATCCCTCACAACACAGGGCCCCTGCCTCAAGGAGCTGGGATACTGTGAGTAGCTAAGTGTGCTTTCTTTAGGTAAAATCTTTATTTAGGGTGTTAGTAAAAAGCCCGCTGTCATGACCTCAGATGACCTAAATATCCAAGCCTGAGGGTTTTTTCTCTTCCACAAGCAAACGAATTTCTCCAGGAATACTTTAAAGCAGTGCTTCCCAAAGTGAGGCCCTGGACCAGCTGCAGCAGCATTAACTGGGAACTTAGAAAGGCAGCTCCGCGGACCCAGCCCAGACTAACTGAATCAGCCTGCATTTTCATGAAATCTGCAGGTGCCACCCAGCCACCACCAAGGCTTACTGAGATAACGCAGGTGCCAGCCCCTCACAGGCCAGGAAGAGCCTCTGTTGCCCACCCTCACTCTGTGGAAGGCAGCAGGCACCAGGCACACAAGGTGAGCCAGGATGGAGGAGCTGGGGGAAGCCCAGGTCCTCCCTGGAGCCAGAAAGTGTCTTGGAGACATTGCCATTGAATTGTTCAGAAACAATTTTTCAGACACCCACAGCTGTAGCTAAACCACTTTAGATAGATATTGTATCTCGGTAGGGCTTAGGTTAATCAGGCACCATCAGGAAGGGAGAGAGGAAGTAAAAAGGCATTCAGCCTTCTAAGACCCTCAGGAGGTCTTTTTGAAAATCTAATAACGGCTGGGCGCGGTGGCTTATGCCTGTAATCCCAGCACATTGGGAGGCTGAGTCAGGTGGATCACGAGGTCAGGAGCTCAAGACTGGCCTAACATGGTGTAACCCCGTCTCTACTAAAAATACAAAAATTAGCCAGGCGTGGTGGCACGCACCTGTAATCTCAGCTACTCAGGAGACTGAGGCAGGAGAATCACTTGAACCCAGGAGGCGGAGGTTGCAGCGAGCTGAGATTGCACCACTGCACTCCAGCCTGGGTGACAGAGCGAGACTGTCTCAAAACAAAAACAAAAACCCCAATAAATTGTGACATCCCTCTTCCAGGAAAACTATATACGCACTTTATATATACTTTTGGGGAAGTCACACGTTTCCTGGGCTTGAGTGCATGGGCTCAGGTTAAGAAATTTTTGAGACAGTCTCACTCCATCTCTGCTCACTGCAACCTCCGCTTCCTGGGTTCAAGTGATTCTCCTGCCTCAGCCTCCGGAGAAGCTAGGACTATAGGCATGTGCCACCACACCCAGCTAACTTTTTGTATTTTAGTAGAGACGTGGTTTCACCATGTTGCCCAGGCTGGTCTTGAACTCCTGAGCTCAGTCTACCCAACTGGGCCTCCCAAAGTTCTAGGATTACAGGCATGAGCCACCTCCGGCCTAAGAATTTCTACTTTACAGACAGGCACAGGGAAATAGAGGTGCCAGAAAAAGCCAAAAAAGATTAAAGACATATATATGTATATATTTTGTTTGTTTCTGAAATAGAAAAGAGTGCCTAAGTTTCAACACAAAGGAAAAGTGGATGCTTATAAATTATTCAGATCTAGGCAACTTAATTATACAGAAGAAACAAAAAGATCAAAAGTATTCCATCATGGCACTTGGCTTTGTCACCAGATCAATTCTGACATTTTCTCACTTAAAACACCGCCTTTCTAGTCCCTTGAAACCACCCTCTGCTTCAGCCAACCCTGGTTTCTCACCCTAGCATTTGGGAGGCCTGGGATTGGGTCACAGTTGTGTGACAACAGAACCTCACCTGGACCACAGACCCTGTCAGGGCACAGGGAATGTTTGCTTAAAGTTTCTCAGTAAGAGTGAACAATGGCCAATTCCTTATGACCGAGAAATGGAAGGTTTTGGCTTGATCACCAAAAGCCTTACTGAAAGTTCAGCACTGGGACATTTGTTGGTACAGTGGTTGGAGAGTCCCCAGAACCACGTGGAAGGGAATCTTACATGTTGGTACCTTCGACAATACTTGTTGAGCACATACCTCGTGCAGACGCCGGGGCCAGGACAGACACATCCACCCTCCAGGTATCTGTGATCTGGGGCTCCTCAGGTCTCCTTTTCACCTGCCAGATAAGTGGACTTATCAGCCCAACACCTGCCACCTGTATGCTCTATTTTAGGCCTCACATAGGGTCAGAGGGCCCCCTGGCCCTGAGGATACAAAGGGCATCCCACGTGCCCATCAAGGTGCATACGCCCCTTTTCATGTGCCTGGGACACCTGAGGCTTTCAACTGCCTCCCTTCCCTCAGAAGACAAAGATTTTTAAAGTACCCATTAAAATCCAATTTCCATTCCACCTGCCCGTTAGTTTTGGACTCAATCCCCACGTGATTTTCCTTCATTTGCTAATTTCTTTTCATAAGCCTCTGCCACTTCTGCACAGTAAGTCTTCAACAACCCAATAAACACCTCCCCTCCCCCCCAAAAAAAGGATGGGGACAGTGGAGCCAGTATTATCATCTGCCATTCAGAAGCAATGCTTGGTAATGCACGTTTTCTGAACATGTTCTCCAAGTCTGTCTTTCTTTTAATTGGGGAGCTACCAGGTCACCTGCACTTAGAGCGCCACAGCACTCCAGGTGCAAGGCCTCAGGGTTCCAGTCCTAATGCCTGGAGGGAAAATTACGCATTTCCCACTCACCTGCCCAAACTTTGACATTTAAAGCATCTCTCTGGTATTTTTCAGCTTCCTATTTGCCTATACACCTGCATGGCAGGCTGTGGACGTTCTTAGTATAGGCCCCTATATACCCTACCGCATCACTGGTACCAGCAGGCAGAGACACACATAACAGAATGTTCTGTGAGCAACACAAATCCTCCAGTCAACCTAATGCCCAGCTCCCAGCAACAGATTAAATCAATTGTAGCACAGCCACTCAATGGAAAACCATGTAGTTACTAGAGACTAAGGTAACCCACCCATGCATAATAATCCCATTAATTATAGTATATACTTTAGTATATATGATTTGCTATATGGTGTTAATATTACACAACACATTCATGAATAATAGAAATTGTTATATTTCTCAAACAATGCTATTAATTTTGATTAAACTGTATTACCTACCAAGAGCCATTGAATTAACACATCATACATTAATTCATGAAAACTCAAAGTGCAGAGAACAGTAAATCAGTCCGTTTGTGTGGAAATCAAAGGGCATGTTTGAATCTATAAATATGAGCGTGCACATTAAACTGTCAGGTGCCTTGGGGCTGACTTAGCCGACAAGTCAGCAGGTCTGGGCGGGAGAGAAGTTGCATTTCTCACAAAATCCCAGGTGCTGCTGCTGGTCTTGGGACCAGGGACACATCCAGGCTAAACAGGTAAACTGGGGGAAGAAGAAACTTTCGGCTTTGTTTGTTTGTTTTTATTTTTTTCTTTTCTTTGAGACAAGGTCTCCCTCTGTCGCTCAGGCTGGTGTGCAGCGGCGCGATCTCGGCTCACTGCAGCCCCGATCTCCTGGGCTCAAGCGATCCTTCAGCCCGGGCCAAAGCGCGGAGCTTCCAGAAGCTTTTATTTTCTAAATCTCACGCCTCCATTCAGCAACCCTGGCTGGGCGTGGGCTCCCTGCAAGGCGGCGGTGGACGGCCCGCAGTCGGGCCGATAAGGAAACCTGCTACCATTCCTTGGCTTCCTGGGTGCCTCACTCTAGAGGGGGAAACTGAGACTCCGAGTCGAGCCGTCCCGAAGCGCTACATCGCTGGCGGGGCTGGGATTCGAACCCGACTTCTGAGATACAGGCCGGTGCCCCGCCCGCGGGACCTGCGGGACCCTCGGGACACCGCTCCAGCCGCGCCCCGACTCCAGAGGTTCTCCAGCCCACTGCAGACGACAGAATCGCCCGCGGGTCCCCGAGCCCCCGAGCCCGCCGGGGCGCGCCCGTTGAAGCCCCGCCCCGCCGGCCGCAGCAGGGAGGGGGACGGTGCGAGCTCGTGCTCGCTGGGCGGGCGCACGGGAGCGGCGCCAGGATAGAGGTTCGCGAGACCGCCATCGCAACGCAGGCGCGGTGGCCAAGTGGTAAGGCGTCGGTCTCGTAAACCGAAGATCACGGGTTCGAACCCCGTCCGTGCCTGATATCCAACCTTCAGCTATAGGGTGGAGACTTTTTAGGAGTGGTCGACTCTTGCCGTACTCTGCGAGTAGATCCTTCCCCCTGGACTGCAGACCCAGCCAACTGTTTTCCTTCAAGGGTTTGGGTTCAAGCTCCCATCCTTCCCTCGCAGAAGGTGGAAGTCTGGGTGGTCCAGCCTCGGCGAGTAAGGTCCGCAAATTTGGCCGGCCCCGGCGATCGGCTCCCTACACACAGCTACCCCTGGGGCGCTTCATCCCCTGGGAGAAGATGGAGGGCTCTGGGGGTGGGGCGGGGCTCGCAAACTCAAAGGGTCCCCTGCAGATCATGGCCTCAGGGAAGCCCCAACACCCTTGGGGCAAGGAGACCTGCAGCTGCTGGAGTTTGGCTTAAGGGCCCATCCACATTCTTCTGCACAGGAAAATCCAATTTTATCCGCTCTAACAAAAGCCCTGCCGTTGCCTGATACAGAGCCCACACCCAGAGTCAGCTGGTGTCTGTCTGGCTTGCTATTTTTGAAAGGAAATCCACTGTAGGCATTGCATTCGAAAGAGAAGCAGCCCTGTCCAGGCTTGGAGCAATTCTGACACGCAAATCTGAAACCTCCGGCTCTGAGCCTCCGCTTGCCCCTCTGTAAAATGGGCGCTTGTGAAGCAGCTGCCAGGAGAGGCTGCTGTGGAGGCGGCCTACGTAGACGGAGCTCCAGTCAGATCGCACAGGTTTTCTTTGCATCACGAAGGATGCACCAAAGGGCTGCTGGAATGCCTTTGAAGACGTCATGCAATGACCCCAACCTCCAGGACCGCCACATCGTGCACTCTGAAAACCAGCTTGAGCGAATTTGGGGAAGGCTGTATCAGTCTGAGATTCCTAACTGGAGGAGGCATTCGTGGAGCGCCTCGTGTGTGCCTGGTGGAACTGGATTCTGGGCGTCCCTCGGTGAACTGGCCAGGCCAGAACGGGCTCTCGGGAGGTGACAGGGAGAGAGGGAGGGAGCAGGAGCTCCCGGGGGTAAGTGTCCCCCTTCTACAGCAGGGGTTCCACACTTGTGAGCGTGGATCAGCCTCCCCTAGAGGGCTTGAGAAACGCAGATTGCTGGGCCCCAGCCCAGGGCTTCCGCATTCAGCAGCTCAAGGCTGGGCCCAGGTCATTTGCATTTCTAACGAGCTCCCAGGAGAAGCTGATGTTGGACCGCACCTCGAGGACCACTGTTCAAACGAAAGCCATATTCTTTTTTTCCTTTTTCTTTTCTTTCTTTCCTTTTTTTTTTTTTTTTTTTTTTTTTTTTTTTTTTTTTGAGACGAGTTTGGCTCAGTTACCCAGGCTGGAGTGCAGTGGCATGATCTTGGCTCACTCGGAGATCTCCGCCTCCCGGGTTCAAGCAATCCTCCTGCCTCAGCCTTCCGAGTAGCTGGGATTACAGGCGTGCGCCACCACACCCGGCTAATTTTTGTATTTTTAGTAGAGACAGGGCTTCACCATGTTGGCCAGGCTGGTCTCAAACTCCTGACCTCAAGTGATCCACCCACCTGGGCTTCACAAAGTGCTGGGTTTACAGGCGTGAGCCCCCATACTCGGCCACGACAGCCATATTCTAAACCCAGGAAGGAGCCTGTGCATAGGCATGTATATAAATAGGTAAGTTAATGATATAAAAATAGAAAATACCAGTGCTTCTTACACTTCCACTTGGGGAAATCTTGCTAAGAAGCAGGTTGTGACTCAGTAGGTCTGGAGTGGGGCCTGAGACGCTGCATTTCTAAGAAGTGTCTTGGGGTGATGCTGGTGCTGCTGGTCTCCAGGAGCGGTACACAAGGGGTGGAAGGGTACACGCCAAAATAGCATCATCCCCTGGGAGGGAAGTAGACTAGGAAAGCTGTTGAAAGGGCTCCTTCACTTCTTACCAGGTAAACGTGTGCTCTACATTGCTTGGGTTTTCTTCAAGATGATTTCTTTGTACTACATATGCAATTTTTTTCCAGAATCACCCTGTCCCTCAAAACCCCTACCCAAACACAAAAACCTTTTGGGACACAGGCAAATTAGAACAATTCAGAATTAAAGCAAATAAATGTTGAATGTTCTCTTGTCTCCACTGGAGCATCTATTCATTTCTTTTTATTTTACTTTCTTTTTTGGAGACAGGGTCTCGCTCTATTGCCCAGGCTGGAGTGCAATGGTGCTGTCATAGCTCACTGCAGCCTCGAACTCCTGGGCTCAAGCAATCATCCCAACTCAGCCTTTCAAGTAGCCAGGACTACAGGCGCTAGCACCACACCTGGCTTTTTTTTTGGGGGGGTGGGCGGTGGGATCGACATTGGTGTCTCCTTATGTTGCTCAGGCTGGTCTCAAACTCCTGGGCTCAAATGATCCTCCCACCTCAGCCTCCTGCCTCAGCCTCCCAAAGTGCTGGGATTACAGGCATGAGCCACTGTGCCTGGCCCATTCGTTTCTTTTTGAATAGGTGCCATAAAAGATCACGTATGGGCCAGGTAAGGTGGCTCACGCCTGTAATCCCAGCACTTTGGGAGGCTAAGGTAGGTGGATCACCTGAGGTCAGGAGTTCAAGACCAGCCTGGCCAACATGGTGAAACCCCGTCTCTACCAAAAATAGAAAAATTAGCCGGGCATGGTAGTGGGTGCTTGTACTCCCGGCTACTCGGGAGGCTGAGGCAGGAGAATCGCTTGAACCCAGGAGGCAGAAGTTGCAGTGAGCCAAGATTGCACCATTGCACTCCAGCCTGGGTGACAGGAGTGAAACTCCATCTCAAAAAACAAAACAAAACAAAAAAACACGGCTCTTGGGCAGGTAGGCCAATATCTTTGAAGAGCATGGAATTGTCCACCCAGATTTCCTGTCCTTGTCTTTCTGTCCCCATCCACAGAGTAGACCAGCACTCCTTCTCTGTGACATCACCCAGGGAGACAGCCCATTCTCATCCATCTCCACCATAGCCTGTCTGTATCAGGTGGAGAATGTATTAGAAAAACACAATTTACAATACTGTAGATACCATTTATGCAAAAAAGTGTGCACAAAATGACTAAGGATATATATATATATTTGTGTATGAAGAAGTGCTTGCTGTTTTGTTTTGTTTTTTATTTTCAAGCCTGAAAGATGACACATAGGTCTCAAAACTGTAACTTCTGCTTGAAATCTGGGGTGCCAGAGCTGCAAAAGCACTTTGGCACGTGCTGCAGTATCGGAAACTAGTGAGCTAAATCCTTGAAGCAGGTTCTGTTTAGACTGAAACGGGCGAAGCTGATCATGTTTCTGAATAAGCAAGACGTGTTGTGTTCATTTAAACCACTTGTGTTCATGAATCTATAAAGCCATGTTTGGATTTCTATAACTTCTGTATGAATTTCATGTGTGAAAGTCACCTTGAAGTCAACTCTTTGTTCTTGCAGATTCAATCCCTCGTCTCTGTTGGAAGTGTAAAAGGAAGATAAGAAGGGCTCTGATGCTGGGGTTGGGGAGGAAAGAGAGGCAGGTAAGACAGAGCCTAGAGAGACGTTTAGGGATCCCAGCACGCAAAATGACCATGCAGGAGGGAAGAGGTAGATTTGCATAAGGAGCCCGTGGCTTTCTGGGAAAGAAGGAATTAAACTCTTCCAACCCACCTTCCTGTTATTCACAGTTAATTAGTGGCAGAATAGGGTTTAACAGAACTTTTCATTTATTTATTTTGTAGAGATTCAGTCTTGCTCTGTTGCCCAGACTGGAGTGCAGTAGCACAATCATAGCTCACTGGAGCCTCAAACTCCTGGGTTCAAACGATCCTCCTGCCTCAGCTTTCCAAGTAGCTGTGCCTACAGGTGTGTACCACCACGCCCAACCTAACAGGACTTCTGAAGCAACAGAAGGGAAGCCAGGTTCCTGTGAGGATCCTAGCTTTAGCAAGGAGGGGCAGTTTGTCAACAGAGGCTGTGCAGGAGCAAGTTCAACAGTGACACCTTGTGGAGGCATGAAGCAAGAGCAGTGCTAGACTCTGCTCTGCCCCTACATCTCTTGGGAACTGGTGGGAGCCTCAGACTAGCCACTTTAACGGCTCCGTGCCTCAGTTTCTCCCGTTGTAAATTCGGAATGACACACATTCACTCGCTTCCTCTGTCATGGAGTTCTTCTGATGACAACATTTTAAACATCCGCCAGCCAGGACGGTTCAGTAAATGCTGACCCATCCATGTCATGATATGGTAGGAAGCCATTTAAAGGAATGATTGATGGATTGATCTGACATGATAATGAATATAGTTAAGTGAGAAAAGTTGATAGTCTGGTTTTTCTGGTTTTTTGTTTTGTTTTGTTTTAAAGGTGTCTGGAGGTATAATTGATAAACCAGAAAACTGCACTTATTTAATGTGTATAATTTGATGCATTTGGACATATGCATGCACCTGCTGATAGTCTCACCACAATCAAGAATCAAGTATTACCTTGTAATCCCAGCACTTAGGGAGGCCGAGGCAGGCTGATCACTTGAGGCAAGGAGTTCAAGACTAGCCTGGCTGAAATGGTGAAACCCCATCTCTACTAAAAATACAAAAATTACCCAGGTATGGTGGCATGCGCCCAAAGTCCCAGCTACTCAGGAGGCTGAGGCATAAGAATCACTTGAACCCAGGAGGTGGAGGTTGCAGTGAGCTGAGACGACACCACTGCATTCCAACCTGAGAAACAGAGCAAGACTCTGTCTCGAAAAAAAAAAAGGTAATAAACATATCTGTCACCTCCAAAACTTTCCATGTGTCCTTTTGTGTATGGTGTAAGAATATTTAACATGGGATCTACCCTCTTAACAAACGTTTATGTGTATGTATCCTACCGTTAGCTATATACAGCAGATCTCAAACTTCCTCATCTTGTATAATTAATTTTTAGTATCTCGTTTTTGCAAAGATAAATACACATTTATCATTACGTATATGTGTATATGTGTGTTGGTTTTGGTTTCTTGGAATGTAGAGAAAGTCCATACCCCTGCGAAGGCTTCGCCACACCTCATGCTGTTGATAATATCTCCAGGTGGGGTGAGAGATGGAGAGGAAATTGCAGAGAAAATTCCAAGTTTTTTCCTGATATCATGGCCTTGGCAAAGAGAGGCTCTATGGCTTTTGGATTCACTATTTTTGCAGCAAAACGTACAAAGTTAACAGAAAAAAGAGAAAATATAAAGAGTAATCGGATCTCTGGGCTCTGGGGAGCAGAAGCGTTAACACGGAGTGGCCACTTACACGGAGACGATGCTAAGTTCCCAGTGCAAAAGCCCTGTCCTGTCATCACGCTGACCCTCTCCAAGGGGAGGCCTCCAGTCCCCCCTGCCCTGTCAGGTTTCCCATATGGGCTGACATCATGTGCTTAGGAAACCTACATTCAAGAATTAAAAATGGAACTCTTAATAAGGGAGCGGGTGGTTTGTAGACGTGCATGGGCTGAGAACCACATTTCAAAACCAGAAGTGTATTTCAGGCGTGAGTAGCACTTAAAAGAAAATATTGTGGCAGGCCCCTGGAAGCAGCAGACGTTGTTTATATCACATCAACTTGAGTTTTGCTGAGCAAATCACCAGGCTGGCGCACAACGAACGTTTCCCACCATTCCGGGGTTTTTTTTTTTGCTTCCACTCTGCCCTTCTAATTCAGGTGAGCAAGCTGATTTTTACTTGCTGTAGGTAAAAAAGAACCCCCAAACTTAGGCCTTGCTAAATGCAAAACCTGTAGCAATTCTCAAAACACGCAAATAACAAGCCCTTCATCTTCCTTTGAGAAGTATGGTAAATAGACTCTAGGATGCCCCCCAAAGTTATCCCTGTCTTCTAAGAATCATGCCTGTCCCCTATTCCTTGGACAGTGATATGAGCAAGAAATAAACATGTATTGTGCTAAGCCACTGAAAGACTGGGGTTGTCTGTAACAGCAGCTAGCATACCCCAACAACAGATATACCACTATTTGGCCCCTGTGGGAACACAGGCTCTCTGCTGCCAAATCTTTTGGATCATCCATTTTTTTTAGAAGCGGCCAGAAATCTGGATTTTTAAAATATGAAATTTCCTGATTTAAAAATGTTGGCCACTAAGTCAAATTTATTATTTTAAATGCTCCACAGGCCAAATGAAACACATCTGTGGGCTCAACTTGGCCTGCAGCCTGCCAAGTGCAACCTCTGGTCAAAACACTTCAAATGCAGCAGCATTTATTTTTAAGTTGGTATTGGTCTGAGAGTTGGTGCCGCAACCCTAGTCATGTGAGTTCCAGAGAAAAGTTCTATGCCGATAGGGAAGTTGATCAATTCTTTCATTTCCACTTGGGTTAGAATTACGTTAGTGTTTTTTGTTTTGTTTTTTTAGACAGAGTCTCCCTCTGTCACCCAGGCTGCCGTGCAGTGGTATGATCATAGCTCACTGCAGCCTCAAACTCCTAGGCTCAAGCAATCCTCCTGCCTCTGCCTTTCAAGTAGCTGGGACCACAGGCACATGCCACCGGGCCCAGCTACTTTAAAAAAAATTTTTTTTAGTAGAGACTAGGTCTTACTATGTTGCCCAGGCTGGTCTTGAAATCTTGCGCTCAAGTGATCCTCCTGCCTTGGCCTCCCAAAGTGCTGGGATTACGGGCATGAACTACCGTGCCTGGCCTTCCTCTAGTTTCTTAACACACTTTGGCCCGTCTGCCAAAACTCTGAGGCTAACTTTTCCTCCCTGGGTGACCAGGTCCAGCGAGACCAGGCTGGCCCAGGATGGCCCACTCACCCAGACCAGTGCCTCCTCCACTTTGATTTCAGTGGACTGAGTGGCAAGGATGAAGCTGAAACCAGGCACAACCAACTATGTCTTAAAGGAGAGAAGAGAGCACTCCTGGCATTTCTAAATCTACTCATAGCATATGCAGGCACAACCGTTTATCACCACATTTAATAGCAAATGATAATTGCTGCAATTTATTGAGTGCTTAGTACACGCCAGACCGTACATGCAGCGATGGGTACCATGCAACTTAACCCTTTCACATCCCCATCATTGCTACCAAAGGATCTGAAACTCAAAAGGGCTAACAATTGATCCCAAGTCACGGCGGCATTTCTGGTACCTCTTTTCATGGTGAAGCCAGGTTCTGAACCAGCCTCTGGAGTGACTGTGGCATCACTGCCTTAGCCGGCGAGGATCTTTTTCCCAGCCCACCAGGAACCATGGACCCTTTTGTAGATCTGGGGCAGTTTGTCTTTCTGTCCACCCAGGGCCTGGAGCTCTTGGCCTCCTGGGAGCCCTGCCATCATCACAGGGGGAAGGTACTGCAATCCCAACCCCATTCCCTCCCTCCCTTCTTTGTGTGTGTGTGTGTGTGTGTGTGTGTGAGACAGAGTCTTGCCCTCTTACCCAGGCTGGAGTGCGGTGGCACGATCTCGGCTCACTGCAACCTCCACCTCCTGGATTCAAGCGATTCTCCTGCCACAGCCTCCCAAGTAGCTGGGATTACAGGTACCCACCACCATACATGGCTAATTTTTTAGTATTTTTTAGTAGAGACACGGTTTCACCATGTCGCCAGGCTGGTTTCCAACTCCTGACCTCAAGTGATCCACCCACCTCAACCTCCCAAAGTGTTAGGGTTGCAGGCGTGAGCCACTGCACCAGGCTTCTTCTTTTATTCATTTTTTTTTTTTTGAGATGGAGGCTGGAGTACAGTGGCATGATCTCAGCTCACTGCAGCCTCTGCCTCCCAGGTTCAAGCAATTCTCCTGCCTCAGCCTCCCAAAGAGCTGGGATTACAGGTGTGTGCTACCACGCCCAGCTAATTTTTATGTTTTTAGTAGAAATGGGGTTTCACCACGTTGGCCAGGCTGATCTCATACTCCTGACCTCAGATGATCTGCCCGCCTTGGCCTCCCAAAGTGCTGGGATTACAGGCATGAGCCACTGCGCCTGGCCTGTCATTCATTTCCTAACACATCTTCATTGTGCCCCACCATGTGCTAGACCTGGCATGGTGCCAGGGCTGCTGGTCACAAGAGATGGGTTGCCTGCCCCAGGGGATTCACAGACAAATGAGAGGGGACTAATGAATGTGATATGAGAAGAAAAGGACAGACACAGGCCGGGAGCAGTGGCTGGAGCCTGTAATCCCAGCACTTCAGGAGGCCAAGGCAGGAGGATCACTTGAGCCCAGGAATTCAAGACCAGCCTGGGCAACAGAGTGAGACCTATCTCTACCAAAAATGAAAAAATCAGCTGGTGGTGGCACGTGTCTGGAGTCCCAGCTGCTAGGGAGACTGAGGTGGGAGGATCACCTGAGCCTGGGAAGTCAAAACTGCAGTGAGGTGAGATCGCATAACCACACTCCAGCCTGGGGGATGGGAGTGAGACCCTGTCTCAAAAAAGGAAAAGAAAAAAGAAAAGGACAGACGCACATGGGCACGAGCAGAGATAGCACTCACCTAACCAAAGCTCCTGGTGGGGCTTGGAAGGCGTGGAGGACGTGCTCGGGGGGTGGGGCCAGGGGGCTAGCAGAAGATGCTCCAGCATAGACCCCAGCATCAAAGACATAGAGGCATCTGTTCAAAAGTGGGGGTACCCGGGCCAAGCGCGGTGGCTCATGCCTGTAATCCCAGCACTTTGGGAGGCCAAGGCGGGTGTATTACCTGAGGTCAGGAGTTCAAGACCAGCCTGGCCAAGATGGTGAAACCCTGTATCTACTAAAAATACGAAAATTAGCCAGGCATGGTGGCACAAACCTGTCATCTCAGCTACTTGGGAGGCTGAGGCAGGAGAATTGCTTGAGCCCAGGAGACGGAGTTTGCAGTGAGCCGAGATTGTGCCACTGCACTCCAGCCTGGCCAACACAGCGACACTCTGTCTCAAACAAAACAAAACAAAACAAAACAAAAAAACATGGGGGTACCCAAAGGGGGACCTTGTGCAAGTCACTTCCTGTCTTTGTCTTCTCTGCTTTTGGAAGCTATTAAGATGCCCCAGGGAGCTGTCAATACCACCCATGGGGCTGAGGATGAGGGGGCTGGCAGCTCGCACTCAGCTTCCCAGCATCCTTCTAGCAGTTTCTGGACTGAGAAGCCTGGGCAAGTGACTGCACTGCTGTGGCCTCAGTTTCCTCATCTGTCAAATAGGAATAAATGACAGTTCCTGCTTTGTAGAGTTGCTTTGATGGGGAAGTGGTCTCAGGTGTAGAAAATGCCAAGCACAGAGTCAGGACATGATAAAAGCTTGGCACTATCATAGGCTCTGCCCCGAAGGCCAACACAGAGCAGAAGCATCTACAGCTCTGACTTTCCCTGTGTTTTTCATTCCACAAAGAAAAGTAAAGCTGAGGTCCACAGGACCTGGAATTTTATTTTATTCTATTATTATTATTATTATCTTTCTTATTTTAAGGAACTAGTGACTCTGTATATCTGATTTTTTTTTTTTTGAGATAGGGTCTCACTCTGTTGCCCAGGCTGGAGTGCAGCGGCGCTATCACAGCTCGCTGCAGGCTCAACCTCCAGGGCTCAAGTGATCCTCCTGCCTCAGTCTCCCGAGTAGCTGGGACTACAGGCATGTGCCACCAAACCCGGCTAGTTGTTTTATTTTTATTTTTGTAGAGACAGGGTCTCACTGCGTTGCCTAGGCTGGTCTTGAATTCCTGGGCTCAAGCAATCCACCTGCTTCGAGCCTCCCAAAGTGCTGGGATTACAGGTGTGAGCTACTGTACCCGGCCTGGAATTTTTTTTTTTTTTTTTTTTTTTTTTAGACTGAGTCTCTCTCTATTGCCCAGGCTGGAGTGCAGTGGTGCCATCTTGGCTCACTGCAACCTCTGCCTCCCAGGTCAAGCGATTCTCATGCCTCAGCCTCCCAAGTAGCTGGGATTACAGGCGCCCGTCAACACTTCCAGCTAATTTTTGTATTTTTAGTAGAGACAGGGTTTCACCATGTTGTCCAGGCTGGTCTCAAACTTCTGACCTCAAGTGACAAGTGATCCACCTGTCTCGGCCTCCCAAAGTCCTGGGATTACAGGCGTGAGCCACTGTGCCTGTGGCCTGGAATTTTTTTTTTTTTTTTTTTGAGACAGAGTCTTACTCTATCACCCAGGCTGGAGTGCAGTGGTGCGAACTCGGCTCACTGCAACCTCCGCCTCCCGGGTTCAAGCGATTCTCCTGTCTCAGCCTCCTGAGTAGCTGGGATTACAGGCACCATGCCCAGCTAATTTTTGTATTTTTAGTAGAGACGGGGTTTCACCATATTGGTCAGGCTGGTCTCAAACTCCCAACCTCATGATCCGCCCACCTCGGCCTCCCAAAGTGCTGGGATTACAGGCATGAGCCACCGTGTCTGGCCTCTGGAATATCTGTATAAGGCCCTGGATAGCTTTAAGGACGGGTAGGCAGCTCTTGTCATCTGACATCTCAGCTCCGAGGGCCTGCGCCACAGAAGGTTGGTTTTACTTCACCGCCCTTGACCCAAATTTCTGCTGTTAATTGCAGAGGGGCAAATACCATCAAGGCAGGCGGGCAAGGGCACAATGGAAGGCCTTCCAGCCGCCCCCTGTCAAGGGTCCGAGGCTGAGGTGGGTGAAGACACTTCTGGTTTCTAGGTAGTTTTACATCTATCTTGTAAGAGCCACTTGACCTGAAATCTTGTATTCAAAACGATTTTTAGACTAGATTCCTTTTTTTAGAGACAAGATATTGCTCTGTCACCCAGGCTGGAGTGCAGTGGCGTGATCATAGCTCACTGCAATCTCAAACTCCTGGGTTCAAGTGATCCTCCAGCCTCAGCCTCACAAGTAGCTCGGACTACAGGTGCCCACCTGCACACCGGGCTTGCTTGCTTTCCTCTTTTCTTTCCTTTCCTTTTCTTTCTTTCTCTCTCTCTCCTTCCTTCCTTCCCTCCTACCTTCCCTCCTTCCTTCCTTCCTTCCCTCCTACCTTCCCTCCTTCCTTCCCTCCTTCCTTCCCTCCTTCCTTCCCTTCCTTCCCTCCTTCCCTCCTACCTTCCCTCCTTCCTTTCCTTCCTTTCTTTTTCCTTCCTTCTTTCTTTTCCTTTTTTCTTTTCCTTCCTTCCCTCCTACCTTCCCTCCTTCCTTCCTTTCCTTCCTTTCTTTCTCTCTTTCTTTCCTTCCTTCTTTCTTTTTCTTTTTTCTTTTCCTACCTTCCCTCCCTCCCTCCCTCCCCTCCTCTCTCTCTCTTTCTTTCTCTCTTTCAACATAGGGGTCTCACCATGTTTCCCAGGCTGATCTTGAGCTCTTGGCCTCAAGTGGTCCTCCTTCCACCAATGCCTGAAGTTCCACCATCATGGGCGTGAGCCACTGCATCAGGCCTAGATTCGTTTCTTAACGTTCTCTCCAGAAGGTATCATAGGGTGGGCACAGCCTCCTTCTGATGGGGTTGAATGAGAAAGTCAGCCATCACACCACTTCAAACGGTGTCCCAAACTGGGCGCAGCGGCTCACGCCTGTAATCCCAGCACTTTGAGAGGCCGAGGCGGGCAGATCACTTGAGGTCAGGAGTTTAAGACCAACCTCACCAACATGGCGAAACCCCGTCTCTACTAAAAATACCAAAAAAAATTAGCCGGGCGTGGTGGCGCACGCCTCTAATCCCAGCTACTTGGGAGGCTGAGGCAGGAGAATTGCTTGAACCCAGGAGGCAGAGGTTGCAGTGAGCTGAGTTCGTGCCACTGCACTCCAGCCTGGGCAACAAGAGCGAAACTCAAAAATAAATAAATAAATAAATAAATAAATAAATAAATAAATAAATAACCACCAAAAAAACAAACTGTTCCAAGGATCCCTCTGGAAGCACCTATATTCCGCCATTGTCCCATGGCTAGCATCACCGTATGGCTATGGACTTGTGTGTCTGTTTTTAACAAGCCTACATTTGTTCAATCCAAGCATTTAAAACCTATTGTACAGGCCGGGTGCGGTGGCTCACGCCTGTAATCCCAGCACTTTGGGAGGCCGAGGCGGGTGGATCACAAGGTCAGGAGATTGAGACCATCCTGGCTAATACAGTGAAACCCCGTCTCCTGTAATCCCAGCATTTTGGGAGGCCGAGGCAGGCGGATAACGAGGTCAGGAGATCGAGACCATCCTGTAATACAGTGAAACCCCGTCTCCACTAAAAAATACAAAAAAATTAGCCGGGCGTGGTGGCAGGCGCCTGTAGTCCCAGCTACTTTGGAGGCTGAGGCAGGAGAATGGCGTGAACCCAGGAGGCGGAGCTTGTAGTGAGCCGAGATTGTGCCACTGCACTCCAGCCTGGGCGACAGTGAGACTCCGTCTCAAAATAATAAATAAATAAGTAAATAAAATAAAAATAAAACCAATTGTACAATACATTCTGTATGTTTGCTTGGGAAGTTTCTCATTGTGGGTATTTTGGGAGGCTCAGGAGGTGGCAGTAACTGGGCGCTGGTACCCTCCTGTCCTCCTTCCCCAGGCCCCAAGGAAAGCGCCCACAGGCGGGCAGGGCAAAGCCTGCGCCCACCCTCTCTGTGCGGGCCTGGGAGCCCAGAGTCCAAGACTTTCCCAGAGGCTGAGCACGGCTGCGGCCCTCCAGGGCTCCTTCTGCCTGGCGTGGCCGCTCCCTAGTTCTGGCTGGGGCCTTGGCATCGCCCTGGGGCTAGAAACCTGGATGCAGGTGGGGCTCCTTCCTGGGAGAAGGCCAGGGTGGGCCTCTGGGGCTTCCGGACCAAGAGCGGGCTGTTTTCCGGAGTCTGGCGGCGCTTCCACTGCTGAACTGGATTTCAGGCCGCCACTCGCTTGAGTCACGGGGAAGCCAAGCCAGGCCTGGCAAGGGCAGGCCTCAGAAGGATCCAGGGGGCACCTCTGAAGGGGATTTCAATTGCAAGATAAAGGTCGGGCCCTGGCTGCCTTTGGTGGCCTGGTTTTTCCTTCTGCACCTGATCCAGGTGTCCCAGAGCCCAGGCAGGGCCTGAACTGGAGAGATGAGGTGAGCTTCCAAAATCTTGTGGCTCAGGGCACAGATGTGGGTGGGGGCAGCACCTGGAGGCCCCCAAGGCAGCACTGCTGCAGCTATTTTAGTTCCCCAGAGGGGCCGGGCCTTTGCACATGCGGTGCCTGCTGCCCCGACTCGATCCCTCCCACCAGCCCTGTGTATTCTTTTTTTGAGACAGAGTCTCGCTCTGTTGCCTGGGCCGGAGTGCAATGGTGCGATCTCGGCTCACTGCAACCTCTTACCTTCTGGGTTCAAGCGATTCTCCCACCTCAGTTTCTGGCGTAGCTGGGATTACAGGCACGCGCCACCACGCCTGGCTAATTTTTGTATTTTTAGTAGAGACGGGGTTTCACCATGTTGGCCAGGCTGGTCTCCAACTCCTGACCTCAGGTGATCCTTGGCCTCCCAAAGTGCTGGGATCACAGGCGTGAGCCACTGTGCCCGGCCCCAGTGTTTTCCTTTTTCACAGTTTCAGCTCAGACATCCCATCCTCCAGGTGACAGCACCAAGCTCACCAATCACTGTTGCCATGTACTCCTACAGGTTGTCTGTCTCAGGCAATCCCGCTAAAAGTCCTATAAGGCAGGCCTTGTGACTCCTACTTTACCAAGGAGGAAACAGAGGCCCAGAGAGGCGAAGCAGTGCCCGGGGTCCCCCGAGCTGGCGACACGCAGCAGGGGGAGACACAGCCGCTCTCTTTCAATGCAGCTTGCAAGAAGAGCCGGTGAGGATACTGCAGGCTGGATGGAGACAACCCCTGCAGGAAGGGCCAGGGTAGGACACCCCCAGCCCAGCCTCGCTCTGTCGCGGTGCCCTGGACCATAACGGCAGCGAAGTGCTCACCTGTTGACTCAAGTCTTTCCCTGAGACGTCTAGTTCCTCAAGGGCAGGGACCTGTGCTGTTTACCACCTTAGCTCTGGGGGCTCTAGCAGCAGCTCTGTGCCTGGCACACAGAGGGCCAGCAGGTGTTAGTTCCATGAACAACTGACCTCTAAGCTTCAGTCTTTTGTTTTATTTTTTATTTTTATTTTTGAGACAGAGTCTCACTTTGTCGCCCAGGCTGGAGTGCAGTGGCACAATCTTGGCTCACTGCAGCCTTCGCCTCCCGGGATCAAGCCACTCTCCTGCCTCAGCTTCCCAAGTAGCTGGGACCACAGGTGCTCACCACCACACCCCATTAACTTTTTTGTATTTTTAGTAGAGACGGGGTTTCACCACGTTGTCCAGGCTGGTCTCAAACTTCTGACCTCAAATGATCCACCCGCCTCAGCCTCCCACAGTGCTGGGATTACAGGCATGAGCCACGGTGCCTGGCCTAGCCTCAGTCTTTCGATCTGGAAAATGGGTAAGTTCAGTAAGTTACTATTCTTCATGTGCTTAGGTCTCGGGGTGGGGGGGAATGGGGACTGTTATTATCAGTGATCAGCTGTTGCCTTTTGTGCTACATTTCCTCTCCAAGTTGCTATTGGAAAAACCATCCCAAGGTCCCCCGTGCCCCACCGACCCCGGGTCCAGAGTGAACACAGCCTTCCTTGCCTCCCCTAGAGCAAGGAAGAAATCCCTCCAGATTTCTGGAATTAAGGCCCAATGAGGAAAAGGGGACATGAGCAAGTCCTGTGCGTCGGCTGCAAGATAAGAAAGATGACCCATAATCCCAGCACTTTGGGAGGCCGAGGCGGGTGGATCACCTGAGGTCGGGGGTTTGAGACCAGCCTGGCCAACATGGTGAAACCCCATCTCTACTAAAAATACACAAATTAGCTGGGCATGGTGGCGCATGCCTGTAATCCCAGTTACTCTGGAGGCTGAGGCAGGAGAATCGCCTACACCTGGGAGATAGAGGTTGCAGTGAGCCGAGATCGCGCCACTGCCCTCCAGTCTGGGCAAGAGGAGTGAAACTCTGTCTCAAACAAAAAAAAAAAAAAGAAAAAGAAAGAAAGAGGATGGAGAGGGCAGGGACACCACAGGCAGAAGGAGAGGAGGCCAGCTCGCTCCCCTTGGCTGGGGTCCCTGGGACCTCCTCTGTGGCATCAGGACTGCCCGCTAAGTTGGGTGGTGTGTTTTATGAGCGTGACCTGTGTTGGCCAACAGAGGACAGCAAAATACATTTTTTATGATCCTGGGAGGTTCAGGCCAGTCACGTTTTCGCGCAGAGAGGCTGGGCGGTGGAGAGGGACAAGTCATGTCTCAGTTATGTGGATTCTCTTTGCGAAAGAGGGGCCACTTCTGCAATGGATTTGGGGGTCCCTGGGCAGGGGTGTGGGGGTGGGGGAAGATTTTAGGAAGGGGATGAGCTGCTGGGGGGGGGCATCTCCCTTACTGCGGGAAATGAAAAGTATTACAGCTATGGCTGGTGAGAGTGTCAGCACCAGAGGCCAGATCTTTGCCAGGTGGAGGGGACACCCTTGTGCCCTACCCCCAAGTTCCAGCACCTCTCCAAGAGCCCTTAGCCCCGGAAGCAGCAACAAAGTGACATTGGACTGGGGAGGAGGAAGCACAACTTTATTTTCTGGCCCGAAGCTGGGTTGGTATTTGGGGGAGTTCTTGGGAACACAGTGTGTCTGTGCAATTTCAACCCTGGGGGATCCAGGGGACTCCAGCCATTCCAGAGGAGGTGAGAGACCGTCATGGGGTGGGTGTAAGAGGCTTGGGGAACCTGCCTGATGCTGCTCCTACTTTTACTGTTTGTTCACGGGGGTTGTGTGTGTTTGTGCGGCGGGGGAAGCGGGGGGTGCTGAAAATTGGGGGAAGGGCCAAAAGCGCCAGCTGGCATTGGCACTGGGTGTTCCCGAAAGAGGGGGACAGACCGGGTCTGAATCTTCAGTGGATGCGCCCCTAGCTCCCGGATACCTCAAGCGCCTTTGGAGGACTCCAGCACGCCCCTCGGGAGGGAAGCCCGGCCTCGGTTCCGTCTGTGGGCTGCGGTGGTACTGGAAGTGGGGACTCTTTCCCCCTCCTCCGTGCCCCCTGTTTGAAGCACCCCGGGCTCTGCCCCCCGCCCCCAGGGTCGAGGCTGACGTCGCCGCCGCATTTCTAGGAATGCCCCTATCCGCTGACTATATTTGGCGAGCGTTTCTAGGAAGGCGCCCCCCCACCCCGGCCCCCGCCCCCACCCCCACCCCCACCCCCACCCCCACCCCCACCCGGGCGGGCGCGCTAGGCTTCCAGGCTCTCGCCCTCTCTGCCTGGCCGGGGAGGAGCCGCCCCGCCGCCTGGGCCGCTGCCGCCGCCGCCTCCCCAGCGCGGCCAACCCCGGGCCGGCCCAGCCCCCGCCCCGGGCCGGCCATAGGGCGCTGGGGGGTTGGGGGGGGCGGGGGCGCGGCTTTGTGGCGGCAGCGGACCGTGGAGGCCGGGTGCAGCCCCGTCGGCTGCGCGCTCTCTGCAGAAAAGGATTTTCTACGCTCCCCGCCCATCACTTGGATCTCGTCTGGGGAGGGGCGGATTTTTTTTCTGGAAGTACCCTTCTTCTCCACGGTGGAGGATTTAAGGCTGGGCTCCAATCGAGGCGGAGGCTGCAGGGCCCGCGGGGCGCCCCCCGCCCGGCGCACGCCTGCCCGGAGCCCGGGAAGGCGCAGCCCTGGGTGGGGGGGCCCGTGCACCCCCGGAGGCGGCAGCGGCGGTGAGTGCTCCCCTTCTTCCCGCCTGGCACCTTCCGCCAGCCAAGGCAGGGATCGCGGCAGGTGGGTGCCCAAGCCCCCAGGGCCGAAGGGGTGTGGGGCGGCTGTCTGCGGGGTGGATGGGAACGGGAGAGGGGAGGTGGCGGCGGGGGAGCGCGCGGTTCTCTCGGGACTCGGCGCGAGACGCTTGTCTGGGCTGCGATTGCCGCCGCTGCCGCCACCCCGGCTCCCCCTCGGACCCCTCCCCCGCTCCCCAGAGGGGCGTGTGAAGCCGGGAGGTAGGAAGGGGGCGAGGCCGCCCCCAGCCTCCCTAGTGCCTGGGCTTGGAAATTGACGAGGCGGTGGAGCGTCCGCGTCCCCGCCCCCACCCCGGAAAGCCCGCTCGGGAAACTGACTCGCTGCGTGACCCCGATCTCAATGCCGCGCGCGGAGCAGGCCGGCCGCGCCCGCCGCTCCACGTGCGCCCGAGCCCCGCTGGCATGGGCGGCGGCGCCTGCGGGGGCCGGGCCCCGGGGATCCCGGACTAGCCGGGAACCACCGTCCCCAGAGAGTTACCGCCGCCCCCTAAAGTTGTCAGCTCCCTCCCCCCGAGAAGCAGGCAGCCCTGGCGCGTTGGCTTTAGCTTCTGCAGGACGGGGGCAAAAAAACTAGGTTCCGGGGTGCGGAGCGGGGTGTCTGTGCCCGAGACAACACCAAGTTAGGAAAAAGAAGTTAGAAAAAAAAAGAAAAAGGCATTTTGATTTGGGGGTGGGGGGAGTGGCGTTTCTGGTTTCTCTTTGCTTCCAATCCCCACCAAGCGGAGCGTTGGAATGCGCCGCTTATGTCCTCTGAGGACACATCCATATTTATAATTTATTTTTAGGAGAAGTTGTGAAAAAGGGAGGGGGGTTAAAATGAGGAGAAAAGGTGCGTGGGGGAGTGGCCTTTCCAGAACCTAGAGGCTAATTAAGCTATTAAAATGGAAATCATTTCCCCCAACTTGGGCGCGCAGCAAATTTGACTTTAATGAGAGACGATTAAGGACACAAATAACCAAACTTTATTTAGCTGGAGATGGGGTGGGGGGAACTGTACGAGGCACCTCGGACACCCGATTTATCCGCTGCTAAGGGACGTTTGGGGCACCCCTCGTGTTGTCCGGGAAGCTTTTAGGCCTGTTTGCTGGGCGAGATTGGTGATTGCTCCGGGAGGGAAGAGACACCCCGGGATCAAGCGATCCTCTTGCCCTCAGCCATGGTGTGGCAAATGTCCCCTCCTCCCACAGCGACCCCCTGGCATTTTGGTGAGATGAACCGCCGCCCTGAGGGAACACCCAGTAACGATTCCTTCAGTGATCCCGGTTCTCCAAACTCTTGCCTCAAAGGCGGCCTGCCCCGGTGCTGTCAGCCGTGAATGGGGACTCACTTCTTGGGAAAAGAGGCTTTTGGAGGCTGTGGTCTCAGAATCGGGGTTTTGAGGGCGAGATGAGTTTATGTTTTATCCAACTGGCCCTCAAAGTCCCGCTTTTGGGGTCATTCTGGACAGCGAGGGACTCAGGCCCCGGCAGTCTCGGGAGGGTGAGGGCAGAGAGCTACCACCCCCAGGGAGCGCGTCCAAAACCCGGCTGGCGGGGGGGCGGGGAAAGAGGGGGAGGTTTGCTACTTTCCATAAAACTAAAAGGTCCCTTCGAGGGCGGTATTCTTATAAGTGTGTGTTCTCAGTTTGCCGAACCTACTGTGTTTTCCAAGGGCTTCTCTCCTTGGGAGGCCGAAAAACGATACAAGGAGGAGAAAGTACATTCCCCCTGACCACCCCCACAGTGGTTTAAGGGACAGTATTGGATTGGAAAGGAATTAGTAGGATGTCAATTGTGGCAAAGTGTTTGAAGCCCCCAAATAAGGCGCTCCTGAAATGATGAATTGTAACGACATTAGATTTGTCTTTACGTTTGCTAAATTAGGAGAAACCAGCTGTTTGCTTCCACCTGGAATTGCAACATTTCTTTGCAACTCTTTGCTGTTGAAGGCGTTCTTTTTGTTCTGTTTTGTTTTGTTTGTTTGTTTGTTTGTTTTTTGGGGACAGAATCTCGCTCTGTCCAGGCTCTGACCAGGCTGGAGTGCAGTGGCGCGATCTTGGCTCACTGCAACCTCTGCTTCCCGGGTTCAGGCGATTCTCCTGCCTCAGCCTCCCGAGTAGCTGGGATTACAGGCGCCCGCCACCACGCCCGGCTAATTTTTTTGTATTTTTAGTAGAGACGGGGTTTCACCGTGTTAGCCAGGATGGTCTCGATCTCCTGACCTCGTGATCCGCCCACCTCAGCCTCCCAAAGTGCTGGGATTACAGGCATGAGCCACTGCACCCAGCCAGGCGTTTTATAGAAGGCTGGATAATACGTTCAGGGGAAGTCTCTAAAGCAAGGGTAGTGTGTATAAATCCCCGTCGCAGAACATTAACCTTCAGTTGTGTGTACACACACACACACACACACCCTATATAGTTGTAACCTATATAGACTTTCACACATCCTAAGTTATTTGCAAGTCTAGATTTAAATTAAGTCTACATAGCAGGGAATAGAAAAGTGAGCTGTACCTGGAAAAAACCTTTGAACACAGCGTTCTTGATACAAGATTTAGGATTTGAAAGACATGGCACATGTACACACAGATGACATTTGTGCTGCCTTGGCAAAAACAGTTCTTTACTTCCAGAGTTCTTTCTCTTTAGTATGGGACACGATGAAACAGCACAATTTTCAGGAGTCCACAATTCCAGCGAGGCGCGTGGATGGGAAATTGTCACGTTGTGAATTGTGTTTGTGCTTTGCTAAATCGCCACCCGGAGCTGACTGTCAAATCCTATTTGCTTTGCTAAATAAGGATATCTCATCAAATTAGCCTTTAATGATACTTCTACAAATAGGGTGTTTTACATGAATTAACGAGGCCGGAACACTGACTGTTTCTCCAAGATACTGAGCTATAATGGAGGCGACGAAGCCGAATGTTAAAATTACTGAATTGTTAAGTGTGCAAAATCAGACAGAATTTAGTGCTAAATGTGAAACAATTTCTGCTTTAATGGTGAGCATTCGCAACAGCACAAGCATTACTTATATTCAGCCGTCTGAAACTGTGCATGTAATTATGAATACATTTAACAAACTTTAACCCCCCTCTGAGTCTGGAAACAGTCTAGTATGGTGAAGAGATTATAAATCAGCATTTTGCAGTGAGAAGTCATCATTAATTCAGCAAAGAATCACAGCTTCTTTTCAGATCCTTCCCACCACCCTCCTACACACCCCCCTCAACCAATAAGGAAAAAAAAAATTCAGCATGGAACTGCTGGATACACTGAATATATTTTGGCTTTTCTCTTTTTGCCTCTGTGTGAGAAACTTCATTAAGCAGTTGCTGTTCCCTCCCCACCCCCGCTAACCCCCAAAGAAGTGTGGATTTAAGAAAAAAAAAAACAAAAAACAAGCAACTTTGAATTTTGTTCTTAGCAATCCCCAAGCCATAGCTGATCTCAGAGAGGCAAAAAAGATGTTTCAATAGAAAAGAATACGGTATGGCCAGGAGTAAAATATTTAGAGGTGGTTCTGCAATGAATATGATACTTCCTTAAAAATAAAATATATGTTGGTGATTCAAACCAATGAAAGTTGGAAAAGTCCCTCCAAGGGAACACTCTCTCTGTTTCCCTTCCCAGCAACCCCCCAACTTAACGTTATGAACAGAAAGATGGAAATTCTTGCCAGATCAACTATAGCCTCCTAACGATCAGCTCACCCTCCTTTAATTTTGATTGTGGAGCAAATACAGCTATTTTAGCCATGAGGATAAAAATGAGTGCAGTGAAAAGTTAAGGCAAACTTGGTACTTAAAATCACTCACCAGAATAAAGTGCGTGTACAAACAAAACATTGCTGATCAGTTACTTTAAGCAGGCATTTTCTTTCTCGCCTGAGCACCCCAAACACAGAAAAATGTAGAGTTCTTTTTGCTTCTTGTATCTGGAGCAGGTGAAAATAAACCCTGACGCTCACAAACATGATATAAACAACATACTTTTCAGGCCTAGTAGCCAAGCCGACTTTTCAGGGAAAGAGATGGACGTTGAAAGAATTTAGGAGTGGACTTGGGGTTCCCTCCATCACCCCATGCCCAGCTGACCCCTTCTGCCCTTCTCATGACCTCTTTTCAAAGCAGCCAGTGTTCAGATGCTGCCTTTCCAGCGTCCCCAGTTGTAGGGGACATATGCACATATTTACCAAGCTTTAAAATAAGGTTTCTGATTTTATATCATCCGTCTGAGTTTACGGAACCACAAAGCAAACTTCTTTCTCCGTGTCCCTGAAATGCTGCCCCACTGCAGCAAAGGGGACTTCGCCTGGGCAGGGAGAGGAGTTAGTGGCTGGTTGCGCCTAAGGTTAGCTGTGCGGTGTGGTATGACAGTTTTCTCAGAGATGTGCAAAAATCTAGGCTCTCTTGCTGGAATCGTGTGAGATCAGTGCTGGGCCTGTTGGCATTGGCATTTGTGCCCAAGACAGCCCAGACCTCTGCCAGCCGAGGCCCAGATGTGGCCTCAGAGCCACTACTGGTGCCCAGACAAGTCCAGACAGGTGCCTGGGGGTCTTTCCTCCCGAGACGAAGCCTGCAGCAGTTCAGCCAGAAGATGGGGTATTTGGCTCTCAAAGTCAGCCTCCCCAGAGACTCTGCAGGGTTTAATAGCCTGGTGACCCTGTGGGCTCTGGCGAGGGCAGAACCCCACTTTGCTTTCCAAATGCTCAAAGGGGAACAGATGAGGCTATCCCACAGGCTCAGAGCAAATCTGTCCTGTGTGAGTGCAAACGTGGTTCTAGAAGATTCAGAGGCAAAGCTGAGCTTTTGCAGCCCAGCCCCAAGCCCTTGCTCTCGAGCACCAGGGCTGCGATCCTTCGACTTGGGGTGGGCCTAGGAGGCGTAGCTCCCAGCCAGCAAGACAACACATAACACATCTGAGTTACCGTGCATGTGTTTGCTGGTCTCTTCTCCAGCTCCGTGAGGCCTCCCACCTGGGAGCTGAGCCTTTTGCTTTGATCAGGCTGGGAGGAAAACCTAGGCCAGGAAGGGCCGGGCTGCAGGCTGGAAGTGGAAAGAAGTGGGCCAGGTGGACAGAAAAAGGGGCCACCAACTAAGCCACCTTGGGGGTCGGCCCAGAGTGAGAACTGGGCTGGCATTCTGGGTTCAAACACACAAGAAAACTGTCTGCAGCCTCTCTGCCCTGGCACCAACATGTGCCTGCTCCAGGAAGTTGCACCCAGCCCTGAGTCAGCCAAACCCGTGGGACTCCCATTTGGCCCCAGTAACTGGACTCCAGGCTACCAAAGGCCTCGTGGGTTCTCGATCGTATCTTAGAATGGCGTTAAAAGGTCCAGACCCGGCACCTGTAGGCCATGCCGTATTTAGCCCTAGGTTCACCCGGAGAATATTTTAGGTGCTACTTGAAAGAAGAGATCTGGGCCCTAGTTGCCGGCTGTCACATGGCAAGGGTAGAATCGCTCCCTCACAGACCTGGCCGAGATGGCCGGGTGCTCACTGGTACAGGTGCCCAGAGTCCCTGCCAGAGCTTCGGGGCCATGCGACGGGTGCCAAGGAGCCAGCTAGCGACTGGGGCGTCGGTTCTGTGTGGGGATGCCTTTTCACCCCGTTCTCAATCTGAAGGCAGTGAATCCACTTCCATTCACAGAACTCACAGAGGCCTCTCCTCTCTGAGATGGCCCAGTGTGATATCCCAGGCTGCGTAGTAAGCTCCTCCTCTGGTGTCAGCCATGTGGAGGGGTTAACCCTTTCCTGGCTCTGAGGGTGCTGGCTGGCACAGGGGGCACCCACCTGCAGGGCCTCAAAGGTTATATGCCTTGGGGAAGACACCCTGAACTCCTTAGTCCTCAGATCTTAGTGGCTGAACCAAGAGATGGCACCTGGGACCTTAGCAGTAAAACCCGTCCCCTTTTTTTTGAGACAGTGTCTTACTCTGTTGCCCAGGCTGGAGTGCAGTGGTGAGCACAGCTCACTGCAGCCTGAACTTCCTAGGCTCAAGCCTCATCCTCCTGAGTAGCTGGGACTACAAGCACACACCACCACACCTGGCTATTTTTTGCAGAGACTTGGGGGGGGTCTCACTGTGTTGCCCAGGCTGTTCTCAAACTCCTGGCCTCAAGCAGTCCTCCCACTTTGGCCTCCCAAAGTGCAGGGATTACAGGCGTGAGCCCCCACGCCAGCCGGTTTGCCCCTTTTGCACCACCAGCGATAACCACTCAGCTCCCCTACCCAAGCCTTAGTCCTTCTGTCCGTGTTGTGGAAACCAGGTATTTTCATCAGCATTTCCAAGGGGACTAAGTTTCTCCCATTCCAGAGGAGGAGGTGTTGAAGGATAACTTAGATCATTAATGAGGGTCTGGAACAGTCATCTGAAGTTTGGGGGAAACGTCACGTCTCCTATGATGCGCCTGGCTTTAGGGAATAATCCTTGTATCCATTTTGGGAACCTGCTCTGGGATTCCAGATCTGTGGTTTTCTGAGCACGTCTGTGTGGAAGCTGCTGCACTGAGACCTATTTAGCCAATTATTGAGAAGATGAGGTCCCTTTCGTGAGTCTGCACGGAGCCGCCGTACACCATGAAAGCGCTCACTTGTTTAAAGTTTGCTCTAACTTTGTACATTTTTTCCTTTTTAGTTTTGGCTCTTGGTGCTCTGAGAGCTACCACTTCCTGCCAGCTGGTTCGTTACCGCAGGGAAAATGAGGGACTTTTGGGGGCAGATGTGTTTCCATTCCACTATCATAATGCCCCTAAAAATCCTTATTGCTCTTGCAGTATTCCTCGGGGGTCCCTGGGCCAGAAAGACATCAGCTCGGAGTTCCTCCAGCAACTCAAAGAAGAGAGAAAGCTGTTCCCCAAACTCTTCCGCTGTAGCGCCTTCTGGGTCCCTGGTAGATGCCTTCTTGTGCTCAAAACCGGTTATCACTGTGAAAAATTGAAAGACGCCATGCGCAGACACTGGTTGCTAAACGTGCTTTTGCCCTCCAGGGGCAGACGCTGAGATCCGGCCTGGGAAGGAGTACAGCTGTGGCTCCCCATCAGCGTCAGCATTTGCTCTGGGGGGTTGTAGGGGGAGGTAGGGAAAGCGGAAAGAAACAAGTGTTACCTGTTTGACGAGGCCTGGTCCTTGCAGCCAGGGCCTCCGGGATCATCGCCTTGGCAGGGGGCCCTGGGGCAGTCCTGGCTTTCCTGCTAGCTCCCTGAGACAGAACACTTTCCCCGCTCGCTGCCTCAGTTTCCCCATACACCAAGGGAGGGGCAGCACCCCCTGCTCTGGCTTCAAAGGGTTCTTGGATGTAGCCAATGTTATATATAAAAAGCTCTAACGTTGTATAAGCTCTGAAGGTGCTTTGAAAATTGGAGAGTCCATGCATTAAACATGGAAGGTAATAATATGAATACACACAGAGGAATTCATGGGTGGGGAGACGGCAGCCCAGCACTGAGCCTGGGTTTCTGGGATCAGCCAGGCCTGCATTCCAGCCCGAGCTCTGCGCCTCTCTTGCTGTGTCACCCGGGACAAGTGAGTCAGTCTCTCTGAGCCACCAGCTCCTCAGGCATGAAACCTGTAACTCAGACTCCCAAGTCTGATTTGCACATCTCTGATTTTAAGCGGCGCCGGCTAAAGGTGAAAATTATTCTAGTAGGTATTCTTTGCACCGCTGATTTGTACTTCAGGCAATTGGTTGGTTTTCCATTTAGGGTCGGGAGACAGGGGCCCTTTTTTTGTCCATCAATTGATGTCAGTTAAACAAAAAAGAGTGGGTGTTTTGGAAGAAAAATATTAAGCAACTACAGCTGCCCTGAGGATGGGACAGAAATCAGAAAGTCGTGTGTAAAGTTTCAGAGGTCCACTTTTAGAGAATTCTTGTTTATCTCAGGGATTTTCCGCACTCCTGTAGTCGGTGTGGGGAGGGGTGGGGGGAGATGGGGGAGTTGCCAGTTCAGATCTGTAGAGGGCTCCAGCATGACAAAACTGGGTGTCACACATCTTCCTTTTGGGGGTCGGGAAACCACCCTTCCCTGCTCACCGACACCACTGGGACCCCTCACCCCCCCACTCCTGCATTGATCCATAGCTCAGATTTCTCTCTCATTTTAGGGTCACGATGACTCAGCACCCTCCTTTCTGGCCAGGGCACCTCCCTTGGCCTCTAGGGGCACTTGCCTGACAGGCCTCACTGTGCCGGACCTGGGAGCCAGCTGCCCACCAGCCCCCTGGGACTCTGGTTTTGCAGGGAAACCATGGGTGATCAGTCCCAGCCGGCAGGGGCCAACTGCGGTTTCACTTTCTGCTGCATCATGGGGTGGGGGGTGGCAGCGGGCCCCCGCTGGCCAGCTAGAGCAGGCACTGAGAGGCCTGCAGACAGCTGCCGGCCCTGCTGCCAGAACGCACCCCCCACCCACCCCCTGCAGCCTGCCAGGATGGGGGCTGGGCTCTCAGGAGCCCCTTAAATCTTTCCACCTGCACAGTGTCGGGGACCTCAAGTGAGAAAAGCCTGGAGCCGATGAGATGGTTTCCTGAGCTGTTGGAGATTCCCCCAAAACAACCTTTTTTTTTTTTTTTTTTTTTTTAATTGAGACAGGGTCTCTCTTTGTCACTCAGGCTGGATTGCAGCGGTGCAGTCAAAGCTCACTGCAGCCTCGAACTCCTGAGCTCAAGCGATCGTCCTGCCTCGGCCTCCCAAAGTGGTTGGGCTACAGGTGCATGCCACCTAGTCCTGCCCAAAACAAGCTTGTAAATCACGCAGGCTAGAAACTCAAGAGAGCTGTGATTGTTGCTTCTGGGTCAGATTGCTGTGGCTAGACACTGCTTCTGCCCTTCCTTCCCTGGATAGATGGCTGCTGAGGCCCTACTGTGTGCGGAGCTGGGTGCCAGGTGCTGGAGGTACAGCAGGGAGCCAGACAGCCCCTGCCCGCATGGGGCTCACAGTTGAGTCAGGGGAGACAGACAAAAGAATCAAAGAAATAATCCAGCCGGGTGCGGTGGCTCACGCCTGTAATCCCAGCACTTTGGGAGGCCAAGGCGGGTGGATCACGAGGTCAGGGGATCGAGACCATCCTGGCTAACATGGTGAAACCCCGTCTCTACTAAAAATACAAAAAAGTTAGCCGGGTGTGGTGGCGGGCGCCTGTAGTCCCAGCTACTCGGGAGGCTGAGGCAGGAGAATGGCGTGAACCCGGGAGGCGGAGCTTGCAGGGAACGGAGATTGAGCCACTGCACTCCAGCCTGGGCAACAGAGCGAGACTCCGTCTCAAAAAAAAAAAAAAAAAAAGAAAGAAAGGAAAAAAAAGAAATAATCCCACGTTACGATGGAAATTTCACGCTGAATACTTGGTGTTAGGATCTCAGGAAGGGATCATGCATACATGTCTGTCATGAGTCAACTCCCAGAACACATAGCATAGGAGGCAAGGGAAGGCTGCCCCTTCACCCGCTAAAAGTTTGCTAAAAATAACTGACAGGCCAGGCATGGTGGCTCACGCCAGTAATCCTAGTACTTTGGGAGGCCGAGGTGGGAGGATCACTTGAGCTCAGGAGTTCAAAATGTTCCTGGGCAACATAGTGAGACCTTGTCCCTATTTTATATTTATTTTTTAAAAGTTTTTACCAAAGAAATGACTGACAACAAGTGGATTAATAGGAGAAAAAAGCATATGAGCCGGGCGTGGTGGCTCATGCCTGTAATGCCAGCACTTTGGGAGGCCGAGGCATGAGGATCACGAGCTCAGGTGATCAAGACCATCCTGGCTAACACGGTGAAACCCCGTCTCTACTAAAAATACAAAAATTAGCCAGGCGAGGTGGTGCACGCCTGTAGTCCCAGCTACTCGGGAGGCTGAGGCAGGAGAGTGGCCTGAACCCGGGGGGCGGGGCTTGCAGTGAGCCGAGATCGCCTCACTGCACTCCAGCCTAGGCGACAAGAGCAAGACACCATCTCAAAAAAAAAAAAAAAAAAGAAAAAGGCATATGAATTTATTCACCATGCATAAACGCCAGGGGAGTGGCGGGAGAATGATTATCCAATAACCCAGTGAAGTCCATCGCTGGGCACAGTGGCTCACACCTGTAATCCTGGCAGTCTGGGAGGCCGAGTCAGGTGGATTGCTTGAGGTCACTAGTTTGAGACCAGCCTGGGAAACATGGTGAAACCCTGTCTCTACCAGAAATACAAAAAAAAAAAAATTAGCCAGCCTTGGTGGTGCACACCTGTGCTCCCAGCTACTCGGGAGGCTGAGGTGGGAGGATCGCTTGAGCCCCGGAAGCAGAGGTTGTAGTGAGCCGAGATCACGCTGCTGCACTCCAGCCTGGGTAACTGAGACCTTGTCTCAAAAAAATATAAAAATATAAATAAATACTTCCGTCATAGAAGGGAGATGGGGGAAATGCGGCCACTCTCAGGGGTAGTAAATGATTTTTAGGAGGAATGAATGGGTCTGATGCTGGGACAACGGTCAGTGAATAATTCCTTTAGGGAGTCGAATGGGATCGGAGGACAGATGATAGTTTGGGATGAAGTCCGTCTGCACTCCAGGTGTGGTGTTTCATTTCATTCTCTTCCTCTGTGATATGAGTTTTCATCTCTGGTTAATGAAATTTCAGTGAAGGAGTCGAAGGCAATTGTGTTCCTCTTTGGCGGGTGTGGTTTCCAGGTAGATAAGGGAACTCCAGATAGCAGGCTCCTCCTATGCTTTGGGACGGACAGAGGATGGAGAAACAGGATTGGGGGTGGGGGCGGGGGGGTGGTGTTGGAGAGACCTTGAGGCTGCTTCAGTTGAGCACATCAAAGAGCCATATTTTGGGGTACCGTTTTCTGAGCCCCAACAATAGGTAGGGTTAAGAATAGAGACCTGGGAGCCAGCTGTCCTGTGTTTGAACTTGACTCTTCTACTGAGTGGTCGGGTGACCTCTGCCAAGATACTTGCCCTCTTTGTGCCTCAGTTCCCCCATCTACAGTTACTAGAATATTAGGGCACAGCATAGGGATGTGGTGAGGATGAAATACATGAACGTCTGTAAAGAACTAAGCACGGCGCCTGACATTGATGATGTGCTATATAAGTCTTAGCTATTATATAAGAATAATAAATGTGAACTATTATTGTAAGATGAAATGCGCCAGCCACAGCAGGCCAGGAACATCAGTAATGTGGCCGAGCCTGTCCTCTGTGCGAAACGCTTTACAGGCCCTCATCTCACCTAATGGCCACAGCCAACCTGCAGGTGAGCCTAATTGACATCTGAGGCTGGGGAAACTGAGGCTCAGGCCGGTGAAGAGAGGTATTTAAGGTTAACCAGCAGGCAAGCAGTGTGACCTCAGATGCAGGGCTGGTTTCCAGGGGCTGGGACCCACGCTTAGTTGACTGCTTTGAGGCCAAGGCATGGGAATTGCTTGAGACCAGGGGTTGCAGACCAGCCTGGGCAACATAGCCACACTCTCATTTCTTTAAAAACAAAAACAAAAAAATGACCCAGGCATGGTGGCACGCCCCGGTAGTCCCAGCTACTCAGGAGGCTGAGGGGGTAGGTTGGCTTGAGCCCAGGATGTCCAGGCTGCAGTGAGCTGTGATAGTGCCACCTTAACAATTTTGCTCCAGCCTTACTAACTTTGGAACAAGGGGCCTCACATTTTCATTTTGCAAATTATGTAGCCAATCCTGCCCTGATCTAAAGTACTCCAGAGCTGTCACTCTTAACTCCTACCAGCCATATATCACACAGCCAGGCCCACAGTCACCTTCCAAGTCATCAGGATGGTGTTTTGTAGTAGGACTGAGATCCTGGGAGAATGTGAAGACTCCTTATGGGGCTGAATTGCCAACATTAAAAGGCAGGCGGGGCAGTTGCTAAGGGCAGAGGGCATCACTCCTTCATTGCTGTATCCTCAGGGCCTGGTCTGTGTTAGATGTTCAGTTAATAGTTTTAACATGAAGCCAGTGAATCGGAGACTGCTCTATCTCCCCGGACCCAACCTACTTAAATGACACCTTCCAGGGAAGCAAGTCAGTGGTGCAGTGTCAGATGTCAATCATCCCGAACACCACCCTCCATCCCCCAGTAGACTTCTGGACAGCCCCTGAGGGTCCCCTAAGACCCTCCCCCTGCCCCAAACCTGTGTGCCCACACCTTGGAGTAGATTCCTGCTTAACGGGCTCTGGTGGGGGGTTCAGAGGTAACACAAGTATTTAAAGGCATGTGGAGGCCAGGCGCGGTGGCTCACACCTGTAATCCCAGCACTTTGGGAGGGCAAGACAGGTGGATCACCTGAGGTCAGGAGTTTGAGACCAGCCTGGCCAACATGGTAAAATGCCGTCTCTAGTAAAAATACAAAAATTAGCCTGGCCTGGTGGCGTGCGCCTGTAATCCCAGCTACTCAGGAGGCTGAGGCATGAGAATCGCTTGAACCTGGTGGCGGAGGTTGCAGTGAGCCGAGATCTCACCACTGCACTCCAGCCTGGGTGACAGTGAGACTCCATCTCAAAATAATTAAATTAAAAATAAAGGCATATGGGCTTGGCTTCTCGAGTGCCTATAGTGGGGAAGAGGCAGAGTATAGCCCAAAGAATACTTGGATGTTAGTTCAGGCAGGTTCAAGACCCAGCCAGGGGTCATGGGTTATGGTCTTCTGAATTGGTTAATGAGAGGGTTTGAAGGAAAGATTCCTTTTCCTCTGAAGTTGGAAGTTTATTGACACTCAAAACTCCTAAATGGTACTAAGAAGCAAAGAATGGTTTCAAAAGCCTAGAAGATATTTATAACAAAACTTTTTTTTTTTTTGAGACAGTGTCTCAGTCTGTTGCCCAGGCTAGAGTGCAGTGGTGCCATCTCAGCTCACTGCAACCTCTGCCTCCAGGGTTCAAGTGATTCTCCCACCTCAGCTTCAGTAGCTGGGATTATAGGCACACACCACCGTGCCCAGCTAATTTGTGTATTTTTAGTAGAGATGGGGTTTCACCATGTTGGCCAGGCTGGTCTCGAACTCCTGACCTCAAATGATCTGCCCGCCTCAGCCTCCCAAACTGCTGGGTTTACAGGCGTGAGCCCCCACACCTGGCCAATATATTTTTATAATGTTCTTTGCCAGCTGTTTGCACAGGTATGATCCATTGTTTCAAATAATGCTGTGAAGCAGAAGCTGTCCTCACTTTCTAAATAACATCATAACCATCGATATGTATTGAATGCTTTGTATGTACTAGGCGCTGCACCTGTATGAAGTCAGTCATTTCAGTTGCATAAGCAACATATAAAAAGGGATTATTGGTATCTCCAGCTTACTGATGAGGAAAGAGAGATGCACTGACGTCCAAGGCCACATACCCGGCATGTGAGGAACTGGGGCTCAGGCCTGGATCTTCCATTCCAAGGGTCAGCAGCCCATTTCTGTAAAAGGCCACATTGTGAAGATTTTAGCCTTTGCAGGCAATACAGTCTCTGTTGCAGCTGCTCAACTCTGCCTTTTTTTTTTGGTTGGGAGGGACGGAATCTTGCTCTGTTGCCCAGGCTGGCGTGTGGTGGCGCAATCTCGGCTCACTGCAACCTACGATTCCCTGGTTCAAGTGATCCTCCTGCCTCAGCCTCCTGAGTAGCTGAGATTACAGGTGCCCGCCACCATGCCCAGCTAATTTTTTTTTTGTCTCAGTGTTTTATTTTTTTATTTATTATTATACTTTAAGTTCTAGGGTACAACGCCCAGCTAATTGTTGTATTTTTAGTAGAGATAGGGGTTTCAGCATGTTGGCCAGGCTGGTCTCCATCTCCTGACCTCGTGATCCACCCCCCTCGGCCTCCCAAAGTGCTGGGATTACAGGTGTGAGCCACCGTGCCCGACCAACTCTGGCATTTTAACTCAAAAGTAGCCACAGATAGTACACAAACAAACGGATGTGGCTGTGTGTTGCAATAAAACTTTATTCACAAAAACAAGGAGTGGGCCAAACTTGGCCCACAGGCCGTATTTCCTGACTCCTGTTCCAGAGCAAAAGCTTATCCTTCAGTTAGAACATCATGAACTTGGCCCTGGCAACGTTCTTTTCTCCCCACCTGTGAGGTGACAGAGTTATGTTTCGGAACAGATGACCACTGTCTCTGGAGAGGTTAGGTTGGCTCCTCCTTCTTTGAGGGAATTCTGCAGCTCTTGGAAATTAGATCTATTAGGATTTCTTGGTGACAGCCACAATAGAATACCCTGGGGATTTCAACATTGTAATTTTAGTAGCTGTCAACTGAGTAACTTTTAAAGAGGAAAGAAAGTGTGGTAGTTCAGAAAAATACCTCAGTGGTTCACTTTGCCTGTGGAAGCCATTCTTTAAACTGAGAATAAAAATCTTTTTTTTTTTTTTTTTTTATAATCAGTGTCTTGCTCTGTTGCCCAAGCTGGAGTGCACTGGTGCCATTATAGCTCACTGCAGCCTTAAACTCCTGAGCTCAGGTGATCCTCCTGCCTCAGCCTCCTGAGTAGCTGGGACTACAGATGAACATCACTCTTGGCTTTTTTTTTTCTTTTTTTTGAGATGGAGTCTCGCTCTGTCGCCCAGGCTGGAATGCAGTGGTGCGATCTCGGCTCACTGCAAGCTCCGCCTCCCGGGTTCACGTCATTCTCCTGCCTCAGCCTCCTGAGTAGCTGGGACTACAGGCGCCCACCACCACGCCTGGCTTTTTTTTTTTTTTTTTTTTTTTTTTTGTATTTTCAATAGAGACGGGGTTTCACTGTGTTAGCCAGGATGGTCTCGATCTCCTGACCTCAGCCTGCCAAAGTGCTGGGATTACAGGCATGAGTCACCGTGCCCGGCCACTCTCGGCTAATTTTTTTATTCTTTTATAGAGTCGGGGTCTCACTACGTTGCCCAGGCTGGTCTTGAACTCCTGGCTTCAAGTGATCCTCCTGCATCAGCCTCACAAAGTGCTGGAATTGCAGGCGTAAGCCGCCATGCCCGGCTGAAAATAGCTTAAGACAGAATGGCAGGGGTGTGTGTGTGTGTGTGTGTGTGTGTGTGTGTGTGTGTAGGGAGAGGGTGGAGAAGAGAAAGGGAATTTCCCAAGAGGGCAGAGAGCTGGAGCCAAAGGATTCCTAGCAGGAGGGTCAGAGAGGAAGGTGTGACTTCTTTTTTTAAACAGCTTTATTGAGAGATTATTCACTTAACGTACACTTCACCCATTTAACATGTATGATTCAATGTCTTTGAGTGTATACACAGAGTTGTACAACCATCACAATCAATGTTAGAACACCATCAACTCAAAAAGAAACCCTGGGCCCAGCACTTTGGGAGGCCAAGGCAGGCGGATCATCTGAGGTCAGGAGTTTGAGACCAGCCTGGCCAACATGGTGAAACCCCGTCTCTACCAAAAGTACAAAAATTAGCCAGACGTGGTGGCGTGTACCTGTAATCCCAGCTACTCAGAAGGCTGAGGCAGAAGAATCGCTTGAACCCCGGAGGCGGAGCTTGCAGTGAGCCGAGATCATACCATTGCACTCCAGCCTGGGCAACAGAGTGAGACTCCATCTCAAAAAAAAAAAAAAAAAAGAAAAGAAACCCAGAACCCTCCCGCATCCTAATCCTCCAACGCCCCCAACCCTGAGCAATCACAAATCTACTTTCTGCCCCTGTGGATTTGTTTATTCTGCACATTTCCTATAAATGGAATCACACAATTAATGCGGTCCTTTGTGACTGGATCCTTTTACTTAGCAGGACGTTCTCAAGGTTCAGCCACACTGTAGCATGGATCAGAACTTCATTCCTTCTTACAGCTGAATCATATTCTGTATTATGGATGGGCCACCATTTTGTTTAACCACTGTCAGTGATGGACATACGGGTTGTTTACACTTTTTGGCTGCTATGAATAATGCAGCAATGAACATTCATGTGTTAGTCTTTGTGTAAACAGATGCTTTCATTTCTCTTAGGCATATAGGTCAGAGTAGAATTGCTGGGCCATAAGGCAACCCTATGTTTATCATTTTGAGGAACTGCCAGGGGCAAGTCTTAATATATTGCCTTTTTATTTTTAATTTTTGTTTTTATTTTCTTGAAACGGGGTCTGGCTCTGTCACTCAGGCTGGAGTGCAGTGGTGCAATCACAGCTCACCACAGCCTTGAACTCCTGAGCTCAGGCCATCTGCCTGCTTCAGCCTCCCGAGTAGCTGGGACCACAGGCACATGCCACTATGCCTGGCTAATTTTTTATCTTTTGTAACAATGAGGTCTTGCCATGTTGCCAGCTGGTCTTGAATTCCTAGGCTCAAGTGATCCTTCCACTTTAGCCTCCCAAAGTGTTGGGATTAGAGGCATGAGCCACTGTGCCTGGCCTTTATTGCCTTTTTTTTTTTTTTTTTTTTTTTGAGATGGACTCTCGCACTGTCGCCCAGGCTGGAGTGCAGTGGCGCCATCTCAGCTCACTGCAAGCTCCACCTCCCAGGTTCACGCCATTCTCCTGCCTCAGCCTCCCGAGTAGCTGGGACTACAGGCGCCCACCACCACGCCCGGCTAATTTTTGGTATTTTTAGTAGTAACGGGGTTTCACCATGTTAGCCAGGATGTTCTCGATCTCCTGACCTTGTGATCCGCCTGCCTCGGCCTCCCAAAGTGCTGGCATTACAGGCGTGAGCCACTGTGCCCGCCTTTTTAAACTTTGTATTATAGAGTTTAAATTGTGAGTGATGGCTCACACCTGTAATCCCAACACTTTGGGAGGCCAAGGCCAGAGGATCACTTGAGCCCAAGAGGATGGGACTACAGTCAGCTATGATCACATCACTGTACTCCAGCCTGGGCAACAGAGCCAAACCCTGTCTGTAAATAAATAAATAAAACCCCACCACTATGTATTATGGAAATTTCCCACCATACCTGAAAGTAGTATGTGGTATGTAACAAGCATCCAGTATTCATCATCCAGGTTCGACACCGCTCGGCTTTTGCCTGTGTTCTTTCCCACTGAGTATTTTAGAGGCAGCATCGCACTTGATGTTGTTTCTTTGTCTGAGAGCTCAACATTTTCTTTTGTCCCAAAGCTTCCAAGTCTCCTGCACCCACATCCTTGTGTGGGATGGGATTTGGGGAGAATGGATGAACTGGGGCAGAATCAATGTGGGGAAGGAAGGGAACAGCCCCTGAGAGGGGCAGGCCTGGCTACCTAATTTGCAGGACCCAGGGCAAAATGAAAACGGGAAGCCCTTTGTTCAAAAATTATTATAAAGTTGAAGACAGCAACAGCATGGGCTTGTGTCACTGCACACGTTCCATGCCTCCGATGGCTATGACGGCTAGCCTTCTCCTGAGGCCAGCAAAAAGGTGCCCAAGCAGAACTGATTAAGGGGACGCAGGAATTTATAGAGCCTCAGGTGTCTGGGTGAGACAGAAGTGCGCCCCTCACCTCCAATCCCTGGAAAGAATCCGAGGATAGTTGGGTCTTCCCTGGCATGTGAGACAAGATTCAAGCCCATTTCGTTTGAATTTCCAAAAATAAGATGACCCCAGCTGACGTGGGTCATGAGCACTTGAAAAAAAAAAATAACCATTTGGCCGGGCGCGGTGGCTCATGCCTGTAATCCCAGCACTTTGGGAGGCCGAGGCGGGTAGATCACGAGGTCAGGAGATCGAGACCATCCTGGCTAACATAGTGAAACCCCGTCTCTACTAAAAATACAAAAAATTAGCCGGGCGTGGTGGCGGGCACCTGTCGTCCCAGCTACTCGGGAGGCTGAGGCAGGAGGATGGCGAGAACCCAGGAGGCAGAGCTTGCAGTGAACCGAAATCACGCCACTACACTCCAGCCTGGGAGACAGCGAGACTCCGTCTCAAAAAAAAAAACACAAAAAAAAACACAAACATTTGTCTTAAGCCTTCTTCCCTTCTTCCCTAAGCGCCCACAGTTGTTTTATTTGGCCCCACCATTTTGTCCTGGATTCTGAGTGTACTGTGATATCCCAGCAGATGACAGGGCTGCAGTCTTAAAAACAGAGGTTCCCTGGTTAGCAAAGGACACAGAGCAAGACCAGGAATGCCCAACATGGCAGGTGGCCACGGGAGACATTGCCAACCACTCACTCATGGCGCCCAGTCCCTCTGAGCTCAGACAGAACTCCATTAGCTTTGCCAAAGGATCATCTTTACTCAAAACACCCAGAGATTCGGAACCTCCAGTGTGTGTTGGGTTGACACCCAGGGACTTATACTAACAGGACCCAAGGTGTACTTACGCTAACAGAGCCTTGTCATGAAGGGTTATAGGGTGACTGGCAAAGGAGAGGAGAGGGTGACAGAAAGGGACTCATTGAGAACAGATGAGAACTGTGCAGCTCCTCCTGTTCTCTGGAGGATGTTCATTCATTTCACTACCTGTGTACCTACTGTTCATAGGCGCTGGGGACTGAGCATGAGCTGTATCGTAATCAAGACAGGTGAGGTTCCGACGCTTATGGGCAGAGGCAACCATAAACCAATGACTAAAAAACCATTTTAAATCTGATCAAAATCGCATAATGACAAAAAAGAACTACAGCAACAGGTCTGAGTAAATCCCATCCGGCAGCTCTGGCGTTTGTAGAAAACCAGAGTGGGAATTTTTTTTTTTTTTTTTTTAAGACAGAGTCTCGCTCTGTCGCCCAGGCTGGAGTGCAGTGGCGCGATCTTGGCTCACTGCAAGCTCCGCCTCCCGGGTTCACGCCATTCTCCTGCCTCAGCCTCCCGAGTAGCTGGGACTACAGGTGCCCGCCACCCCGCCTGGCTAATTTTTTCTATTTTTTAGTAGAGATGGGGTTTCACTGTGTTAGCCAGGATGGTCTCGATCTCCTGACCTCGTGATCCGCCTGCCTTGGCCTCCCAAAGTGCTGGGATTACAGGCGTGAGCCACTGCGCCTGGCCCAGAGTGGGATCTTAAAGCAGAGTCTGGCTCAAGATTGAGACAATTCCCAGCAGAATGAATGGAGCAGTAACACAGTCAGAAGGCCCTGAGGGAGGCAGGTGGCTCTCTCTGTTCCTGCCAGCACTCTCTCCCCCACTTCTGATAACAGACCTGCCGTACCATGGGAAGATGGCCAAAAATGGCCGCCCACGGTACTTGTTCCTCGGCTACAGTAATTGGTCCATGTGTAGGCATGTGACCCATCATGACCAATCATAGCAGCCCACTTCTGAGCGGGGGCACAGCAATTGTTCCAGGTGTAGTCATGTGACTCAAGCAGGGCGAATTCAGGATTGTCTGCAGAGCTTGTGGGGAGGATGTTTCTTTCTCTCCCTCCTCCTCTCTGGCATCCAGGCCTTAAAGAGGTAGACTTGGCACTACCAGTGGCCTCAGACAATAAGGCCAATAAGCAGAGAGGAGGAGAAATGAAACATGAGGTGAGGGGGTTAGGACAGGAAGAGAACCCAGAGCTTCCAGTCCCTGGATCCTAGAGAGCAATACAGCCTCTTCCCTTTCCTCATCGTAGCTACCCAGTGAATAAATCCCTCGTTCTACCTCATTCAGATCAACTTCAGTGCCTGTTGTTTGCAACCCACAGTGTCCCAATTCAGGACTTGGGAACTGTTTTCCTTTTCATGGATTGTGTAGAACTGAAAGGGATACGTCATTCTCAGAACTTATATTCTTGTTCCGATGTGCCAGCTGTACTTAAAAATAAAAGAATCCCAGACCCATCTCCATGTTCACCACCACCCCTCCTGTTAATTTCCTGCTGAATTGCAGCTCAACGCATGTGCTGGGATTTCAAGTCCTGCCCTAATCAATTTACTACCACCTCCCCAACCTTAACCCCAACCTACACGCACCTTCCTACGCTGGCCTGTGCGTGCAGCCTGCCCTGGCCTCTACTGTGACGCCTACCACGTTATATTTGTAATGATTTGTTTATGACTGTCCCCATACTAGGGAAGGCATCGAGCTTGAGGAAGAGGCCCCATTCATCTCCGTACCCCAGGCCCTGGTACACAGCAGGCAGGTAGCAAGTATGGGAGGGAGGTGGGGGAGGAAGAAGGGGGAAAAAAGGGAGTTCCTTCCTATTTTCTCTCTAGTCCAACCAATGTGTCACTCATAGGCTCAAGTTCTGTATTCGTTCCCTATACCTGTCTACCTGTTTTCCTTTTTCCCTTTTTTTTTTTTTAATGGAGTTTCGCTCTTGTTGTCCAGGCTGGAGTGCAATGGCGCGTTCTCAGCTCACTGCAACCTCCGCCTCCTGGGTTCATGCAATTCTCCTGCCTCAGCCTCCCCAGTAGCTGGGATTACAGGCGTGCACCACTATGCCCACCTAATTTTGTGTGTCTGTGTGTGTGTATATATATATATTTTAGATATTATATTATATATGTGTTTTTTATATATTATATATATATATATACTTTTTTTTTTTTTTTTTTACTAGAGATGGGTTTCACCATGGTGATCAGGATGGTCTCGAACTCCTGACCTCAAGTGATCCACCCACCTTGGCCTCCCAAAGTGCTGGGATTACAGGCGTAAGCCACTGTGCCCAGTCCCTATTTTCCTTTTTCTACCTGTCTGCCCTCAGGTAGACACAAACCTCATGCCCTCACCACCTTCAAGCCTCTACTCCAGTCTACTCCAGTACCCCTTCCCTGACCCCCGGGTCCCTCTTTTTTGTTTTCTCACTCTCTGTAGCACCTTCTACCACCATCCACCCTCCTCCGTGTTTTATTTATTTTGTTGATTTCTCCTTCATTGAAATGTCAGCTCCAGGCGGGCACGCATCTTTGTTGTGTTCTCTGCTGACTATATCCTCAGCACCTAGAACTGTGTCTGTCACCTAATAGATGCTCAGTAAGTATCTGGAATGAATGGATTATTTGTGTTTGCCAACATACACAGGTCTACCAAAGTTGTTTTCTCATGTACCTGTGCATTTCATGCTTCTAATAGGTATAAGGGAAGTCTGGTTATATCTTTTCTTCCTGGGACTGCTATAACAAATTATCACAGACTACAGGGCTTAACACAGCAGATTCATTTCAAAGTTCTGGTGGCCAGAAGTTGTAAATCTAGCAGGGCTGCCCTCCCTCCAGGCACACTAGGGAAGATGTGTGTCTTGTCTCTTCCACCTTCTAGTAGCTCTGGCGTTCCTTGGCTTGTGGCCGCATCACTCCGGTCTCTGCCTCCGTCTTCTTACCTTCCTCTTCTCTCTGTCCTGGTCTCTGCTTCTCTCTTTTAAGGATACATGGATTGCATTTAGTTCCCATCTGGATAATCCAGAACAAATGCCTCCTCTCAAGATCCTTAATCAGTCTTTTTCCAGTGATTCAGTTTGAAAGCAGACATACTTACTATCTCTCTGGGGGCTGCCATTTAGCCTACTGCAGGTTATCTGCATAAATAAATCAGAAAAGCAGAGATTCTCACCTCCTCCCAACTCTGTTGTCCTAGCAGGCATGCAATAAAGAGAGTATCATTGCGGTATTATTATTATTACTACAGCTCAGAGTGTGGAAATGATTTTTTAAACACCATTGTATGTTCTTTAATTATCCCAAATTTTAAAAATGAAACTATGCCTATAGTAAGAAAAAATACAAAAGAGAATAAGGTGGAAATAAAGGGGCGATTTGCCTTTTTTAATTTATTGTGTTTAGAGACAGAGTCTCAGTCTGTCACCCAGGCTGGAATGCAGTGGTGTGATCATAGCTCACTGCAGCCATGAACTCCTGGACTCAAGCAATCCTCCCGCCTCAGCCTCCAGAGTAGCTGGGACTACCGGCTCATGCCACCATTTTTATTTAATTATTTTTATTATTATTCATAGAGACAGGGTCTCACTACGTTGCCCAGGCTAGTCTCGAACTCCTAGCCTCAAGTAATCCTCCCACCTCATCCTCTCAAAGTGCTGGGACTATAGGCTTGAGCCACCACGCCTGCCCTGCAATTTTTCTTTAACTCCAACCTCACTTCTTTATAAGACATAACCACCGTGGGCAGTTTGCACAATCTTTATAAATTTTGAAAGCATGCACTTTTTTTGGCTCATAGTGGTAAGAAAGTTGGGGGTATACAATATATCCCGACAGTTCTTAGACCCACCTCATTCTTTCTAATGACTTCTAGCATCGCATCATACTTAACCTGTCTTCTACTGGCCAACTTTGCAGTTAACTCGAGGATTTTGCCTTTATAACATCTATAATCTTTGGCATGTGGCCAAGAATACTTGTAGGATAAATTCCTAGAAGTGGAATTTCTCAGTCAGAGGAGATTTTTTTTTTTTTTTTTTTTTTTTTTTTGAGACAGTCTCGCACTGTTGCCCAGGCTGGAATGCAATGGCACAATCTCGACCCACGGCAACCTCCACCTCCTGGGCTCAAGTGATCCTCCTGCCTCAGCGTCCTAAATAGCTGGGACTACAGGCCTGCACTACCACACCCAGCTAATGTTTTTTGTATTTTTTAGTAGAGACAGGGTCTTACCATGTTGCTCAGGGTGGTCTTGACCTCCCGAGCTCAAGCCATCCTTCAGCCTCCCAAAGTGCTAGGATTACAGATGTGAGCCCCTGCTCCCAGCCAAGAGGTGTGCATTGTAAATTTCTACAGCTATTGCCCAGGGCCTTCAAAAGGTTATCATTCACATGCACATCAAGGGTATACCTGTAGAGGCTGGGCTTGGTGGCTCACGCCTGTAATCCCAGCACTTTGAGAGGCTGAGGCTGGAGGATGGCTTGAGCTCAGGAGTTCAAGACCAGCCTGAGCAACATGGCAAAACCCTGTCTCTATAAAAAATACAAATATTAGCCAGGCATAGTGGCGCATGCCTGTAGTCCCATCTACTTGGGGGGCTGATGCAGGAGGATCGCTTGAGCCCGGGAGGTCGAGGCTACAGTGAGCTGTGATTGTACCGCTATACCCCAGCCTGGGTGACAAAGTAAGACCCTGTCCCTCCCCCACCAAAAAAAACAAGCCTACATTGGTGAGGGTGCTGTTTCTGATACCCTTTTCTACCCCAGCAAGAATGCGGTGTGTCAGGAGAAGCAAATCCCAAATGAGGTAAGTGGATTTTCTATGTGGGCCTGGGTCGGGGCAGACATGGCTTCTGAGGTTGTCCCTGTAGCTGTCTGAGGAGATAAGCTATTAAGAGCTCTTGTTAGTGTGGGTTTTATTAACAAAGACAGAGTTTGGGGAGGTGAGCCAGAACCGTGCGGCAGCGAGAAGCGTTGTGCAAGTCGGTATTTATTTCTTTAGTGCAGTTAGAACTTAAATATGGTCAAAACATACTCTTCTTTTAATTTACACAAACAAATATGTTCCCAGGCTGACACCTCCCGTGCCAAGTTTCTAGGGGAAACAAAATTCTACTGTGAGATTATAAACCACTCGAGAGAAGATGAGAATGGAAAAGCCGCCGAGAGTTAGCTCTCTCTACATGCCCAGAACTGGGCTGCTAAAAGGTGTCTTTTTTTTCATTGCAGATAAACCTGCCAGTAATTTCAGCAAATGAAACGTGGAACACGTCAAGGCCAGAGGATGGAAAAGGCTCCAGTTTTGATAAAAGGAGGCCTGCTTGGCTTGGAATCCTCTCTCCTGCTGGTTGGGAGATGCAAAGATGTTTCCAGAGAGGGGCTGATGAATTGAGGGGAAAGAAATGAGCCCAGTATGAGTCCCCTTTCAGGGCTGAGCGTGTATAAAACCAAACAACTTGGAACCGCTCCAAGAGAGGGGATTAAAGCAACATGTTATTCTGAGTGATTGCTTAATTTATTGAGCTGCGGCTGGATCTGTAATGAAATACAGCCCTTGTAACTGATAACCTCCTGCTGCCATTGAACTTCTACAATTAAGGAATATTTTCTGAGTTTCTCTGGAACGGCTCTGAATTTTTAGCCTCTGTGGTAGGGTGCTTCTGAACATTTGTTTTCCAGGCAATTTTTTTTGAGTATTAGGCTGATGTTAATAAATAAGCAGCATTTTATTGAGTGTTTTGTGGGAACCAGGAACTTTATATACATTGTTTCTAATCCTGACACTAATCCTGTCAATATCCAGTGAAATAACCCCTATTATTCCCTATTTTACAGATGTGAAGCCACGAGACGTTAGGTCATTTTCTAGAGTGGTGCTGTCCAAGACAGTAGCTGTGATGGCTCCTTGTGGCTATTGATGTGTAAATTAGTTAAAATTAAATAAATTTTAACATTTACACCCTAGGTTGCACTAACAATGAGTTCAAGTGCCCAGCAGCCCCGTGTACTGTGGCTGATGGCTACCACATTGGACAGTGCAGATATAGACCATTTGAAGGTTGCACAAGTGCTATTGGTCAGCACTGACTTAGATTTCCTTTTTTTTTTTTTTTTTGAGATGGAGTCTCGCTCTATTGTCCAGGTTGGAGTGCAGTGGTGCAATCTCGGCTCACTGCAACCTCCGCCTCCTGGGTTCAAGTGATTCTCCTGCCCCAGCCTCCTGAGTAGCTGGGACTACAGGTGCATGCCACCACGCCCAGCTAATTTTTGTATTTTTAATAGAGATGGGGTTTCACTGGCCAGGCTGGTCTCGAACTCCTGACCTCAGGGGATCCACCTGCCTCAGCCTCTCAAAGTGTTGGGATTACAGGTGTGAGCCACCACGCCCAGCCAGGTTCAGATTTCATAGCTAGAACCTGGCAGTGCCAGAATTCAAGCCGAAGCTAATGGGCTTTGAAGGCAGAGTTCATCTGCCAGCCTTGTTGCTTCTTTTTCTTCCCTCTGCTGAGAAGCAAGGAACAGAGCAGTGACTGTATCCCCTGGCTACACATTAGAATTACCTGCAATTCTTTTTTTTTTTGAGACGGAGTCTCACTCTGTAACCCAGGCTGGAGTGCAGTGGTGTGATATTGGCTCACTGCAACCTCCACCTCCCAGGTTCAAGCAATTCTCCTGCCTCAGCCTTCCAAGTAGCCGGGATTATAGGCACACACCACAACGCCCAGCTAATTTTTGTATCTTTAGTAGAGATGGGGTTTCGCCATGTTGGCCAGGCTGGTCTCGAACTCCTGACGTCAGGTGATCCACCCTCCTTGACCTCCCAAAGTGTTGGGATTACAAGCATGAGCCACCGCACCCGGCCTACCTACAATTCTTTTTTTTTGAGATGGAGTCTCGCTGTCTCCCAGGCTGGAGTGCAGTGGCGCGATCTCAGCTCACTGCAAGCTCTACATCCCGGGTTCATGTCATTCTCCTGCTTCAGCCTCCCGAGTAGCTGGGACTACAGGCGCCTGCCACCACGCCCAGCTAATTTTTTGTATTTTTAGTAGAGACGGGGTTTCACCATGTTAGCCAGGATGGTCTCAATCTCCTGACCTCCTGATCCTACCACCTCGGCTTCCCAAAGTGCTGGAAGCTGTGAGCTTTTTCCCAAAGTGCTAGAAGCTCTGAGCCGCCACGCCTGGCCCCTGCAATTCTTTAAAAAAAATGATGGTAGGGTCCCAGGCCCAGATAATCTGACTTCACTGTGATTAAGCCGGGTGGGGACAGGCATCAGAGGTTTTTCTACTTCCCCATGTGATGCCACTGTGCAGCCAGCACGTAGAGCAGCTAGGCGTGAGGACCCACACAGAGGATGCTGGAAGCAGCTGGTTCATCTGCCAGGAGAATGCAGTATCTTGTGACCAAGAAGTGGGCTTCTCCCAGGGCCACTTCTAAACCACCTCATCAGAGAGCTCAGGTTCATATCCGAGGGAAGAAACTGAAGTGCTTTCTCACACGCTTCCAGCTTGATGAGAATCACAGTAGGGAGCTTTGCTTTTCCAAACAGGCTTTGTCACATGATCATGGAAGAAAGGAGATGCCCACGTAAGATCACAGAGACAAGGTGAAAAACCCGTAGCCCCGAATTGGAATTGGAAGCATCAGTATGAATTCATGCTATATTTTTGTCTTACAAAGTAAAGCAGGTGTTTGCTAGCTCTGTCAACCATAAAGTTTAGAAATAATGAGCCATCCAATAGCAGTGAACACCCCAGCACCCAGGTTATGGTGTCTAAACGCCACTTCCGACTAGAAATGAGGGCATGAAGAAATAACCAATTCCAGGTCTGAGGCAAGAAAAAAAATTCAAGATGAGCCTGGAACATCTGGTCATTCCTTGCTTCCTTGATAGCAAGGAAGGTGAGGGTCACATTGAAAAGGATGCAGGAGACAACATGGAGTGGCTCCCAATGGGGAGAGTTTGAGCATCATTAACAATAATGGGCCGAGCGCGGTGGCTCACGCCTGTAATCCCAGCACTTTGGGAGGCCGAGGTGGGTGGATCACAAGGTCAGGAGATGGAGACCATCCTGGCTAACACAGTGAAACCCCGTCTCTACTAAAAATACAAAAAATTAGCCGGGTGTGGTGGTGGGGTACCTGTAGTCCCAGCTACTCGGGAGGCCGAGGCAGGAGAATGGCGTGAACCCAGGAGGCGGAGCTTGCAGTAAGCCGAGATCAGGCCACTGCATTCCAGCCTGGGCAACAGATCGAGACTCTGTCTCAGAAAAATAAATAATAATAATAATAATAATAATAATAATAATAATGACTATAGGCCAGGTGCGGTGGCTCACACCTGTAATCCCAGCACTTTGGGAGGCCAAGGTGGGCAGATCACTTGAGGTCAGGAGTTAGAGACCAGCCTGGCCAACATGGTGAAACCCCATCTCTACCAAAAATATAAAAAATTAGCCGGGTGTGGTGGCATACACATGTAATCCCAGCTACTTGGGAGGCTGAGGCAGAAGAATCGCTTGAACCCAGGAGGCGGAAGTTGCAGTGAGCCAAGATTGTGCCACTACACTCCAGCCTAGGTGACAGAGCAAGACGCCCATCTCAAAAAAAAAAAAAAAAAAGAATGACTTTAATGGATTGAAACATGTCATATATGTCCAAATCTATGAGTTGACAATACTTAAAAAAAAAAAAAAAAAGAAAAATTCATTTATCACCATGGGAGGATATTGGAAAACCCAACTCATTTTGAAAACTGTCAAAGAAAGGGAAAGAAGCATTTATCCTTTTTGGTACAAACCATACTTTTTGGTAGCCAAATAGTTGATAAATTGATACCTTTTATAGACATATGTCCACTACCAAAGACAGAATCATAGAATTAGTATGCCACCATGTTGTAATATCTAATGAAATAATGGGCCAGGTGTAGTGGCTCATCCCTGTAATCCCAACACTTTCGGAGGCCGAGATGGGAAGATTGTTTGAGGCCAGAAGTTCAAGACCACCCTGGGCAACACAGACCTGTCTATGCAACAAGATCCTGTCTCTACAAAAAAAAAAGAAAAAAAAAAAATTAGCCAGGTTTGGGCATGTGCCTGTAGTCCCAGCTGTTTGGAAGGCTCAGGTGGGAGGATCCCTTGAGCCCAGGAGGTCAAGGCTGCAGTCAGCTATGATTGCACCACTGCACTCTAACCTATGTGACAGAGCAAGACCCCTCAAAAAAAAAAAAAAAAAAGAAGAAGAAATTGTGGATCTAGACAATGATCATCAACAACAGCTGCTAACATTGCAAAGAGGAACAACCAGATAGTGTGTGCCTTTGAATGGAAGTACAAAACCACCAATAGGAAGTACTCATACAAAAAAAAAAAAATCAAACATCAATCTAAGTTATCTCCTAGGCCTAACTACCAATTTCTAAGAAATATAGCGGGAAGAGGAGCACATGACACTTCTATGGAGATGCTATAACCAAAATTCAGACCACAGGAAACTACAGAACAAACAAGCCAGTTTCTTCAACAAATAAATTGCAAAGGAAGAAAAAGACAAGGGAAGAGAACCTACAGGTTAGGAGAGATACAAAAGCAATCCCAACCGATGGCAACATTCGAACTTTATTTGGATCCTGATTTTAACTAGCTAAAGAAACCCTTTAGCTGGGCGCGGTGGCTCACACCTGTAATCCCAGCACTTTGGGAGGCCAAGCCGGGTGGATCACAAGGTCAGGAGTTCAAGACCAGCCTGGCCAAGATGGTGAAACCCCGTCTCTACTAAAAATACAAAAATTAGCCAGGTGCAGTGGCGTGCACCTGTAATCTCAGCTATTCAGGAGGCTGAGGCAGGAGAATCTCTGAAACCCAGGAGTCAGAGGTTGCAGCGAGCTGATATCATGCCACCGCACTCTAGCCTGGGCAACAGAGCAAGACTCCGTCTCAAAAAAAAAAAAAAGAAACGCTTTATGAGATAACCAGAGAAATCTGAATACTAACTGGGTATTTGCTGATAGTAAAAGCATTACTGTTATTAAATAGTTTTAGGAGGAGTGAAGGTGGCCAAAAAAAATTTTTTGGAGTTATACATTGAAATGTTTGTAAAAGAAATGACTGACGTCTGAAATTTGCTTCAGAGTAATCTGGGATGAGGGAAGGGGAAGAGGGCGTGGATGGAATAAGGTTGGCTGAGACTTGACTGCTGAAGCCAGGCTTATTGTACCACACGCTCCGTTCCTATGTGTGCTTGAAGCTTTTCACAATAAAAAGAAAAAAGAGGTAAAGACCAGCCTTTTCCTTCCTTTCTCTCAATGCTTAGTGTGTCCACCCACTGCTGGCATCTCTGGGACAAGCCTGGGTAGCAGGCTTGAGATAGATCTTCACGCATCCCACCCCCGTCTCCATGGCAACCAGTGGGGAGGGAAAGCTGCATCCACAAAGTTCTGGTCCCCACAGGGGTGAGGCCAGGCCACCAGTGTCATGCCAGGCCCTGTCTTGCTGCTCCCTTGGGAGAATTCCCACCAGAACTGCCTCCCTGCACCCATTCCCCATCCCTCTGGCCCTCCCTGTGTGCCCCCTGAAGAAGTAGGGGCCAGTCAGTGGAGAGAACAGGACTCTCAATCAGATCCAGGTTCAAATTCTGACTTCACCACTTAATGGCAGGATCGGAAACCTCCCTGAGCCTCATTTTTTTTTCATCTATAAAATGGGCATACAGTTTTATTTAATGTTTAAAAAAGGCAGGGGGCACGACTGGGCATGGCTCATGCCTGTAATGTCAGCACTTTGGGAGCCTGAGGCAGAAAGATCACTTGAGCCCAGGAGTTTTAGAACAGCCTGGGCAACATAGTGAGACCTCATCTCTACAAAAATTTTAAAAAATAGGCCGGGCACGGTGGCTCATGCCTGTAACCCCAGCACTTTAGGAGGCTGAGGTGGGCAGACTGCTTAAGCTCAGGAGTTCAAAACCAGCCTGGGCAACATGGCAAAACCTCGTCTCTACTAAAAACACAAAAACTAGCAGGGCATGGGGGGACACGCCTGTAGTCCCAAGTTACTCGGGAGACTAAGGTGGGAGGATCACCTGAACCCTGGAGGTCGAGGCTGCAGTGAGCTGTGATTGCACCACAGCACTCCAGCCTGGAGGACAGAACGAGACCCTGTCTCAAAATAATAATAAAATATATAAAGCTGGTATAATGTGACCTTTGTTGAGTTAGTTGCTCAACACATCTTTACTATGAATGGACAGTGACAAAAAAGGATCTAGTCTCCAACTCATGGAACTCTACTCAGGGGTGAGAGGCAATCTCCATAGGCCACTGCACCTGGCCTCATGTTCCACTTTTTAAAAAAATTAGCAGTCACAACTCCCAGTCATACTTTTCATTAACCAGAACATCTATACTTTTCAACTATGAGTATCTAGTTATGGCAATCACACAGGATCATTTCATTTAATTTAGCGCTCACATTTCTTATTTATTTAATGTATTTAATTTATTGAGATGGAGTCTCGCTCTGTTGCCCAGGCTTGAGTGCAGTGGCATGATCTCGACTCACTGCAACGTTTGCCTCCCGGGTTCAAGTGATTCTCCTGCCTCAGCCTCCTGAGTAGCTGGGATTAAAGACACGCACCACCATGCCCAGCTAACTTTTGTATTTTTAGTAGAGATGGGGTTTTACCATGTCGGCCAGGCTGGTCTTGAACTCCTGGCCTCAAGTGATCCACCCGCCTTCACCTCCCAAACTGCTGGGTTACAGGCGTGAGCCACTGTGCCTGGCCTAGTGCTCACATTTCTATGAGCTAAGTCACATTATTCCCATCCTGTGGAGGGAGAAGCTTAGGCACAGAGAGGTGAGATACCTTGCCAAAGGCCACACTACTGGTGTGGCCTTCTGTGGCCCTGTCTTCTGTGCTCAGCCCTCTGTGCATTGATGAAGCTTTGAAATGCCACAGCAGGGCCAGGAAATCAGTGCTGCCAGAAGACTGAAAAGCTCTCCAGATCATTTTCCAAATGAAGAAACAGTGGCCCAGAGAAGCCAAGTAACTTGACTGGGGCCACATAGCAAATGGGTAGCTGAGCCTGTGTTCACACTGCTTGGGGAGATGGTGCAGGGAAGCCCTATTCAGTGAGGGAAGCCAACTCTTACTGCCCCCATGTAATCCTGTCCTAAAGCAGGGTGGCCAGCCATCCCAGCGTGCCTAGGACTAGGAGGTTTTTGGGACTGGAGACATTAGGTGCTAAAACCAGGAAAGCTCTGGGCCAACTGGGATGAGCTGGGCATTCCATCCCATAGACAGTAAGGTGTCTAAATGGTTATTTCCAGGAAATGAGGCTTTGGGATGGAGCTGGCTGGCAAGAACCATCAAGACCCCGTTGAAAGACTAGGGTTTTATGTCTATGATACCCTGGAGATTCCACCTATGTGTCACCTCAGTGGACTCCGCGGGGGCCCACGGCCTGGCATCCTATTCTGCCCCCAAACAGCTAAAGTGCTCTAAATCCTAAACCTAATTGCCCCATGTCCCAGTATGCAAACCTAAATGGTTTCTCATTTTCCCCCCATTGCCTTAGGACCAACCATAAACTCTGCTGGCCCAGGAGACCCTTGGTGGGCTTGCCTCTGTCCACCTGGTGCTGCCTCTCTCTGCAACCCACCCCACCTCACCCCTACAAAATTCCAAGCAAGGACAGGATAACCAAAGACTTCTCACTTCACCCCCCTTCACCCACGTAACCTTTATCTTAGCATCCTACCCTTTTCTTCCATGACATCAGTGCAATTGTAATTACACAGCTATTTGTATAATTAGCTGATTATTAATATCTAGCCTCCCCCACCCCTGGCTAGACTGTCAGCCCACAGGGGCGGGGGTGGGTGTGTGATGTGCACTGTTTTACAGCCTGACTCAGTGGAGACACATGAATGACACTCAAAAGTCACTGAATGGGCCAGACATGTGGCTCACACCTGTAATCCCAGCACTTTGGGAGGCTGAGGTGGGCAGAATGCCTAAGGTCATGAGTTCGAGACCATCCTGACCAACATGGCAAAACACCATCTCTACTAAAAGTTACAACAATTAGCTGGGTGTGGTTACATGCGCCTGTATAGTCCCAGCTACTCGGGAGGCTGAGGCAGGAGAATTGCTTGGGCCTGGGAGGTGGAGGTTGCAGTGAGCCAAGATCACATCACTGCACTCCAGCCTGGGAGACACAGCGAGACTCCATCTCAAAAAAAATAATAATAAAATGGCTGGGCACGGTGATCCCAGCACTTTGGGAGGCCAAGGCAGTTGGATCACTTGAGGTCATGAGTTCAAGACCAGCCTGGCCAACATGGTGAAACCCCATCTCCACTAAAAATACAAAAAATTAGCTGAGTGTGGTAGTCCATGCCTGTAGTCCCAGCTACTCGGGAGGCTGAGGCACAAGAATTGCTTGAACCCGGGAGACAGAGGTTGCAGTGAGCCGAGATCATGCCACTACACTCCAGCTTGGGTGACAGAGCGAGACTCTGTCTAAAAAAAAAGGAAAAAAAAAAAAAGTCATTGAATGGCCCCACCAAAGACTGCTATCACCTCCAACTGGGCCTCCATCTGAAATCACAGAAACCCTCCATAGCCACCAGGGTCTCCACTTCCCAGGCTGCTATCCATGATGTCACAGGATGGAAAATGATCCCAGAAAAAGACTGGCAAAGGGAGAAGCTCCTGGAGGAGGACGTGGAAGGCAGGATTGGTGTGGTTTTTAATTACTGTACCTGTTCTGACCACATTTTCTTAGCTCTGCTCACATCCCTACTTCAATAGTAGCTTAGGACAACAAAACAAAAACATCAGCCCCAGAGTTTGAGACAAGATATCTCACTGGTTCCCTCTTTGCCGGTAATTAACGCTGAAAAGTTTCAATACTTATCTTGGCAGCAAAGGTAATAATACAAACGCACAGCCAGATTATTTGGCTGCTAATTCTCTTCTTGATGTTTTCCTTCCCCTTTCCTTAAATTAATTCCAGAGTTCTTCCAGATTTCTCGTTGCTAAGCTATAAAGTTCCAGGTTTCCGCAGCATGGCTGCTAATTGGCAGGGAGTTACCAGGCAGCTCCAATCAGAACCAGGTTGTTGAAAGGAGCGTCCACACTACAGCTCGCTCAGAGGTTTTGGAATTTTCTCGCTGACATTATGAACCGCAAAGGTCTTTGCCTAACTCTGCAGAACCTGTTTTCTTGATTTGGCTGTTGGGCGACACCAGACGCCTTGGACTTTCCCTAGGAGGCGTGGGGAGTCCCTGGGTCTCCTGGTTAGGGTCAGTGACAGGGATGCTCAGAGCACATTCATGGCTCACCACAGACAATGTGACCCCCAACACTGCTGCAGAAAGGGTGCCGCAAGCCCCCCAGGACTGACCTCTCACATCCATCTCCCAAGCATGTTGACAGACTATCTGGAGGAGGCTGATGATACCTCTGAACTTAGGATTTTAGGGGTGAAGGTCATATTTGTAAAGGACTTTAAAACACCCAAATGGAGGGCCATTTGGTGATCTACCTCCAGAATCATAATGAAAACCATCACCATGAACTGAGTTTCTACTGTACACCACAAACCATATTCTCATCTGTTCCCATCCTAAAACTCCCACTGGACCAGCTGGGAACCTGACAGCTGCTGCACTGTTGGTTCCACTTGCCTGCTGCCGTCTTCTAGGAGCAGAAAGTCATGTGACCCGGGCCTGGCTACTGTGATTGGCTCTGTGATGAGCACATGACAAAGCTGGGCCAATCAGAATCTTCCCTGAGACTTTTTTTGCCAGATAGGAAAAGACTCCCCAACCCTACCGTTGCTAAGCTGGTGCCCATTGGGAACACATATGGAAGGTGCCTGAGAAATATAAGAAGCCCCCAAAGATATGCAGTCCCTATGACAATGCTTGAGCCTTAGATGCACCTGTAGAGGAAGCCAGATCTACTTCCTGGATTTGACAGTTACAGGAATAGTAAATTCTTTTACTGCTTAAGCCAGTTTACCTTTGTGTCTGTTGCTTCTTGCTGAAGAGTGCTAAGTAATGGGGTTACATAGCTTCTCTGCATGGTGCCTTGGCTCTAAGGCAGGCAGTTTGCTTATATTCCTGCATAGGGTCTTCACAATTACCTGGTGAGGCACTCCATTTTGCACCTGGGGAAACTGAGGCTCAGAAGGGTAAGGGAGGCTTGCCCAGGTAACATGGTCACTGTGTTCTCAGGAGTTCAAACCTGGGCTAATTCTTTAGTGTCTGTGGCTCCTCAAATTCAACTTGTCCAAAACTGAATTCAAGAGCCTCCCCCGAAACTGATTTCCCTCTGAGGTCCCTCATCTGCCACTCTAGAGATGCTAACTAGAAACCAGGTACCAGCCGGGCACGGTGGCTCACTCCTGTAATCCCAGCACTTTGGGAGGCCGAGGTGGGCCTCCCATAATATAACCCTGTCTCTACTAAAAATACAAAAATTAGCTGGGTGTGGTGGCACGCGCCTGTAGTCCCAGCTACTTGAGAGGCTGAGGTGGGAGAATGACTTAAACATGGGAGGCAGGTGTTGCAGTGAGCCGAAACCATGCCATTGCACTCCAGCCTGGGTGACAGAGTGAGACTCCTTCTGAAAAAAAAAAAAAAAAAAAAAAAGACACCAGGTACCATCTCTGACCCCTCCAGTTTCCCTCTCTCCCACATCCCAGCCTCACTAAGTCCTGCCCATCAATTTCCTTGGCAGCCCTCGCAGCAGCTTCTCTCCCCGTCCCATTCATGTCCCCACCCATAACCAGGCCGCCCTCATTCCTCCCTGGCCTTCTAGAAGTGCATCTCTCCTGGTTCTCCTATAGCCACTCTTGCCCCTCTCCTCCAACCTAGCTCCCCACCACACCCAGAGGAACTGTTTCAAAATGTGAATCTGATCACACTGCCTTGCTGGGACAGGTTGGGTTTTATTATTATTATTATTATTATTATTATTATTATTATTATTACTATTAATTTTTTTTTGAGACGGAGTCTCACTCTGTCACCCAGGCTAGAATGCAGTGGCGCAATCTCAGCTGACTGCAAGCTCCACCTCCCGGGTTCATGCCATTCTCCCACCTCAGCCTCCCGAGTAGCTGGGACTACAGGTGCCCACCACAACGCCCAGCTAATTTTTGGTAGAGACGGGATTTCACCGTGTTAGCCAGGATGGTCTTGATCTCCTGACCTCGTGATCTGCCCGCCTCGGCCTCCCAAAGTGCTGGGATTACAGGCATGAGCCACTGCACCTGGCCTATTATTATTTTTTGAGACAGAGTCTTATTTTGTCACCTAGGCTGGAATGGAATGGCACAGTCATAGCTCACTGCAGCCTCAACCCCCTGGGCTCAAGCGATCCTCCTGCCTCAGCTTCCCGAGTAGCTCAGACCACAGGCATGTGCCACTACGCCTGGCTAATTTTTTTATTTTTATTTTTGTAAAGACAAGATCTCGCTCTGCTGCCCAGGCTGGTCTCAAACTTCTGACCTCAAGCGATCCTCCCGCCTTTACCTCCCAAAGTGTTGGGATTACAGGCATGAGCCACTGCGCCCTGCCTGGTTGGGTTTTAGGATATGAAGGCACACATTTGCCTCTGGGGATGTTTGAGAATCCTGCCGTCAGCCCCTTAGTCCCACCCAGCTTTCGGGCACAAAGTCTTCAAGCCCGAGAGCTGGGGAAGACACAGCTCCCCGCGTGCTCAGCCATGCCATCGTTTATTCTGAAAATATTTACTAGTGTCTCCCAGGCACGGTTCCCTATGCTGGGGATACAGAGACGACAAGAGTAGCAAAAAGTGCACATGCTCATAGTGTGTGTGCTGCATGCCAGGCCTGGGCTCTGTGCCTCAGGACCTGGGAGGAGGTGGCCTCTACCGTGCAGGAGCCAGCAGGGCTGCCCCTCACAGCTGCCCACACTGGCCGCACTTGGCCCCAGCCCGTAGGGATGTGTATCGGCAAACTCCTTTTGCTGCTGAACTCTGCAGTGGCAAGCTTGGCTGTTTTTCACAGTTAGAGTCTGGTGACGTTTAACTAAGGCTGTGGAGGAGAGCGCATGTGTGAGTGAGAGGGGTGCTCGCACAAGCTCGCATATTTCCCAAACACAAAGCCTGCAGTAGAACTGCCTGACACTCACCCCCACCGCCGCCCCCGCCACCCCTCTTCCCACACAAACACAGGTGATGAAAAAGTAAACTAAGTGAGAGGTCAGGTCTCTTTAGAAATCAAGGGTGTTTGAACTCAACAGCAGAGAGCTACTGTTTATTCTAAACCCCATGAAATAAGATGACTTATCATTAACAGATAAGTCAGTGGGGCTACATGTTGTTTGAACATCAAAAGCCATTTGTCAATCCATGCATCCATTTGTCTGCCTATCCATCCATCCATTTATCTACCCATCCACCTACCTATTCATCCACCTACCCATTCATCAATCCACCTACCCATCCATCCATCCACTCACCTATCCATCCATCCACTCACCTATCTGTCCATCCATCTACCCCATCCACCCACCTACCCATTCATCCATCCACCCACCTATCCATCCATCCATCTACCCTTCCATCCACCCACCTATCCATTCATCCATCCACCCACCTACCCATCCATCCACCCATCCACCTACCCATCCATCCACCCATCTACCTACCCATCCATCCACCTACCCACCTATCCATCCATCCATCCATCCACCCACCTATCCATCCATCCATCCACACATCCACCCACCTATCCATTCACCCATCCATCAACCCCCAAGCCCATCCATCCATCCACCCATCCACCCACCTATCCATTCATCCATCTATCTACCCCTAAACCCACCCATCCATCCACCCACCTCCCTACTCATCCATCCATCCACCCAGCCTATCCATCCATCTACCTGTCTATCCACCCATCTATCCATCCATCAATTTGCTAAGTTCTCAATATAATTATGACAGTAATATTAATAATAGCAATAATAGCAGTGGTTCCTATCAACTAGGTACTTTCTAAGAAACAGGTTTCTACACTAAGCACTTTGGAAACATCATCTGTTTAATTTTCACAAACAATTCTATGAGATAGATGCCAAAAGACCCAGTTTACAGAGGAAGAAAGTAAGGCACCGAGAGGGTAAGTGGCTGGCCCCAGACTTCACAGCCTACTGTGGTAGATTAAATATGGCCAGAAATTCCCTGTGGCTCCTCTCACAAGGAGGTGAAGTCTATTTCTCCATTCCCCTAAATACAGGCTGTCCTCTTGACTTACTTCAACTGATAGAATATGCCAGAGGTAGTGTTATGCAAGTCCTGAGAACAGGCTTCAGGGAGCCTCGAAGCTTCTTTGTGAACTGACGTGGAATGCTTACCCAAGGCTTCCATGTAAGGAAGCTGGTCTTTCCTGTTGGAAGGCGAGAGGTCACATGAAGGAGAACTGAGGCAACCCAGCCAACAGCCAGAGCCAACGGCCACACATGTGAGGGAGGCCATCTTGGACCCTCTAGCCCAGTAACCCCCAGCTGACTGCAGGCCATGAGTGAAGTCAGAGGAAGCAGCCAGCCTGAAAAATATATTCTTTTTTTTTTTTTGAGACAGAGTCTCACTCTGTCACCAGGCTGGAGTGCGGTGGCACGATCTTGGCTCACTGCAACCTCTGCCTCCTGGGTTCAAGCGATTCTCCTGCCTCAGCCTCCCGAGTAGCTGGGATTACAGGCACCCACCACCATGCCCAGCTAACTTCTGTAGAAAAGTAAGTTATTCTTTTAAGTCACTACATTTTGGGGATTGTTTGTTATGCAGCAAAGATGACCAAACACATTATAAGAGGCCAAGCCAGGATTTTAACCCAGGTCTCCCATCCTAGGATCTGGGCCTCTCAGAGGCAGAGACTGTGGTCACAGAGATGAAGAGGATAGTGTCCCTGATTACCAACAAATACCCTGCCAAGTCATCCATGTGAAGAGAGGTATGTCCCGGGGTGGGTTCCCTAGACACTAACGTCAATGTTTTATTTATACAACAATCAATTGCTGCACACCTACCATGTGACAGTCACCATACAAGGTGTGAGGCATGTGGCAGTGAGCAACAGACATGGTCTGTGATCTCATGAAGCTTGACATTTCAGGAATAAGACAGACAAAAGTAAATCAACAACCAAACAATTACAAAATACACAGAGTATTGAGAAAGAAACCAATAGGTACTGAGGAGAGAAATTTATGAGTAGAATAACTTTAGATCATGTGATCAGGAAAGATTGCTCTAAGAAGACAATGTCTAAGCTGGGTCTACAAGAATGAAACATACAAAGAGTTGCAGGAAAAATATCTGGGTAAAAGGAACTGCACAGGCCATGTCCCCAAGGAAGAACAGAGCCTGAGATTTCTAGGTCTGGCTGCAGCAGAGCGAGTCGGGAGGAAAGTGAGTTAAGACAAAGATGGAAGGAAGGATGGGCCAGGCCAGATCATGCCAGCCTTGGAGGCTACATGAAAGAGTTGGGAATTTTCTCCTAGTATGTTGGGAAAGTAATGGGAAGTTTTGACCAGAAGAGTAACATGGTTTTCTTTTTCATTTATTTTCTTTATTTTTATTTGTATTTACTTTTTACTTTTTAAATTAATTTTTGATTGAGTGGATTCAATTAATTGGATGGAGTGCAGTAGTACAATCATAGCTCACTGCAGCCTCAAACACCTGAGCTCAAAGGATCCTGCCACCTCAGCCTTCCGAGTAGCTGGAACAACAAATGTATGTCACCATGCCCGGCTAACTTTTTTTAGAGACAGGGTCTTACTATGTTGCCCAGGCTGGTCTTAAACTCCTGGCCTCAAGTGATCCTCCTGCCTTGGTCTCCCAAAGGGCTGGGATTACAGGTGTGAGCCACCATGCCTGGCTTATTTTACTTAGATTTTAACAGATACCTTTGCTGTATGGACAACAGATCAAAGAGAGGCAACAATGAAAGGAGGGATATTAATCAAGCTGTTGGTGCAGTTACCTAGGTCAAAGATGGTGGTAGCTTGGGCCAGGGCAATGGCTGTGGAGTTGAGAAACACATTAATTTGAAATGCATTTTGGAAGAATTGATAGGACTTAGAGATTGGATTGGAGGGTGAAAAGAGATATTAGAAATTAGCTTGACCTCTCCCAGAGGTGGACTATAAGACAAGGACTTGAGTGATAGAAATCATTTACATAAGAAGGGACTTGAGGGCTGGGCGCAGTGGCTCATGTCTGTAATCCCAGCACTTGGGGATGCTGAGGTGGGTGGATCACCTGAGGGCAGGAGTTTGAGACCGGCCTGACCGACATGGTGAAATCCCATCTCTACTAAATATAAAAAATTAGCCAGGCATGGTGGCATGCACCTGTATGTAATCCCAGCTACTTGAGAGGCTGAGGCAGGAGAATTGATTGAACCTGGGAGATGGAGATTACAGTGAGCCAACATTGCACCATTGCACTCCAGCCTGGGAAAGAGCAAAACTCCATGTCACACACACACACACACACACACACACACACACACACACACACACACAAAGGGGACTTGAGGAAGCATGGGTAGGAAGTGGGGAAGAGAGTCAAGAAAGGAAGCCCACCCACAGGGGTGTGTTATGAAATGAGTTACCTCTGTGGGCAACTGCAGCTCAGTCTCACTCAGGAACTTTGGGAGATAATGTTGAACATACACTGTTCTCATCTGAGAGGCAAGAGAGCTGGGGTATTTATACTCCAGACCTTGCCAGTCATTGGTTGAAAGCTGCTCCCAGGGAGTGTTAATATGCCTGTATTAGTCCATTTTCACACTGCTGATAAAGACATACCCGAGACTGGGTAATTTACAAAAAAAAAAAAAAAAAAAAAAAAAAGATTTAATGGACTTACAGTTCCATGTGGCTGGGGAAGCCTCACAATCATGGTGGAAGGCAAGGAGGAGCAAGTCACCTCTTACATGGATGGCAGCAGGCAAAGGGAGAGCTTATCAGGGGAACTCCTCTTTATAAAACCATTAGATCTCATGAGACTTATTCAATATCATGAGAACAGGACGAGAAAGACTAGCCCACATGATTCAATTACCTCCCAGTGGGTTCCTCCCACAACAGATGGGAATTCAAGATGAGATTTGGGTGGGGACACAGCCAAACTATATCAATGTCAGTATTCTCTCCTGCTATGCGAAAGGGTTGAATGGGCTCCAGAAGTCAGAAGATGTCCTCGGGCAAAGAAATGCAAGTGCCAAAGTTGGAAGCCAGGCCAGGGACAGGTTGATGGGATACATCTCAGTCACCAACAATGCCTGCCACCATTAGCAATGACTCATGTATTCTGGGTTTGAGCAAGTGAAAGTAAGCTTTTTTTTTCCTTTAAAAAATAATAGAGATGGGGTCTCACCATGTTTTCCAGGGTAGTCTGGAACTCCTGGCCTCAAGCAATTCTCCCCCTCAGCCTCCCAAAGTGCTGAGATTACAGACATGAACCACCATACCCAGCGAATAAGTAAGTTCTACATTCATGGAGTCCTCCATGACATCTTTCCTTTACTTCAGTGGCTCTCTTTTCTCCCATCTCAGCCCTTCTGTTACCAGACTATTTTTTTTTTTTTTTTTTTTGAAATGGGGTCTCACTCTGTCACCCAGGCTGGAGTGCGGTGATGCAATCTCAGCTCACTGCAACCTCTGCCTCTGTGTTCAAGTGATTCTCCTGCCTTAGGTCCCAAATAGCTGGGATTATAGGCGCCCGCCACCACGCCTGGCTAATTTTCGCTCTTGTAGCCCAGGCTGGAGTGCCAATGGCTCAATTTCAGCTCACTGCAACCTTCGCCTCCCAGGTTCAAGCGATTCTCCTACCTCAGCCTTCCAAGTAGCTGGGATTACAGGCGCCTGCCACCATGCCCGGCTAATTTTTGTCTTTTTAGTAGGGATGGGGTTTCACCATGTTGGCCAGGTTGGTCTCAAACTCCTGACCTCAGGTGAACCGCCCACCTTGGCTTCCCAAAGTGCTGGGATGAGCCACTGCACCTGGCCTGAAATGTATGATTTCTGACACTCAGCCCCAACACCCCCTCCTCTCCCAGTCAATGACTCTACTTCCATTCAACTGCTCTAGACCAAAAACCCAGGAGTCATCCACAAAATTCTTCTCTTTCTCACACCCCAACATCCAATTCTATTGACTCTACCTCTGAAATATTCTGAGTTCAACCAAGTTTCTCTGCTTCCATTTCCCTCCTCACCCCAACCACATCTTAACTCCCTGCCCTGATTCTACCTCAGTCCAGAAGCCAAAGTGATCTTTTATGGTAAAACCAGACCACATCATTCCTCTGCTTACAACCCTCAATGGGTGTCCCTCGGAAGACTACGGGAACACTGAAGCTCTCACCCTGGCCCCAGGTACGCAAATCCCTGCCCTGACCGCATCTCCAAGCCCAACCCCGCCATTTTCCTCCAGCTCACAGAGCCCGCACGCTGGCGCCCCATTGATTCCTCAAACACATCAAGCTCTTTCCTGCCCCTAGTCCTTCGCACATGCTATTCCTTCTGCCTGGAACAGCATCTCTCCCAGGTCCCTGCAGGATTGATTCCTGCTGGTCATTTCTAGCTCAACTCAAAAGCCAACATCCTCATTTCTTTATTTCCATGGTGTTTTTTTCCTACCCCCTCCCCCAACCCCAGAACAGAAGCCCCATGATCCAGAGATTCGACTCTCATTCACCTCCACACACCACGGGCAGTGTCTCCAACACGTCTGAGGCGTAGCAGGAGCTCACAAAACATCTGTTGAATGAATGACTGTAGTTGTGACAAAACCTTACTTGCCCACAGGGTTTCTAACCATAGCTACATGTTTCCAGCCATGCTCAATGGTAGCCAGGTTCCGATTTTGTCCCATCTGGAGGTAAGCCTGTTGGCATGGTTCTCATGCATGATCTCAGTCCCCTTAGTGCTGGAAACGTCCAATGTCATTTGCTGAGGCTCTGGAGAGAAATTGAACCTGACGGCCATCACTGGAGCTGAGCCCCCCTCACTGCCCTGCGAGAAGCCACACATCTGTGGTGTGGCCCTCTTGGACAGACCAGAGGCACTGGGACCCTGTGGCTGAATTAAGGTGGGGGAAGAGGGAAGCCAGACCCATAAGCCTTCTTTTTTTTTTTTTTTTTTTTTTTTGACACCGTCCCTCTGTCACCCAGGCTGAAGTGCAGTGGCACGATCACAGCTCACTGCACCCCTGAGCTCCTGTGCTCAAGCGATGCTCCCACCTCAGCCTCCTGAGTAGCTGGGACAGCAGGCACACACCACCACGCCCAGCTGATTTTTTTTTTTTTTTTTTTTTTTTTTTGAGAGAGATGGGAGTCTCACTGTGTTGCCCAGGCTGGTCTTGAACTCCTAGGCTCAAGCAATCCTCCCGCCTCAGCCTCCCAAAGTGCTGGGATTACAGGCGTGAGCCACCGCACCCCCTACGTTGAAAGGGAAGGCTGGGGAAAGTGAAGCCCCAATCAAACATGAACAGCTGGCCATTCCCTTCCCTCCGTGGGTGGGAGCCTCTACACTCACTCAGCACACATCACAAGAGGAGGTGCTGCCACTCAACCCCCGCTAGCTGAGGCTGTTCCTTCATCACCAGCCCTCTGTGCTGCTCCCCGCCCCAACCTGTAACTGGATACTGTGATGTAGGACTCCACCTTCCCCTTCCCTGTCCCCAGACACCAGCTGCGATGCTTGCCAGCTGTGCTTCCTTGGGCAAGTCACTCAACCTCTCTGAGCCTCAGTTTCCCATTCAAAAAATCAAGGTGATGAAAGCGTCCACCCCATGGTGCTCACAGAGTGTCTATTAGCACTGAGAGCAGCTCCAAGCACAGCCAGCACACTCTTAGCACAAAGCCTAGCTCAGTACATTTCTAAAAATATGTTTTATTGGATTTTCCTTCTGAGCTACAGAAGCAATGTATGTTCCTTGAAACAAGCCACACAGCAAAGAGGTGAACAAAGAAAAAGCCAGGTCTCTTTCTTTCCCTTCTCGCTAACCTCGTAACCTCCAGACCCCTTCCCCACCCCCACATTCCCCAGAGGAAGTAACCAGTGCCCATTTTTCCTTTCGCACCTTTCTCTCTGCACAGTCATCCACCTGCATATATGGGCTTTTTGCATTTTTACAAAAATGGGCAAATTCCATACACATCGTCCCAGGCTAATACAATGTGGAAAGATCAATCTCGTTCTTTCTAGCAGCTTGCTAATATTACTCATTGGCAATGACCCTCGATGTATTTTAAGGCACTGACCCCTTTCCCAGTGATGGATATGTGGGCCGTTTCCAGCCCTTCGCTCAACCAGCAGCGCTTTGACCTATCTCCTCGTGTCTATGGAAAGATGCCCAAAGCATGATTATTGGGTCAAAGGGCATGGTTTCCATTTGTGTGTCTGCTTTTTAGAAACAGGGTCTCACTGTCTTGCCCAGGTCTCACTTGTCTTGTCTTGAGTGCAGTGGTGTGATCGTGGCTCACTGCAGCCTTGAACCCCCGGGTTCAAGCAATCCTGCCACCTCAGTCTTCCAAGTAACTTGGACTACAGGTTCGCGCCACCACACCGGGCTTTTTTAATCTGTATTTTTTGTAGACACAGGGATCTCACCATGTTGCCCGAGCTGGTCTTGAACTCCTGGCCTCAAGCAATCCTCCTACCTTGGTCTCCCAAAGTGTTGGGATTATAAGCGTGAGCCACCGCGCCCAGCCCTGTTCTTAGTACTGAGGGCCCTCACTCCCCTTGTCTCTTGTCATTGCCCTATCCCCAGACTTGGCACAGTGCCTAGCATGCATGGTGCCTAGTACGCAATCGGTGCTCAGCATTTGCCACAACCAAAAGAGAAACCATCCCACAGCCGGTTTGAGGACAGAGCCAGGGACTTAGGGCATGACCTCCAGGTCACTGGGTCACCGCGTCCCCACTGCGATGACACAACTCCCTTTGCAGCACATCTCAGAGCGCGGATTGCAATATCCAGGTTGTTTCACTGTTTCCGCCCGCAATCCCCAAAGGCAGACGAGCTGATGGCATGGGGAGGAAGGCCCGTGTGCCCTTGCCTCAGGAAGCCAGGACATTCAACACCAGCTGGGCAGACTTGGAAAGGCCAAGGGGCAGCAAGGCCAGGAACTGGCACCTCTCCAGGTTTCTGTCATTTAAGGTCAGCTTCTCGCTGACCACTGCCCACCACCCATAAGTTGAGCTCCAACCCAGAAAAGCAACTGTCCGGGCCCTGCCCAAGCCAGTCCCCTGCCCTCCCTCATCCCCACACGCCTCACCGCACGCATTCACTTAGCACACAATTATTTATTGAGCATCTACTATATGCCAGGCACCATGCCAGGTCAGGAGATGCAGTGGTGAGCAGATGAAGCTCTGCACTCCCAGCTATCGTGGTTGTGGTTGTAGCTGGCTGAACAACGGTCCCCAAAGATGCACACATCCTAATCTTAGGAACCTGTGAATATGTCACCATATGTAGCACAAGGGACTTGGCAGAGGAGATTAAATAAGACATTTTGAGATGAGGAGATTATACTAGATTATCCAAGTGCACCCAAAATAATCACAAGAGTTCTTACAGCAGGGAGGCAAGAGGGTCAGAGTCAGAAGAGGTAGGGATTGAAGCAGAGGTCGGAGAGAAGAGAAGATGCTATTAATACATCACTGGCTTTGAAAACAGTAAAAAGGGGCCACAAGCCAAAGAGAGCAGGTAGCCTCTGGAAGCTGAAAAGGGCATGGGAGCAGATTCTCCTGAGCCTCCAGAAAGAATGCAGCAGCTGGGCGTAGTGGCTCACACCTGTAATCCCAGCACTTCGGGATGCTGAGATGAGAGGACTGCTGGAGGCCAGGAGTTCGAGACCAGCCTGGGCAACATAGTGAGACCCTGTTCATATGAAAAAAAAAATTTTAATGTTCTGTGCTGGCAGCACCAGCACTTCTGCGCAATCAGGCCAAGAAGAAAATGGGGAGGGGACCCCGAGTGTGTGACAATGACAGGCCCCAGCCTGGGGCTGGGAGATCCCTCGCTGTGAATGGTGATCACATCACCGCACTCCAGCCTGAGTAACAGAGTGAGACCCTGTCTCTAAAAAAAGGCAAACAAAAGAACCCAAAATAAACAGAAAGAATGACGCCTTATGGACCTAATTTAGACTTCTGACCTCCAGAACTGTAAGGTAACAAATGTGAGTTGTTTTAAGCTGCTGATTGTGGAAATTCACCACAGCAGCCATAGGCAACTAATGTGATGGTCTGGCAGGGCAGACAGCCTACAAATCTTATAGGACTGGCCACATGATTTGTTGGGGGGCCCAGTTGAAAATGAAAATGCAGTTTCCTTTGTTCAAAAATTAGCAGCAGCCGGGCACAGTGGCTCACACCTGTAATCTCAGCACTTTGGGAGGCCGAGGTGGGTGGATCATATGAGGTCAGGGGTTCGAGACCAGCCTGAGCAACATCATGAAATCTCATCTCTACTAAAAATACAGAAACTAGCCAGGAGTGGTAGTGTATGCCTGTAATGCCAGCTACTTGGGAGGTCGGGGCAGGAGAATCACTTGAACCTGGGAGGCGGATGTTGCAGTGAGCCAAGATGGCACCACCGCACTCCAGCCTAGGCCAGAGAGAGACTCCGTCTCAAAAAAGAATTAAAAAAAAAAGTTATCATGAGTTTCAAAACAGCAACAGCAGAGCATTCAGCCAAGCACCGGGCCCTTGTTTGAGGCAGGGTCTGGTTCTGTTGCCCACACTGGACTGCAGTGGTGCAATCATGGCTCACTGCAGCCTCAACCTCCTGGTTCAAGTGATCCTCCTGCGTCAGCCTCCCAGGTAGCTGGGACTACAGGGACATGCCACCACGCCGGGCTTTTTTTTTTTCTTCCGGCAGAGACAAGGTCTTGCTATATTGCCCAGGCCGACCTCAAACTCCTGAGTTCAAGCAGTTCTCCAAAATGCTGGGATTACAGGTCTGAGCCACCAATCCCTGCCCTGGGCCCTCCTGAGCACAGGACATACCCGTCAAGCCGGCCCTGACTCCTGCCAGGAACTAGTTGATTACAGTGCTGCGATCAGGCCAAGAAGAAAATAGGGAGGGGTGTGTGACAATGACAGGACCCAGCCTGCGGCTGGGAGATCTCTCTCTGAGGACTGACACTTGCTTTGGGCCAGGTTCCCGGGAGGTGGCGAGGAAGGGCCTGACTCCGACCCCCTCCTTCTGTAAGCAGCGCCTGCGCCCCTCCAAAACTCAGCCTTCCGTCTCCTGTAGGAAGCCTTTAATCTCCCAAGCTGGTTTCAGCGCCTCCCTTACCTGAGGACTTATAACACTCTACCCTCATCCCTTTGAATGTTTCTAAATAAACATTTTATTTTAGAATAATTTTAGATTTACTAGCCGGGCACGGTGGCCCATGCCTTAACCCCAGCACTTTGGGAAGCCAAAGTGGGAGGATCACTTGAGGCCAGGAGCTCGAGACCAGCCTGGGCAACACTGCAAGACCCTATCTCTACAAAAAGAAATAGAAGAGCAATTTTTTCTTTTATTTTTGAAACGGAGTCTTGCTCTGTGGCCCAGGCTGGAGTACAGTGGTGTGATCTCGGCTCACTGCAACCTCCTCCTCCCAGGCTCAAGCAATTCTTCTGCCTCAGCCTCCCGAGTAGCTGGGACTACAGGCACCTGCCACCATACCAGGCTCATTTTTTTTTTTTTTTTTTTTTTTTTTAAGTAGAGGTGGGGTTTCACCATGTTGGCCAGGCTACTCTCAAACTCCTGACCTCAAGTGATCCGCCCATCTAGGCCTCCCAAAGTGCTGGGATTACAGGCGTGAGCCACCGCGCCCGGCCAAGAAGAATTCTAGATTCACAGAAGAGTTGCAAAGATGGTACAGAGAGGTCCTGTGTCCCTTCGCCCAGCTTCTCCAAATGCCAGCATCTTACCTGATCATGCCCAGACAGATGCTAACCTAGGTCATGACTGTGAACTGCCCTCCGGACGCATTCAGATTTCCCTCATTTTCCCCCAATGCCCTTTTTCTGTTTTAGGGCCTGATCCAGGGCACCACAATGCATTTAGCTCCCCCTACAACCTAAAAATGAAACCGTAGATGTTAGGATGTGCCTGTCCCTGTGCCAAGCATGTCACCTGCTTGATCTCACTGAATTCTCACAATCATCACCTGCCCCATTTTGCAGGTGAGGAAACTGAGGCCCAGAGATACTAAGTAACTGCAGGATCCTTGAGTACCCCTTCAAAAATACCTGGTTCCTATCTCACTGCTCCAAAGTCCCCCACGATGCCACTGGCTCTCTATTCCAGAACTCCAATCGTCATTCAACCCCAGAGCTTACCAAACTTGAGTCAGTATCATTTTTCCTCCTGTTCACTTTCTTTGCTTAATATTTTTCTTCTAAAACCACTGGGCTGGGTGCAGTGGCTTACGCCTCTAATCCCCACTCTGGGAGGCTGAGGCGGAGGATCACTTGAGCCCAGGAGTTCAAAACCAGCCCTGAATGAGATTCTCTCTCTATGGGCTCAATCTATCCTCCCATGTCAGTCTCCTGAGTAGCTGGGACTCCAGGCGCTTGCCACCATGCCCAACGTTTGATTTTTTTTTTCTTTGAGACAGAATTTCACTCTTGTCACCCAGGCTGGAGTGCAGTGGCACGATCTTGGCTCACTGCAACTTTTGCCTCCTGGGTTCAAGCAACTCTCCTGCCTCAGCCTCCTGAGTAGCTGGGACTATAGACGCGTGCCACCGGACCTGGCTAATTTTTTATTTTTAGTAGCGACGAGGTTTCGCCATGTTGGCCAAGCTGGTCTCAAATTCCTGACCTCAGGTGATCTGCCTGCCTCGGCCTCCCAAAGTGCTGGAATTACAGGCGTGAGCCACCGTGCCCGGCCTCTTTTTTTTTTTTTTTTTTTTTTTTTTTAAGATACAGGATTTCACTATGTTATCCAGACTGGACTCAAACTCCTTGGGCACAAGCAACCCTCCTGCCTCAGCCACCCCAGCAGGTGGGACTACTGGCACTTCCCACCATACCTGGCTTTCGTCTACCTTTTAATCATCTTTCCAATCAGTTGCCCCAAGTCTCTCCCCAAGATAATCAGAGTGTGACGCTGGGTAGTCAGTTTCCATTTGTTGCACATCCACCTCTAGCGGGCCCAGTGCTGAGCATCTTATAAACACTGACTCATTGAGTCTTCTGACAACCCTCAGCACAGGAGATGTGTGTTTTCCCGGGGTTTACAAAGAAGGCAACTGAGCCACAGAAAGGCAAGGTATCCTGCCCAAGGTCACACAGGCAGAAAACAGCAGGACCATGACTCCAATCCAGACTAGCCAAACCGCTAAGCAAGAGGCCTTAGCCACACACCTGGAGCGCTCAGACGCAGAGACGTTCAGGTTGGGCATGAAAGAGCTTTCGAGAATCTGATGATCCTGGGAGCATCAGGCACTGGTAGCTTTAGGCAAATCGGTGTAGGAAAATATATCTCCCCTCAAAGGTAAATCAGGGAGTGATATTTGACTTGCAAAACGATTCACAAATAAGCCGGTGTTTCAGCATGAAAATCTCATTTTTTTTTTAATCCTCTAGTCATTTTCTCTTTTTCCTTCTTTCTAAGCAAAGAGCCTGCTGCTCCTACTCACTGCCTTCAGGGAGAGGGGCAACGAGTAGGCAGCACCAACACTGTTTGTGCCTTTGGTTTCTGAAACCCTAGATAAGGAGTTGGCACCTATATCCTACAAGCCAAATCCCACCACTGACTTTTTTTTTGAGACTGAGTCTTCGTCTGCTACCCAGGCTGGAGTGCAGTGATGTAATCTCATCTCACGGCAACCTCTACCACACGGGTTCAAGCGATTCTTCTGCCTCAGCCTCCTGAGTAGCTGGGATTACACCACGCCTGGCTGATTTTTGTATTTTTAGTAGAGGTGGAGTTTTGCCATGTTGGCCAGGCAAGTCTCAAACTCTTGACCTCAGATGATCCGCCCACCTCGGCCTCCCAGAGTGCTGGGATTACAGGCGTGACCCACTGTGCCTGGCCCTTCACCACTGACTTAAAAAAAAAAATTCTGGTAAGAACAATTAACTCGAGGTCTACCCTTTTCACAGATTTCTAAGTGTACAATGCAGTACTGTTAATTATAGGCACTATGTTATACAGCAGATCTCTAGAACTTTTTATTTATCTATTTTTTTGAGACAGGGTTTTGCTCTGTCACCCAGGATGGAGTGCAGTGGTGCAATCATGGCTCACTGAAGCCTCGAACTCCTGGCCTCAAGTGATCCTCTCATCTCAGCCTCCCAGGTACTTGGGACTGCAGGCACATGCCACAGTGCCAGGATAATTTTTTAAATTGCTGTGTAGAGACAGGATCTCGTGCTGTTCCTCAGCTGGTCTCAAACTCCTGGCTTCAAGCAATCTTCCCACCTCGGCCTCCCAAAGTGCTGGGATTACAGGTGTGAGCCACTGTGACCGGCCTTAGATTGTATTCATTTTGGCTGGGCGCAGTGGCTCACGCCTGTAATCCCAGCACTTTGGGAGGCTGAGGCGGGTGGATCACGAGGTCAGGAATTTGAGACCAGCCTGGCCAACATGGTAAAACCCCGTCTCTACTAAAAATACAAAAATTAGCTGGGCGTGGTGGCGCGTGCCTGTAATCCCAGCTACTTGGGAGGCTGAGGCAGGAGAATTGCTTGAACCCAGGAGGTGGAGGTTGCAGTGAGCCGAGATGGCGCCACTGCACTCCAGCCTGGGCGACAGAGTGAGACTCTGTCTGGGAAAAAAAAAAATAAGTATTAATCTTTCATAACTGAAATTTTATACCTGTGGAATAGCAACTCCCCATTTACCTCACCCCTCACCTCTGGCAACCACCATTCTACTCTGTTTTTGTGAGTTCGACTGTTGTAGATGCCTCGTATGAGTGGAATCCTGCGGTATTTGTCTTTCTGTGACTGGCTTCTTTCCCTTTCAGCATAAAGTCCTCCAGCTTCATTCATGTCACGCACATGTCAGAGCTTCCTTCTCTGGCCAGGTGCGCTGGCTCATGCCTGTCATCCTAGCACTTTGGGAGGCAAAGGTGGGAGGATCATTTGAGCCCAGGAATTCAAGATCAGCCTAGGCAACCTAGTAAGACCCCTATCTCCACAAAAATCAGTTTAAAAAAATTAGCCAGGTGTGGTGCCGCAAGCCTGTAGTCCCAGCTACTTGCGAGGCTGAAGTGGGAGGATAGCTTGAGCCCGGGAGGTCAAGCCTGCAGTGAGCAGTGATTCGACCACTGCACTCCAGCCTGGGCAACAGAATGAGACCCTGTCTCAAAATAAATAAATTTTTTTAAAAACTTAGAGTTTTCGGCCGGGTGCGGTGGCTCATGCCTGTAATCCCAGCACTTTGGGGGGGCCAAGGCGGGTGGAACACGAGGTCAGGAAATTGAGACCATCCTGGCCAACATGGTGAAACCCTGTCTTTACTAAAAGTACAAAAATTAGCTGCGCGTGGTGGCGTGCACCTGTAGTCCCAGCTACTGAGGAGGCTGAGGCAGGAGAATTGCTTGAACCCGGGAGGCAGAGGTTGCAATGAGCCGAGATTGCACCAGTGCACTCCAGTGTGGTGACAGAGTGAGACTCCGTCTCAAAATAAATAAATAGATAGATAAATAAATAAATAAATAAATAAAATAGTTTTCTTTTTCTTCTTCTTTTTTTTTTTTTTTTTTTTTTTTTGAGAGCGAGTCTCACTCTTGCCCAGGCTGGAGTACAGTGGCAAGATCTTGGGTCACTGCAACCTCTGCCTCCCGGGTTCAAGCAGTTCTCATGCCTCACCTCCCACGTAGCTGGGATCACAGGCACCCACCACCACGCCCGGCTAATTTTTTGTATTTTTAGTAGAGATGAGTTTTCACCATGTTGGCCAGGCTGGTCTAGAACTCCAGAGCTCAGGTGATTCACCTACTTCGGCCTCCAAAGTGCTGGGATTACAGGTGTGAGCCACCACGCCTGGCCTGTTCCCTTTTAAGAGTGAATAATATTCCACTGTATCACTCTACCATGTTTTCTTTATCCACTCATCAGCTTCTGGACATCTGAGTCGCTTCTGTATCTTGGCTATTGTGAGTAGTGCTGCAATGGATATGCAGATCTCTTTCTGAGGTCCTGAATTTGATTCTTTTGGATCCACACCCAGAAGTGGGACTGCTGGATCACGTGGTGGTTCTGTTTCACTTTTCGAGACAACTCCATGCTGTTTTCTATCGTGGCTACACCGTCTTACATTCATTCACACCACAGTGCACAAGGGTTCCTTTTTCTGCCCAACGTTGCCAACATTTGTTGCCTTCTGGGTTTTTATTTTTCATTATTTTTTTTGAGATGGAGTTTCCCTTTTGTCACCCAGGCTGGAGTGCAATGGCCCAATCTCGGCTCATGCAACCTCCGCCTTCTGGGTTCAAGCGATTCTCATGCCTCAGCCTCCTGAGTAGCTGGGATTACAGGTGTCCGCCACAATGCCCGGCTACTTTTTGTATTTTTAGTAGAGACAGGGTTTCACCATGTTGGCCGGGCTAGTCTTGAACTCCTGACCTAGTGACCCACCTGCCTCAGCCTCCCAAAGTGCTGAGATTACAGGCGTGAGCAACCGCGCCTGGCCACCTTCTGTTTGAGAATGGCCACCCTAATAGGTGTGAGGCCATAGCCTACTGTTCTTTGGATTTGCATTTCCCTGCTGAGTGGCGTCAAGCACCTTTTCATATGCCTCTTGACCATTCATTTGTCTTCTTTGGGGAAGAGTCTGCTCAGGTCCTTTGCCCATTTTTGGAGCTATTTGGTTTTTTGCTATTGGGTTGTAGGAGTTCTTTATATATTTTGGATATTAACCAACATATATACAGGGGAAGGTGGGGGAGGCAGGAGGGAGGGAGGGAGGGAAGGTGGGAGGGGAAAAGGCATGGCAGGGAAGGCAGGGAGGAAAGCAGGAGGGACAGAGGGGAGAGTAGTAGAAGGGGGAGGGAGAAAGGGAGAGGGAGGAAGGGGGAGGAAGGAAAGCAGGGGGAGGAAGAAGAGGAGGGAGAAAGTGGGGAGAGGAGGGGGAAAGTGGGGAGAGGAGGGGGAAAGGGGGGAGAGGAGGCAAAGAAAGGGGAGGAGGGGGAGGGAAAGAAAGGGGAGGAGGGGGAGGGAAGGAGGAAGGGGGAGGGGAATGAAAGCAAGGTGGGGGGCAGAGAGGGGAGGGGGAAGGGGAAGAAATGGGAGGAGGGGGAGGGGGAGGGGCAGAGGGAGGAGGGAAGGAGGAAAAGAGGGGGAGGGAAAGAGGAAAAGAGGGGGAGGGAAAGAGGAAAAGAGGGGGAGGGAAAGAGGAAAAGAGGGGGAAGAGGGGAGAGGTAGAGGGAGGAGGAGGAAGGGGGAGGGGGAAGGGGGAAGGAAAGGGGAAGGGGAGGGTAGGAGGGAGGACAGGGAAGGGGAAAGGGGAGGGGGAAGGGAGGAGGGGAGGGGGAAGGGAGGAGGGGAGGGGGAAGGGAGGAGGGGGAGTAGGGGGAGGAGGGAAGCGGAGGAGGGAGAGGAGGGAAGGGGAGGAGGGGGAGGAGGAGAGAGGGACGAGGAGAGGAGGGGAGGGGAGAGGGAGGAGGAGGGGCGGGGAGAGGGAGGAGGAGGGGAGGGGAGAGGGAGGAGGAGGGGAGGGGAGAGGGAGGAGGAGGAGAGAGGGAGGAGGAGGGGAGGGGAGAGGGAGGAGGAGGGGAGAAGGAGGAAGAGGGGAGGGGAGAGGGAGGAGGAGGCGGAGCGGAGAGGGAAGAGGAGGGGATGGGGGAGGGGAGGAGAGGAGGATGGGGAGGAGGGAAGGAGGGAGTAGTTTATTTCATTTACCCATCTGAGTAGCCCAAGGTTGGAACTGCATTCTGTTGATGGGGAAACGGAGCAGTTAAGTAACTTACCCAAGGTCACACAGCTGACAGGCTGAAACAAGATCCAGTGTGACACTCAAACCGAAACCGCTACACTCAAAACATGCTATGCTTTAATGATGTTACATTTTTCTAAGTTTAAGATTTTGAAAAGTTGTGCGTGTACATGCTCACCAAAAGGCAATGAACAAATCTGTGTCCTGCTCTCAACCCCAAGTCCCCTAACCACGAAGTTTCACTTCCACCTCCACAAGTAACATTTCACCATTCAGTGAGTAGCTGTAGTTTATGCAATGTAAGCTCACAGGAATATATTCTCACGTCCTCCCCTTTTTACACAAAGAGGTATACTTGCTTTGTGCATACTTGCTTTTCTTACCTAATAAAGCTTGGAAATGCTTCCTCCCTGGTTTTTCACAGCTGCATAGCATATGCGGTTATACAGATGGTGCCATTTATTTTTAACTAGTGCCCTACTGAAGGGGGTTTAGGTTGTTTCAATCTTTCGCTTTTACAATGTTGCAAAAAATAACCTCAGAGGTAAATAAGGTCTCACAAGCCCCAGTTTATCTGTAGGATTACTGCTGGGCTGCAGACCAGCTGGGACAGAGGATTTCTGCATTGGTAATTTGGACAGATATTGGCCAAGGAGACCAGGTTCATATACAACTCAGCCCAAATTCCAAAGCCAAGAGTGGGGGGGGGGGGCGGGGGGTTGGGTGGCAGCAGAGACCCAGGAGACACAAGGACACACATCCCCTCTCTATCTCCTCCAGTCCTGCCACCATCTCACCGCTGTCAGCTTCCTTTGAGCTTTCCTGTGATCACAGAACAGTGATGACCCCATGTCTTAAACGCACAAGATGAAATAGCACACAACCCTAACAAGTGAGGAAGACAGAAGGAAAAGGGCACCAAGATTCATTAAAAGGGGGCAAAGCGGGGCCGGGCGCAGCAGCTCACGCCTGTAATCTCAGTACTTTGGGAGGCTGAGGTGGGCAGATCATTTGAGGTCAGGAGTTTGAGACCAGCCTGGCCAACATGGTGAAATCCCATCTCTACTAAAAATACAAAAAGTAGCCGGGCATGGTGGCAGGCACCTGTAGTCCCAGATACTTGAGAGGCTGAGGCAAGAGAATCACTTCAGCCCAGGAGGCAGAGGTTGCAGTGAGCTGAGATGACACCACTGCACTCCAGCCTGGGTGACAAAGTGAGACTCCATCTCAAAAAAACAAAATAAATAAAAATTTAAATTTAAATTTAAAAAGTGGGGGAGCAAAACGGGAAAACATGCCAGAGAAGGGCAGCCCCCAGCATCCCTGTCCATCCCGCAGGGATGACAACATGGAACAGGGGAGGGTCTCAGACTTCCCCAAATAAACTGAGCCATGAACCGAGGACCCTGAGGCACCTGGGCCGCTCTCTGGGCATTCCCTAATCAGGAGGGTACTTGAGGCAGCCGGTCCCCTGTGCCAGAGCCCCGTGCATGGGGTTTCATGTGCATTATCCCAGCTAAGCCTCCTGGCCACCCATGAGGTCAGTCCTATTATTACCTCGCCCTCCGGAAGAGGACACAGGTGAGATTCCTGCTGGAGCCACACAAATCACTCCGCAGAAAGACAGTTTGGATAATCAGGACAACATATCATTAGCAGGACATTTGAAGCGGTGCGTAATCGTGCTAAAAATATTAATTTGGAAAGAATCTTGAGGCAGCCAAATTTCCATTCGAATCCTCACCTCCTTTTACAATAGTTTTGGGAGCAGGGAAGGATCTGAGAGGGAATGTGCCATCTCTAGCACTTTTTTAATGACATACATGTATTTTTTATTCCACAAAGTGAATGCAGGCTTATTGCAGACAACTTGGAACATAACGGAGAAAAATGAAATCCATAAACCTACCCCCCAGGGGAGGCCTCTGTTAACCCCATGGTAGGTCGGCTGTTTTCAGCATGTGTGTGCTTTAGAATACGTTGATTGAAATATAACATATGTGCAGAAAAATGCATGGATCATAAATGTATAGCTTGATGGAATTTTCGGGCAAAAACTCCCATGTAATAAGCATCTGGATCAAGAAACGGAACATATGAAAGTGTGTGTTTTTTTGTCTTTCAAATTAAAAAAGTTTTTTAGAAACAGGGTCTCACTCTGTGGCCCAGGCTGGAGTGCAGTGGCACGGGTATGGCTCACTGCAGCCTCCACCTCCTGGGCTCAAGTGATCCTCCTCCTTTAGCCTCCCAAGGAGCTGGGACTACAGGTGCACACCACCAAGCCTGGCTAATTTTTTAATTTTTTGTAGAGACAGGGTCTGGCTATGTTGCCTAGGCTGATTTCGAACCCCTGGACTCAAGAGGATCTCCTGCCTCGGCCTCCCAAAGTGCTGAGATTACAGGCGTGAGTCACTGCACCCAGCCACCAATGTGGTTTTTAAACAAAATCAGGGCCCTATGGTGTTGTGAGCCCAATTATATTCCCCAAAAAGATATGTTGAAATCCTCACCCCAGCTACCTGTGAGTGTACCCAGTGGGCCTGCTGGACAACTTGATTTCTGTCTTCTGGTCTACAGAGCTCTGAGAAAATCCATTTCTGGTGCTTTAAGCTGCCCTGTTTGTGGTGATTTTTTACAACACCCCTAGGAAACTGAAACGCGTGGGTACAGGCAGCTTAATATTTTTTCCTGATTATGAAAGTCACCAAGTTCACCTCTCACCTGGACACACGTACCAGCTCCTGGAGTGATCTAAGAATGTCATCTTGCACAGCCGGTGACTGCTGCAGACACATCAAATGATGTCAGCTCTGCACCATGCCCTGTGGCCTCGGGGACAGCGAGCAGACCATGGGTGTTGGGAAGGAGGGCCTGGGAGGGGGAACAAAGACCCCACTGACAGGAGCAGGGTAAGGGGCCTGGCTCCTGCTATTTCCTGGCCAGGCTGACCCAGTCCTGCCTCCCAGTCTTTGCCCCAGGCTCCTCCTCTGTCCATCACAGGTAGAGCCATTGCTCTAGTGCTGGCTGGGTCCCCTTGGCCCCAATGGGTGGCCCTGCCTTTCCTGGCACCTTGGTCCTGTAGTGGGGGGCACCCCAACCCAGCCCCATCTGCACCCTGGAACCCTCTGAACCTGAGAGGCGGTGGGTTGGTATTTTCACATCCTAAGTGAACAGATATAAGCCCAGGTCATAAGTTTGCTGGTTCAGAGACATGAGAAGGGCTACACAGTGAGGTTAGCAATAACTTTGGCTTTCCCAAGAGCTAAAAAGGCTGCCTTGAGGCTCTGGGACTAGTTGAGAATGGGCTACAAGAAGATCAGTGGGGCTGGGCATTGTGGCTCATGCCTGTAATCCCAGCACTTTGGGAGGCCAAGGTGGGAGGATTGCTTGGGGCCAGGAGTTCAAGATCAACTTGGCCAAAATAGCAAGATCCCATCTTGTAAAAAAATGCTCAGGGGGCAGCACAAATATTTGGCATCTTGTCTGGAAACCCAAAGACCTGAGATGAGGAAGAAGAGCTAATAGATCAGCAGCAGTGGCTGAGGATGGCCCAGAGTTCACATCTGTCCATAGAAAGGCAGCAAGGGGTGATGTTTGAGGCTGGAGCAGGAGGGAGGCAGGTGACCTGGGGAGTGTGTGGCCTTCTGCAGTCTGGGTGCATTTTCTCACCCACTGTCTGCGTAGGTGACGGATATGGTTTGGCTTTGCGTCCTCACTCAAATCTCATCTTGAATTGTAATCCCCACATGTCAAGGGAGAGACCAGGCGGAGGTAATTGGATCATGGGGGCAATTTCCCGGTACTGTTAGGATAGTGAGTTCTCATCAGATTTGATGGTTTTATAAGGGGCTCTTGCCCCCCGTCACTCGGCAGTTCTTCCTGCCACCTTGTGAAGAAGGTGCTTGCTTCCCCTTTGCCTTCCATCATGACTGTAAGTTTCCTGAGGCCTCCCAAGCCATGCTGAACTATGAGTCAATTAAACCTCTTTCCTTTATAAATTACCCAGTCCCAGGCAGTTCTTACAACAGTAGAAAAATGGACTAATACAGTGACACTCTCAAGAGTAGAATGCCAGGGACATTTTCCCAAGCCCAGAGGTGAGGGCCGCCTCCCTCCTAACAAGACCAGGCAGCCCAGGACGGGGAGGAACCCCCGGGGCAAGTCTGTGCCCATTTTGGGCAGGGCCCTGGCAGGGAGTGAGGCAAACCTCAGCCCACATCTGCTCATCACTTCCCCTGCACCTCCCCAGCAAGGCTCTGCCCAGCAGATCTTGGCACATTGTCAGCACTCAACAGATATTTGTTGGATGTGTTGCTGGCTGGATAAATAGGTGGATGGACAGACAGACGGATGGATGGATGGATGGATGGATGGATGGATGGATGGATGGATGGACAGGCAAGCAGAGACATGGAGAAACAGATGATTAGATGGATACACAGGTGGATGCATGGGTGGATAGACAAATGGATAGATGGATGAATGCTTTATAAATAAATGGCTGGATTATATGGATGGATAAGTGGATGGATAGATGACAAATGAAGAGACAGATGAATACATGCATAGATAAATGAATTAATAGATGGATGGGTGAATAGATCAATGAATAGATAATAGATAGCCAGACAGACAAACGGCTGGATGGTTTTGGAAAACTTTAGGACAGAGAAGGACAACTCACTGGTCCAAGGTGCAAACTGGGTGTGGTAGGAGCAGCCCAGTATTAAGGTGAACCTCATCACCCAGCAGGAAGAGCCCTGGGGAGGGGATTTGGGCAATTCACACACCTGCAATTCACACCCCAGCCTTTGCTCATGCTGTTCCCTCTGCTTGGAAGGTCCCCTCTCTACTTCTCTGCCTACCCAGATCCCCTCAATCTCTTACAACTCATCTGGGGTTCCTGTGCCTCCAGGAAGTTCCCTGATCAGCCCTCTTCCACCTAGCCTGGTGTTGGAGGGTGGTCAGGTTCCCTCCTGCAACACCCCTCATTTGCTGTGCACGTCACCCTGGATTGGATGGGCTGTTTACTCCTGATACCCCAGGGGACCATGGGCACCTCTAGGGCTGACGCCCTGCCTGGCTTCTTTCTCCATCCCAGCACTGGGCCTGGCACACAACAGATGCTCAGGAAACATCAAACCAAAGCAAGCGAATGGAGGAAGGGATCCTGTTCCCCACTCCTCCAGCTGTACAGATACTGTAATTTGACTAGAAATACACTTGCCCAGCTAAGCCTTAAAAAACAAAATCAGGGCCAGGCGCAGTGGCTCACGCCTGTAATCCCAGCACTTTGGGAGGCCGAGGTGTGCAGATCACAAGGTCAGGAGTTTGAGACCAGCCTGGCCAATATGGTGAAACCCCGTCTCTATTAAAAATCAGCTGGGTGTAGTGGCGGGTGTCTGTAGTCCCAGCTACTCAGGAGGCTGAGGCAAGAGAATCGCTGGAACCCAGGAGGCAGAGGTTGCAGTGAGCTGAGATCATGCCACTGCACTCCAGCCTGGGTGACAGAGTGAGACCCCGTCTAAAAAAAAAAAAAAAAAAAACATCAGGCTGGATATAGTGGCTCCCACCTGTAATCCCAGAACTTTGGGAGGCAGAGGCAGGCAGATCATTTGAGCCCAGGAGTTTGAGACCAGTCTGAGCAACATAGTTGAGAACCCGGCTCTACAGAAAAATTAAATAAACAACAAAAATCAGAGCCACAAAAAAGAAGCAGACTCAAATAAAAAATACACAGTCCCAAGCTTGTAGCTTGATGAACCAGAAAAGCTTCACACACGTGTAGCACCTCATGATTCACAAAAAGCCGCCTCCTGGGCCAGCTATGCAAACCTGTCAGAAGGGCCATCTTTGCTAAGTGGGAAAGGAGGCCCAGAGCTAAAGCCACTTGTTCTGGGTCACACTGTGTGTAGGGACCAGGGCTGGGGCTAGGGGTACAGGGACCTTACCCACCAGGCTCAACATCCCCCTTCTGACCACTTAGTGTCTTTCGGGTCAACAGAGTATCCACGGCTGGGCCTTCCTGAAATGGAAAAGACTGATTTCCCCTCCTGGAAGAGGTGAGGAGGCTCAGAGAGCCTGAGCCGCCTGCCTGGGCTCACACAGCTAGGAGGGTGAGATGTGACTTAAGGGCAGGCCTGGGACCTCAGGCCAGAGTAGAGGCTTCACCCAAGAGCCGTGGGCAGAGCAGAGCAGAACCATGGGGTTCACACGGAGCTGCTCCAGTGGCTCCTGAGCAGAGTGAGGTCCCTGTTGAAGGGCACCTGGATCCCTGAGGACTCACAGCCAGGCAGCTGGGCAACCTGTGCCTGAGTCCCAGGCTGCCCCATCCTGGGCATGAAAGACAAGCCCTCTCCAGCAGCATTGACAAGACACCCTTCCAGGGCCAGGCACGGTGGCTCACACCTATAACCCCAGCACTTTGGGAGGCCAAGGCAGGCAGCTCACTTGAGGTCAGGAGTTCAAGACCAGTCAACATGGTGAAACCCTGTCTCTACTAAAAATACAAAAAATTAGCCATGTGTGGTGATGCATGCCTATAATCCCAGGTACTCAGGAAGCTGAGGCAGGAGAATCACTTGAACCTGGGAGGCAGAGGTTGCAGTGAGCTGAGATCACGCCACTGTGCACCGGCCTAGGCAACAGAGGGAGACAAACAAACAAACAAACAAACACCCTTCCTAACTGCTTAGCTCAGATTTTGGGGTCGGATGGACATGGTTTCAAATCCCAGCTCTGCCACTTGCGAGCTCGATGAGCCTCATCTAGCTGAGCCCCCCACTGTGTGTCTCTAAAGCAGCAGTAATAACACCTGCTGCAGGGCAGTCATGCCAGTCACGTGAGATCATATACTCAAGCGCCAGCCACTGAGCCCAGCAGAGGGTAGGCATCGCCATCCTCACCACCAATAGCCCCTCACCAGACCAAAACCCCACAAAGAGGGTGCAGACTCAGAGCTTGCTGCAGGGTGGGATGAAGAACAAAGAGTAAGTTTTCTGTGTTACCCCCGCTTCCCAAGACGATGGGGATGCTGGAGGTTCTAGGTGCAGACGGGGCTGGGTAAGGATTCTCCCCCACAGGACTGAGTGCCAGGGAAGACAGATGCACATGTCGAGACCAAGGGGACCCAGGAGCAACAGAACAACAGCTTCCCCTGTGACGGAGAGAGGAGGGACATCAGGCAAAGATCAGGGGGCAGGAGCTGGGTCAGCCTGGCCAGGAGAGAGAAGAAGCCAGGCCCCTTTCTCCCCTCCTGTCAGTGGGGTCTGTATTCCTCATGCCAGGGACTTCCCCCCGACTCCCCTGGTCTATCCACTGTCTCCCCAAAACATTCAGCACCAATTCTTGCCACCCAACAAGGTTGAATATCAACCCCAATGGGGCTATATTTGAATTCTTCTTTTTTTTGAGACAGGGTCGCGCTCTGTCGTCCAGGCTGGAGTGCAGTGGTGCAATTTCAGCTCACTGCAACCTCTGCCTCCCAGGTTCAAGCCATTCTCGTGCCTCAGCCTCCTGAGTAGCTGGGACTACAGGCTTGCACCACCATGCCCGGCTAATTTTTGTATTTTTAGTAGAGACGGGGTTTCACTATGTTGCCCAGGCTGGTCTCCAACTCCTGACCTCCAGTGATCTGCCCGCCTCGGCCTCCCAAAGTGCTGGGATTACAGGCGTGAGCCACTGCGCCCAGCCTGAATTTAAATTTTTTTTTTTTTTTAGACAGAGTCTTGCTCTATTGCCCACTCTGGAATGCAGTGGCAAGATCTCGGCTCACTGCAACCTCCGCCTTCTGGGTCCAAGCAATTCTCGTGCCTCAGCCTCCCGAGTAGCTGGGATTACAGGTGCTTGCCACCACGTCTGGCTAATTTTTGTATTTTTAGTAGAGACGGAGTTTCGCCATGTTGGCCAGGCTGGTCTTGAACTCCTGACCTCAGGTGATCCACCCGCCTCGGCCTCCCAAAGTGCTGGGATTACAGGCGTGAGCCACTGCGCCCGACCTGGATTTGAATTCTGATGCTCCTACTTGCTAGCAGTGGCTTGGGGCCAGTTGCTCAGCCTGCTAACTTTAGTTTTCTCTTCTGTAAAGTGGGGACTAAATATCCTGTAACAGGGGTCACATGCTGTAACAGCACAGCACCCAGGGCACGGTGAGTGCTGCGTAGTGTGAGCCGAACGCGGGCTGCTCAGGGTCACCAGGGCCAGCTCCTTGGGCCCCCAGCAACAAATACTTCACTTTCCGCCCCCCTCTCCCCGACAATGATCCGCCCGCACAGCCGCTCTGGAGAAGAGCTTGTCTGTTTCCTGAAAACTGAATATAAACTTAGACATTTATACAATCACACTCCTGGGCATTTATCCCAGAGAAATGAAAGCTGATGTCCACATGGAAACCTGTAGCAGCTTTATTCATAACAGCTCCAAATTGGAAACAGCGCAGATGCCTCTCGATAGTCGACCGGTTCAGCAAACCGTGGCCCCTCCACACCGCGGAACACCACTGAGCAATAAGACGAATGAGCTGCCGATACTCGCCACTACTTGGATGATCTCAAGGGTGTTTATGCTGCCTGGGGAAAAAAGCCAACCTCAAAAGTCACATCCTGGATGATTCTATTTCTATAGCATTCTCAAATGACAAAGTTACAGAGATGAAGACCAGATTAATGGCTGCTGGGGGGCAGGGACAGTGGGGGAATGGGGTGAGTGTGACTGCCTGGGGATCTTGGTGGTGATAGGGTGATTCTGTTTTTTGTTGCAATGGTGGTTTGTGTGAATCTACACAGACAAAACAGCATAAAACTATACATGCAGGTTGGAGCGGTGGCTCACCCCTGTAATCCCAGCACTTTGGGAGGCCAAAGTGGGCAGAGCACTTGAGGCCAGGAGTTCAAGGCCAGCCTGGCCAACATGGTGAAACCCTATAACTATTAAAAATACAAAAATGAGGCCAGGTGTGGTGGCTCACACCTGTAATCCCAGCACTTTGGGAGGCTGAGGCGGGCAGATCACGAGGTCAGGAGATCAAGACCATCCTGGCTAACACGGTGAAACCCCGTCTCTACTAAAAATACAAAAAAATTATCCAGGCGTGTTGGCAGGTGCCTGCAGTTCCAGCTACTAGAGAGGCTGAGGCAGGAGAATGGCATGAACCCGGGAGGCGGAGCTTGCAGTGAGCCGAGATTGCGCCACTGCACTCCAGCCTGGGTGACAGAGCGAGACTCTGTCCAAAAAAAAAAATACAAAAATGAGCTGGTTGTAGTTGTGGGCGCCTGTAATCCCAGCTACTCTGGAAGCTGAGGCATGAGAATTGCTTGAATCCAGGAGGCAGAGGTTGCAGTGAGCGGAGATTGCACCACTGTACTCCAGCCTGGGTGACAGAGAGAGACTCTGTCTCAAAATAGTAAAAACCAAAAACTATACACGCGCTTTCTATTAATACCAATGTCAATTGCCAAGTTTTGATATGACAGATAATGATATTGGACATTGGATATTGTAGATCATGTGAGATGTAGCCATTGGGGGGAAATAGGTGAGGGGTACACAGGGCCACTGGGTAATCTCTGCAATTTCCTGTGGATCTATTATGATTTCAAAATTTAAAGTTTTAAAAAATGACATGCATGGTATGATGTCGGCAATTCGCTTTGAAATACTCCAGCCAAGAGAGGGAAGAGGCCGGAGAGGGAGCCTGCAAAGAGGTGAAACTAGAGTGGTAAAGTGCTTCTGCTGCCGAAGCAAGGGCGGGGATGCCGGAATGGCGGCTCGGTCTTCTCCACTGTGCATTTTTGAAATTTTCCATAATGAAGATGTAACTCTACCAAGCCGATATGCATGGGTGGGCTCACGTACACCCAGACACCCGCACGCAGGCATGCACCGGAGCGCTGACTCACGCTGCTCAGCCCAGGAATTCTTGCAGACGGCTGTGTGTCCACATGTGCGGTAAAGCAAATAAATAACGCTTAAACACCCTCGTGGAATCTGGCCACGCCAGGTCACATGTGTGTCAGGACACCTGCAGGGCAGGGCGGAAAGGGGTCCAGGGCTGCTTTGAACTTCCTGGAAACTGGGTGGGGTGGAGTTGGGTAATGACTATGATGGCTCACAATGGGACAGGGTCATAGGGAGGGGAAAGCTCCCAAGAAGAGGTGGCATTCGCAGCACAGGCTCCCTGGGCTGCCCCAGAGTCGGGGGCTGGAGAGGAGTGGGCTTCTGGGCCAGGGAAGGCTGGGAGTGGGGACGTCACTGCAGGGGGGCCGAGAGCCCTCAGTGTGGTGAGGGGACGGGAGGGGCTGTGGTGGTCACTCCACCTGAACCCCTTGATGGCGCCATTATTTCAGGATTTTTAAATGATGACTTAACCTCGGGGGAAGCACTTACTTGCTTGGGGCTTCAGTTTTGTCAACTAGAAAATGGGCCTGATGACAACACGAATCTCACAAGGTTGCCTTGACGGTCAGGCGAAGTGGCTATGGCCGTGCCCGGGGCCAACTTGGTGCCAGGCCCTGCGCTAAGGGCTCTATATGCATTAAATCCTTCAATATATGGTGCTGTTACTACCCCCATTTGCCAGATGAGAAACTAAGGTTCGGAGAGATTGATAAACTTTCCCGAGGTTACACAGTCATTAGGTTGAGGAGCTGCCATTTACATCTGCAGGTAAAGCACTTAGTTCAAACCCGCCCCCAGAAAGTGTTATTTTAAAGTTTAAAGTATGTTGAGGCCAGGTGCAGTGACGCATGCCTGTCATCCCAACATTTTGGGCAGCTGAGGCGGGAGCATGGCTTGAGGCGAGGAGTTTGAGAAAAGCCTGGGCAACATCATGAGATCCTGCCTCTCCAAAAAATGTTAAAAATTAGCCACATGTGGTGGCATCTGCCTACAGACTCAGCTTCTCGGGAGGCTGAGGGAGGAGGATGGCTCAAGCCCAGGAGTTTGAGGGTATAGTGGGCTGTGATCACGTCACTGCATTCCAGCCTGGGTGACAGAGCAAGACCCTGTCTCTTTATTTAAAAAAAAAACAAGGCTGGGTGCGGTGGCTCATGCCTGTAATCCCAGTACTTTGGGAGGCCAAGGCGGGTGGATCACCTTAGGTCAGGAGTTGTTTCTTTTTTTTTTTTTTTTTTTTTTTTTTTTTTTGAGACGGAGTCTCGCTCTGTCGCCCAGGCTGGAGTGCAGTGGCGCAATCTTGGCTCACTGCAAGCTCCACCTCCTGAGTTCACACCATTCTCCTGCCTCAGCCTCCTGAGTAGCTGGGACTACAGGCGCCCGCCACCACGCCCAGCTAATTTTTTGTATTTTTAGTAGAGACAGGGTTTCGCCGTGTTAGCCAGGATGGTCTCGATCTCCTAACCTCATGATCTGCCCACCTTGGCCTCCCAAAGTGCTGGGATTACACCAGCCTGGCCAACATGGTGAAACCCCGTCTCTACTAAAAATATGAAATTAGCTGGGCGTGGTGATGGCCACCCAGCTACTTGGGAGGCTGAGGCAGGAGAATCGCTTGAACCCGGGAGGCAGAGGTTGCAGTGAGCCGAGATCATGCCATTGCACTCCAGCCTGGCCAACAAGAGCAAAACTCCATCTCAAAATAAATAAATAAATAACTAAAAAACGAGCAAGCAAAAAAACCCAAAGCATGTTTATAGCTTGAACACTTGCTGGGATGGAAACACAGGGTAGAAAATGGCTATCTGGGGCGGGCATGGTGGCTCGCGCCTGCAATCTCAGCACTTTGGAAGGCTGAGGCAGGCAAATTGCTTAAGACCAGGAGTCTGAGACCAGCCTGGGCAACATGGCAGGACCCTATCTCTACAAAAAATTAAAAATTAGCTGGACATGGTGGTGCGTACCTGTAGCCTCAGCTACCTGGGAGGCTGAGGCGGGAGGATCACTTGAGCCCAGGAGGTCAAGGCTGCAGTGAGCCATTATTGTACCACTGTACTGCAGCCCGGGCAACAGAGTGAGACTCTGTCTCAAAAAGTAAAAAAAAAAAACGTAAGGCAGCATGGCTCATGCTTGTAATCCCAGCACTTTGGGAGGCCAAGGAGGGTGGATCACCTGAAGTCAGCAGTTCGAGATCAGCCTGGTCAACATGGTGAAATCCCGCTATCTCCATTAAAAATACAAAAAATTAGCTGAGCATGGTGGCGGGTGCCTGTAGTCCCAGCTACTTGGGAGGCTGAGGCAGGAGAATCGCTTGAACCCACGAGGCGGAGTTTGCAGTGAGCAGAGATTGCACTATTGCACTCCAGGCTGGCAACAAGAGTGAAACTCTGTCTCAAAAAAAAAGAAGAAAAGAAAAGAAAACAACTGTTTCCACTTAAAGACCTGCTACCAGACTTACCAGCTGAGTCTACAGGCAGATGCCACCACACATGACTAATTTTTAAAATTTTTTGTAGAGATGGGATCTCACGATGTTGGCCAGGCTTATCTCAAACTCCTCGCCTCAAGCCATGCTCCCGCCTCAGCTGCCCAGAATGTTGGGATGACAGGCACGCACCACTGCACCTGGCCTGAACATACTTTACAATTTAAAATAACACTTTCTGGGGGTGGCTTTGAACTATGTGCTTTACCTGCAGATTTAAAGATTTCCTGGAGGAAAGACAGGGACTGGAAGCACCCAGGTACTCCCGCCCCTGACCCCCTTGCCTCCAAGGACAACAGCTCCCACCAAAAACGGCCAGTTGCACCCAGCAAGCTGGGAGCGTGGGTAGCAGAGAGGGAGTCCCAGGCAGCCGAGCCGGTAGTGCCCAGCCCAGCCTACCACAGCTCCTGGCCCTCTGAGCATCAAATGTCACAAGGGGCTCCAGTGCCAGGGAACAGCAGCAGGGGCTCCAGGGCAAAGAGGATGACTCTCAGTCACCAACTTCAGAAGCAGTGCCACCTCACTCAACCCCATGTGACTCAGCCTCAGTTTCTTCCATACCGTGGGGCTGGCCAGGCCTGCCACCCAGGCAGCTGTGAGAACTGATCAGTGCCCACATGTCCCGGTCACCCCTGACTTTCCTTCCCTTCCCTGAAGCACCATCTCTTCACAGAGAAGTAAAAAGGTAGCCACGGCCGGGCGCGGTGGCTCACGCCTGTAATCCCAGCACTTTGGGAGGCCGAGGCGGGCGGATCACGAGGTCAGGAGATCGAGACCATCCCGGCTAAAACGGTGAAACCCCGTCTCTACTAAAACTACAAAAAATAGCCGGGCGTAGTGGCGGGCGCCTGTAGTCCCAGCTACTTGGGAGGCTGAGGCAGGAGAATGGCGTGAACCCGGGAGGCGGAGCTTGCAGTGAGCCGAGATCGCGCCACTGCACTCCAGCCTGGGCGACAGAGCGACACTCCGTCTCAAAAAAAAAAAAAAAAAAAAAAGGTAGCCACACCCCACAAGAACAAAAGGGTGGTGGTATTCAAGGGAGAGATGGGCAGCCCATGGCCCTGCTGGGGTGGCCCCAGAGATGGGCCTGCCCAGGGGGACGTAGGCAGGCAGGGGGTCAGCAGGGGCTGGCATGAGGGCAGCTCTGCTCACAGGGGCCAGCCTCTAGGGGATGGGACCTTCACCCCCAGACCTGGGGAAGAGCTGCCCTTCTGGCTGGGCACCGAACACAGGAATCCCTAAGAGGCTTGGTCTTTTCTTCTTCTGTAGCCCCCAGATGATAACATTCCTTACAGATAAAGTGAGGCACTGAAACACTTCATACAGAAACCAGGGATGTTCCAGGCTTGAGCTGGGGTGGTGGGGGTGGGGGGAGGTACAGTGCCCAGGGCTCCAACAGGGCAGCTCACTCATCTCTGAGCTGGCCCCAGCCTTACCCCATCTGTAAAGAATAAGAGCTTGATGGGCTTCAAGCCACCCAGTTGAGCTGATATCACAGGCTCCTTCATGCCCCAGGGCCTTTGCACAGCCAGCTCCCCCGTCCTGGGACGCCTTCCCTGCTTTATCCCAACACCGACTCCTTTGCAAACATTTTCTCCCTGAAACTTTCCCTGGTCCCTTCCCATTCCTTCTCCCCTGGAAGAATGAGCCCCTAGGACCCAGGGGCAATTCTATCCAGGCACCTCTAAAACTGGAACCCATTCAGCTGCGCACACTTGGCCATGGCCCTCCCTGATGCTTGAAAGGGGTCAGGCTTATCAGCTATCAAGAAGAGATTCTCGCTGGGCACAGTGGCTCACGCCTGTCATCCCAGCAGTTTGGGAGGTTGAGGCAGGAGGATCACTTGAGGTCAGGAGTTCAAGACAAGCCTGGCTAACGTGGTGAAACCCCATGCCTACTAAAAATACAAAAATTAGCCGGGCATGTTGGTGAGCACCTACAGTCCCAGCTACTTAGGAAGCTGAGGCACCAGAATCTTTTGAACCCGGTAGGTGGAAGTTGCAGTGAGCCGAGATCATGCCACTGCACTCCAGCCTGGGTGATAGAGCAGGATCCTGTCTCAGACAATTCTGAGTGAAAGGATAGCACATTTTGCAGGGTGCAAGGGTGACCTGCCAGGCCTTCACGTGTCCCAGACTCTCCTCCTGGCCCTTACCTGGGGACCCGTCCCGTAGAAGAGGTGCCTCAGAGTGAAGCACTAACAACAGTGACTCCCATCTCGCAGCCAGGGCGGATTCTCCTTTCAGACATGCTTGATGCAAAGGTCTCCATCCCATTTCTTGGGCTCCTGGACACCCCACCCCATCACCCTGGCTGGGCACAGGCCAGAGTGAGGAAGGAGCTGAGGATGGGTGGAAACATCATCCTGCCACCTGCCTGTGTCCTCTGCAGACAGCGCCTGCTCTCTCCACACATCCAAAGCCTGACATGACCAGGCACGGTGCCTCATGCCTGTAATCCCAGCACTTTGGGAAGCTGAGGCAGGATGATCATTTTCGGCCAGGAGTTCAAGACCAGCCTTCCCAACATAGCAAGACCCCATTTCCACCAAAAAATTAAAAATTAGCTGGGCGTGGTGGTGCACCTGTAATCCTAGCTCCTCGGGAGGCTGAGGCGAGAGAATTGCTTGAGGCCAGGAGTTCGAGGCTGCGGTGAGCTATGATCGTGCTACTGAACTCCAGCCTGACAGTGACGTGACCCTCTCTCAAAAGAAAAGAGCCTTAGAGCTAGAGTAGAGATGCTCCCAAAATGCAAGTGAATGAAGAATGAGGAATGATGGTGGCCAAGAGCCCAGAGGCTTAACCGCAGCAGCGGCAGGAACATGCACTTACATGGTGCTTCCTGTATGCCACACCCTGCTCCAAGCGCGTTTCTACTTCAGCTTGTTCAATCTGCACAAGGCTTCAGTGAGGCATGGAGGGGAGGTGGCAGAGCTGGGGTCCCCGTTCCCAGTCTTGGCGGTCTGAGCTTTGTGCTGCATTAGATGTACCAGTTGGCTGGGGGGGGCATCTGTGAAATGGGTGTCCAGTTGCACCCCCTCGCCCCCTAGAGTCCCACCAAGAAGCTGTGGCAGGGCAGTGGGGGAGGACTCAGGAGGGGTGTTGCAGACCCGGCTTTGGGGGGTTCCTCAGATGTCGGCAGAGGGAGTGAGCCAGAGCCTGGGAACTCCTGGTCTGGGGAGGAGAGCCCTGAGCCATGTGCAGGCCACAGGGATGGGCCACCGAGGGCCATGGGAGCTGCTGACCAGGCTGGGCGTGGCGCGCCAAGCAGCAGGCACGGCGCCTGCTCCCGGTCACTCTGACCTCCGACGCAGGCCAGCTGGGAGTCACTCTTTCCAAGCCCATCAGCAGAGCTTGCCTGCGGCTGTAACCAGGAAGCTCAGGGTGGAGGAAACTGTGGGCTCTGGCTTCCAGCGGCTTCCACGGAGGCCACATTTGCCAAATTTCATCCCAGGCTCCCAGATCCCTGAGGATTTGCCATCTCCACGCATTTTATCTTCACATTCACTTACCTAATAGCTGCCTTACAAATCTTATAAGAGGGCCTCACAAACAGACATTCATTATTCATTGGAAATGAAAGTACTCTACCACGACCTGGTGAAGCCAAGTTTGATGGGCTACTTATACTTTTTTCCCCCTAAGGCTTTACAGAAAGTAAATAACCACAAAAATAAAACCTGGCTCACCTGTGTCCCACCTAAAATCATCATGCATTTGGCCAGGAGTACTAGTGCCTCATCCTGTCCAGCTTCTGAGAAGGGGGGGGTCTCAGGGTGTCACTCCCTAACCCGCAGACCCAGGAGGGCCCCCTTCCAGGCTTTCACAAAAGAGGGCCATGCTGGGCGTAGTGGCGCATGCCTGTAGTTCCAGCTACTCGGGAGACTGAAGTGGGAGGACTGCTTGAGCCCAGGAGTTCAAGATCAGCCTGGGCAACACAGCAAGACCCTGTCTTTTGAAAAAGTTGGGGGGCGGAGGGGCAGGTTCTGGTGCATTCCCTCGAGCTTGAGTGTAGTAAGTACCAGGGGTGGGGTTACAAAGCTGAAAGTCCCCATATCTTCCCTGGGAAGAGACCTCGGAAGTCAAGTTCAGCTGGGCTGGTGTGGTTAGAAAGAGCCCCTCTGGGATCAGAAGCCAGTAGCCCTAGGTTAGAGCTCAGCCTGCCTGCTAAGTCACCAAGTCACCTGGGCCAGTCATTTCCGCAGCCTGGGCCTCTGTGCGACCAGGAGTGACCCTCCCTAATGGGATTTAGCTGCCGGCACATCTTGGGCCCCATATAAAGAGCAACAATGCTTCACAACCAAGACAGAAGTGACGGGCGACCATATCTCTTGGTTGGTGGGTGTGACAGCAGTGTTCCAGCCCTGTAAAAATCTCAGGCATAAACAGATTAAGAGATGCCAAATAGGCCGGGCGCAGTGGCTCACGCCTGTAATCCTAGCACTTTGGAAGGCCGAGGCGGGCAGTTCACCTGAAGTCAGGAGTTCGAGACCAGCCTGGCCAACATGGTGAAACCCCGTCTCTACTAAAAATAAAAAAAATTAGCCGGGCATTTTTTGTATTTGTATTGGCGCGCACCTGTAATCCCAGCTACCCAGGAGGCTGAGGCAGGAGAATCACTTGAAGCTGAGAGGTGGAGTTTGCAGTAAGCCAAGATTGTACCACTGCACTCCAGCCTGGGCAACAGAGGGAGACTCTGTCTCAAAAAAACGAAAAAAGAAACCATGTACCCATTTCCAGGTCACAGAGTGAGACTCCAACTCCAAAAAAGAAAAAAAGAGAGAGAGAGAGAGAGATGCCAAATAGGTGCTGCTCCGTAATGAGCTGTTCAGTGGCTGGCCACCTTTTTTCCCCAGGTTCCCTGCCTCAGTCCCTCCATCTGCAAAATGGGTGAGACTCCTGGTTAAATAGGGACGAGGAGAGACTGAGAGTCGGTTGTTGCCTGGGCCTATGGACTTTGTGTTCCAGTCAAAGTCTTCCAGGGTGGCCAGGAGAAGGACACACAATAGCTGGTGCCTTCCCAACGGTGGGGGACCAGGGTGGTCTCCCCGGCAACCCTCAGCCCTTCAGTCCAGTGGTTGGGAGGAGGAGTTGACACCCATTACCCCACCCCCTCCCTCAGGATTAACCTGATGGCTTAGACCAGTCCCAGCTCCCCCACATAGTGGCCCAGGCCTGTCATTCAGCCCAGGGCTGGCCAATCAGGACGAAGCTTAGAGCTAGAGTTGCCAGATTTCACAAATAAAAACACAGGATGCCCAGGTAAGTTTGAATTTCAGATCAATAACAAGTAACTTTTTTTTAGCATACATTACTCATTGTTTACCTAGATAACTTCGTGTCTTATATTTTATCTGGCAATCCTACTTGGGATTCTCCTCAGCCAATTATGGAAAGAAACCCTCCCCCACCTGTATCCCAGGGCCTCCAGCAAGAAGCAGGTGGTCCTGCTCCCATCCGCTGCCACCCCCCATCCAGAGGGCGGCAGCTGACAGCAGCAGCCCCACACAAAGGAAGTGCAAGGCCGCCTTGGAGGGCAACGGCTCCCCTGGGCCTCCCCTCCCCTGCCTGCAGGCAGCTCCACTTACTGATTGAGCCCCTGTGGGCCAGGCACTGCCCTAAGTGTGCTTTAAGTACATGTTTTTGGCTGGGCACGGTGGCTCATGCCTGTAATGCCAACGCTTTGGGAGGTCGAGCGGGGGCAGATCACTTGAGGTCAGGAGTTCGAGACCAGCCTGGGCCACATGGTAAAACCTCGTCTCTACTAAAAATACAAAAATTAGCTTGGCATGGTGGCGTGCGCCTGTAATCCAAGCTACTCGCTTGAACCCAGGAGGCGAGGGTTACAGTGAGCCGAGGTCGTGCCACTGCACTCCAGCCTGGGTGACAGGGCAAGACTCAGTCTCAAAAAAAAAGGCTGCATGTTTTTGCATCTTTGCAAGAAAGCAGCACAGATGAGATGCTAAGGCTAAGAGCCACTCGGCAACTGTGAGGCTGGACTGGAAGCCAGATCTCTGTTCCAGCGGAGCAGAGCACTGCCCTTCTGGAAGGTTCCACAGCTCTCATTTTGCCACAGGCAGGTATGGAGTTGGGGAGCAGGGGATTGACTGCTAGCAGTTAATGTGTCTAACCTAAACTTTACAAGTCAGGAAACACAGAGTAGGATGACACCCACTGAGTGCAGGAGAGGAACAGGCGGCTGGGCCACCTGCAACTCCTTGAGATGGACAGCCAGGCCTAGGACGCACACACTGAGCTGGACCCCGTTCCACCAGATTTTGCTCCTTTTAAGCATGAAAGGGCCATGACATCAAATCCCATGGGGTAGGGCAGCCCCCCTGGGGACCGAATCTGTCAAGGAAGGGGCACGGACCACCCAGGGCTAGGGTGGGTGAGAGCCGCGCCTGGGGAAGCCAGGACAAGCCACGATAGCAGCCAGTGAAAATGAGGGTCAGGCACTGGCTGGCCTTGTTCTAGAACCCCGTGAGGGCCGGCTCCAGGCCCACGCCCAACACGGGCAGCAGAGCAAGGAGCCGGGCACGGAGCCCTCCCACCCTGTTCACATCCAGCAGCTCCCTGCCTTCCCCCGTGAACCCTGAGCCCAGCCTGGTGCTGTCCTTGGCCACCTAAGACAAGGAAGAAGCCCACCCGTCCTGAGACCCCAGGCCCAGCTTTCCAAATCCTCAAACCCAGAGCTACTGCAGGAGGAGAAATTTTTTTTCTTTTAAATATGTCAGAAACAGGGTCTCGCTCTGTGGTCCAGGCTGGAGTGCAGTGGCGTGATCATAGCTCACTGTAGCCTCGAACTCCTGGGCTCCAGTCACCCTCCCACCGCAGCACCCCGAGTAGCTGGGACTACAGGCACGTACAACCCCACCCAACTAATTTTTGTAGAGATATGATCTGGCTGTATTGCCCGGGCTGGTCTTAAACTCCTGGGCTCAAGCCTCAAGCCATCCTCCCTCCTCGGCTTCCCAGAGTGTTGGGATTACAGGCATGAGCCACCACGCCCAGCCTAGGAGGGATTGTCATTTCAGCTATTCAGTCCCTGCCGCCCACTCTGCACCAGGCCCAAGGAGGAGCTGGGGACAGAGGTGAATATGGCACACTCTCTGTTCCCAAGGAGCCAAGTCAGCCAGGGGAGACGGAAAAGGACAGCCTTGTGTGACCAGTGCTGGGACCCCAGCCACGCACAGGGGCTGCAGAAATCCATAGGAGAGCATTTTCTCCCGACCTGGAGGAGGTGACACCCTGATTCTCGCCTGATTCTCTTTAACCACAGCTAATGCTTTGAGATGGATTACATCCCACTTTGCAGAAGAGGAAACAGATGCGGAGAGGTAACAGCAATGCCTAGTGAGGGCCAGGGAGGGGATTTGAACCCAGGGCTTCCAACTCCATCATTCCCAGAAAGCACTTTGGGAAATGACTGTTTCTTCTGTCCAGGGAGCCTCTTGTCACACTCAGCCAACTCATGTCAGGCACCAGAGCCAATGTCAGGCCTCCTGCTCAGGCCCCAGTCAACCCCGTCTGCTGGGAGATTTTCTCCCGCAGAGGTCACAAGTTCACAGGACCCAAGCCCAAAGCGGGAGGCACAGACAGCAGCCCTGGGGTTCTCCCAGTAGTCGGAAACGGGCTGGCTGCCTCTGGGCTCACACTGGGATCATCAGAGCAGCAGCTCAGGCTCGGATGGCCAGAATTAGGGTGGGTTGGGGTCATGGAGGGAAGAAGGCCCCGGAGATCTGATGGCTCCTAGCCTGAGGCTCTCTGTGTTTGGGCATGAACCTATGATACAGTTTGTCAGTGTCTCCACCCAAATCCCATCTTGAATTGTAGCTCCCATAACCCAGCGAGAGGTAACTGAATCACGGGGGTGGGTCTTTCCCCTGCTGTTCTCATGAGAGTGAATAAGTCTCATGAGATCTGATGCTTTTATAAAGGGGAGTTCCCATGCACACACTCTCTCGTGCCCGCCACCATGTAAGATGTGACTTTGCTCCTCCTTGGCCTCCCAAACTGCTGGGATTACAGGCGTGAGCCACTGCGCCTGGCCAGCTACATGGTTTCTTTTTGGAGCGATGGAAATGTGTAAGATTAGTTTGGGGTGATGGTTGCAAAATGACATAGATTTACTAAAACTCATAGGATTGAACACTTCAGATGAGGGAATTTTATGGTATGTAAAGTATGTCTCACTAAAGCTGTTGAAATGAAGGCAGCCTCCCAGGGCCCAGAGAGGTATCTAAAGACTCTGGTTATGCCAGCCGCGGTGCCTCACACCCGTAATCCCAGCATTTTGGAAGGCCAAGATGGGAGGATTGCTTGACTCGAAGAGTTCAAGACCGCCCTGGGCAACATAGCAAGACCCTGTTTCTTTATAGTTTAAAAAAAGACAAAAAAATAAGGACCCCGGTTTGAAATGCATTAAAAATTAGAAATAGAAAAAAAATTAAAAATAAAGACTCCCAGCCTGGTGTGGTGGCTCACGTCTGTAATCCCAGCACTCTGGGAGGCCAAGACAGGAGGATCACTTGGGGTCAGAAGTTCAAGACCAGCCTGGCCAACATGGCGAAACCCCGTCTCTACTAAAAATATAAAAATTAGCTGGGTGTGGTGGCACGTGCCTGTAATCCCAGCTACTCGGGAGGCTGAGGCAGGAGAATCACTTGAACCCGGGAGGCGAAGGTTGCAGTGAGCTTTTGCACTGCAGCAGAACAAGACTTCCTCTCAAAAAAAGAGACTCTTCTAGACAGACAGACCCTGCCTGAGCACATGACCTGGCCAGGGGGCCTTCCTACATGTCCTTGTCCTAAAGCAAGCTGTAGGTACCCTCTTCTTGGGGCAGCCGTGGGCAGGACTTTGCCCAGCTATTCCTCCCTCCCCACCAGTCCCTCTGAGGACAGGTCCCCAGAGAGAGGCAGGCAGGAGTTCCAAGGAGGGAAGGGGCCCTGTTGTTCGAGTAATAAGCTCATTCTGATGCTCCAGGAGCCTCCTGGGGATGGCAGCCATGGTTAATCAGCCAGATGGCTTGGGCAACATGAACTGACGTTGGTGCCAGCTGTGTGAGGGGCACAGGGCAGGGGGGCCAGGCGGCTGGCAGTATGCCCCCTTCCCACTTTTTTTCTCCCCTGGGATCAGAGAAAGGAGGCCTCTTGCCATCAACATGGAATCTCCACCCCCAGGTTCTTCAAACAGAGGCAGACCCCTCTACGGCTGAAATATCAGAGGGCAGAGAGCGCCACGTGCACCCCAGGCCCCCACCAGCTCGGGGACAAGGGGCATTGGCAGTGCAGATTCATGGTTACAGTCACAGAGCCTGGAGTCAGGCCACCTGGCTTCAGATCCCAGGTGGGTCACTATGAGGCTGTGTGACATCCAGCAAGTGTTTTTCTTGTTGTTGAGACAGAGTCTCGCTCTGTCGCCCAGGCTGGAGTGCAGTGGTGCGATCTCGACTCACTGCAGCCTCCATCTCCCAGGTTCAAGCGATTCTCCTGCCTCAGCCTCCGGAGTAGCTGGGATTATAGGTGTGCACCACCACACCTGGGTAATTTTTGTTCTTTTAGTAGAGACGGGGTTTTGACATGTTGGCCAGGCTGGTCTCAAACTCCTGCCCGCTAGTGATTCACCCGCCTTGACCTCCCAAAGTGCTGAGCCACCAAGCCCAGCCCCAAGTCTTTTTTTTTTTTTTTTTTGAGATGGAGTCTTGCTCTGTTGCCCAGGTTGCAATGCAGTGGCACAATCTCAGCTCACTGCAGCCTCCATCTCCCAGGTTCAAGCAATTCTCCTGCCTCAGCCTCCTGAGTAGCTGGGATTACAGGCACCCGCCACCATGCCTGGCTAATTTTGTATTTTTAGTAGAGACGGGGTTTCACCATGTTGGCCAGGAGAGTATCGAACTCCTGACCTCGTGATCTGCCCACCTCTACCTCCCAAAGTGCTGGGATTACAGGCCCCAGCAAGTCTTATAATGTCTGAGCCCTCACTTTCTTATCCAAAAAAGTGGCCATAATAATAACAGTGCCCTCCTGGCAGGCTACAGCCAGGATGAAAGCAGTGGGCATAGAACTTTCTGGGATCCTCATCATCCTCCTGAGCTCCTCCCAATAGCGGAACTGGCACGCGGCAGAGCTCAGAGGGTGGATCTCCAGGGTAAAGGGGCCAACAGGTCCCAAGCAATTCGTTAGGCTTCATGGCTGGACGGGCGGCCACTTCTTTTGTTGCAGCTTTTTTCTAAAACCCTGAGATTTCCCCTAACAGGGAAGTAAATGTAGAGAATTCAGAATGAGCCCTCATGTTCAACGTGCAGCATCAATGGAAGACAGCCTGGAGGTCCCTCAAACAAACAAACTTAGAATCACCCTGTGACCCAGCAATTCCACTCCCAGGCATATGCCCAGCAGAATTGAAAACATCTGTGTACACAAAAACTTATGCATGAGAGTTCACAGCAGCATGACTGGTAACAGCCAAAGAGGGGCAACAACCCAGATGTCCAGAGAAGTAACTGGTCTGTCCACACAATGGAGTATTACTCAGCCATTAACAAATGAAGTCCTAGCCATTAATAAACAAACAAAAAAAAGACTTGCTGGGGCTGGGCTTGGTGGCTCAGCACTTTGGGAGGTCAAGGCGGGTGAATCACTAGCGGGCAGGAGTTTGAGACCAGCCTGGCCAACATGTCAAAACCCCGTCTCTACTAAAAGAACAAAAATTACCCAGGTGTGGTGGTGCACACCTATAATCCCAGCTACTCTGGAGGCTGAGGCAGCTACTCTGGAGGCTGAGGTGTGGTGGCTCACACCTGTAATCCCAGCACTTTGGGAGGCCGAGGTGGGCTGATCACTTGAGGTCAGGAGTTTGAGACCAGCCTGGTCAACATGGTGAAACCCTGTCTCTACTAAAAATACAAAAAATTAGCCAGGTGTGGTGGTGCATGCCTGTAATCTCAGCTACTGAGGAGGCTGAGGCAGGAAAATTCCTTGAACCGGGGAGGCGGAGGTTGCAGTGAGCTGTGATTATGCCACTGCATTCCAGCCTGGGCAAAAAGAGCAAAACTCTGTCTCCAGAAAAAAAAAAAAAAAAAATTAAGTACTTATGAACGTACATCTGGCAGGAAAAAAAAAAAGTAGTGCTGACACAGGAATGAGCCTTGAAAACATTATGCTAAATGCAAGATACCAGACACAAAAGTCACATGTTATTTGATCCCATTCATATGAAGAAGAAAAAAAAGGGATCCTGGAATTTGGACATGGGAAAGTCTAACGGGTTCCACTCTGGCCACGGAGATGAGCTTACTGAGGCTGGAAGGGGAAGAGATTTGCCCTGTGTCACTTGGATATCCTGTTACCTGATCGCCTGAAGGAAGGGTGTGGTTGACCAGAGCTGGGCTTACCCTAGGTGGGAGGAGCTGGGGAAACAGAAAGGCCTGTCTCTTGGCTATCAGGGGAGCTTTATGCAGAAGCCCTGGTCTGCACGCTGATCCTTCTAGAAGCCCGAGGTCCTTCATCTTTGCCAAGACCAAGGAGCGGGAGGGAGACATGAGACCATCCCCATCGCTGTGTATTGAAGATGGACCAGATACCAGGCACGCTGCACAATCCCCCCATTTTGCAGTGGAAGAAAGAGATGGGGAGGGGTACACGGGCCCACCTGGCTGAGGCCACAGGGCAGGCAGGACACAGCTTGGGGTGCAGCTGGGTTCATGTGGTCCCAGACGATGAGTTGCCCATTGAGGAAAAGGTTGACTCAGAAAGGGCTCCGCACCCCCAGGGATTCCTGCACTGAGCTGGTTAGTTGAGAAACAGAGTGGCAGGACAGTGAGTCACAAGGCTTCGTGAACCCACGCGGAGTCCCCCAGCCCTCTCCACCTGCCCCAGGCCTTCTGGGAGTTTTTACAACAACCCATGGGATTGGGGGCCCTTTTCCTTCCCGGGCCCAGCTCCTTCCTGGTAGCCAGCCCCGTGATGCCCCACCTCTCCTGTCCACTCCCCTCCTTGAAGCCACTCAGAGGCCTGGGGGCAATCTTGTCTCTGCACTTCTTCTCCCAAGTCCTGGGCAAGTCCCCAGGCTCACTCTCCATGCCTGCCCAGTGAGCCTCCTGGGCCATCGGAAGGAGCCCTCAAGAATGTGCAGTGGGGTTGGACAGCTCTCCTGTCATGCTCCCTCAGCGCCACAAGGGACCAGAGTTACCCGGTCCCCACCCCAACATCTCCATCCCAGGACACACGTCAAGGCCTCGGCCAAGGAGTGAGAAGAAAATGTGAGCTCAAAGCAAGCGGGCATCTTTGAATTGAGCCTGGATCTCTTTTTTTGAGATGGAGTCTCACTTTGTCATCCGGGCTGGAGCATAGTGGCGCAATCCCAGCTCACTGCAACCTCTGCCTCCTGAGTTCCTGGGTTCAGGCGATTTTCCTGCCTCAGCCTCCCGAGTAGGTGCCAGGCACCTGCCACCACGCCTGGCTAATTTTTTTGTATTTTTAGTAAAGACGGGGTTTTACCACGTTGGCCAGGCTGGTCTTGACCTCCTGACCTCAAGTGATCTGCCCTCGACCTCCCAAAGTGCTGGGATTACAGGCAAGCCTGGGTCTTTCTGGAGATCCTGGGAGGGAGGAGGAGAGGGAGGACCTTGGGCCACAGGTAGGACACACCGCCTAATGCATCTATCCAGGGCCAAGGCGGGGTCAGGATGAGAGGGACAGGCCTCCAAACAAATCAGAGTTACCCTTGGCTCTGAATCTAAGTCCAGAGGGACTTGGCGGAGAATGGGGAGGACCTCTCAGACAGACCCTCACTGTCCCTCTAAGTAGCTGCCTCCCCACCCAACCCCCAGGCCCATCTTACCAAACCAGAGCCCACCAGGCTACTCTGCTTCTGTTCATATAAAAGCTTCAGTGGCTTTCCAGTGCTCGGCACTGGGAAAGAGGCCCAGCCCTGCCTCCCTCCCCAAGACCAAAGCTGGGACACTCCTTCACTCCCATCCTTGCTCCAGCCATAGGGAGCTGGCCCTGAGCCCCGTCATGATGCCTCCTAGGTCTGCCACGTTCTGTTCCCCCACTGCCCTTTCTCCTCTGCCCAGAAAATTCTATCCAACCTTCAAAACTCAACTCCAACACTGCAGCAGTCACCCTTGAGAGCCTTAGGGACCAAGCCTTTATCATCTTTCTATTTTTGGCACTGAAAACAGTACCTGGGCAGAAGGTATCGCCCGAACGTGTCTTCTGAACGGCTGGGCCACGGGGTTTGCCTTGAACTAAAACCTTACAAAGGGGGTCGGTCCAACCTCCCAACTCTCCAGTCTGGGGGAATTCAGAGATTCTACAGTGGAGACTGGGCAGGAACTATAACAACGTGAATGGCAGAGGGATAGACTGGAAGAGAGTCCAGAAAGAGACCTGAGCCTCCATGAGAACTCAGTCTGCAGTAAAGGAAGCATATCAAAGTGGGCGGCAAAGGACTTGTCATTCAAAATGGCCAGTGATTTGGAAAATGAGCAGAGTTCGATGCCTACTTCACCTGGAAACAAAAGCCAATGGTTAAATGTTTCAATGCAAAGACACAGAAAAGCAAAAAGAAAAAGTACACAGCACCGGAGACAAGAAACCATGAAGCTCCCTTATGGTAAAATGGGCCACATACGAATCTTACATTCCTGTTCTTTTTAAGGCTGTGTTCAAAAATGAAAGGCAAAGGACAAATTAAAAAAATATTTATAACATTTGATAAAGTGTTATCATTTCTTATCATTTAAAATGGAAAAGACTAGGCACGGTGGCTCATGCCTGTAATCCCACCACTTTGGCAGGCTGAGGCGGGAGGATCACTTTAGGTCAGGAGTTTGAGACCAGCCTGGCCAACATGGTGAAACCCCATCTCTACTAAAAATACAAAAATTAGCCAGGCGTGGTGGGCGCACCTGTAGTCCCAGCTACTCAGGAGGCTGAGGTAGGAGAATTGCTTGAACCCAGGAGGCAGAGGTTGCTGTGAGCTGAGATGGAGCCACTGTACTACAGCCTGGGTGACAGAGCAAGACTCCATCTCAAAACAAAACAAAACAAAACAAAAAACAAACAAAAAAATACAAAAATTAGCCACGCAGGGTGGCATATTTTAAGGACAAAAATAAGTACATAGGCATCGTAAATATCACCCACATTTGTAGTTTTGTTTTTTTTATTGAGGTGAAACTCAGACATGAAATTTGCTGTTTTAAAGTTTACTATTCAGTGGCATTTAGTACATTCAAGATGTGTTGTCCCAGACTGAGGGAGGAGGATCTCTTGAGCCCAGGAAGTAAAGGTTGCAGTCAGCTGAGATTGTACCATTGCACTCCACCCTGGGCAACAGAATGAGACCCTCATCTCAAATAAAAATAGGCCGGATGCAGCGGCTCATGCCTGTAATCCTAGCACTTTGGGAGGCTGAGACAGGCGGATCACCTGAGGTCAGGAGTTTGAGACCAGCCTGACCAACATGGAGAAACCCTATCTCTACTAAAAATACAAAATTAGCCATGTGTGGTGCCACGCACCTGTAATCCCAGCCACTCGGGAGGCTGAGGCAGGAGAAACGCTTGAACCCGGGAGGTAGAGGTTGCACTGAGCTGAGATTGCACCATTGCACTCCAGCCTGGGCAACAAGAGTGAAACTCCATCTCAAAAAATAATAATAATAATAATAAAAAAAAGATAAAAAGCAAATCCCAAAGGTGAATACAATACAGAAACAAGTAACCTAATTGCATATCAAATTGATAACATAATCAAAATGAGAAAACTTATTTATTTATTTATTTTTTGAGATAGAGTCTCACTCTATGGCCCAGGCTGGAGTGCAGTGGCACAATCTCAGCTCACTGCAGCCTTCACCTCCCAGGTTCAAGCGATTCTCCTGCCTCAGCCTCCCGAGTAGCTGGGATTACAGGCGCCTGCCACCACACCTGGTTAATTTTTGTGTTTTTCATAGAGACAGGGTTTCACCATGTTGGCCAGGCTGGTCTCGAACTCCTGAACTCAAGTAATCCGCCCACCTCGGCTTCCAAAGCGCTGAGATTACAGGAGTGAGCCACTGTGCCTGGATGAAAACTTATTTCTGTTAATACTACCTGTTGAACACAGTGATCTTACTGTACCTCCTCAGGGTGATATATATTCAGTGACATATTTTAAGGACAAAAAGAATGACATAGGCATCTTAAATAGCCCCCATGTCTGTGTGTGTGTGTGTGTGTGCAAGCGCGTGTGTGTTTTGAGACGGAGTCTTGCTCTGTCACCCAGCCTGGAGAGCAGTGGTGCGACCTCGGCTCACTGCAACCTCCGCCTCCCGGGTTCAAGCGATTCTCCTGCCTCAGCCTCCCACGTATCTGGGACTATAGGCGCGTGCCACCACGCCCAGCTAATTTTTGTATTTTTAGCAGAGACGAGGTTTCACCATATTAGCCAGGATGGCGTCAATCTCTTGGCCTCGTGATCCACCCGCCTCAGCCTCCCAAAGTGCTGGGATTACAGGCGTGAGCCACCGCGCCTGGCCTGTCTTCTTTTTTTTAATTGAGGTGAAACTCACATGAAATTAATTAAAGTTTTAAAGTGTACAACTCGGTGGCATTTAGGACATTGAAGATGTTGTGCAACTATCACCACTATCTATCATCACTATCTGGAACTTTTTATTGCCTCAAAAGAACACCTCATCCCCATGAATCAGCCACTCCTTACTCCACCCTTCTCCCAGGCCCTGAAAACCACCAATCTGCTTTATATCTTTTGTAGGTTTGTTTTTAGAGGTTGTTGCTATTACAATTTTTGAATAATTGTATACTTAGTGTAGGATAAATACTAATGTTTTTAGGGACCTAGATTTTCAGTGTGTGAAAAAAGAGATATAAATATAAAAGTAGTTATGATGAGGCCAGGTGTGGTGGCTCATGCCTATAATCCCTGCACTTTGGGAGGCTGAGGTGGGAGGATCACTTGAGCCCAGGATTTTGAGACCAGTCCAGGCAACACAGCAAAACCTAGTCTCTACCAAAAAAACAGCCATGGTGATGCACACCTGTATTCCCAGCTACTTGGGAGGCTGAGGTGGGAGGATCTCCTGAGCCCAGGTAGAGGCTGCAGTGAGCTGTGATTGTGCCATTGTACTCTAGCCTGGGCAACAGAGCGAGACCCTATCTCAAAAAATAATAAAAATAAGTGCAGTTAGGATGAACAGCTGAACAGCCATTTTTATACCAATATTCATAAGAGCATCATTCACAATAAGTCAAAAGGTAGAAATAACACCCGTGTCTATTATCAGATGAATGATAAACAAAATATGGTATATAAAGACAATAGAATATTATTTAGCCTCAAAAAAGGAAGGAAATTGGCTGGGCGCGGTGGCTCACGCCTGTAATCCCAGCACTTTGAGAGGCCGAGGCGGGCAGATCGACCACGAGGTCAGGAGATCGAGACTACCCTGGACAACATGGTGAAACCCCGTCTTTACTAAAAACACAAAAAATTAGCCGGACATGGGGGTGGGCACCTGTAGTCCCAGCTACTCGGAAGGCTGAAGCAGGAGAACTGCTTCAACCTGGGAGGCAGAGGTTGCAGTGAGCTGAAATCGCACTACTGCACTCCAGCCTGGGTGACAGAGCAAGACTCTGTCCAAAAAAAAAAAGAAGACAATTCTGACATAGGCTACAATACAGATGATTGTCAAAAACATCATGCTTTGTAAAAGCAGATAGTCATGGCAGGACAGACAGTGTGTGATTCCACATATGAGGTTCCTAGAGTAGTCAGATTTATAGAGACAGAAAATAGAACGGTGTTACCGAGGGCTGGGAAGGGAGATGAGGAGTTTGTATTTAATGGATACTGAATCGTGGTCTGGGAAAATGAAAACATTCTGGAGGTGGATGGTGGCGAGGGCTGCCCAATAATGTGAATGCACTTAATGTCATTGAACTTAAAAAGTTAAGAAGGTCAGGCCAAGTGCAGTGGCTCACACCTGTAATCTCAGCACTTTGGGAGGCCGAGGTGGGCGGATCACCTGAGGTCAGGAGATCACCAGCCTGACCAACATGGTGAAACCCCATCTCTACTAAAAATATAAAAATTAGCTGGGCATAGTGGCACATGCCTGTAATCCCAGCTACTCGGGAGGTTGAGGCAGGAGGATGGCTTGGACCTGGGAGGCGAGGGTTACAGTGAGCCAAGATTGCACCACTACACTCCAGCCTGGGTGACAGAGTGAGACTCCATCTCAATAAAAAAGAAAAATTAAGAAGGTCAATTTATGTTATGTATATTCTAAAAACAATAAAAAAAGTAGTTATGAAAACACTCTTGACATGTGACGTTTACATTGGAACTATCAGTATCCTCTGTTGATATCTCCCTTATCCTTTGTTTCACTTTCCAAGGTTTCAATTTTATATGTATACATATAAGATTTATCAGTATTCATGCATGAGTTTGTTGTTTTGTTGTTTTTGAGAAAAGGTCTTGTCTTGCTCTATCACCCAGGCTGGAGTGCAATGGCAAGATCTTAGCTCACTGCAGCCTCTGCCTCCCAGGCTCAAGTGATCCTCCCACCTCAGCCTCCAAAGTAACTGGGACAACAGGTGTGTGCCACCAAGTGCAGCTAATTTTTGTATTTTTTGTACAGATAGGGTTTCACCATATTGCCCAGGCTGGTCTTGAACTCCAGGGCTCCATCCATCTGCCTGCCTCAGCCTCCCAAAGTGCTGAGATTTATAGGCGTAAGCTACCATGTCCAACCCACGCATAATTTTTTAAAAATACATTTTAGGTCTCTGTCCACTGAAATAGCCTGGGGTAATGACAGCCCAGCAGCAATGAGCACATCTAACACCCAGGTCTGGGATTCTAAACACCATTTCCTCTTAACTAAGAACTGAGGCTCTTTGGAGAAATGGCTGATTCCAGCTGAGCTTACGATATCTTGTATAGAAAATCGAGAAAGCTATCAAAGACAAAAAGAATCACATCAAAGGGACATAGAAGTCAGGTCGAAGGGACATCCGTTGGCCACACAGGGACTTTTAAACATCTAGAAGAATAATGACTATAATGAAGTATAACATATTGAATAATAAATTGGATGAATAAAAATCCATCTGTCCATATTGACAATTATCCTCATTATTCAAGGATCTGATATTTGCAGATATGCCTACTCGCTATAATTTATTTGTAACCCCCAAATCAACAGCACTTGCAACATTTTCATTGTCAATCACAAAGGCAAAGCAGGGAAAAAAATCTTAATCTCCTGACGTGAGTGCTCCCAGGGGAGGTCAAACAAGGTGACACTCTGCCTCCTTTCAGTTCCCATACTGTAAACAAGCGTCCTTTTTGTAGTCGATTTAACCAGATGTGCCACGTTTTCTGTATTTGTGTAGGTGATTTTATCACTTAAAATGGTCCCCGTGTACTGCTAATGTGATGTCCAAAGTTTCTTTTCTTTTTTTTTTTTTTTAGACAGAGTTTCACTCTGTTGCCCAAGCTGGGATGCAGTGGCGCAATCTTGGCGCACTGCAGCCTCCGCCTCCCGGGTTCAAGCAATTCTCCTGCCTCAGCCTCCCGAGTAGCTAGGATTACAGGCATGCACCACCACACCTGGCTATTTTTTGTATTTTTAGTAGAGACGGGGTTTCACCATGTTGGCCAGACTGGTCTCCAACTCCTGACCTCAGGTGATCTACCCGCCTCAGCCTTCCATAGTGCTGGGATTACAGGCGTGAGCCACCGTGCCCAGCCTTAGTGTCCAATGTTTCTAAGCAAGGAAAGCTGTGATGAGCCTCACAGAGAAAATGTGTATGTCAGATAAGCTTCACTCAGAGACAAGTTGTAGTGCTGCTGGCTTTTAGTTCAATGTTAACAAACCAAACATGTATATTAAATAAGGCATCTTCAAACAGAAAGGCAGATAAAACCAGGTTATGTATTCATCAGTTGACAACATGACCAGAGGCTTACAGGAACTAAACCTATATTTCCCCTGGAAGCAAGGGTTCAGCATGCCTTAATTCAATGTTTGCTGTGGCAACTTTAGAAAACATAACTCACTCTAATAAGAATTCACTGAACTTAAAAAATAAAAGTGGGGGAAAGCCTTTTTTTTTTTTTTTTTTTGAGACAGGGTGTCACTGCATCACCCAGGCTGGAATGTAGTGATGCAATCACAGCTCACTGTAGCCTCCAATTCCTGGGCTCAAGCGATCCTCTTGCCTCAGCCTCCCAGATAGCCCCACAAGTGCATGCCACACCATGCTCAGCTAATTTTTAAATGTTTTGTAGAAACGAGGTCTCAATATGTTGCCCTGGCTGGTCCCAAACTTTTGGGCTCAAGCGATCCTCCTGCCTCATCCTCCCAAAGTGTTGGGATTACAGGAATGACCCACCACGCCCAGTCAGAAAAGTTCTTTTCTATAGAAGATTACCAGTTCAAATGTAGCAGTTATGATGGAGTTAGCAAAATCACAGTTTTGCAAACCCCAGTGCAATTGTCGATTCAGGCCAGGGTCATGATGAGATGCCAATGTGCTGGGTAAAAGGTCACTGGGGAGCAGGCTACTCACCCAGAGCCAGGACAGCACCCCACAGACTACCTATGGCAGAGGGACAATGACTTGACAATGGGGACATCAAGCAGTGAACACGTAAATGAAGCAATAAGCTCAGGACCCCTGAGTGGTACAGTCTGCTGGCAGGTGCCCCCGTGATGTGACCCAACATCACGTTACCCCTGGGGCGCTAAAATCTTTCATCTCGCCAGGCGTGGTGGCTCACGCCTGTAATCCCAGCACTTTGGGAGGCCGAGGCAGGCGGATCACAAGGTCAGGAGATCGAGACCATCCTGGCTAACATGGTGAAACCCCATCTCTACTAAAAATACAAAAAATTAGCCAGGCATGGTGGCACGCGCCTGTAGTCCCAGCTACTCCGGAGGCTGAGGCAGGAGAACCACCTGAACCCAGGAGGCGGAGGTTGCAGTGAGCCGAGATCGTGCCATTGCACTCCAGCCTGGCGACAGAGTGAGACCCCATCTCAAAAAAAAAAAAAAAAAAAAATCTTTCATCTAGGCCTAACTTTCCAGGGTGCAGGAAATACATGAGACAGATGAACAAGTTGAACGGCTTCACGAGGGAAAAATTAGGCAAATACAGGCCAGACACGGTGGCTCACTCCTGTAACCCAGCACTTTGGGAGGCCAAGGTGGGCAGATCACTCGAGATCAGGAGTTCGAGAGCACTAGAATTGCTTGAACCCGGGAGGCAGAGGTTGCAGCAGTGAGCCAAGACCGTGCCACTACACTGCAGCCTGGGCAACAGAGCAACACTCCATCTCAAAAAAAAAAAAAAAAAGAATTACACAAATACAGTAGTTCTCCCTTATCCTCAATGTCACTTTCCCAGGTTTCTGTTACTCGTGGTCAACTGTGGTTGGAAAATAGGTGACTGGCCAGGTGCAGTGACTCATGCCTATAATCCTGGCACTTTGGGAGCTCAAGGCAGGTGGATCACCTGAGGTCAGGAGTTCGAGACCAGCCTGGCCAACATAGGGAAACCCTGTCTCTACTAAAAATACAAAAAATTAGCCAGCCATGGTGGCACACTCCTGTAATCTCAGCTACTCAGGAGGCTGAGGCAGGAGAATCGCTTGAACCCGGGAGGCAGAGGTTGCCGTGAGCTGAGATTGCACCATTGCACTCCAGCCTGGGTGACAAGAGCGAAGCTCCATCTCAAAAAGAAATGAAAATCGGTGACTACAGTGTAGCAGGATATTGACAGCCCACATTCATAAAACTCATTACAGTATATTGTTATAATTGTGCCATTTTATCATGAGTCCTTGTCGCTGATTTCTTACTGTGCCTAATTTATAAATTAAACTTTGTCAAGGGTATCTATCTACAGAAAGAGACATAGTATTAATATATATAGGGCTCAGTACTAGCCACAGTTTTAGGCATCAGTGGGGTTATTGGAGTGTACTCCCCTTGGACAAGGGGGGAATGCTGTACAGAATTTAAGATAACCTACAATACAAAAAGAACCTAGACTCTTCTAGAAGTCAGTGTCATGGGTAGGGGGAAATGGCAGGACAAAAAAATAGACCCAAAGATTGAAACAATGCAACCAAATGCAACGTGCAATGCATGCGTGATAGGATCCTGGTTTAAAATCTAAAACGTGTCTGGCCGCGGTGGCTCACGCCTGTAATTAATCCCACTATTTTTGGGAGCCCAAGGCAGGCAGACTGCTTGAGCTCAGGAGTTCAAGACCAGCCTGAGCAACATAGTGAAACCTGATCTCCACTAAAAATAGAAAAATCAGCTGGGCATGGTAGCACGTGCCTGTAGTCCTAGCTACTTGGGAGGCTGAGGGGGAAGGATCACTTGAGCCCATGGTATATTTATGACATATAATAAATTATTATAATTTATTATTTATCAAAATAAAGTATAAAATATATTTTTATTTATTTTGAGACAGAGTCTCACTCTGTCACCAAGGCTGGAGTGCAGTGGTACAATCTTGGCTCACTGCAACCTCTACCTCCCAGGTTCAAGCGATCCTCCTGCCTCAGCCTCCCAAGTAGCTGGGATCACAGGTGCCTGACACCACGCTTGACTATAAAATGTTATTTTTTGTTTGTTTTTGAGATGACATCTCACTCTGTTGCCCAGGCTGGAGTGCAGTGATGCCGTCATGGCTCACTGCAGCATCAACTTCCAGGGCTCAAGTTATTCTCCCACCTCAGGCCCCTGAGTAGCTGGGACTACAGGCATATGCCACCGCGCATGGCTAGTTTTTGTATTTTTTGTAGAGACAGGGTCTCACCGTGTTGCCCAGGCTGGTCTTGGACTCCTGGGCTCAAGTGATCCTCCCACCTTGGCCTCCTAAATTGTTGAGATTACAGGTTTGAGCTACTGTGCATAGCGAAATGTATTTTTACATATTGGGACAACTGAGAATATTTGAATGTGGACAGGCTATTAGATGATGTTGAAATTTGTTAATTGTACTTAGGGGTGAAGTGTTTAAGGTCTAACTTATCTTTAACCTCCACAGAGTGAGATAAAACAAATACAGAAAATAATTACCGAATCGAGGTAGTGGGTAGATAGGTGAGTTTATGTACTATTTTTCCTCCAAGATTTTTGTCTGTATAAAAATATTCACAAAAACAAGTTGGAGAGTGGCCTAAGAAAAATCTAAAATTCTCTTTGCTAATTTTAGATGTAATTTTTATTTAATTTTATTTAACTTTATTTTAATATAGAAGTTCTTAGCCTTGGCTTTGCTTCAGAATCATGGGGGAAGCTTTAACAAAAACCAAAAAACAATGACTGTGCTTGGCACCCACAGGTCTGATTTAATTGGGCTGATGTGGGATCCAGACATACACCTTTTAAAGCTCCCAGGTGACTCTCCCATGCAGCCAGGGCTGAGAATCAGCACCTTGAATGACTCATGGGAATTAGAATCATTCCTGATATGGCTCCTAGATCCCAGGAGGTGCTGGCCAAGGGGAGGAGAAAGGAGAGAGCTGATGCTGGCCCCTGAACCTGCCTGGTAACACCATCATTCACTCAACTGAGGCACCGACTGCTCCAGGTAGGTGCTGTAGCATCCTTTTGTTTTGAGACAGGGTCTTGCTCGTGGCCCAGACTGGAGTGCAGTGGTGCAATCATAGCTCACCAGAGCATCCAACTCCTGAGCTCAAGCGAGCCTCCTGCCTCAGCCTCCTGAGTAGCTGGGACTATAGGCACATGCCATCATACCTGGCTTTTTTTTATTTTTTAAAGATGGGGTCTTACTATGTTGCCCAGGCTGGTCTCAAACTCCCGGCCTCAAGCAATCCTCCCACCTTGGCTTCCCAAAGTGCTGGGATTATTGATGTGAACCACCATGTCTGGCTATAGCATCTATTTTTACTGACCAGAGGTGTTTGTCACTCACCCAAGGTCACAGGGCTGAGAGGGGGACACAGGCACAGAGCCTACACTCTTAGTTCCTGCTCCTGCCTTTGGAAGATTATAAATGTCTTATTCTGGCTGGACCAACGGGCGTGCAAAGGCAGGAGGTAGGGAGATGGGCCACGGAAGCCAATGATCAGAAATGTGCAGAGCTTCAGGCTTTTTTTTCTTTTTTCTTTTTTTGAGATGGAGTTTCGCTCTTGTCGCCCAGGCTGGTGTGCAATGGCACAATCTCAGCTCACTGCAACCTCTGCCTCCCAGATTCAAGCAATTCTCTTCTGCCTCAGCCTCCCGAGTAGCTGGGATTACAGGTGCCCACCACCATGCCCGGGTCATTTTTGTATTTTTAGTAGAGATGGGATTTCATCAAGTTGGCCAAGGCTGGTCTTCAACTCCTGACCTCAGGTGATCCACCTGCCTCAGCCTCCCAAAGTGTTAGGACTACAGGTGTGAGCCACCGCACCCAGCTGCTTCAGGCTTTTTCTAAAGAGAGGACCAACTTGTTTTTCTTGAGCCGGAGCCTCAAACTTGGGGACGCCCTGTGGGTTTGGTTCTGAGTCTGTCTCCATCTCTGGACTGTGCTGTCTGGGAAGCCAGGGCCCTCCTGGCTCATTTTGTGACCTCAGGGGCTGGCAGGTGGCCTCGCATGGCCCAGGTGATCAAGAAACTGTTCTTGAATAAATGAATGACTCAGTGAAGGGCAGGAAGGCAACAGGAAGGACAGTGCTTACCAAGGGGCCAGTCCACAAGAGTGGAGCTGAGGGAAGACTGGCTTGGCAGGACACTGAGACACTGCGTCAGGGACACTGAGAAGCAGGGAGGGGGAGAAACAAGTGCTATGAGGTTGGGAGGCAGGAGAGGGGGCTCTCCCCTCCCCAACGCTTGTGTAGAGCAAGCCCTCCTGGAATTCTGTCTGTCTGTACTCCTTGGCAGATGTCTTTAATTGACTAGTACATGATATTAACAACTAAACGTTCTAATAATGGAAAGAAGGAAAAGGAGAAACAGAAATGCCATCGATTGCATGCTCATCACTTGCTGGGCTCTGGGTTAGGTACATTTATTTATTTATTTATTTATTTATTTATTTATTTATTTATTTATTTTTTGAGATGGAGTTTCACTCTTGTCACCCAGGCTGGAGGGCAACGGTACAATTTCAGCTCACTACAACCTCTGCCTCCCAGGTTCAAGTGGTTCTCCAGCCTCAGCCTCCCGAGTAGCTGGGATTACAGGCGTGCGCCACCTCACCTGGGTAATCTTTGTATTTTTAGTAGAGATGGAGTTTCGTCACGTTGGCCAGGCTGTTCTCAAACTCCCGACCTCAGGTGATCCACCCACCTCGGCCTCCTAAAGTGCTGGGATTACAGGCATGAGCCACTGCGCCCAGCCTGGGTTAAGCACTTACATTCATGACATCATTTAACACACATACCACCTGGGCAGGGAGATACTGACATACAGGGTACCTCAGAGGCTGTCCCCTGTCCGATTACCAGAATGTGACATAGCCATAATTCCAACCCTATTCCATGTGACTGTGAAGCCTTTAACCAACTCTCAGCTGCCCTCCTTCAGTCAGGGGTCCCCACAGGGCAGAGTGCAACCAAAGTGGGAGTGAGACCATTTTCTGTGGTTCACAGACCAGGGCTTTTTCATTTAGAATATCTATTTATTATATATTTAGATATATACATATATTATACTGTGTTGGGGAGAGAGAGAAAGAGAAGGTGGGGGAGAGAGAAAAAGGAGGCAGGGGGACGGAGAGACAGACACACACCAGGACTTGCACTTTACTTATTTATTTATTTATTTTTGAGACGGAGTCTCCCTCTTTTTGCCCAGGCCAGAGTGCAGTGGCGCGATCTCGGCTCACTGCAACCTCCACCTCCCGGGTTCAAGCGATTCCCCTGCCTCGGCCTCCCAAGTAGGTGGGATTACAGGTGCTCATGACCACGCCTGGCTAATTTTTGTATTTTTAGTAGAGATGGGGTTTCACCGTTTTAGCCAGGCTGGTCTTGGACTCCTGACCTCAGGTGATCCATCCACCTTTGCCTCCCAAAGTGTTGAGATTACAGGCATAAGCCACCATGCTCAGCCTTTGTTATTTGTTTTCTTGAGACAGGGTCTTGCTCTGTTGTCCAGGCTAGAGTACAGCGGTGCAATCATACCTCACTACAGCCTCGAGCTCCCGGGCTCAAGCAATTCTCCCACTTCAGCCTCCCAAGTAGCTGGGACTATAGGTGCACACCACCATCCCCGGCTAATTTAAAAAAAAAATTTTTTATAGAGATCATGTCTCGCTATGTTGCACAGGCTGATCTTGAACTCCTGGACTCAAGCAATCCTCCTGCCTTGGCCTCCCAAAGTGCTGGGATTACAGGCGTGAGCCACTGAACTCAGCTATTATACTTTATATGTACATATACATAGTTAAACCAAATACAATTGCTGTGATTATAGCTTGAAAACGGTCAGATGATGATTTCATATGGTCCACCATAGTATTTGTTTACATGTGTGTATTTCTTTGTATTTACAATGACCTTCTTATTCAGGAGTAACAGTGACAACAAACCTTTATTGAGCACTTACTAAAAGCTATACACTGTTCTAAGCATTTTCATACACCAAACACAGCAAAATATTATAATCCCCATTTCAGAGAGGGGAAAATGGAACAATGGCCTTGTTTTATGGCAAGTGATACTGGCTTGTCACTGATGGTGATGGAAAGCCTCCTCTGTAAACAAGTTTACTGTAAGAAGAATGGGGCCGGGGGTCAGCTGAAAGGAGAGCAAGCAGCACCTATGGTGGGGACATGGTGGTGCAGGAGGCTGAGGAGGGACTGCAGTTTGGAATCCCCGTACCTGAGGGGCGAGGCAGCAGTGTTCACATACAGAAGCAGAACCCAGCTTAACCAAGGCCCAAGTTTTGGGAAAGAGTGGGCAGAGCAGAGCAAATTCTGAATGAGGAGTCAGAGGCTGTGGGATCCCATTCTGGGCCCTGGTGAACTCCCCATGGTACAGGCCCCAACCTCAACAGCTGGTCCTCAGGGCGGCTAAGTCAGGAGTGCCCTCGGCCACAAGTCACAGGAAATCCACCTGGCAGTGACTTAAAGCTGCAGACAGTGGCCATATTTGACACGAAGGTTGGAAGTTAGCACTGCAGCTCTTTGGCATCAAGGATCCAAGTTCTGGCTGCGCAGTGGCTGACACCTGTAATCCCAACACCTTGGGAAGCCAAGGTGAGAGGCTCCCTTAAGCCCAGGAGTTCAAGACCACCCTGGGCAACATAGCAAGATCCTGTCTCCACAAAAATAAATTTTTTTAAAAAGCATCCAGGTTCCTCCTGTCTTCTCAGTCTGCCACCCTTGTGTGTTTGCTTTCCATCTCCAGCCTGAATGCTGTCACATCCTAGTTCAAGGCAAAAAGAGACGGAAGAAGTGTCTATCCCTTGCATTGGCCAGAGCTGGATCACATGGCCACTTCTCTTTTGAGACAGGGTCTCCCTCTGTCACCCAGGCTGGAGTACAGTGGCACGATCTCAGCTCACTCCAACCTCTGCCTCCCGAGTTCAAGCAATTCTCCTGCCTCAGCCTCCTGAGTAGTTGGGATTACAGGCATGTGCCACCATACCCGGCTAATTTTTTTTTTTTTTTTTTTTTTTTTGGTAGAGACAGGGTTTCATCATGTTGCTCAGGCTGGTCTCAAACTCCTGACCTCAAATGCTCTGCCCACCTCGGCTTCTCAAAGTGCTGGAATTACAGGCGTGAGCCACGATGCCCAGCCCACATGTCCACTTCTTTTTCTTTTTTTTTTTTTTTGAGACGGAGTCTCGCTCTGGTGCCCAGGCTGGAGTGCAGTGGTGTGATCTCGGCTCACTGCAAGCTCCGCCTCCCGGGTTCAAGCCATTCTCCTGCCTCAGCCTGCCGAGTAGCTGGGACTACAGGCGCCCTCCACCACGCCTGGCTAATTTTTTGTATTTTTGGTAGAGACGGGGTTTCACCGTGTTAGTCAGGATGGTCTTGACCTCCTGACCTCGAGATCCAGCCACCTTGGCCTCCCAAAGTGCTGGGATTACAGGCGTGAGCCACCGCACCCGGCCAACTGCTTCTAACTACAAGAGAAGCTGAGATACTAATGTCCAGGAAAGGGAAAGGGATTGCCACAATGGGGCCAGAACCCTTGTGACGTGGCCCCTGGAGCTGGGCACATGTGGTTCCTCCCTTCTTGGTAGCACTCATCACAGTTGCAATCTGGTCTTCATGTGGACCTGTGGTTGTTCGGTGTTTGTCTCCCATGGACTAGGAGCCCCTTGAGGGCAGGACCTGCTTGTAGATTGTCCTCCATGTCCCAAGTCCTGGATCTGGCACACACAGGGTACTCAGATCACAGATTAACTGAATAAATGAACAAGTGAATGATCTAAAGAAGTCTCCTTCTTGGCCGGTGCAGTGGCTCACACCTGTAATCCCAGAACTTTGGGAGGCCGAGGCGGGCAGATCACTTGAGGTCAGGAGTTGGAAACCAGCCTGGCCAACACGGTAAAACCCCACCTCTACTAAAAATACAAAAATTAGCTGGGCGTGGTGGTACATGTGTATAGTCCCAATTACCTGGGAGGCTGAGTTGGGAGCATTGATTGAGCCCACATGTTCAAGGCTGCAGTGAGCTAGATCATGCCTCAGCAGTTCAGCCTGGGTGATAGAGACTATCTATTAAAAAAAGAAAAAAAAAAGACAAAATGAAGCAAAACAAAAACTCTCCCCACAGTCATCTTCCACGGTGTGGTGGCCTTTGAATCCACACAAGCCTGGGTCCAATCACTGCTCAAAATACACCAGCCTATTAACAACACTCTATGCCAGGCCTGTACCAGGGGTGTTGTGTGCGTGGTGTCTGGTTGCCCAGGTTCGAGTTTTATGTGCTGGCTGTGTGATGATAGGCAGGTTACTTAACCTCTCTGTGTCTTATCTGTAACACAGGGATAATAACAGTACCAAACTCATAGAACCCTTGTGAGGATTAAGTGAGATAAGGCCTTGAAGAGCTTAGCTCAGACAGGCACAAAGCAAGTTCTCAAAAGTGGCATAGATTTTTCTTTTCTTTTTCTTTTTTTTTTTTTTTTTTTTTTTGAGATGGAGTCTCGCTCTGTCACCCAGGCGGGAGTACAGTGGCACAATCTCGGCTCACTGCAAGCTCCACCTCCCAGGTTCATGCCATTCTCCTGCCTCAGCCTGCCGAGTAGCTGGGATTACAGGCGCCCTCCACCACGCCCGGCTAATTTTTTTATTATTTTTAGTAGAGACGGGGTTTCACTGTGTTAACCAGGATGATCTCGATCTCCGGACCTCGTGATCCACCTGCCTCAGCCTCCCAAAGTGCTGGGATTACATGCGTGAGCCACTGCACCCGGCCTTAGAGTTTTCTTATTTGGGCCAGCACAGTGGCTCACGCCTGTAATCCCAGCACTTTAGGAGGCCGAGGCTGGCAGATTACCTGAGGTCAGGAGTTCGAGACAAGCCTGGCCAACATGGTAAAACCCTGTCTCTACTAAAAATACAAAAAAATTAGCCAGGCGTGGTGGCAGGTGCCTGTAATCCCAGTTTCTTGGAAGGCTGAGGCAGGAGAATTGCTTGAATCTGGGATGCAGAGGTTGCAGTGAGCCAGGACTGCACCATTGCACTCCAGCCTGGGCGACAAGAACAAAACTCCATCTCAAAAAAAAAAAGATTTTTCTTATATGTAGAAAAAATCCAAATCACCTTTCCATAGGGTGCTTTCAGCTAATGACTGAGCACAAATTTTTACAGACACAGACTCAATCCCCATTATTTGTGGATTCTGCATTTGCAAGTTCACCTACTTATTAGAATGTATTTGTAACCTCAAAAATCAACACTCGAGGTACTTTCAAGGTCATTCACAGACATGTGCAAGTGGCAAAAAAATTTCCACTGTCTGAGGGGCATGTTCCCAGCTGAGGTTTCAGAAGATCTCACACTGCCTTCCGATCTCAGCTCTCACATCGCAAACAAGTATCCTTTTCATGGTCTACTTAGTGCCAAATTTTTCCCATTTTTGTGCTTTCTGCGGTCGTGTCGATGTTAAGAATGACCCCCGTGTGCAGTGAGAGCAAGGCAGGAGTGACTACGTTACAGAGAAAACACATGTGTTAGAGAGGGTTTGTTCAGGCATGCGTTAGTGCTGTTGCCTATGGACATGTATGTGTTTAATTATTTTTCTTTTCTATTTTTTTTTTTTTTTTGAGACAGAGTCTCACTCTGTTGCCCAGGCTGGGGTGCAGTGGTGTGATCTCGGCTCACTGCAAGCTCCACCTCCCGGGTTCACGCTATTCTCCTGCCTCGGCCTCCAGAGTAGCTGGGACCACAGGCGCCCGCCACCATGCCCGGCTAATTTTTTGTGTTTTTAGTAGAGACGGGGTTTCACTGTGTAAGTTAGCCAGGATGGTCTCGATCTCCTGACCTCGTGATCCGCCCGCCTCAGCCTCCCAAAGTGCTGGGATTACAGGCATGAGCCACTGCGCCTGGCCTATTTTTCTTTTTGACAGAGTCTCACTCTGTCGCCAGGCTGGAGTACAGCAGCACAATCTCGGCTCACTGCAACCTCTGCCTCCCGGGTTCAAGCGATTATCGTGCCTCAGCCTCCCGAGTAGCTGGGATTACAGGCACGCGCCACCACTCCCAGCTAATTTTTGTATTTTTAGTAGAGATGAGGTTTCACTGTGTTGGCCAGGCTGGTCTCAAACTCCTGAGCTCAAGCCATCTGCCCACCTCAGCCTCCCAAAATACTGGGATTACAGGCATGAGCCACTGCGCCCAGCCAACATGTTCGATGTTAATGAATCACTTATATATTAAATAAAGTGTCTACAGAGAAACTCATAAAACCAGGTTAGGTATTGATCTGTTGATGAAAATGTGTGACCAGAGGTTTGTAAGAACTTAACCTGTATTTCTCCCTAGGAGCAATGGCTCCAGATCCGCTAATTCAGTGTTTGCAGAGACTTTACCACAAATAAGAATCCACTATGTGTAATGCGTGTCATCTACCATTCCTATTACGAAGGTGAGAAACAGGCTTGGAAGACTTCCCTGGCTTTCCAAGGTCATAAGGCTAGCTGTCCTCCGACATAGGACTTGAGCCCGAATCTGAGAATGATAGTTCCACAGCTCCTGCCCCAGAGTCCAGGTATCCGGAAGCACTGGTGGTGGGGTTGCTGCTTAACAGCTCTGCCGGGCTGCCTGCCCCACTCTCCAAACACCCATGTGGCAGTAAGGAGCCTCGTCTGTCCCCTGACCTGGCCACTGAACAGGTGCAGGCAGAAGGCAGGGACATGGGTAGAGGGGCAGGCAGGCATGAGATAAGACCACCTTATCCAAGACCATCTGCTAGAGATACAGGGGCAGAAAAGAGCCCAGCAGGTTTCTGGCCACCCTGTTGCTGATTACAGAGGGTGACTCATGGTCAAGGGAGGCACAGAGAGGGTAGGGTCTGAACCCTACCCTGCACCTGCTAGCTGTGACCTCAAGCAAGTCCCTGGATGCCCCAGTCTCTGTTAACTTATCTGTGAGACTGGTGCTAACTCCACCTCTTTTTTTTTTTTTTTTTTTTGAGATGGAGTCTTACTCTGTCGCCCAGGGTGGAGTGCAATGGCGCAATCTCGGCTCACTGCAACCTCCGCCTCCGGGATTCAAGTGATTCTCCTGCCTCAGCCTCCCAAGTAGCTGGGATTACAGGTGCCCGCCACCATGCCCAGCTAATTTTTGTATTTTTAGTAGAGACAGGGTTTCACCATGTTGGCCAGGATGGTCTCGATCTCTTGACCTCGTGATCCACCCGCCTTGGCCTCCCAAAGTGCTGGGATTACAGGCGTGAGCCACCGCTCCCAGCCTAACTCCACCTCTTAGAAGAGCCAAAAGGCACACCTGAGAGAGTTCATCTTGAATTTAGGTGGTTGAGCAAGCACAGCGATTTACTTGAGCCCACGAGCAACCTCTGTGAGAGATGTGAGCCTCATCCCCGTCCATTTCACAGACCAGGAAGCCGGGGCTCAGCACTGGTGCCCACAACGAGCCAGGCCCTCCCCACTGCCCTGCACCTTCCTCCTGGACTGTCGTGTGAGCACGGGGTGGGGGTGAGACAGTGGGGTACCTAGACCCCTGGAGGACAAGGAGGAAGACCAGAGGGGGCCCTGGTCTCTGTCACAACCCCCCCCTCTATTGCCAGTTTCTCACTAAAGTGAAGATACACAAGACTAGGCACAGCGTTGGGTCTGTTCATTCTGCAGATTCTACAAACATTCATCCATCACCCGCTATGGACCAAGCACTAGGTTGAACCAAGTGATACACGGATGCTGGTGCCAAAAAGGTAACAGTACAACATGACTCAGAAAGAGCTACATGTGGGGGCTTGTGAGGCCAAATGCGAACACATCTTCAAGGAACACAGAGCACTGTAGCAGTTTCACTGGCAGAACCAGCACATTGCCTTGGAGGCCACAGTCCATAGGGCCATCAGGGGTCCCAAAGTCACATAGCAGAGGGCAAATGAGGGGAACCAGGGTGTGGAGGAAGGCATCTTCCAGAAGAAGGGTCAACAAATTATAGCCCACAGGCCAAATCTAGCTGCTCCTTGATTTTTTTTTTTTTTTTTTTTTTTTTTTTTGAGACAGAGTCTCGCTCTGTCACCCAGGCTGGAGTGCAGTGGCACAGTCTCCACTCACTGCAAGCTCCACCTCCTGGGTTCACGCCATTGTCCTGCCTCAGCCTCCCAAGTAGCTGGGACTACAGGTGCCCGCTACCACGCCCAGCTAATTATTTGTATTTTTAGTAGAGATGGGGTTTCACTGTGTTAGCCAGGATGGTCTTGATCTCCTGACCTCGTGATCCGCCCGCCTTGGCCTCCCAAAGTGCTGGGATTACAGGCGTGAGCCACCGCACCCGGCCTGATTTTGTAAATAAAGTTTTATTGGCACACAGCCATACCCCCTCATTTACATATTGCATACGGCTGCCTTCCAGCTACAGCTGCAGCCTTAAGAGTTGTCATGGCCCACGAGGCTTAAAATATTTACTATGTGGCCCTTTATGGAGAAAGTATGCCCACACCTGTTCTGGAAGATCAGTTGCATGAGGTTAGAACTTTGTCAGTTTCATGCTCTGCCATCTCCCAAGCACCCGTCACAGTGCCCAGTCCAGAGCAGATGCTTATAAAGTGATGGGAGGCTGCTTGTATCACATTCTAATTCTGTGACCATGAGCTAGTTAAGTACTTATTCGAAAATGCATCCTCCGATCAAGTGGGAAGGAGTCCAGCCCCACCTCCAGCCCTTGACAACACAATGGAGAATAAGGAGGCGCAGCCCTGTACCCCTTTCTGGTCTCCTGGCCCCCGGGTAGCTCATCTCCTGCCCTGCCCTTGGTGTCCTGGGGCTGCCCTGCAAGCCTAGCCAGGCCTGTGAATCATCAGGACTGACTCACTGTCTAAAAATACATATTGTCTCATGTTGGCGGGTGCTGCTTTGATCACTGTTTGCACTCAATCTAGTCTTTTTCTGCTTGACTTTGAGGTCTTTGTGCGCAAGGTCTGGGTTTTCGCCACTCTGAGTCCCCAGGGCCAGGTTCCTGTTGCAGCCTGGAGCCGGAAAAGAATCTGGGAGGAAGAGGTTGGGTGTTGGGGCCAGCAGACTAGGGGACGACAGATCCTGCCCTGCCACTCATTTGCTGTGCAACTCTCAGCAAAGCACCCAACCTCTCCGAGCCCTCGCTTCCCCATCTGTGAAGTGGGGATCATAAGGCCCATCCTGCAAGGTGGTTTCCGCGGTGAAAATAGAAAACGAGGCCTGTTCCTACAGCCTGTGTGTCTTGGGAGGAACTGCTCATCATCTGTGATCCTTTTTTACCTGATTACGGGAAAGGGGAGTGATCTGCTCACTGACCCCCGGCTGGGCTTTTCCCTGCCAGTGAAATCATTTGAAATTGTCCAAGGAAATCAGGAACCTGAGCCGACGCAGAGTCACCGAGCTTGGTGCCAAGCACTGGGGGAGCTCCAGTTACAGAAAACAAGTGGAATCCACAGGCCCCGGGCTGAACGTGGAACTAATTTGGGAGGCAATGAGAAAGAGCGGAACATAACGCGGAGCCCGGGAGGCAGGTCTGCCCTGAGTCAGGACGCCATCCGGGGGGGTATCTGGGGCCCCTTGAAATTTTCAAGGTCCTGCTTCTGAAGTGGGGAGAGCCGGGACATGATGGGGACCCACTTCGGAATCTCAGGATGGCTGTGCAGAGACTCAGGGCACGGGCCTGGGGTCGGAGCAACTGCAATCACATCCTGACTTGCCCCCTCGATGCTGTGTGACCCGGGGCCTGTCGCTTCACCTCTCTGAGCCTCAGCTGCCGCATCTGTGAATGTACGATCTAGGGATCCCTCCCTCAGAGGGCTGCTTCATAGAAGGCTCAGTACCATGCCAGGCACGTAAGCCACTCTCAGGAAATCAGACATGTCGAGACATGACATCGGGGGTTGGGGGCAGCATTAGAGGAGCAAAGACCAGTAACGTCTCCCCCATTCATCTGTTCGTTCAGCAGATACTTAAGAACATGCAACCTGTGCCAGACTGAGGAACACAGGAGGGAACAAGACAGACCTAGCCCCACGCAAAAGGAAACAAATAGTGTGTACCTAATTGCAATCATCGTTTGAAGGATAAGAACAGGGTGCTTGGATAAAAAAATAACTGGGGCGGGCTAGGCATGGTGGCTCACGCCTGTAATCCCAGGACTTTGGGAGGCCGAGGTGGGCGGATCACCTGAGGTCAGGAGCTCGAGACCAGCCTGGCCAACATAGAAAAACCCCATCTCTACTAAAAGATACAAAAATTAGCCAGGCATGGTGGTGGGCACCTGTAGTCCCAGCTACTGGGGAGGCCAAGGTGGGAGGATCGCTTGAACCTGGGAGGTGGAGGTTGCAGTGAGCTGAGACCGTGCCACTGCACTCCAGCCTGGGCAACAGAGTGAGACTCCGTCTCAAAAAAAAAAAAGAAAAGAAAAAGTAAAAGTAAAGAGACAATGCACCCAAAATTTGGATAGATGGAAGGATAGAGGGATGGATATGTGATCACTCAAATTTAGTAAAATGTTAGTGAGTTGATGTTGCTGTTTCAAAATTTTCATAATAAAATGTTGGGGGAAAGTAACAAAACCAAGAAGAAAAAGAGGTAGAAACAAATTCTTTAACAGCTCTCTTTTCCTACGGAACACTGTCCAGGTGCTTAGCCGGGCAGCCAACACACAAATCCTTGCCTCACGCCCCAAACTCACTCTAAGTGTGTAGCCCTGGGCACACCCTCAAACCTCTCCGAGGCTGCAGTCCTGGTCTCGTAGGAAGTGAGAGGCCATCCTCCGGGAGAGGCAAGGCTGAGATGCACACAGTTGTTTTCAGAGCAGCAAGGCCACTTCGGCAACACCCAGAGCTTAGGGAGGACGTGGTCAACCAGCCTTTACTGGGGCCTGGGAGACTCCCCACTGACACAAACTCCCTTCTGGTTTGCACTGGGGACGTTCAGTCCCTTGGGTTATGCATTCACTGGTCCAATAGATATTTTCTGTGTGCCAGGCCCTGCACGGGGCACTGTAGTGTGAAGTCTGTCAGGTTCTTCCCTTTAAAGAACACCCCCAAGACACAGACAGATCCAATCCAGTGAGACACACACTCCGAGGGAGCCAACTCCAGCCTGGATAGACGCCAAGCCCCACAGCCAGGCTTCAGACTGACTCCCGCCTCAGTCCGGAACCTCAGCACAGGAAGGACCCTCGTGTCAGGATATCCAGGCCCCGCCCCAGCCCAATGGCCCCTGCCCCTCCTCTATGAACTAGCTTGAGCTCCCCGCCCTCTGGGGACAGAAGCCCCCCAGTGAGTCTGCTGCAGTCACAACAAAAGGTAATGGGGGCCAGGCGCGGTGGTTCACGCCTGTAATCCCAGCACTTTGAGGTTAAGGCGGGCTTATCACTAGAGGTCAGGAGTTTGAGACCAGCCTGGCCAACATGGTGAAACCCCATCTCTACTGAAAAAACAAAAATTAGCCGGCAGTGGTGGCGTGCACCTGTGATCCCAGCTACTCAGAGGCAGGAGAATCGCTTGGACCCAGGAGGCGGAGGTTGCAGTGAGCCGAGATCACACCACTGCACCCCAGCCTGGGTGAGAGAGGGAGACTCCGTCCCTAAAAAACGCAATGGGGTTGTGGTGTCCACTTGGGAAGAGCTGGGGAGGCAAAGGGAATAGGAATGATCTACTCCCCTGCCAGCCAGGCTGAGGCTGTGATCCAGCACAGATGACCCGAGTCAGGACAGCTTAGAGGGTCCCACCCAGTTTAGAGATCACATTCTCCAATTTGGCCAGAATTACACCTGCGTCCTCCAGCGAGGCATGGACCCAGAAATTATGCTTAGGGTCTCCTTCCAGCTTCACGACAGCCTCAGGAGGTAGATGCTGTCATGACCCCCACTTTGTAGGCGGGGAAACTAAAGTTCAGAGAAGTCACATAACTTGCCCAAGGTCACACACAGCCAGCCATGGCCACTGCCTTTACTTAAACAAGAGCAACAACAATCATGACAGCTGGAGTCACTTTAAGTGCATTATCTCATTTGACCAGAAGTAGGAAAACTTCTTGTCTCCATTTTACAGAGCAGAAAACTCAAGTTCAGAGAGACTCAGTAACTTGCCTGAAACAACTGAATAGGAAGATGGCAGAGCCAGCCTACGACAAACAGGATAACAGTAAGAATGGCAGCTATATTCATTCTGTATTGCTGCTCCAACAAGCTTCCACGAACTTAGTGACTTAAAAAAAGATACATTTATTCTCTTACCGTTCCAGAGGTCCGACGTCTAAAATCAAGGTGTCAGTAGAGCTTGGTTCCTCCAGGGGGTTCTGAGGGAGAATCTGAGTCCTTGTCTTTTCCAGATGCTACAGGACCCCTACAAAGCAGGTGGCTCCACCTTCAAAGCATGCATTCCACCCTCTGCTTCCAGCCTCACATGTCACGTTTCTTCTTGCCCCACCCACCGCCTCTTATAAGGACCACTGTGGGCCAGGTGTGGTGACTCATGCCTGTAATCCCAGCACTTTGAGAGGCCGAGGCCACCTGAGGTCAGGAGTTCGAGACCAGCCTGGGCAACATGGTGACATCCCATCTCTACTAAAAATACAAAAAGTAGCTGGGCATGGTGGTGCACGCCTGTAATTCCAGCTACTCGGGAGGCTGAGGCAGGAGAATCGCTTGAACCCAGGAGGCAGAGGTTGCAGTGAGCCGAGATCAAGCCTGCACTCCAGCCTGGGCAACAGAGTGAGACTCTGTCTCAAAAAAAAAAAAAAAAAAAAAAAAAAAAGACCCTTGTGATTACATCATTTGGCCCCTCAGGGATAATCCAGGTGAATTCCTTCATCTCAGGAGCCTTAATTTGACCACACCTGCAAAGCCCCTTTTACCATGTAAATTAGCACTTTCACGGGTTCTGGGGATTAGGATGTGGACCTCTTTGGGGGACCATGAGTCCATCCACCACATTAGCTAATATTCATGGAGCTCTTGCTAAGTGTCAGGCCTGTGCTGAGCATTCTGCATCATTTTAGACCTGCACAACTCACACTTTTTAAAATTCTGTATTTACATAAATTTATGGGGTACAAATACAATTTCATTACATGCGTAGATTGTGTAATAGTCAGGTCAGGGCTTTTAGGATCTCCATCATCCCGATCACATACATTGTACCCATTCAGTGATTTCTTTTTGTTGTTGTTGCTGCTGTGTTTTTTTGAGACAGAGTCTCGCTCTGTCACCAGGCTAGAGTGCAGGCTCGATCTCGGCTGACTGCAACCTCCACCTCCAGGGTTCAAGCTATTCTCCTGCCTCAGCCTCCTTTGTAGCTGGGATTACAGGCGCCCACCACCATGCCCGGCTAATTTTTGTACTGTTAGTAGAGACGGGGTTTCGCCATGTTGGCCAGGCTGGTCTCGAACTCCTGACCTCAGGTGATCCGCCTGCCTCAGCCTCCTGAAGTGCTGGGATTACAGGCATGGGCCACCGCACCAAGCCTATTTTTGTTTTTTTAAACAGGTTCTCACTTTGTCACCTAGGATGAAGTACAGTGGTGCAATCATGGCTCACTGCAGTCTCTATCTCCCAGGCTCAAACGATCCTCCCATCTCAGCTTCCTGAGTAGCAGGGACTACAGGTTGGTGCCACCATGCCCAGCTAATATTTTGCAATTTTTGTAGAGATGGGGTCTTGCCATGTTGCCCAGGCTGGTCTTGAACTCCTGGGCTCAAGTGATCCTCCTGCTTCGGCCTCCCAAAGTGCTAAGATTACAGGTGTGAGCCACCTCACCTGGCAGCCATTAAACTATTTCTTATGATTCACAGCGGTGGATGAACTGCCAAAATTCACGTTCACTCTTCTGAATCTCCATTATTTATTATTCCACTCTCTGTGGAGCCATGTGTATGCATTTTTTAGCACCCACTTGGGAGTGAGAACATGCAATATTTGTCTTTCTGTATCTGGCTTATTTCACTTAAGATAATGACCTCTAGTTCCATGCGTGTTGCTACAAAAACATCTCACACTTTAATGTACACACAGATCACCTGGGGGTCTTGCTAAAATACAGATTCTGGTTCAGTAGGTCTGGATTTCTAACAGATGTCCAGGTGATACTGAGCTATTGTTCCAGAGACCACTCTTTTTTATTTTATTTTAATTTTATTATTTTTGAGACAAAGTTTCACTCTTGTTGCCCAGGCTGGAGTGCAGTAGCGCCATCTCGGCTCACTGCAACCTCCACCTCCCGGGTTCAAGCGATTCTCCTGCCTCAGCCTCCCAAGTAGCTGGGATTACAGGTGCCCACAACCATGGCGGCTAATTTTTGTATTTTTAGTAGAGACAGGGTTTCCCCATGTTGGCCAGGGCGGTCTTGAACTCCTGACCTCAGGTGATCCACCCACCTTGGCCTCCCAAAATGCTGGGATTACAGGCTTGAGCCACCGCGCCCAGCCCTCAATTTTTTTTTTCATAAAATAAAAATCAAAATGCAAAAATCATTCTTAGTTTAACGTCCATGCAAAAATAGACGGTCAACCAGATCTGGCCTGTGAGCCACAGGATGCGGACCCTTGTTCTACAATGTCAGTTCCAGGAGGGCATGTCTGTCTGTCTGTCTGATTATGTTTCCTGAAGTATCACTTGCGTCTAAAACAGTGCCTGGCATCTAGTAGCTGCTCAAAAAATATTTGCTGAATGAAAGAGCAATTCCTCTTGTTTAATTCTTACAACTGCTTTACCAAGGGGTTACATATATGAATATTGTGTACAGAGGAAGAAATGATGAGAGTAATGTCTCTGGATTTATCGACGGGAAAACAGGCATAGAGATGGCATGTTCCAGCCTGTGCAGCTGGTCTCCTAGAGGAAGCAAAAGCACTGCGATCCTCCTCAGCAGTTCGAGAACCTCCTCCCCAACAGATCGCCCCGTCCCCAGGCGGCTCCAGGCCCCGACCCTGAAGCTTGAGACCCCACCCCCAGAAAGCTCGAGGCCCCGCCCCTTAGGCATGAGGCCCCGCCCCCAGCCGGCCGGAGGCTCCGTCCCCAGACAGCTTGAGGCCCCGCCCCCAAAGAGCCTGAGGCCCCACCCCCAGGCGGCTCGGGGCCCCGCCCCTGCAGCCCGAGGCCCCGCCTCCAAGGGGCTCGAGTCCTCACTGGACCAAGCGACACAGAACTGGGTGCGTCCCCAGCACAGCAGGTCCGGGACCCCTCACGCCAGCCACATCTCGGGCCAGGCCTCGCGGAACTCTCACTGGCAATAAAAAGCAGCCATACGTTCTCTCCTATGTTTGTTGGAAGCAACAAACAGCCCGGCCCAGCCAGCTTGGGCAACCAGGCCTCACTCCACAAGGCGGGGCGCAGGTCAGGGGACACTGTCGAGGATGTTTCCAAAGCCCGGCAGGTCAGGGCCTGGCACACAGATCCCCTTCAGGGGCCAGTCTGGTAACATAGACATGTGAAACGGGTGGAGTTGAAACCACAGGCGCCAAATGGCCGCTACTGCCACAGGCAGTGACACCTGTCCAGTTTCGGGGCTTTTTAAAGCCCTCTGTGGCTGAGGCAACGCGTCAGAGAGACCCACGTGGCTGAAAGCTTGTTGGTTTCACAGAGGGCGCCTCCCACTTCATGGCCTTTGCCCATGCTGTCCCCTCAGCCTGTGATGTTCTTCTTGCAAAACCATTCTTAGTTCCTAATCCCTGCAAAAACACTTGGCCAACAAGATCTGGGCCGTGAGCTGCGTGTGCAGAACCCTGTCGGCCCCATTAGCTAACTCCTTCTCTGACTTCAAGTCTCAGAGAATTCTTCCCCAACACAGGCACCCCGCACCTCCCTTGTCACAGGGCAATTTCACATTTGTTTGCTTACTTGATCAGTGTCTGTCTACCCTTGTATTCCTTTCCCAGGGCTACAGTAACAAATTATCATAAAGCTTAAAACCACAGAATGTATTGTCTCACAGTTGCGGGGAACAGAAGTCCAAAACCAAGGTGTTGGCAGGGTTGGCTCCTTCTGGAGGTTCCCAGGGAGAATCAGATCCATGCCCATCTCCTGGCTGATGGTGACTCCTTGGCTGGTGGCAGCATCACTGCAATCTCTGCCTTTCTCATCACACAGCACTCTCCCTGTATGCATCTGTGTGCCAGGGTCCCTCTTCGTATAAGAACCCCAGTCGTGCCATATAGAGGGCCCATCCTAAAACAGTATGACTTCATCTTATCTTGACAACATCTGCAAAGACTCCATTTCCAAATAAGGTCATATTTGCAGGTTCCAGGTGGATGTGAATTTTCAGAGGACACTGTGCAACCCAGGAGAGCCCCCAAGTGTGGGGGGTCCACTTACACTGTGCCTGGAAGGTGGGGACCCCCTTGCTGAAACCCTTCACTCACTTGCCACCAGTACCCTGGCCTGATCTCTGCTGGGGTGAGAGGGTGACTGTGAACAAGACGGGGAGGAGAGATGGTCCAGGAGTGCACTGGCCAGGGCGGGAGCTGGTGGTGAGGGCACAGTGGGTACTTGATGTCTCAGTCTGTGTGGCCTCCTTTCCTCCTCTGCTTGATGACAGGGCCCAGAGTTTTCTCTGAAGCTTTGCTCCTCCCCAACTCTTGGTTCACGGGGTTTGGGTAGAGATGATGCCATTCCTAGGTCTGGAGATGGCCGTGTGTCCCAGGCCTGGCCAATCAAACAATGCTTCTACCTGACACAGTGACCGGTTCAGGACTGGACAGATGACCCAGTCATTGCCAACGAAGTCTCGTTCTGTTGCCCAGACTGGAGTACAATGACGTGATCTCGTCTCACTGCAACTTCCGCCTGCCAGGTTCAAGTGATTCTCCTGCCTCAGCCTTGCAAGTAGCTGGGATTACAGGCACGTGCCACCACACCCAGCTAATTTTCATGGTTTTTTTTTTTGTTTTGTTTTGTTTTTTTTTAAGTAGAGACAGGGTTTCACTGTGTTGGCCAGGCTGGTCTCGAACTCCTGACCTCAAGTGATCCACCCACCTCGGCCACCCAAAGTGCTGGGATTACAGGTGTGAGCACCAAGCCCGGCCTCAACTTGGGCTTCTGATGGAACTTATCCTTAAGTAGCTGAGCCCGTGGCTATAAGCCTCTTGTCCTGGGCAGCCACCTTGCCACTATGAGGAGGGAACCAGTGCTTGAATGAAACCCCTGCAGAGAAAACTGAAACCAACAGCCAGGAGAGGGACTCCCGATGCCACATGTGAGTGCCTGGATCCAGCCATTCCTGAAGCCACATGTATGCCTACACTTTTTGGTTACATGGCCCAGTGAGTACCCTTTTTGCTTAAGCCAGTTTGAGTTGGTTTTCTGTCAGAGATAACAGAGTGAAGTGACATGTAGTGTGAAAGCCACATTGGATCCCAGGACTGTTATGGAAACTGAGGTTTGCTGTGGCTGGGCCACTTTCATTGAGGTCACAGCTCTGACTTGGCAGCAGGCACTGAACTACACAAAGCAGGATTCCTGTTTAATGGGAGATAAGGAACAATTACAGTGTCAAGAGGTGAGGCCAGTTTGAGCATTTCAGTCCCCAAGCATACCCAGGAGGGCTAGACTCAAGAAGAGAAACTTTAGGATGGCTCTAGATGCCAGAGGGAAGGGTTTGGGGTGAGGTGGGGAGATGGAAGTGGAGGTGCTGATCTGGGTACCGTCCCCAAGGCTGAGAAGGAGCCTGGGACTTGGCAGAGTCCCAAGAAGAGACAGGGGGTATGAGGGCCCTTGGTACTAAAAACAGAACCAGGCACAGTGGGTCATGCCTGTAATCACAGCACTTTGGGAGGCCGAGGCAGAAGAATCGCTTGAGGCCAGGAGTTTGAGACCAGCCTGGGCAACATAGCAAGACCCTGTCTTTACAGAAAATTAAAAATTAAAAATATAAAAATTAGCCAGGTGTGATGGTGCACGCTTGTAGTCCCAGCTACTCAGGAGGCTGAGGTAGGAGGATTGTTTGTACCCAGGAGTTTGAGGTTGCAGTGAGCTATGATCGAACCACTGCACTCTGGCCTGAGCAACAGAGCCAGACTCTGTCTCTACAAAAAAAAAAAAAAAAAAAAAAAAAAACAACTAAGAATAAGGCTCTTTCTGGCTGCTAGGAAGGGCCCCGGTCCCTAAGCTTGGCTCATGAGCAGTGGAGCTGCCACCTTTGAGGGCTCCTGGAGCTTGGAGTCAGGGCACAGAGCAGGCCCAGTGTGGATTTGAGCCTGGAGGGCCTTTCCACACATACCTGACCCAATATGCTCCTGAGACCTTCTCCCAGCTCTGGGGAGCAATGGCAGGGAGCCCTGGTATTAAATAATTGTGGCTAGGTCCAAGCATGGTGGCTCACGCCTGTAATCCTAGCATTTTGGGAGGCTGAGGCAGGTGGATCGCTTGAGGCCAGGAGTTCGAGACCAGCCTGGACAACGTGATGAAACTCCATCTCTACTAAAAATACAAAAATTAGGTGTGGTGGTGCACAGCTGTAATCCCAGCTACTCAGGAGGCTGAGACAGGAGAATTGCTTGAACCCAGGAGGCAGAGGTTACAGTGAGACGAGATCACACCACTGCACTCCAGCCTGGACGCCAGAGCAAGACTCCGTCTCAAAAATAAATAAGTAAATAAAATAAATGATTGTGGTTCACAACACATTCCATTTAATTTAGAAAAAAATAATGGATTATGGCTTAAAAAAAAAACAGAGTCTTGTTCTGTTGCTCAGGCTGGAGTGCAGTAGTATAATCATAGCTCACCACAGCCTTGAACTTCTGGGCTCAAGCAATCTCCCTGCCTCAGCCTCCCAAGTAGCTGGGACTATAGGTGCACACCAACACACCCTGCCTTTTTTTTTTTTTTTTTTTGGTAGGATGGGGGTCTTGCTACGTTGCCCAGGCGGGTCGGGAACTCCTCAAGCAATCCTCCTGCCTCGGCCTTCCAAAGTACTGGTATGATAGGCATGAGTCACTGCGCCTGGCTAGATTGTAATGTTTTTACAACCCATGTTTGTGGAGTGAAACTTATGTGTGTGATTAATGGTCAGGGATTCCACCAGGGAGACTGGGGGCCACTCCCCTGACAGCCTCTGGAAACCCCACCCCTAGACTGTCCTCAGCTACTCAGCTGCATCTCTTAACCCCTGCAAAGCACTTAGAGCAATGCCTTGTGTGTAGCAAGGTTGCATAAGAGCCTGCTCTTACTGCTGCTGTTTTCATTCCATCTAGCACTTTACAAGCTTCAGGCAAGAAGTCCTAGATTCATGAAACACCAGCATGTCCTCCTGGGAAGAAAAGGCTCTTGGAGAGCCGAGCTTATGACAGAAAAGAGACATCAACAAATTCTCCTCCTAATATTTCTTGATTGATTGATTGATTGAGACAGGGTCTCACTCTGTTGCCCAGGCTGGAGTGCAGTGGTGAGATCACAGCTCCCTGTAGCCTCAACTTCTCAGGCTCAAGCAATCCTCCTGCCTCAGCCTCCTGAGTAGCTGGAACCACAGACACCTACCACAATGCCTGGCTAATTTTAAAATTTCTTGTAGAGATGGGGTCTTGACACATTGCCCAGGCTGGTCTCAAACTCCTGAGTTCAAGCAGTCTGCCCATCTTAGCCTTCCAAAGCGCTGGCACTACAGGTGTGAGCCACGGCACCCGGCCTCTTCCTAATGCTTAAAGAGAAAAATGTAAAGATGCATCAGTGAGTCTCAGGACGCTTCCCATCACTAACCTCTCTCTCCTTGGGCCACTGACTTGCTGTCCAAACAGTGCACCCTGGTCATGATTCATGTGCGTTAGCCATATCCAATGGCTACCCAGCTCCTCCTGCAGTCTTGGAGCTGAGGCCTTCCCTTAGGAAGGGAAGGGACCCCTCTTCAGGGGTCCAGATTTTCCCTCCAGCTTCATAGCAAATCCCATGACCCACCAACAAATGACAGCAAGCCCACCCTCCCTCCCACCTGGATTCGCCCATCCAGCGTGAGACACCTGTCCACCCAAGTCCCTGCTAGCTTCCCATTGAGATTGACTCTCCCATTCAGAAAGCGTAAGAGAAGAGGATATTGATGGCTCCCTGCAAACACATGATCGCCGTGGAGATGGAGATGGGCAAGCATGCAGAGCAACGGGGCCGGAGACCTGGCTGAGGGAGGGGAAGCCATCCCGAAATGAATCCTGGAGTGGGTTGGGACCCTGCACGGATACACTGCGACCGATTGCTTGTGTGTAGGCAGCTTCAGCTCCAGGATTACAAGGCCACCAGATGAGGTCTGGAAAGGTGAGGGCTGTGTCGTTGCCGCCAGGTAAATATGGATTCCTGGGTCACAAAACCCAAATAGTAATGTTTCCTGTGGTGGACACTACCTGAAAGGACCCCGATGTTAGTAAACAGGCAACTATAATTCACTATATCTTCTGAGCATATCAAATTCCTAATAGAGAATATAATGGCAGAGTACCATGTTAAGAAAAGCAATCACAGGCCAGGTGTGGTGGCTCACACCTGTAATCCCAGCCCTTTGGGAGGCTGAGGTGGGAGAATCGCTTGAGGCCAGGAGTTTGAGACCAGCCTGGGCAACATAGCGAGACCCCCATCTCTACAAAAATTTAAAAATTAGCCAGGTGTGATGGTGTGCACCTGTGGTCCCAGCTACTTGGGAGGCTGAGGAAGGAGGATGGCTTGAGCCCAGAAGGTTGAAGCTGCAGTAAGCCATGATCACGCCATGGCACTCTATCCTGGATGACAGGGCAGGACACTGTCTCAAAAAAAGAAAAGAAAAAGAAAAACATCTAAGTACCATTTCCATAACTCTATTGCTAAGCTCAATGGTTATCAAATGCTTATCACAAAGATTCAACCTGGACACATACCCAGCTCCTGGCTGCTTCATAAATACTCCTGCTCCTTTTTTTTTTTTTTTTGAGACGGAGTCATGCTCTGTCGCCCAGGCTGGAGTGCAGTGGTGGCGATCTTGGCTCACTGCAACCTCTGCCTCCTGGGTTCAAGTGATTCTCCTGCCTCAGCCTCCCAAGTAGCTGGGATTACAGGAGTGAGCCACTGCGCCTGGCCCTGCTCTTTATCAGAATAAATGGATTCATGGCCTCCTTCACACTCTTCCCCCATCCAAAGCACCCCCCACACACTCACAGATGCGCTCACGCACACACGCACACACACAGTGTTGTCTACTCAGTGTGTTCTCCCAAAAAGAGAGGTGTTCAAACTCCGTGTGCCTCATTTTGTTGTGACAACTTTCTTTTACTTTTTATTTATTTATTTGGAGGCAGGGTCTCATTCTGTGGCCCAGGCTGGAATTCAGTGGAGTGATCTCAGATCACTGAAACTCGAACCCCTGGGCTCAACTAGTCTTCCCACTTGGGCCTCCCAAGTAGCTGGAACTACAGGCACATGCCTGCATGCCTGGCTAATTTTTAAAATTTTTAGTAGAGACGAGGTCTTGTCATGTCGCCCAGGCTGGTCTCAAACTCCTAGGCTCAAGCGATCACCCCACCTCGGCCTCCCAAAGTGCTGGGATTACAGGCATGAGCCACCATGCCCGCCCTGTAGTGACAACTTTCTAAACTCAATGCTCAGTCCTCCATAGCCCTCCAGTTCTTGCTGAACTTTTTTTTTTTTTAAATAGAGACAGGATCGCCCTATGTTGCCCAGGCCTGGAGTACAGTGGCCATTCACGAGCATAATCACCATGCTCTACAGCCTCGAACTGCTGGCCTCAAGTGAACCTCCTGCCTCAGCCTCCCAAGCAACTGGGATTACAGGTGTGCACCACCATGCCTGGCTACACTGGACTTTTTAAGTTAGATACTCACAGGGACATTAGCAATGAATCGACTTCACAAAGCTTCCTCATGGATAGAGTTCCTCTGCATTTTACAGTTAGGACCCAGGTCAGCTTCTGCAACTTCATGCTAAAAATTTATCAATGTCAATTTTTTAAACGTGCAAAAATATGTTAACACAGCATTAAACAAGAAGATAGGACACCACCTACGCATCCATTTTCCCCATATGCACTGATTTTAATGAAATTGCTGCTGTTTATGAAATACAAATGACTGGTAAATTTTTTTTTTTTTGAGACAGAGTCTTGCTCTGTTGCCCAGGCTGGAGTGCAGTGGCACCATCTCAGCTTACTGTAACCTCCATCTCCCGGGTTCAAGTCATCCTCCCCTCTCAGCCTCCTGAGTAGGTGAGATTACAGGCATGCACCACCACACCCGGCTAATGTTTGGTAGAGACGGGGTTTCTCCATGTTGGCCAGGCTGGTCTCGAACTTCTGACCTCAGGTGATCCACCCGCCTTGGCCTCCCAAAGTGCTGGAATTACAGGTGTGAGCCACTGCACCCGGCCACTGGTAAAGATTTTAAATATTGCAGCTGAGCCTTCTGTGAATGTTTTTGTTTGTTTTGTTTTGTTTTGTTTTTCTTTTTTCTTTTTTTTTTTTTTTTTTTTTTGAGACAGAGTCTGTCTCTGTTGCCCAGGCTGAAGTGCAATGGCACGATCTCGGCTCACTGCAACTTCTGCCTCCCGGGTTCAAGTGATTCTCCTGCCTCAGCTTCCCGAGTAGCTGGGATTACAGGTGCCTGCCACCGCGCTCGGCTAATTTTTGTATTTTTAGTAGAGATGGGGTGTCACCATGCCGGCCAGGCTGGTCTCGAACTCCCGACCTCAGGCAATCTGCCCACCTTGGCCTCCCAAAGTGTTGGGATTACAGGCGTGAGCCACCGCCGGCCGCCTTCTGTGAATGTTTTATTAAGTTCCCATATAGCCCAGTTCACTAGCGGAAATAAGCAGCAGGGAGATTGGCACATTGTATCTCCCATTTTTAGATTAATACTTAAAAAAAATCTTAGGACTTTCATTAATTTTTTTTTTCTGCCCAGAACATTTATTTTCACTGAAAGGCTTTGGTCTTAATCTATTCTGAAAACCCGGGGTTTCATTGTAGGTGAACTGATTAGGGAGTCCGCATTCTTCCAGAGTGACATAAATCCTGCACCCGTGGGGAAGGGTGATAATATAGATTGCATTCTTGCCTTAGGTAGGTGGACACATTATCCTGGGACCCCAGGCAGCACTTTCTAGACTTTTCTCCCAGTTATATCCATAAGGGACAGGCTCATGACTGCAAGGACTTCAGCTCCCTGCCACGCCAAAGACACAAGAGGAGGGGCCCCCGAAAGCCTAAAGGGAAACCAGAAGGTTTCCCTTTATGACGCTCATTCACTCAAAAAGCACCGCATGTCCCATAAACCTGACCTCAACTCCTCTCAGGGAGAAAAAGCTGGGTTGAACTGGTGCATATTTATTTTTTTCTATAGGAAACTTTATAGATTTTTTTTTTTTTTTTTTGAGACAGAGTCTTGCTCTGCAGTCCAGGCTGGAGTGCAGTGGCCCAATCTCAGCTCACTGCAGCCTCTGCCTCCCAGGTTCAAGCCAGTCTCCCACCTCAGCTGGCAGTAGCTGGGATTACAGGCACATGCCACCACGCCTGGCTAATTTTTTTGTATTTTCAGTAGACAGGGTTTCGCCATGTTGGCCAGGCTGGTCTCGAACTCCTAACCTCAAGTGATCCACCCGCCTCAGCCTCCCAAAGTGCTTGTATAGGAAACTTTGTAAAATGCTGCACACACCAGCCTCTGCCTGAGCATTAGCAGTTTGGAGAGAGAGAGGAACACAGAGCTAGGTCATCTCTCCAGAGGAGCCAGGTCCCACCCCTGATCGTTGCTTTGTGACTTTGTGAAGTGTCTGGGTTCACAATGGTGAGTGGGGGAACTGAATTAGAAGGGCTCTAGCCCTTTTCCCTCTGAAATCTTACGATTCTGTGAACCCTCCTACTGGGCTTGGGGATCTTCATTTTTGCAGAAGTCGTGACTGTAACGCTGGGTGTGGTGGCTCACACCTGTAATCCCAGCACTTTGGGAGGCGGAGGTGGGCAGATCACCTGAGGTCAGGAGTTCGAGATCAGCCTGGCCAACATGGTGAAACCCCATCTCTCCTAAAAATACAAAAATTAGCCAGGCATGATGGCAGGCACCTGTAACCCCAGCTACTCAGGAGGCTGAGGAAGAAGAATCACTTGAACCTGGCTGCAGTGAGCCGAGATCATGCCACTGCACTCTTGCCTGGGCAACAGAGCAAGACTCCATTTCAAAAAAAAAAAAGAAGAAGAAAAAGAAGGAGTAATCGTACTAATTGGCTGGAGGACATGGGGAATCTGAACTGTCAAAGGGAAGAAGTCAGGAAAAACTGAATGTTAGACATAGCCCACCTTGACTCCTAGAGGAGCTTGGCGAAAAGCTTGGGAAGCAGACACTAGACAGTGGCCCTTCACTAAAAACCACGTCTCTGGCCGGGAGTGGTGGCTCATGCCTGTAATCCCAGCACTTTGGGAGGCCGAGGCGGGCAAATCACCTGGGGTTGGGAGTTCGAGACCAGCCTGACCAACATGGGGAAACCCCATCTCTACTAAAAATATTATAATAATAATAATTTAAAAACCATGTCTCCTTAGTCACTTCCTGGGTGCTGGCAAATTGGATATGGGTACATTACAGATTTACCTCATTCCATCCTTACGACAGCCCTTTGGGGTAGGTACAAGTGGTGTTATTGGCCAGGTGCAGGTGTGTCCTGCCCGCATGCAGTAATCAGTCACTGTGACTATGACGTGGGTTTTGCAAAAGAGAAAAGATTTATTTGCAAGGCCACCAAGCAAGGAGGTAGAACAGCTCTCACATCCTGCTTCCTGAAGATAAGGCTTAGGGATATTTATGGGTTAGGGAAACACGGTGGTGTAAGGCATGGGGAAACGTGATTGGCAGCAGGGAAAAATTAATTGATAGGTTTGTTCTGCACAAGCGTAATAGTCAGAGTTGGTGGCATTTCATAGGACATGTGTACAGAAAGTGGTGGCATTAGCATGATCTGAGGGCGGGATCTTTGGCCCTCTGACATCAAAAGTCCACTTCTTGGGCATTTGGGCAGGCCCATTGAAGAACTGGTGGTCCCAACCTGATTGAACTGGATGGGAGCTGGCCTAAGTTCCTGAAAAACAACTGAAGCAAACATTACCATAGTGACCTGTGAATGTGATCTCTAAAGAAGCTAGTGAAGGGTATATTTCAGTGTTTAATGCATGGTATTCAGCTACCACAGCCTTCAGCTATGACTATCTTCAGCTTCATAGGAAAAAGAGAAAAAGGCCAGGCATGGTGGCTCATGCCTGTAATCCCAGTTTTTTGGGAGGCCAAGGTGGGAGGATCGCTTGAGCCCAGTTTAAGACCAGCCTGGGTAACATAGTGAGACCTTGTCTCTGTTATAATAAAAAAAATTAACACAACAGGCAAGGAAGGAAGGAGGGAGGGAGGTAAGGGAGGAAGGGAGGGAAGGAGGAAGAAGGAAGGAAGGAAGGAAGGAAGGAGAAAGAAAGAGAAAGAAGAGAAAGAAAAAAGGAGAAAAATGAAAGATTAACAAAACAAGCAAGTGACCAAAGCAAGCAGGGCAGCCAGACCTGATCAAATTAACTCCTCAGTTTTGGTGACAGTGACTATTCACTGCTTCCCAATCTCCAGCCCTCCCTTCCTTCTTAGTAGCAGAATCCTAGAAATGTGTCTAGCTAGAAAACTATTGTATTAGTTAGCTATTGCTGCGTAACAAATGAGCACAACGCTTAGCTCCTGAAATCAAAACAAAAAAGTTTGGCATCTCATGTTTTCAGTGGGTCCTCTGACTCGGGTCTCTTGTGAGACTGCATTGAGATTTCCACAAGGGCTGCCATCATCTGAAGGTTAATCTGGGGAAGGATCTTCTTCCCAAGCTCACTCATGATAAGACTGTTGCACCGAGGGCCTCAGGTCCTTGCTAGCTGTTGACCAGAGGCATCAGTTTCTCTTTCTTTTTTTTTTTTTTGAGACAGATTCCTGCTCTGTCGCACCATGATACTGGCTAATTTTTGTATTTTTAGTAGAGACGGGGTTTCATCATGTTAGTCAGGCTGGTCTCAAACTCCTGACCTCAAGTGATCCACCCGCCTTGGCCTCCCAAAGTGCTGGGATTACAGGCATGAGTCACTGCTCCCAGCAGAGACATCAGTTTCTTACCACGTGGGCCTTTCCAGAGAGCACCTCACTACCTGGTGGCTGGTTTTCCTCAGAGCAAGACAGGATGCCCAAGACAGAACTGCCATCTCTTTGAAACCTAATCTCACAAGGGACATCCCATCACTTTTACCATAGATGTTGATATGGCTTGGCTGTGTCCCCACCCAAATCTCAACTTGAATGGTATCTCTCAGAATTCCCCCATGTTGTGGGAGGGACCCGGGGGGAGATAATTGAATCATGGGGGCTGGTCTTTCCCGTGTTATTCTTGTGATAGTGAATAAGTCTCTTGAGATCTGATGGGTTTATCAGGGGTTTCCGCTTTTGCTTCTTCCTCATTTTTCTCTTGCCACCATGACAGAAGTGCCTTTCACCTCCCACCGTGATTCTGAGGCCTCTCCAGCCATATGGAACTGTAAGTCCAATAAAATCCCTTTTTCTTCCCAGTCTCAGGTATGTCATTATCAGCTGCATGAAAACAGACTAATGCAGATGTTATTGCAGCTAGACATGGTTATGTGACTAAATTCTATTCTTCCAGCCATAGTCTATTGCTTAGAAGAAAGTTACTAGATCCAGCCACACTCAAAGCGAGTGGGAATACAAATACAAATACAAATACAAATACAAATACAAATACAAATTTCCCCCCTTCCTCACAAGGGGGAAAATGCTGGAATAAAGGGATTAATGGGGACTTTTGGGGAGTGGAGAAGGGCCTTTTTTTTTTCTTGAGACAGGATCTCACTCTGTAACCCAGGCTGGCATGCAGTGGCATGATCATAGCTTACTGTAGCCTTGAACTCCTGGACTCAAGTGATCCTCCCACCTCAGCCTCCCAAGTATCTGGGACTACAGGTATGCACCACCATGCTCAGCTAATTTTGAAATTTTTGTAGTGACAGGGTTTCACTACGTTGCCCAGGCTTGTCTGGAACTCCTGGGCTCAAGTAATCCTCCTGCCTTGGCCTCCCAAAGTGTGAGCCACTGCATCCAGTGATATTGGGGCCATTTTTGAGGCTACCTACCACAGCTACCTCTCCCAGATGTTCTTGCAGATAGGCATGGCCAAATGTTTTATTTTTTATTTTTTTAGATACAGGGTCTCACTCTGTCACCGAGGCTGGAGTGTAGTGGTGCAATCACAGCTCACTGCAGCCTTAACCTTCTGGGCTCAAGTGTTCCTCCCACCTCAGCCTCCCGAATAGCTGGAATTACAGGCCTGTGCCACCACGCCCGGATAATTTTTATTTTTTTGTAGATGGTATGCCACTATGTTGCCCAGGCTGGTCTTGAACTCGTGGCCTCAAGTGATCTGCCCACCCCATTTCAGTTACTGTATTCAGACCTCTGTTACTCTCAGTTGAACCTAATTGTAAACATTGCAGTATTACTGTCCCCCCTCCATTGTACAGAAGAAAGTCGAAGTTCCAGCCAGGTGCGGTGGCTTGTGCCTGTAATCCTAGCACTTTGGGAGGCTGAGGCGGGTGGATCATTTGAGATCAGAAGTTCGAGACCAGCCTGACTAACATGGCAAAACCCTGTTTCTACTAAAAACACAAAATTTAGCTGGGCCTGGTAGTGCATGCCTGTAGTCCCAGCTACTCTAGAGGCTGAGGCACGAGAATCACTTGAATCCAGGAGGCAGAGGTTGCAGTGAGCCGAGATTGCACCACTGCACTCCAGACTGGGCGACAGAGCAAGACTCCATCTCAAAGAAAAAAAAAAAAAGGAAAAGAAAAGAAAGAAAAGAAAACCGAGGTTCCTAGGTACATAGGACTTACCCAAGGTCAGAAGCAAGTAAGTGGTTGAGGCTGAGCTTGACTTCCAATTTGTTTCACTACAAACCACATCTTTCCTCCAATGCTTCTATTTTATTTTTCTTTTTTGAGACGGCCTCTTCCAATGCTTCTAGAGAGAGATCTATGAGGCGGGGGCAGGGGGGGTGTCAACCAGAGCTCCTGCCTTATCTTTTAGACAATTTTCACTATATGAAGTCAAACGGGAGACAGGAGTGCTATGTGACGGTAGCCTGGCAAAGCAGTCCCTTTGCTAAGGCAGGGAGGTTTTATGACTGGTTTTATTTATCAGGCTGCCTGTCTCTCCTGTGGGGACACTCAGCAAGGGAACATTGTGGACTGGGAAATTGTTGGTTTGGGAAACGTTCCCAATTTCAGCATAAGTGATAGGGAAGGCTGGGCCGAAAGGGCAAAAAGTCGGAAGGACTTTTTGTCTGGGAAGGATCTGGGCTGTGTCTGGGAAGGATCTGGGAAGGATCTGGGCTGTGTCTGAAGCCGGGCAGTGTTGTTGTAGACTGAAGACTTGGCAGGGCAAGGCCAGTAGCAATGCCCTTCTAGAGGAGGGACAGGGAGATTAAAAAGCCCCAACTCACGAGGCCATCTCCTTCTGGAGAAGACCTTAATCAGATCCCCATGGAAGGATGATGGAAGTTGCTTGTTGAGATGGGTCATTCCCTAACCACGGAACTCCAATTCAGTCCCTGGGACCTAACAGACAAGCTCACCTTCCATTGGGGGTGAAACGATGCTTGTCACCTCAACTTCCCTGCAGCCTTTTTCCTGTTTAAAAACTTGCTTCTTTCATTCATTCACCCTAACCTACAGCAGTCCCTTGAGACAGGAACATTAACCTAGTTAATGCACTCACCTGGATGAAAGAAGAGTATCAGCTCACCAATTTGCTGTAAGTTAATGAGCGCCTCTCAAGGATCCAAAAAGGCTTTTGCAGATTAAGCTGGATGTTTCTGTTTCACTCTTTGCACTGGTCTACGATGACTATGCACCAGCAGCCTCTTTTTTCACAGACTGCAGGGTCTTTCCTGTAGCCAAATATTCTCTGTAATCATTTGGGCTTTTATGGTGGCAGGTGTCAGAAATGTAACTCAAACTAGGGTAAGCAAAAGTGAGAGAAGATGTATGGATTTATGGAACAGGAAGGGATGGGGTGGATCTAGCACTGGGCACATATGGAGCCTTCTATAGCTGCTGTCCATATGCTCCCTCAAACTGGGTTGTCCTCCTTCCCTCCTCCTGCAGATGGGTTCCCAGCGTGGACTGGAAGATGGCGGCCAGCAAGCCCACATCCTGTTCTTCCAGCATAGTGGCTATAACAGGCAAGAGGATCTTCCCCATGATTGAGACATCTGGGTCACATGCTCATCCCAGGGCAAGGGAGCTCTCTGATCAACTGGCCTGGGTCCTGTTCCCACCTCCTACAGATGGGAGGGCAGGGTGCTGTGAATGGCAGGCTTCACCAGAATTCATTATTAGAGAAGATCAGCTCAAAGAAATGGGGTGCTTCCAGAAAACAGCGGCTCATTTCTACTTCAGTCCAACATTGCACAGAGGTGGATGAAGGTTTCTCTGTGCATGTTTGCAAAACCAAGTCCCCAGCAGTCGTAGATGGATTTCCCAATGCAGAGCCACTCCTGAATCTGGTGTGGGAATCCTTCCCACCCTTCTTGCCCATCCTGTCTTCTGTCTTCCTGGCCCTCTCCCCTCACTTTCCTGCTTTTGTTTCTTTTTTCTTTTCTTTTCCTTTCCTTTTCGTCTTTCTTTCTTTTCTTTGTCATTCTTTCTTCCTTTTCTTCCTTCCTTCTTTCCTTTCTCCTTCCTTCCTTCTCTTTCTCTCCTTTCTTTCTTCTCTCTCTTTCTTCTTTCTTCCTTTTTTTTTTTTTTTTTTTTTTGAGTCAGGATCTTGCTTTGTCACCCAGGCTGGAGCGCAGTGACACAATCATAGCTAGCCGCAGCCTCAACCTCCTGGGCTCAAGCAGTCCTCCCTCCTCACCCTCCTGGGTAGCTGGGACCATAGGCACACACCACCTGGCTAATTCCTACCGGCTTTTCTGTGGATGAGGATCTTAACCGCTAACTAATAAAGTTCCTGGGACAGACCCTGCTATGCTCCCTCCAGAACATAACCAGGGCTGAGCTTTCTCTGTCGCAGGAGTTCCCTCTCTGGTCCTTGCCTCAGCCCTCTGACAGCTCCCCTCACTGCACTCTGAAGACAGAAGAGCTGCTAGTAAGCTGGGCTGCCAATTCCAGACAACGTTTGACCTTTCAACCTGAGCAGGCTGAGCGGCGGCTGAGTGCAGAGCCACAGCTGGATGTTGACAGTTCTTGGCCACCAAGAGGGAAAGAGAAACGCAGACCCATATTCTGCGGGCGGAAGGGGCAGTCGAATGTGGTCAGTTTGACACCTCCCAGTGCCGGCTGAAGAGACACTGGATGGGTGAGCACCTTACGATTTTGTCTCCAAACTGCTTGGGCCATAAAATAAATCTCCCGCTTGTCAAGGAGTTTGAGCTGCACATCCATGACCCTGCACATCGTGTCTGCTCACAGCAACCTCAGCGTGGCCAGGAGTCCGGGGCAGGAAAATGTGCTGGGGTGACCTGATGACCACCCAGAGGCCTCCAGGCTTGCCTCCACCATGATGGTAGGAAGTTGATCAATATCTTGACCAGTATCTGTGGCTGGGTATTCCTGCTCTCTCCCTGCTGTGGAGGCCAGGACGCTGCTCCTAAGACAGTAGAAGCTTCTGCCTTAGAAGAGGGGTGCCCAACTCCAGGGCTGTGGACCAATAAGCATTCCATGGCCTATTGGGAACCGGCCGCACAGCAGGAGGTGTGCGGCAGGTGAGTGAGCATTACTACCTGAGCCCTGACTCCTGTCAGATCAGTGTGGCATTATATTCCCATAGAAGCACAAACCCTATTGTGGACTGCACGTGCAAGGGATGTAGGTTGGGCACCTCTTACGAGAATCTAACGTCTGATGATCTGAGGTGGAACAGTTTCATCCCGAAACCATCCCCTCCCACCCCCACCCCCCGCCCCCATCCGTGGAAAATTGTCTTCTACAAAACTGGTCCTTGGTGCCAAAAAGATGTGGACTGCTGGCTTAGAGAGAAGCCAAATGAGCCCTCCTAACATACAGAGGCCATTGTATTGTGTTCCAGAATTAGGATGGCCTCAGGAGTCCATCTTGTCCCGTTTCTTTCTACCTTCATCCCTCCTTCCCTCCCTTCTTTCCTTCCTTACTTCCAAGCTGAGGTCTCGCTATGTTGCCCAGTCTGGTCTCCAACTCCTGGCCTCAAGCAATCCTCCCTCTTCACTCAGCCTCCCAAGTAGCTGGTACTACAGACACATGCCACTGTGCTTGGCTAATTTTTTTTTTTTTGAGATGGAGTCTCACTCCGTCACCCAGGCTGGAGTGCAATGGCATGATCTTGGCTTACTGAACCTCCTGAGTTCAAGCGATTTTCCTGCCTCAGCCTACTGAGTAGCTGGGGTTACAGGAGCCTGCCACCACACCCGGCTAATTTTTGTATTTTTAGTAGAGACAGGGTTTCACCCTGTTGGTCAGGCTGGTCTTGAATTCCTGACCTCGTAATCCACCCGCCTTGGCTTCCCAAAGTATTGGGATTACAGGCGTGAGCCACCGTGCCCAGCCATGCTTCGCTAATTTTTAAATTTTTAGTAGAGATGGGGGTCTTGCTACGTTGCTCGGGCTGGTCTCAAACTCCTGGGCTCAAGCAATCTTCCTGCCTTGGCTTCCCAAAGTGCTGGGATTATAGGCGTGAGCCACTGCACCTGGCTTCATTGTCTTCTTTCATGGTGGTGTCCCAAACCCCTGTTATGCTGTCAGCCCGGTATTCTAAAGATGGGTCCCCAGACCCCCTTGGCCACCTTTCTTAGGGGTCCTGTCTGTGATGACCATCACAGTCAAGGCCGTCATTTTCTGTCTAGCCACCCTCACTTCTGCCGCACATGGTGCCCTATTTTCTTAGTCATCTCACTCATTTGAGGCCAAAGGACCTAGTGATGGGGAGTGGGTCCTCAATACTGTGTGTCACCTCCTGGGTCCGTTTGTGTCCAGGTGCTTATTTGAAACCTTCCTTTGCCCTGTGTTTCCACTGGCCCATTTTTGATTTAAGTCATGGATACATTCATAAGTTCTGGTTTTTTGTTTTCTTAAGAGATGGGGTTCTCACTCTGTCACTCAGGCTGGAGTACACTGTCTTGATCATAGCTCACTGCAGCCTCGACCTCCCAGGCTCAAGCAATCTTCCTGCCTTAGTCTCCCAAGTAGCTGAGACTACAGGCATGTGCCACCACACCCAGATAATTTTTGTATTTTTTTGATAGACAGGGTCTTGCCATGTTGTCCAGGCTGGTCCCAAACTCCTAGCCTCAAGTGATCCTCCTGCCTCAGCCTCCCAAAGTGTTGGGACTACAGGTGTGAGCCACTCCACCTGGCCAAGAGTTCTTTTTTAAAAAAATGTTTACCTTTTTTTCTCCCCGTTTTTGGTTCTGGAGTCCAGGGGCAAGAAGAAGAGAGGGGGCAGATCCTTCTAAGTCCCAGTGCAAGCTCTCTTCCCCATGGAGGGGAATTGCTCCCAGAATTGAGCTGCTTCTCAGCACATTGGTCTATTTTTGCAGGAGAGCTGGCTGCCCCATGCCAAGGTTTCTTACCGCAAATAGAACTCCTGGAAGGGCCCACTGGTTTCCTCTGGGCGTTCAGACATCTCTTCACATTTCCTTTGGCTTTCCTGCCGTATCCCCAAAAGGAGATATTTAGAGGCTCTTCTGTTGTATTGCCATTGCAGGTACTTTCTGAGGCTCTCCAGAGGGACTCCTCCTGGGTGGCAGTAAGCCCAGCCTCATTCCTCAGCTCTGGCTCCTGGCACGCCTCTCTGACACACCCAGGAAGCTGAGCTGGAGGCCCCTGGGGTAGCCAGAAGGCCCATCTGAATTCCACATGGTGGGCTCATCCCCCTGAAACAGTAGAACAGACAAACCACCAGTGCCCACTGTCAGCATCCCTGTCCCTCAGACTCCCTGGACTTTTAAGTGCCTCTGGACCCCACCTCTCATTCGGGACAGAATTTGGGAGTTGGGTGTGTGTCACCCTAAGAGCCATGGGCACAGTGATACGCAACCAAGACCCCTACAATGGGATGTCTACAAATCTCAGCGCTCACGGCACAATTCCTAAGAGTCAAATTACAACAGGTTGGGGAAAAAAGACAAGACCACCTCACCAGCTTGATGGGGACTGTCAACCAGGCAAGAGCCACGTGTGCCCAAGACTGGCTTTGATGTGTCAGGGTCCAAGGTTAGGAGGGGCAGGGGAAAGCCATGCCTCACAGCACTCAATACAGAGCTTCAGAAGATTCCAGAACACCACCACACCCAATCATTTGCAGGGCTCCCACCTTACGTAAGTGTCTCAACTCTCTCTCTCAGTCTGTGTGGCCGTTAAAACTCCGTCTCTGGCAGAGAGACTGGGTTTGAGTTTCAGTTCTGCCACTTACTAGCTGTGGGACCTTGGGTTGTTTCTAAACTGCTCTGAGGGCTGCGTGTGGCGGCTCATGCCTGTAATCCCAGCACTTCGGGAGGCTGAGGTGGGCAGATCACAAGGTCAGGAGTTTGAGACCAGCCTGGCTAACACTGTGAAACCCTGTCTCTACTAAAAATACAAAATTTAGCCAGGGGTGGTGGTGGGCACCTGTAATCCCAGCTACTTGGGAGGCTGAGGCAGGAGAACTGCTTGAACCCAGGAGGCAGAGATTGCAGTGAACCAAGATCGCACCACTGTATTCCAGCCTGGGCAACAGAGCGAGACTCCATCTTGGAAAAAAAATAAAATAAAATAAATAAACTGCTCTAAGCCTTCATTTCCCCTCCCGAGGGAACAACAGGGATATTAATAATAACGTGCCTAGCCCATCATAGGCCTCGGTATGAAGAACAACGGTTTGTGAGGGCTAGTCTCCTCAACATGAGGGACAGAGGGACATTTTCCATGTGGTCAAATCATCTGAACTAAAGACACTATTGAGTTAAGAGGCACCAACTCATCATATGAACGAGAGATGGAAGTGACATTTCCCTTGGAGTTGCTCCCAGCTGGCACAGATTTGTGTGTAAACAAGTGTGGTACATTTCCCCTTTCAGTTGATGTAGCTTTCTGCAGACCAGCAGCTCCCAAACTTGCGCAGGCACTAGAATCACCTGGAGGGCTTGTTTCCAGACAGCCAGGCCCTGGCCCTGGAGCTCCTGACTCAGTAGGACTGAAGTGGGGCCCAAGAATGCACATTTCTAGCAAGGTCTCAGGTAAGGCTGATGCTGCTCCACTGGGGCCACACGCTGAGAACAAGGAGTTTCAAAGCCCGGCCAGCAGGTTCCATGTCTGTTTCTTCCTGGGGGTGAAACCCCTTGTCGCTGTGGGCCCCCATATCCCCCTTGTAATTGAATGTTTAAGGCCAGGCGTGGTGACTCACACCTGTCATCCCAGGTGTACCATAAACCCACCTATCTACCCACTACCTAGATTTGGTAATTATTATTTTCTGTATTTGTTTCATCTCACTCTGTGAGGTTAAAGATAAGTTAGACATTAGACATATCACTCCTAAGTACAATTAACAAATTTCAGTATCATCTAATAGCCTGTCCACATTCTAATATTCTCAGTTGTCCCAATATATAAAAATATATTTCACCATGCACAGTGGCTCACACCTGTAATCTCAACACTTTGGGAGGCCAAGGTGGGAGGATCACTTGGGGCCGGGAGTTCAAGACCAGCCTGGGCAACATGGCGTGACCCCCGTCTCTGTGAAAATTTTAAAAATTAGGCCAGGTGCAGTGGCTCATGCCTGTAATCCCAGCACTTTGGGAGGCCAAGGTGGGTGGATCACAAGGTCAGGAGTTCAAGACCAGCCTGGCCAAGATGGTGAAACCCCGTCTCTACTAAAAATAACAAAAAATTAGCAGGCGTGGTGGTGGGCACCTGTAATCCTAGCCACTCGGGAGGCTGAGGCAGAGAATTGCTTGAACCCGGGAGGCAGAGGTTGCAGTGAGCCGAGATCACACCACTGCACTCCAGCCTGGGCGATAGAGTGAGACTCTGTCTCAAAAAATAAAAAAATAAAAAATAACTTACATAAAATAAAAAATTTTTAAAAAATTAAAAGACCGGGCGCAGTGGCTCATGCCTGTAATCCTAGCAATTTGGGAGGCTGAGGCAGGCAGATCACGAGGTGAGGAGATTGAGACCATCCTGGCTAACATGGTGAAACCCCGTCTCTACTAAAAATACAAAAATTAGCCTGGCGTGGTGGTGGGCACCTGTAGTCCCAGCTACTTGGGAGGCTGAGGCAGGAGAATGGCTTGAATCCGGGAGGCAGAGCTTGCAGTGAGCTGAGATCGTGCCACTGCACTCCAGCCTGGGCAACAGAGCAAGACTCTGTCTCAAAAAAAATAAAAATAAAAATATAAAAATAAAAAATAAAAAATTAGCTGGGCGTGGTGGCACGCACCTGTGCTCCCAGATACTTGGGAGGTTGAGAAGGGAGGATTGTTGGAGCCTGGGAGTTCGAGACTGCAGTGAGCTATGATTGTGCCACTGCACTCCAGCCTAGGTAACAGAGCGAGATCTCATCTCTTAAAAAAAAAGAGGCCGGGTCGAGTGGCTCACACCTGTAATCCCAGCACTTTGGGAGGCTGAGGCGGGTGGATCACCTGAGGTCAGAAGTTTGAGACTAGCCTGGCCAACATGGTGAAACCCCGTCTCTACTAAAAATACAAAAATTAACTGAATGTGGTGGCATGCGACTGTAATCCCAGCTACTAGGGAGGCTGAGGCAGGAGAATCGCTTGAGCCTGGGAGGCGGAGGTTGCAGTGAGCCGAGATTGCGCCACTGCACTCCAGCCTGGGTGACAAGAGCGAGAATCCGTCTCAAAAAAAAAAGAAAAAAGAAGCGATTGGCTGGCTTGGGAGGTGGGTGTTTTAAATGCTGCGTTGCAGGATCTGTAGTCCTCTGGCTGATGAGTAAATTGGAAAACAGTTTGGCCACATGTATCAAGAGCCTTTGAAATGTTTCTGCTTCCTGGTGCTGTAATCCCCGTTCCTGGAAGCTCTCTCTTAAGAATAATCTAAGAGATGGACCAAGTGTAATGGCTGCCTGTGGCATGCAGAAAGCGCAAGTTGCAGGTATGTGTGTAACTCTATTTCTAGAGCTATAGACGGACAGAGTGGGAAGGGGGGATTCTGGCCGCAACCAGGTGCACTGACTCCAGAAGGATCCACGCTCTGCACAGATGAGCCGGGTTTATGAAGGGATCCCAGCCACCCTCAGTTGCTGGGCACCCCCACCTCCTTCTATCTTTATCTACCTACCCCGTGATGTCCTTCGTCTGGATGACGGTATCAAATCGTGGTTAGGCACATGGGCGTTGCAGTCGGACATCCTGGGGCTTGAATTCCAGCTCTGCCACTGACCCTGACCTCCAGTGCAGGTTACTGAACCCGCCTGAGCCTCAGTTTATCTTCAAATGGGGATAATCGTGCCTAAACGTCGAGTACAAAATGCTTCCCATAGACTGAGCTCCAATACACAGTCCCTACTGCTATCAGAAAAAAACACACAGTGGCGTGGAGAAGAAAACTCACTTTCAGAAAGCAAGGATGACACACCAGAGGGCAAGTTTGTTTTAAAATGGAAAGTTCTTGAGAGCAGGGGGTGTGTGTTTTCCAGGAGGAGGCTGTGGGTGCTTCCCAGTGTAAGTAAACAATGGCAGGAATCTGGGGAAATGCCTCGGTGAGCACTTACTACCCGTGGGTGCTTTCTATTCTCCCCCTGGTTTAGTCCCGTCTAGTCCCACAGGTGAGGAAACTGAGGCTGGGAGCCGGGACAGCATCCTCGGGCTCACACATCTGGTGAGCAGCACAGCAAGCTCTGAGCTCAGATCTGAGCAATCACCCAGCCCACATGCTGATCAGTGTAGTCCCGCTGCCTCTAATGGGTGGTTTCCTCAACACTGTTACTAATGAAAACTCTTTCAGGGTGCCACTGGCCAAAGTAGGAATGAGCAAATGGAAAAGGGAGACAATGAGGGCTCTGAGGCTCTGCGAGGTGGGTGCTCCCATCACACCACCCAATCAGGATGCGAACCACTTGCTGATTCACACACACGCAGACAATGGGGAATTATGAAGCCTTGTAAAAACAGCAGAAACACCCAACAGACCCTCCATTTTTTCTCTAGTTAGCCCCAGCCTCCAAAACTAGGGCAAAAGCCTAAGCTTTGCTGAGTCACAATCATTTATCAAGGTAATTTGTAGGCACAGCACTCGAGATGCTATGCAATTTTTACCCCATTCAACAAATGCAGGACAACCTGCCGGGGAAGATTAGTCCTTCCTAAGTAACAAGAAGGACTCTAAATTCTCAGATTCTGGGTTATTAAGAATAAGAAGAGGCTGTGCAAACTAGACCACAGCGTGCAGAGAGGAGATGTGTGAAGAGACTTAACTTTCCTCCCTACCCACAGCCACAACTAGGGAACCACATTCAATCTAATTGGGTGTTTTTGGCAGTCTGGCTGTTGCCTGCCCTCCAAGGCCTGCCAGGAACCAAGAATCCACCACCCAGGCTTAGACACCTGCAAGGGCACTTGGGTGGAAGAATCCTGTCCCCCTACCCTTCCTCCTGCAGGAAGAGGACAGCATCAAAAGGCGGGTAGCTGGTTCTCTGGTTGTTATTGGAAATATAGGAAGACGTGTCCATGGAAAAGTTGCATGGGCCTGGCACAGGTGCCTAAGGCTTCCCTTTGCTCAAGTCCACACTTGCACACACAGGTAAGGCTCCCTGGCTTCAAGTTTCTGATTTACCATTTTCCTATGTTTTCAAGCTTAAAAAAAATCACCGTGAGGATTCACTCTTTACTTATGAAACATACTTAAGTTCCCCACCTCACCCTCTAAAACAGAAAAAAAAGGGTGCTTATTTGTTGTCCTTTTTTGACAAGAATTATCTGTCTAAAACTTTTTTTTTTTAACTTTTTTTTTTTTTTTTTTGGTCAGCCAGGCTGGAATGCAGTGGTATGATCTTGGCTCACTGCAACCTCCGCCTCCTGGGTTCAAGTGATTCTCCTGCCTCAGCCTCCCAAGTAGCTGGGATTACAAGCATGCGCCACCACGCCTGGCTAATTTTTGTGTTTTTAGTAGAGACAGGGATTTGCTATGTTGGTTGGCCAGGCTGGTCTCGAACTCCTGACCTTAAGTGATCTGCCCGCCTCGGCCTCCCAAAGTGCTGAGATTACAGGCGTGAGCCAGTCTAAAAAGATTTCCATTTAAAAAGACCCTCAACTTGAACATGTAGCGTTCTCACCAGGCCCAGTCAGCATCAAGCTTTCTCAAGTTCAAGTTCACAGCATGACTAGAAAAAGCAGGCAACTGAAGACAAACGGAACTGCTGTTTGCAGGATCAGGCAACTTGGAGGAGAGGATGGCGCACAACCAGGGGAAACATGATCTGGCCTTCAGGTGTCCTATTTCCCCTCCTCGGCAAAAATCAGACACATTGATTTACTCCATGAATCATTTGGGGGAAAAAGATTTCAGCTGAACTCATGAGATTTTTTAAAAAGTAGCGAAAAAGATTGAACTATTTTTAATACTCACTGGTTTCCCAGGTCTGGAGAGGGTGGTTTGGCCTCGCCTCAGCAGTAACCAAGTGTCATAGCATTTTCTTTTCAACGTCAAGAGGAGTGTTGCAAAATAGTCCAAGTGGGAACACACAGGAACCGTGAGACTCTCTTGGTGTTGCTGTTCAGTAATAATGATGCACACTTTAAAAACACACGCACTCGGCCGGGCACTGTGGCTCAGGCCTGTAATCCCAGCACTTTGGGAGGCCAAGGCTGGTGGATCACGAGGTCAGGAGTTCGAGACCAGCCTGGCCAATATGGTGAAACCCTGTCTCTACTGAAAATACAAAAATTAGCCGGGCGTGGTGGCACATGCCTGTAATCCCAGCTACTCGGGAGGCTAAGGCAGGAGATCGCTTGAACCTGGGAGATGGAGGTTGCAGTGAGCTGAGATTGTGCCACTGCACTCCAGCCTGGGTGATAGAGCGAGACTCCATCTCAAAAACAAACAAACAAAAAACAACAAAACAAAACCACACACACACTCGGGCTGGGCGCGGTGGCTCACGCCTGTAATCCCACTACTTTGGGAGGCCAAGGTGGGTGGATCACTTGAGGGCGGGAGTTCGAGACCAGCCTGGCCAACACAGCCAAACCGCGTCTTTACTAAAAAGTACAAAAATTAGCTGGGCATGGTGGCGGACACCTGTAATCCCAGCTACTTGGGAGGTTGAGGCAGGAGAATTGCTTGGACCCAGGAAGTGGAGGTTGCAGTGAGCTGAGATCATGCCACTGCACTCCAGCCTAGGCAACAGAGTGAGACTGCATCTCAAAAAACAAAACAAAACAAAAATTAGCTGGGTGTAGTGGCATGTGACTGTAACTCCAGCTACTTGGGAGGGTGAAGTGGGAAGATCACTTGAGCACGGGAGGTGGAGGCTGCAGTGAGCTGAGACTGTGCCACTACACTCCAGCCTGGGTGAACCACGGATGTAATGTTTCCACACATATAATGTATAATGATTACATAAGGGTAATTAGCATATCCATCACCTCGTTACATTACATATGTAATTACAATATAACTCTGTCTCAAAATAAATAAATAAATAAATAAATAAATAACACACATTCACGAATGTAAACTAGTATAGCCGCTATGGAGAACAGCATGGAGGCTCCTCAAAACACTACAAATAGCACATCATATGATCCAGGCCAGTCGTGGTAGCTCACGCCTGTAATCCCAGCACTTCTGGAGGCAGGCTGAGGCGGGCAGATCACTTGAGCCCAGGAGTTTGAGACCAGCCTGGGCAACAATGGTGAAACCCCACCTCTACAAAAACAAAACACAAAAAACTAGCCAGGTGTGGTGGCATATGCCTGTGGTCCCATCTACTCAGGAAGCTGAGGTTGGAAGGTTGCTTTAGCCTTGGAGGTCAAGGCTGCAGTGAACTTAGATCATGCCACTGCACTCCAGCCTGGGCAACAAAGCGAGACCCTGTCTCAAAAAACAAACAAACAAAAAATTACTATTACTATTGGCTAGGGGCAGTGGTTCACTCCTGTAATCCCAGCACTCTGGGAGGTTGAGGCAGGCAGATCACTTGAGCCCAGCAGTTCGAGACCAGCCCGGTCAACATGGCGAAACCCTGTCTCTACTAAAAATACAAAAAAATAGCTGGGCATGGTGATGCATGCCTGAAATCCCAGCTACTCAAGAGGCTGAGGCAGGAGAATTGCTTGAACCCGGGAGCTAGAGGTTGCAGTGAGCTAAGATTGGGGCACGGCACGCCAGCCTGGGTGACACAGCAAAACTCTGTCCAAAAAAAAAAAAAGAAACATTACTATGTACTCTATGAGCATGTACAATTATTATTTGTCAATGAAAATAAATAAAATGAAACACACACACCCCCTCAAGATCCATGCTTATAATTAGGTAAACAGAATTTTGACCAAATCACCACAACAATTAAACAAAAAGGTCTTCTCCACAGATGGTTCTGGAATAACTAGACATCCATATGGAATGAAGGAATCTCAACTCTAGTCTCGTACCATCCATAAAAAGTTAATTCAAGATGGATCATAGATTTAAACATAAATGCTAATACTAGAAAGCTCGAAGGAAACACGGATGAATATAACTTGGGGGTTTCTTAGGCAGGACATAGAAAAAGTCTATAAAACAGACTTCATCCTAATTAAAAACTTCTGCCCAGTAAAAGATACTGTTAAGAAAATAAGCAAGCCCGCTGGGCGCGGTGGCTCAAGCCTGTAATCCCAGCACTTTGGGAGGCCAAGGCGGGTGGATCACGAGGTCAGGAGATCAAGACCATCCTGGCTAACACAGTGAAACCCTGTCTCTACTAAAAATACAAAAAATTAGCCAGGCGTGATGGCGGGTGCCTGTAGTCCCAGCTATTCATGAGGCTGAGGCAGGAGAATGGCATGAACCCAGGAGGGAGAGCTTGCAGTGAGCCAAGAGCGCGTCACTGCACTCCAGCTTGGGGCGACAGTGCGACACTCTGTCTAAAAAAAGAAAAAAAGAAAGAAAATAAGCAAGCCATACATTGGGACTAAATATTTGCAAAACAACTATCCGACAGAGGACTGATGTCCAAAGTATGTAATGAACTGCTACGACTTTTTTTTTTTTGAGACAGTCTTGCTCTGTCACCTAGGCTGGAGTGCAGTGGCGTGATCTCAGCTCACTGCAACCTCCGCCTCCCAGGTTCAAGTGATTTTCCTGCCTCAGCCTCCCAAGTAGCTGGGATTACAGGCACAGGTGCCTGCCACCATGCCCAGCTAATTTTTGTATTTTTAGTAGAAACAGGGTTTCACCGTGTTGCCCAGGCTAGTCTCGAACTCCTGACCTCAAGTGATCCTCCCACCTCAGCCTCCCAAAGTGCTGGGATTACAGGCATGACCCACCATGCCTGGCCAACTTCTACAACTTAATGAAGAGACAAACAATCTGATGAAATATGGGCAAGATAATTGAACAGCTAACTCACAAAGGAGGATATACCTGTGGCAAGTACATCATTAGGAGTCATCAGATAAAGGACAATGAAAACTGCAAAGAGATATACTATACGCCCATCAAAATGGCTCAGTTAAAGTCTGACACCACCAAATGTTGCTAAGGAAGGGAGATACTAGAACTCTCATACATTGTTGGTGGCAGTATAAATTATATGATCACTTCGGAAAAAGATCTGGCAGTTTCTAAATAGACCACCTATCCCATGACCCAACAGTTCCACTCCTTGGCATTTACTCCCCCAAATTGAAGATTTTGTTCTCAAAGACTTGTACAAGACTGTTCACAGCAGCCTTATTCATAATGGCCCCAAACTGGAAATAGCCTAGGTGTTCATTAATTGAATAAATAAGCAGTGGTCAAGCCATACTCAGAAATAGAGAGAAAGGAACTACTGATACCTACAAAACATTGACGAATCTCAAAAACATTACGTAGGTTGGGCTCCGTGGCTCACATCTGTCATCCCAGCACTTCGGGAGGCTGAGGTGGGAGGATTGCTCAAGACCAGGAGTTCGAGGCTGCAGTGAGCTATGATCGCGCCACTGTACTCCAGCCTGGGCAACAGAGTGAGACTGTCTCTAAAAAAAAAAAAAAAAAAGAAAGAAAAGATAAATTGATGAATGGAAGGATACGTAATAAAGCAAATAGTCACGTGTCACTTAATGATGGGGATACATTCTGAGAAATGCATCATTAGGTGATTTAAAAAAATTTAATATTCCCAAACGTGGATAGAAGGATTTTTATTTTATTATTTTTAGAGACAGGATCTCGCTCTGTCCCCGGGCTGGAGTGCAGTGGTGTGATCATAGCTCACTGCAGACTTGAACTCAGTCCTCCTGCACTGGCCTCCCAAAACACTGGGATTACAGGTGTGAGCCACCATGCCCAGCCTGCAATGTTATCATTGTATGAACATCATAGTGTTCTTACCCAAACCTAGAGAGTATAGCCTATTGCTCCTGGGCTACAAACCTTTACAACATGTTACTGTACGGAATACTGTAGGCAACTGTAACCCAATGGTATTTGTGTATCTAAACACAGAAAAACTACAATAAAAATACAGTATAAAAATAAAAATGATACACTTGTGTAGAGCACTTACCATGAATGGAGCTTGCAGGGCTGGAAGGCATTCTGGTGAGTGATAGAGAGTGAATGTGAAGGCCTAGGACTCACAGTTACCCTGAATTTAGAAAAAATTTTCCTTTCAAGAATAAAATGACCTTAGCTTACTGTAACTTCTTTACTTAATAAACTTCTAAATTTTTTTCAACTATTTGACCCCTTTGTAACAACACTTAGCTTAAAACACGTATACACTGGAGCTGATAGGAATTTCCCAGCTCTAAGATCATCTAATGGGACCTCCATTGTTGATGGCAAGGCATGACTGTATAACAAAATGGTAATGATGACCTAGGTGGTGTATGCTTGAAAATCTTCATAATAAAATCTCAAGGGGAAAACTGGACAAATACAAAGTTATGAAAATAGACAGAGCCACAGCGCTTGATCTCCATCCCAGCTCCAAAATCAAAGGACTACAGAACTATTTGCAGGGAAACACGGAAGTTCCCACTCTGATGCCTGCCTCCAGATCTGGCTACCATGCTCAAGAAGCCCCCAGACAATAGCCTTGTTGTCATAATATGCCCCTGGGCCTCGGTATCAAAAGGCCAGAAGTACCATCCTAGGATTTTATGCCTAAAAGATATGTCAAGAAAGCCTGGTGTGTGTGTGTGGAGGAGGAAGTGGGTTAGCCCAGCTCACCTGTTTTGTTTTTGACAGGGTCTTGCTCTGACACCCAGGCTGGAAGCACAGTGGTGCAATCACAGCTCACTGCAGCTTCAACCTCCTAGGCTCAAGCAATCCTCCTGCTTCAGCCTCCCGAGTAGCTGAGACAACAGACGAACACCACCACACCCGGCCAATTTTTAAATTTTCTGTAGAGACAGCGTTTCATCATGTTGCCCAGGCTGCTCTTGAACTTCTGGCTCAAGCGATCCACCTGCCTCCACCTCCCAAAGTGGCAGGATTGCAGGCATGAGCCACAGCTCACCTGTTTTAAGTCATTTGATGCAGCAGAGAAAATAAAGGTCTGGGCATGTATGAAAGCTCCTCTGGGTGTTTAATTCTAAGTCAAATTCCAGTGACTATGTCTGCTCCCACTGATAGAAGCGAATGCAGTAAGCATTTCAGATCAAAAGCATAATCTTTAAATATAACTACAGTTTACTGTGTACTTGCGCGTGCTGGGCATTGTACGTAATTTCATTTAATCCTCACAACTACCCTGTGAAGTTGTTTATTTTCCTTTTGTTTTTGAGACAGATTCTTGCTCTGTTGCCCAGGCTGGAGTACAGCAGCACAATCTCAGCTCACTGCAACCTCCACCTCCTGGGTTCAAGCGATTCTCCTGCGGTCCCGGGTAGCTGGGACCACAGGCATGCGCCACCACGCCTGGCTAATTTTTGTATTTTTTGTAGAGATGGGGTCTCCCTGTGTTGCCCAGGCTGGTCTCGAACTCCTGGGTTCATGTGATCCTCCTGTCTTGGCCTCCCGATGTGTTGGGATTATAGACGTGAGACACTGCGCTGGGCCCCCTCTTTTTCTTTCAAAATCAAGGGTCAGACTCTCCTCATTTCTCCGTGAGTGCTGCTGACTCGGCAGTCCGGCAGCCCTCTCTACACATTCCTGCATACACCCTCCTTTACTGTCTGTCTCCATCCTACCTTCACACTTTCCACTGAGCCGTGTGTGCTGACTACTCTAGGAGGGGTGGGCAGTCCTTCCTGCCAAGCCTGGGTTTCTAACTTTGTGGCTACAAAACTCCAGGGAGTTTTGTAGGAAGGGAGAGGAGCAGGAAGGGGGAAGAGAAGTTAACATGCTTTAAAAAAAAAAAAAAAAAAAATTTTTTTTTTTTTTTTTTTAAAGACAGGGTCTCACTGCGTTGTCCATGCTGGTCTTGAACTCCTGGGCTCAAGTGATCCTCCCGTCTCAGCTTACAGGTGTGACAGAGGCTCTTGATTAGGGAAACTGTCTTACAAATCGGAATCTGCATAACACCCTGGGATTCCAGTGTGAGTGCTAAGGGTCCTCATTCCTCCCACCCTCCTACAAGGCCACTTACCACCAGGGCTCAGCTCGGTACTGAGGAGCCGATCCATCGTGGCAGGTATAGCAGTTAGGGGTAAAAAGAAGAAGAAAAAAATCCATGAACATCAGCCTTAGTGGCTTAGCAGATTTTTTTAGGAGTGTGAAATTTATCTGTGTATTACTAGAGAGCGAAAACATCATTCACTTATTAAAAAAAAAGAGAGGAGAAAACCAGAGTCCTATGAAAATGTTTTTAATTTTCATCTTTTGGAAATACATTTTTCATTTTTATTTCCACCATACAAAAATGTGAAATATCTAACAATGATCTATCTGAAGCGGGTGGAGCAAAGCAGCGCCATGAGCGTTTGTCGTTGCTGTGATCTGTTTCAACGGAGAATGGGCTGGGACATGTTGTAGATTTGCACGATTTCACACACACACACACACACACACACACACACACACACACACACACACAGACACGTACGCACACACGCTGCCGTACCCCGAGACCGCCATCCAAACAAACGAACAGAGACTCTGGAAAGTGAACACAGCGCCACGCATAAGAACAGAAGTTAACCTTTTTACTCGTACATCCCCCATGAGAAACTCACGTCTTAGGAGAAAGGAACTCTACATAAATATGCCCAAAGGCCAGGGCATACGGCAAGCCCTCTCATGGGTGGGCATGAGTGGACATCTTCCTGAAGGAAGGACAAGCTTGAGAGCGTCATGTTTTCAGGCAGCTATGGTGGGAAGCAGGGAGGCACAACCGATTTTTCCACTGGGAGACTAACCGAGGGCTGCAACTGCCTCAAAATCTCAGTGCGAGAAGATGCACAGGCAGGACAGTACACCCCCAAATTCATGATCACAGCAGCTGGAATGTCAGCTCTTTTTGCAGATTTCACAGCCGACACTCCCCATCAGGCAGGTTCTTAAGCACACTGGGTCATGACAGGAAAGGCCTCACAAGAGCAACACGGAATTCACTGGTTAAGCACGTACACATTCATGACAGCCTACAACCGTGATGAGTGTCAATGTCAACAGGCAGTTAGATTAAAAAGGGGAAAAAACCACAGCCACAAAAATAAAACCTGTTTTCTCCCCCCCAGGAGACAACTTGGTTTCCAACCCCTCCCATACCACATTTGATTAAGTTAAATACAGTGCGGCTTCCAAATGTGCCAGCCGGCTCTTGCTCACAGCGACAGCACCAGCGGTTTGCTGCCCTCAGGTCTTGGTTACCATGTGTCAGGAACTTCAAAGAGTGTGGCAGGGCTGTTCTTCGAGATGCTTCCTGGTGGGAAAGAACAAAACAATATGAACAGCAGGACCAGGACGGCACCTTGAGGAGAGCATGACATGACCAGCAGACAGACAGAGGGCCTGTGACGGCTGCAGACGGGGCCAGCGTCTGGCTAAACAGCTGCGCTGGAAAGAGTCCACAGACAGGTCTTGTCTAGGGAGGGCAGTGCCCAGCATGGGAAAGTGAAACCACAGAAACATCATGGGGGCGCGGAGGAAGCACCTCCCTGCCTCCAGCATCTATCTATTTATTTCACAGGAGTTAAACTGTAGCCATGCACAGTATTCCTCACTGAACACCATGCTGGATTCTTTGTTGGCAATACAGCGGGCATTTAATTCATATAATCTTCATTAAAAGCCCACCAAGGTGGTAACACTACCCCATTTTACAGATGCAAGAACAGATTGAGAGAAGTGGGGTAATATGACCAGATGTACAGAGCTAGCAAGTGGCTGAGATGGGGTCTGAATCCTCCCACAGCACCAACATCCCTGCCAAAGTCCCTGGAAACTGAGTTTCTCTGTGCTGTGCTGTGGCTCTGCCTAGGTGAGAAATCTCAGGTGGGCAGCTGAAGGGCAGAGGGAAGCCAACCAGTGGGGGTTCCAATATCTCAACAGGGGCAAAAGAAGGTTGCAGCTTTTTCCAGCTTCGGTGAAGCTGGCTGGGGTCCTCTTCTTGGATTGAAAAGATCTCTTCAGTGACAAAGTTTCACCCCAATGTCAGAAGCCCTTCTTTTTTATTCATGCCACTTTCTACAATACGAGCAGCTGCGGCCAGCAACTGAGCTGGGACTGGACTTCAACGAATGTGAGGGAAGTCAGGAAAGAGCATGTTCATAATGGAAAGTGTGGCCCGACCAGGCGTCAGCTGCACAAGTGGTGCCATGCATTAAGTCATAAAGTAGGGCTGACGGGGGAAACTGGCAGTCTCTCTTCTAGCTGCTAACACCAAGATTTTAGAAAGGGAGAGAAGTCTTTGATGATACCTCCAATGGGAAATAACTTTTAAATACAGAGGGGGTGCAGTGTCTTACAAACTAGGGAATCATATCACTGAGTTCACAGTGGTTATCATCAGTAACAGGGATGCTTAAAAATAACGAGGTCTGAACACAAGAAAAAACATGAAGAGAATTTCAGCTAACATGAGAATTTCTACTTCTGATCATTTACTGTGATAAGATCCAGGGAGTTAGGGTGAGGAGACCGGGAAAGGGTAACCGGACTCTTTCTGCCCTGGGTCTCATCGCTCTGAACAGGCACGTTCTGGGACACCCAGTAAAGATGGCGAGACCACTCTGGAGAAGTGAAGATGGGCAGGAGATGATCCACTGAAAAGGACTCATGGGGTCCAGTGAAGTACTGCAAGGGGCCTGTGATAACCTGCAGCTAGCCTGGCCTTCCCAGTCCCACAATGATACAATAAACACCTAACTGTATGAAAAGAAACATCCATTAAGGGCACTTTTATAATTCACATATGAAAGAAATATTGCAGTAGCCAATTAGCCATTCTAAAGGTAAAAGCTACAATGCCAAATGTGGGGAACTGAAGTAAATTAAATCCAGCTCAGAGGAAAAAGGAAGATAAATTGCTAAAAGCAACTGCACTGCAATACTTGTAATCTGCACCTGCCAATCTGCACCTGCCATTAGTTGGGGGGGGGGGTGTGTGAGTGCACAGTGAGCCACCAGACACACAGGAAGTGGTTCCATGAAGAGCTAACAGGAAATAATGGAATAAGCAAAAAGTTCTGGAGTAAGGCAAGTCAAGTTGGACCATTTTACTAGCTGGATGACCTTGAACAGGTCTCACTGCTTCGTCTAAGATGGACCCAGTACTATTTTATGCTGTATAGGACTTCTGTGATACAGCAAAGTTGCTGGGTAAGTTTTTAATGAACGCTAGGTCTCTTCCCCTAATCAATAAGCTGATCCAACATGGAACATGGCTGTTCCCCAGAAAGCCAACAGTCTATAATCAAAAAGATGCTAGTTTTCACTGTCTACCTGTACAGCTGCTGAGCGAGAATGATGTGTACAAAGGGGCCAGAACTGTAGGAGCCATCTACAGGAGACCCGGACCAGAGGGGAAATGAAGGCCACTAACAGCGTTCTTTCCAGCACCTTCCAGAAAGGGAGAGCTGTAGATCAACAAACGGCCAGTCTCAAAACTGGCAGATAAGAAGGTATGGTTTTTAAAAAGCAGCAGCTATGGTCAGTTTTCCACAGAACTCATTTTCACAGCCCTGTTTTACTGGAGTGTAAGGAATCATTTAGGAACAACTTTTCTTTTTAAACAGATACTTGGCTGTGTGTGGTGGCTCATGCCTGTAATCCCAGTACTTTAGGAGGCTGATGAGGGAAGGCTTGAGCCCAGGAGTTTGGGACCAGCCTGGGCAACACAGGGAGACCCTGCCTCTACAAAAAATTTACAAATTTGCCAGGTGTGGTGGCACACACCTGTGGTCCCAGCTACCTAGGAGGCTGAGGTGGGAGGATCACTTGAGCCCAGGATATCAAGGCTGCAGTGAGCTGTGATAGTGCTACTGCATTCCAGCCTGGGTGGGTGACAGAGTGAAACTGTCGCACAAAAAAAAAAAAAAAAATAGAGGGAGGGAGGGAAGGAAAGAAGACAGGGAGGGAGGGAGGGAGGAAGGGAGGGAGGGAGATACTTAAAAACACCTGCCTTTTGCTACAGTGGACCTTAATCCATAGCTTGCATTATATACAAAGATTAACTTGAATTGTACATTTTAATTGTAAAACCTAAAACTGTAAAACTTCTGGAAGAAAACATAGAAGAAAATATTTGCAACTTAGAGTTATGCAAAGATTTTTTAGATATGACACCAAAGGCAAAATCCAAGGGGAAAAATCTGATAAACTGGACTTCATCAAAATTTAAAACTACTACTCTTGAAAAGACACTGTTAAAATAATGAAAAGAGGCTGGCTGTGGTGGCTCACGCCTGTAATCCCAGCACTTTGGGAGGCTGAGGCCGGTGGATCACGAGGTCAGGGGTTCGAGACCACCCTGGCCAACATGGTAAAACCCATCTCTACTAAAAAAGTACAAAAATTAGCTGGGCGTGGTGGCAGGCGCCTGTAATCCCAGCTACTCAGGAGGCTGAGGCAGGAGAATAGCCTGAACCCGAGAGGCGGAGGTTGCAGTGAGCCGAAATCGTGCCACTGCACTCCAGTCTGGGCGACAAAGCAAGACTGTCTCGAAAACAACAACAACAACAACAACAACAAACCACCACCACCAACAACAACAAAATGAAAAGAAAAACCAACCTAGAAGAATATATTTGTAAAATGCTTAAAAGGACTTGTATCCAGAATCTATAAAGAACTCTCAAAATGCAGTCAGAAAATAAACAACCCTAGAACAAAGGGAAAAAATGAAAAGATATTTCACCAAATAAGAAATCTGGATGGCAAAAAATCACAGGAAAAGATGCTTATTAGTCATTAGGGAAATAAAAACCAAAGCCACAATGAGATACCACTACATACCCATTAGAACTGCTGAACAAACAAGCAAAAGGGGTGTGTATCAATATCAAGTACTGGTGAGGGCGCAGAGTGAGCTGAAGCCTTGTATACTGCTGGGGGAAATCCAAAATGGTGACGCCACTTTGGAAAAGAGTGTATCAATTTCTTATGAAGTTAAATATACAGTTACCATATGACCCAGCAACCCCACTCCTAGATATTTACCCAAAGAAAATGAAAACTTAATTCATACAAAAAACCTGTACACAAATATTTATAGCAGCTTGATTCTTGATTGACAAAAACTGGCAACAACCTAAATGTCCTTCCCCTGGGTGATGGATAAATAGTGATACCTGTATACAGTGGAATACCACTTAGCAGTAAAACGGAGTGTACTGAGGATACACGCACCACCACAAATCACAAATGCATCATGCTAAATGAAAGAAGTTAAATGAAAGGCTCAAAAGGCTAACTATCGCATGATTCCAGGTATATGACATTCTGGAAAAGACAAAATCGCAGGGACAGAAAGAAGACCAATGGCTGCTGGGATCTGTGTGGGGGTTGGGGGAAGGATCAACTCCAAACGGGCATGAGGGAAATTTCTGGAGTGATGGAGTTGTATATCGTGATCATAGTGGTGGTTATATGACTGTACACAGATGTCAAAGCTCATCAAATTGTATACCTGAAAGTGATGACTTTCATTGGGTACAATTATATCTTATTGAAGCTGACCTGGCGCAAGATATTAAAAACAATGTTTTAAAAGAAAACCAACAAAATTTTAATATGAAATACTATGCTTATAGTTAAGATTATTTGGCCAAGAGTTTCTAAAAGGGGAAAAGGCAGGATACAAGCTGCATACAGGGTATGAGGTTGGCCGCAGAGCAACAATGCTTGTTACCACAGCATCAAGTTGGGGGCTGGGGGCTTAATTGTCTTCTATTTTTCTGCATTTTCCAAATTCTCATGCTGAGTACATTATTTTTATTAACCAAAAAAACAAAAAATTAAAAGACGGGGAACACAAAAGGTGAATATTTCTGCTTTTCTCCCCTTTACCTAACTGGAGTTGAAATGGAGAAACTTGAAGGGGTAAGGCATTGCTTTTTCCAGGTGAATCCCAAACGGATTCTAAGAAGCTGCACAGGACACTGGAAGCTTCCCATTGTATCCTCTTCCACAGAGTGGACATCCGTACACAGGAAGGTCCTTTGGGAAGCTGCACTCAAGTTTCTAACTAGGAAACGCTGAAGGGGGTACGCCCTGGGGCCGGTTTCCCACACTAAGAAGGTGAGCCCCCTCCCTGCAAGGCTGATGACATCTTGGAGTTGCCAGGAGGAACAGGGAGGGCACAAATGCGCACTGAGTGCCCTGCCTCTGCCTCACTGCACAGCAGCCCACACCTCCTTCGCCACGTTCACTGCAAACCACACTTGAACATAGTAATTAAAAGGCTCCTTGGGAGGCCGCTCGGCTGCCTCAGCCTGGTCTCTCAGGTGACCGACAGCAGCAGCTGTAGATCTTGTTTCTGACTTTAAGGAGACCAGTAACAGCATGAGGAGACTGCTGCTCTAATTAGGTTCTAAATTTTTATACTGTAACCCTTAGGGTTTCAGCTTGAAAAGTTCAGCAGGTTAGTCAAGACTCCAATAAAACTCCAGGTTCTTTGGCAAACACTTAAAAGGCCTAACATGTTGTTTTAAATGTTAGGGGAAAAAAGACTTTGAACAATGTCTCTATTTACAGGACAAAAAATAACCGGGAATAGTCAATGTATCTCCTTTGGGCATGCCTCTGTAAACACCATCTAACTAAGGTGCTGATGGAACCTGCTGCTAGGGACCAGCCAGCAGTATTTTCACAATGGTCAGCCCAGGCAGCATCAGACCATCCATGCGGCCCTGAGATTCTCCAGAGAAGTGAGGGGGTGGGCAATTTCTCCAGGTCCCAGGAACACATCAACAAGAACAAGTATGTGACAGAAATCCTTCAATTAAACATGACCTGGGAAAACAGCCACACTTCCTGAAGACATTTTATTCCAGCATTAATGGCATGCAGAGTAGTTTTCCTTTGCGTACCGAGTATGTACCTAGAACTGCTTGGATGGAAAGTGGCTGGCACTACCAATCAACAGTCATATCAACAAAAAAGGAGGGGACTTATGCTGTACATTCACCTCCTGAAAATAGGATTGAAACAACCATACTTACAAGAAAAATATTTGCTGAGTACATAGTATACACATAAACTAGAAGCCCTGAAGGAGACTGGTTACTTGGCTTTCCCTCCCTCCCTCCCTCCTCTCTCTTTCTTTGTTTCTTTCTTGAGACGGAGTCTTGGAGTCTTGCTCTGTCACCCAAGCTGGAGTGCAGTGGCACCATCTGGGCTCACTGCAACCTCAGCCTCCTGGGCTTAAGCGAGTCTCCTGCCTCAGCCTCCCAAGTAGCTGGGAGCACCACCATTCCCAGCTAATTTTTGTATTTTTAGTAGAGACAGGGTTTCGCCATGTTGGCCAGGCTGGTCTCGAACTCCTGACCCAAGGTGGTGGACTAACAGGCGTGAGCCACCATGCCCAGCCCGCTTGGATTTCTATCCAGTGACTTTATCACATGAAAGTCTAGATTGGTAATTGTTTCTGATCTAGAACAGCTGCAAGAAACATTCACCTTTGTAATGAATCCTTCATTTCCTCTAAAGTCTGGATGAGTTTCCCCAGCCTCCCACATGTCAGTTAGATACTTTTAAGTCTGCAACTCTAAGCCTCAGTTTCCTCTGTACAACTGGGAAAGAGTATCTGCACCTTACTGCATGTTTAAAAGGTCTAGACAAGACAATAAAGGATGTTCCTAGCACTCTGTCTAATAGTATAAACCCAATAAATAGTCCTTTCTTCCACTATTTTTGTCATTTTGTTATCTGGGATTGGGTCTAGTACTTAATTCTTAGTGTATCTTCGATATCAAAATGTATACTATGAGTTCATGTGCTTGGGTAAAGAGAAAAAATTAAAAGAAAAAGAACAGATATAAAGAGATTACTTTTTTTTTTTTTTTTTGAGACAGAGTTTCGCTCTTGTAACTCAGGCTGGAGTGCAATGGCATGATCTCAGCTCACTGCAACCTCTGCCTCCCTGGTTCAAGCGATTCTCCTGCCTCAGCCTCCCAAGTAGCTGGGATTACAGGTGTGCACCACCATGCCAGGCTAATTTTTGTATTTTTAGTAGACGGGGTTTCGCCATGTTGGCCAGGCTGGTCTTGAACTCTTGACCTCAGGTGATCTGCCCACCTCGCCCTCCAGAAGTGCTGGGATTATAGGCATGAGCCACTGTACCCGGTAAGATTAAATTTTAAAAAATTTGTTTTGTGTGGTATTTGTTGAGCATCAGTTGTTCTGGGATTGCTACAACATAGGATATTCCAGCGTCCTAATTTTTGCTACTTCCTCCTTGGAGAACAGAAAATACCCACAGGTAGTGCCCTTTTATGTCTTTCATGCCCTCACTGCCAGTGCTGGGCCCCCAAGCCCCTGAGGATCTGTTGAGTACCTGCTGAGATGCTTTTCTGAGTACTGGAGCTCACACCCAACGCCTCAGCACCGTTTTGGGTTGGACAGACTTTGTCGCGCCGTGCCTAGCACTCTAATACAGTTCCCGCCACCACCCGAACCAGACCTTCGCGGCTCCTGGCACACTCTAAATACTTCTGAGAGTTTAATGCAGACCCTCAACAGGGCTTGAACTTTGTACTCTCACTCATTATGGGACCTTATTAAAGTAAATGAGCAAGCCAAATTGGCTGATTCCACAGGTTCTGCACCTGATATCCTGACCTATATCCTGCTGATACTAATAGGATTAAACACTGAAAACAAACCAGGTGGAAAGGATCCATTAAGTTTCCACCTGGCACCGTCAGGGGTCTTGCTCGATGAATGGTGCTCCAGAAGAAAGCTCGATTCACTCAAGTTCTCTGATTCAATTAAAAGTTGTCAAGATGTCTCTTTCTCTTTTTTTTTTGGCAGCACTGACAAAGAAGTACAAAATCTACAATTTTTTTTTTAGCTCAAATCTTGTGGCAGTGACAGCTTTACTGTCAATGGGAGGAAAAAAACCCTTATTTTAATTACAGTATTATAAATTCAAAACCCTAAATAACTTATAGAAAGTTTTCACTTAAAATGATGAAAGCTATAAAAGGAACTAATCTATTAATGCAGTCTATTATTAGTTATTTTAATTTTAATATTTTTCAGATTATGCTGATATAGAGGGGAAAAACGAAAAGCTTGTCCCTGAGGAGTAATAAACTAAAAAAATCCAGAAGAGACAGCTATGAAGGACAGGAATACAAGTGGGGAAACCCCCCTGCCCCTCTAAATCCTGCTCAGTACGATCTCTAGAAATCATGCTGACATTCATTATTTTAACATTTGTTGAGCACACGAAACATGACAGTGGTAATAAAGGTATGAAATTTGAAGACTAAGGATGCTACAGATTTAAAACTTCTCCAATACTTTTTCTTCTTTCTTTTCTTGAGACAAGGTCTCACTGTGTCCCCCAGGTTGGAGTGCACTGATGCGATCATAGCTCACTGCAGTCAAAACTCCTGGGCTCAAGCGATCCTCCCGATTCAGCCTCCTGAGTACCTGGGACTACATGCCCGTGCAGCTAATATTTAAATTTTTTTTTTTTTTTTTTTTTTTTTGTAGAGAAAAGGTGTCACTATATTGCCCAGGCTGGTCTCAAACTCCCGGGCTCAGGTCATCCTCCTGCTTCAGCTTCCCAGAGTGGTGGGATTATAGTTGTGAGCTACCATGCCTGGCCCCCTCCAATAGTTAAGTCAGGGAAAGGACAGGAGGTAAGTAAAGAGAGACACCCAGAGTCAAGAGACAGCTAAAACATCCAATCCAGGCTTCAAACACAAGTTTAAGTTTTCTGTTGAAATTCAGCTTCAGCATAATGTACAAAAAGCATATGTGACATTTTTGCTACTTGTCTGATTTCATTAATATCCATGAGATTCAGAAAACTCCCCACAGTCAGATCGGGCCACATGCAAAAGGGGATTAATTAAAACAGTGCATTCATAGCTTGGGTATGAATCAAGTTCCACCACTTGACTACTACTTTCCTTTGATTTGATTGTTAGTTCTGCTAACCGTGACAACTGTCACGATGTGAGACAAAGGAGAATGATTATAATTGTGTCTGGGTCAGTGTCTCTCAACACATAACCTTGGTTAAAAGCACTCACTTTCTTTTGTGTGTGTGTATGTAAGACAGGGTGTCACTCTGTTGCCCAGGATGGAGTGCAGTGGCGCAATCTTGGCTCACTGTAGCCTTGACCTCCCTGGGCTGAGGCAGTCCCCCTACTTCAGTCTCCTTAGTAGCTGGGACTACCGGCATGCGCCACCACACCTGGCTAATTTTTTGTATTTTTAGTAGAGACGTGGTTTTGCCATGTTGGCCATGCTGGTCTTGAACTCCTGACCTCAAGTGATCCACCCGTCTTGGCCTCCCAAAGTGCTCGGATTACAGGCGTGAGCCACCGAGCCTGGCCTCACCAGCTTTCTTGTAGGACAGACTTAATGGCTCTGGGACTTTGGGCAACTCACATAACCCTTTGGGCCTCCGTTTTCTTAACTGTAAAATGGATAATGATGACTGTCTCAAGGATTTAAATGAAAGAATTTCAGTTACACATTAAGCACTGTCCTGGCTCCAGTAATAAGCACTCAATAAGCAGTGGCTATGATTACTGTCACTGTGACTGCTGCCTTGCTGGACCGCCCCCTGCAGCAGGGAATGGCCTTTTCCATGTGCTGACTGACAAGATGCCCTTCTGGCCTCTTGCTGTGGCCCTGTGTGGCATGTGTGCATGAAGGGCTGAGTGAGGCACATCTGCGGGGTGGAGAGGACATGGGATTCAGCTCAGGCAGACCTGGGTCTGCCTTTCGGCTGTGCTTCTTAAGCGCAGCATGGCCCCGCACACTTAGCCTCGCTGAGCCCAGGCATCTGCTTCATCAAATAAGGATGATGATTCCCACCTCAGGGCTACGGTGAAAATTAAATGAAATAAGGAGAGAAATGGCTCCTACTACAGCGTCTAGCATGTAGTAGGCTCTCAACAGGTGCTAATTTCCTGTTTCCTTTGCTTCTTATATAATTCTGCTTCGGAGAGAAATCCAGGTTGCCTGGGGGTTTTGCTGGAAACAGTGAAAACGCTGCTACTGAAAATAACATGTAGGAGGGGCCTCTGCGCACATTTAAATGCACATTTTAAATATTGAGGCTGCTTTAAACACATCAGCAAAACCTCTACACCATGGAGGAGAGAGAGATTACCAAAATAGACTAGCCATCTTTAACAAGGAGACCCCCCAGGCCTTATGCTACCCGAGCCAGAGCTTTTTAGGATTCCTCAAATTAAATTAAATTGATCCTAAAAATATCTGCTTTGGTGGAAGACTACATGGGCTTTGCCACCAAGTGAAGCCTTGCTATAATTTCTCCCCCAAAATAGGAGTTTCTAGAGCATTTAAATAGTCCACGGCCCCAGAACTTCGGCAAGATCCAATACAAACCTGCTGGAGAAAGCTCCTTCTTCATTCTTTTTAATTTCTTGGCCTTTTTCCTTCCCTCTGAGAGGGGCTCTGCACAGGAATCGGTCTGCTCAAGCTCAGTGTCGGAAATCTCCCCTGACACTCCGTCCTCCAGGCCAGCTTCCTCTTGACTAGGACTCAAATTTCTCTTTCCTACTGTGCTGGGAGCTGTAAAACTGAAATGCAAAAAGTGGAACAACATAAAAGGTGCTGAGAGTTACAGGAAGACTAGTCTATAAAAATATTTTAATACTCTTAATTCTATTAACACTCAGCCAGCCATCAACAACATGGGCAGCTGCTGCCTGTGTGTAAAAATTAAAGACCTTATTATGAACTGAAGTCTGAAAGTTTACCTATAACAAGCTTATTCAGAAAAAAGTCCTAAATTATGCTTGTAAATAGATATACACAAATTTAAGCTGATCCGAGTGCTCAAGAACAAATCCGTAAAGTAGCCTCTATTTTGATAAAACTATTGTAACAGAATAGTAGAATAGAATAGTAGAGATAATATAATGAAATAATAGTTTTGGTTACATTAAATCAGAAGATAGCATTATTCTCTTCATGACTGCCTAATGCATAAAGAGCAGAACTGAAGAATTCTTCAATCAGTCTGCTATCCCACTGCTTAAAACTTGGACATAGCTACAGAGCATACCCCACCTTCATGTAATCTTCTTCCTTTCCAAAAAGATGACTTGTTAAATGTATAATTAAATGTTTCATTTTGAAAGCTTTATAGGCTTTGACATATTGAATTAAATCAGATTATGTGTCCTGATTTTTCCTTACGAAAATGTTCCCTTAAATATAACTAGATAAAAACAGCGTCCACATAGCCAGTGAGTCCTTTCTCCTCTAAATGGGTCTTAGAGATTTTTTTATTATAGCCCCCAAGTTATGAAAGCCTCAAATAAATTCAAGGCATTCTATTTAGGAGAGGCCATTCAAGCACATGGGGAGGGTGGGAAGTGAGAGATAAAATGATCTTACCAGCTTTTCCTAGGAGGTGGGTACTTTTAAATTTTATCTATCTATCTATCTATCTATCTATCTATCTATCTATCTATCTATCTAATCTAATTATTTTTGAGACACAGTCTTGCTCTGTCACCTAGGCTGGAGTGCAGTGGAGTGATCTCGGCTCACTGTAGCCTCCGCCTCCCGGATTCAAGTGACTCTCCTGCTTCAGCCTCCCAACTAGCTGGGATTACAGGCACCCGCCACCATGTCTGGCTAATTTTTTTTTTTCCCTGAGACAGAGTCTCGCTCTGTCCCCCAGGCTGGAGTGCAGTGGCACAATCTCAGCTCACTGCAACCTCCGCCTCCCGGGTTCAAGCGATTCTCCTGCCTCAGCCTCCTGAGTAGCTAGGATTACAGGCATGCACCACGAAGTCTGGCTGATTTTTGTATTTTTAGTAGAGATGGGGTTTCACCATGTTGGCCAGGCTGGTCTCGAACTCCTGACCTCGTGATCCGCCCAACTTGGCCTCCCAAAGTGCTGGGATTACAGGCTTGAGTTACCACGCCCGGCCTCTGCTAATTTTTGTATTTTTAGTAGAGGTGAGGTTTCACCATGTTGGCCAAGCTGGTCTGGAACAATGGACCTCAAGTGATCTGCCCACCTCGGCCTCCCAAAGTGCTGGGATTACAGGCGTGAGCCACCATGCCCAGCCAGGAAGTGAATAGTTTAAAATGTTCCACATAAAAAACTCTGGCTACCTAAATATTCAAGTTCCTCCACATTACTCCTGCACTCAACATCTTCCCTGAATCTGCCAAGTGCACTTGATAGGACACTCAGGGGACAGAGGAGAAGAACACACTGCCTTCCTGGTGGTTCTCTAAGGCATGGGAAGCAGAAGAGGCTGGAGCACTCTTCCTCCTATGACTGGCTGGCTAGCCTTTCATTTGTCCTCTTTTTCATTTCTATTATAGACAGCTTTCTGAAACATCTAATTGAGGGACTATAAGGGAGGATATTAATGGTAATGTTTCGGCAGTGGGGGGTGGCTGTTAAAAATGTATGCTGAAGTTTCCTGTTTAAAAACTGGTAATACCTTTAAGAAGATTTTTTAAAGACTAGAAAAAGTTCGGCTGATTTCAGAAAATTTAGAAAATTCAGGAAGTACAAGAAGATAATAAGGGTTCTTCTATCACGAAAGGGGAAGAGGCCTAAAAATTCCTTCGCATTGTAAATTCAGGAACCTGGTAGCCTCTGAGACATACATAAATGTTTAATGAAAACTCAGCTAGAACCACGGGCATTAAAAATACTCTGTGAAATACAAAGTCTAGAAATAGCCCCAACTGTACCTAGAAATCTACTGTATGATAACAGTGGTATCTCTAAATACTGAGGCATATATGGACTTTAAAATAATGGTGTTGGGACAAGCAGAAAAGGATAAAATTAGAACCATTCCTCACACCATATAAAAGAATAAATGCCTAATGGATTAGATATCTAAATGCAAAAAAGGCAACTTTACAGGTACTAAAACAAAACGCGGGTGAATGCCTCCAAAATCCAGGTGTAGAAAAAGGTTTTCTTGCCATGTCTCACAATCCAGACATAATAAAGGATTTATGAATGTGACCTCATAGATGTAAACATCTTTTGCAGGGCAATAAATAACGTGAGCCAAGACAAATGACAAACCACGAGGAAATATCTGCAACATGTATCACAGATAAAGGGTTAATGTCTCTAATAAATTATAACTCAAACTTGAAGAGAAAAAGAAAGACCAAAAGTCCTATAGAAAACTAAAAAAGGTATGAATAAACAGCTCATTACACACACTCCTTAAACACATGAAAAAATGTTCAACTCCATTCATAATGCAAAATAAAACAACACTGAAATATCACTTCTCACCCACTAGGTTTTTAGACTGGCAAAAACCTTCAAAAGCTTGATAATATACTCCATTAGTAGACTGGGGAAATGGGTCCTTTCTCACATTACTGGTATGAATGCAAAATCGCATGACTTATTCTTATGGAGGGAATGTGGCAATATCTAACAAAACTGCATACACTTCCAGGAATTTAGAAGATATACCTCCTACAATGCAAAAATATGCATGTACAAGTTATTCATTACAGCATTATTTGGAATTGCAAAATACTGCAAAGTACCTAAATGTCTAAGCATAAAAAACTGGTTGAATACGCAACAGTACATACAATCAATGAACTACTAAGCAGTTACCAAAAAGAATGAAGATCTCAAAGAACCGAAAATGATTATGGAAAGATTTCCAGTAAAATATGTGCAAAAAGCAAAGTGCAAAAGAACAACTTATGAAGCTGGTATGCCCAATCTTGAGTAGGGTGTGGGAGAGAATTGCAAACAAATCCTGAACCCCTTAGTAGGCTTGCTTCTGTAGTAGAATGAGTGAAGCAATTCTGAAAACACTTAGCTGCATGATAGCACTGGGTAAATCAGTAAATGTGCTGATGTTTCTGGCAGACAGACATAAAAATATTAGAATAAGGGAAGATAAGGAAGAACCCTCTGAGGATAGACTGAAATTGGAGATACGGGTTTAGGCTTGTGATTTCTAAAATAAGTATGAGTATATGTGTTCATATTTATGTATACACACACACACACACATATATATATACGTATATTTATGCAGGGATAGATAATTGTATCTATCCAGGCACAAAATTCCCAGCTCTGTCTACAGAAAGGACGTAGAAGCAGAGACACCAGAGTAGCAATGAGCATATCTATTGTCCAGATCTTAGTTTCTAATACCCTACTAAAAGGAACCAGGGTTCCTCAAATAAGTGGATGATTCCAGGCTCAAGGGAGATAAATTATAAAATGAGTCTAAAATATTTTGCAATACCAAGAAGTAAAAAACTTTTAGGCATGTCACAGGGAAATAGGAACTAGCTTGAAAGGACTCCCACTGGGAAAATCTGGGACAATGTGTGCCCTCTAATTTATTAGGGGGCAGTAATAAATTCTGAATCATTGAAAAAAAAAATAGCAATCCATGAGTCTACATCAATACGTAAGACAAGGAAAGGAAAGGAAAGAAAAACTCCGACTCTCCACTATAAACCTAAATTTAAACTGCTTGGCACAGCATCCAGGATCCTCTATCATCTGGGTCCCAATCTGCTTTCCTGGCCTATCTTTCACTAGGCAGCCAAGCTGCAGAGACTATATAGGTTTACCTAATGAAGTTCATCGTCCGTACTCTCCCACATGCCCGTCATCCCACCAGAAGTTTACTGGCCCAAATACATCCCACACTGCCCATTTCAATGTTACCGTTCATGCTAAGACCCTACTGCCCATCTCCTCCTGCTCAACATCACTCTCCTCCGGGAATGTTCCCAATCCCTGTTTACTGTTCTTTCCTTTCCATGCTTCCCATAAACTCTGCTTTTCTGTCTCATGAGGACTTTAACTCGTTCATCTTATTTTTTATAATAAACTGAAACTAGGAGCAGTGCATCAACAGGAGAATGGATAAACTGGGCTATATTCATACAACGAAATATAATTCAGCAATTAAAAAATGAATTACTGTTACCTCCAACAACACGGATGAATCTCAAACATTCTAAGTGAATGAAGCCTTCACAGGAAAGGGTGGGTATTTTATAAACCCATTTACATGAAATTCCAGAAAAGGCTAAACTAATCTTCAGAGAAAAAAATTCAGAAGAATGGTGGGTATGGGAGGGTAGGTAGGGATTGACTGGTAGAAAATGAGGGAATTTTCTGGGGTAACGTTAATTCCCTGTGTCTTTATAGGAGTATAGTTTTGTCAAAACTTCTATCTTGGCCAGGTGTGGTGGTTCACACTTGTAATCTCAACACTTAGGGAGGCCAAGGCAGGAGGATTGCTTGAGCCCAGGAGTTCAAGAACAGCCTGGGCAATGTGGAGAAACCCCGTCTCTAAAAAAAAAAAAAAAAAAAAAAATACAAAAAAAAAAAAAAAAAAAAAAATACAAAAAATTAGCCAGGCACAGTGGTGGCATGCCTGTAGTCCCAGCTATTTGGGAGGCTGAGGTGGGAGGATTGCTTGAGTCTGGGAGTTTGAGGTTTCAGTGAGCCATGACCAGCCCACTGCACTCCAGCCTGGGTGACAGAGTGAGACCCTGTCTCAAACAACAACAACAATAACAACAACCACTTCATATCTCAACATCATGTGGCTATTCTACGGACATGGAGATTGACTAATTTTAGCATTAACTTCAAGCAATGATTTTGAAGGCACTTACTAGAATACATTGGTTGTATCCTAACCACAGATTATGGTATTTTTGGCCAACAAGACCCATGCATTTGTAATGCTCCTCTCCATAAACAACTGACTGCTATGCAACAGGGACTCTGCCAGATGTGCTTCTGCAGGGTTCTTGTTTCTATGGAACATTTAAGTTTACAAAGCATTTTCCTGAACAGTTTCTCAATTAATTTACAACTTTATTTATTTATTTAGAGACGGAGTCTTGCTCCGTTGCTCAGGCTGGAGTGTAGTGATGTGATCTTGGTACACTGTAACCTCCATCTCCATGGTTCAAGTGATTCTCATGCCTCAGCCTCCCAGCTAATTTTTGTATCTTTAGTAGAAACAGGGTTTCACCATGTTGGCCAGGCTGGTCTTGAAATCCTGACCTCAGGAGATCTGCCTGCCTCGGCCTCCCAAAGTGCTGGGATTACAGGCGTGAGCCACCGCACCCACCCTACAGCATATTTCTTAATTGCTAATCTGTATTTCTGCTCTCAAGTAAGTCTTTTGCTTCCTAGGAGAGGCTAATGGTTATTGGGCATCCTGCCTGAGAAAGCTCTCAGATATATGTGGAATTAGTTTATTTCATATAATGTTTCTGTATCTATATGTATGTAAGACCTGCCATCCTCTAATAAAAATAAAAGCTGTGATTATATCCCATATAACTTAACTACGGCAGTTTTAAATAAAAGTTTTAATTATACATTAAAAACCAGATATATGTAACACTGCCTTTACAAATGTGATTCTTTATATATTTGGAAGGTACTGCTGTGCATGTGTGTGTATGTGCATGCGTGTGTGTAGCACTCTCAATACCTGCATGTTGATGAGGCATTCTTTTATTAACTGATTTTAAAAGTCAAAAGGTAAAATGAGAGGCAAAACAATCTCCCATTTGTATGACCTCATTTTGCATACAGATTTATAATGTACAAAGTGAGCTAGTTTATAATGAATAAGAAGTGGACATTTAAATCCACTGTAAGAAGTGGTGATTAATTAAAAAATAAAATGTCACAGACACAACTTGGTATGTTAAAATTGAACATTAAACTTTGATTAGTGTTTTGTTAAAAGCTAAGTCGCTGTCAACTATCCATCAAATTCCACAAGGGTGAACATCTCCAGTACTTTTTCCTTTTAGTAGAAAGAAATGTTTGCTTATAGAAAGGCCGTATTTTCAAACCCCTACAAATACCTTTTTCCATGAAGCAATAACAAAAATCTAGCTGCTACATGAACATATTCCCCATTTTAAATTAGGGTATTATTTACATGCAATGGAATTCACTTATTTTAAATGTACAGTTTGGTTAACTTTGGGAATTGCTTATAACCATGTAACTATTACTACAATTGAGATATAGAACAATACCCTCTCCCTAAAAAGATTCCTCGTGTCACTCTGCACTCAATCCACATTGTCACAGCAACTATTAATCTGCTTATAGTCCTATTTATATAGTTTTGCCTTTTCCAGAAGTTCATGTGAATGAAATCATACAATATTTAGTCTTTTGTTTGACTCTTTTCACTTAGCATAATACTTTGAGAGTCAGTCACATGGCTGTTAGTATTAGTACTTTATTTCATAGTATGGCTGGATCACAATTTATTCATTTACCAGTTGATGGACATTTGGGCTGCTTCCAACTATTTGTCATTACAAATAATGCTGGTATAAACATCTGGGTAAAAGCTAGCTTTTATTATTAAAAACATAAGTTTTTATTTTTCAAATATAAATACCTAGAAGGATTTCTGGGTGATATATAAAAATACATTTGCAATTTATGTTTAACTTTACAGGAAACTGCCAAACTATTTATTGGCCATTTGTATATCTTTTTTGAAGAATCTGTTGAAATGTTTTGACCTCATCCCCCTTTTCAAAAAACTGGGTTGTTTTCTGAATTGCCGAGTATATATTATAAGAGTACATATGATCATGATACAACTATTTTGTATGTAGATACAACTACATTATTAGATACGCAGTTTGAAAATTTTTGGCCCGGCATGATGGCTCATGCCTGTAATCCTAGCACTTTGGGAGGCCAAGGTGGGCGGATCGCTTGAGCTCAGGAGTTCAAGACCAGCCTGGGCAACATGGTGAATCCCCACCTCTAAAAGAAAAAAAGGAAAAGAAATTTTTTTCCACAGTGTGTGCCTTCTCTTCACAGTTTCTTAATAGTATCTTTTGAAGAAAAGAATATTTAATTTTGACTAAGTCCAATTTATCAACATTTTTCTTTTATGGCTCATGCTTTTGTTGTCATATCTAAGAAATCTCTGCCTAATGCAAGATACTAAGATCTCCTTTCATTTTTTTCTTCTACCAGTGGTTATCATTTTAGTTCTTCCATTTAGTTCTATGAGTCGCTTCAAGTTCATTTTAAATGTGGTGTAACATAAGAACAGAAATGTGGTTTCTGGCATAGTTACCCAGTTGTTTCAGTACTGTATGTAGACAAAGCCTTCCTTCGCCTACTGGATTACCAGCACCTGTGTCAGGAATTTTTGTTTTTTCCAAATTCTCAACAGTCATTAGCTTCAAGATTCAGAAATGAGAAATTCAGAATTCCCAAATCATAAAATATTCTGCATTTTTCATAGCATTGTGTTACATGTTGTTGAATAATGAGTTATAAATAGCAAATCACTTTTATGTGATACACTTATACTGAAAGCTTCAGGGGTCAGTTCTATAAAGTAAGATATAATAATATATGCACAGGTTATTATTATGAATGAATACACTGTGAGAAAAGCACGTATTTCAATAACACATAAAAATAACCTCTACCTGATATAGACGTTTGTTAACAGAAAACATTAAAAACACAGTAGCACCAAATGAATGCCAAATATCATTTAAAAATTGAAAGATGCCACAAATATTTAAAAGTTATTCTTAAATGATACTTTAAAACACACAAGTATTAACTAATATTTGTTTTGTGAAAAATATTCCAAATGTAGAAAAGCTTCTTTCATTTTATGCTGAACATTGGTCAAGAGTTGGTCAAACTCTTCAGAGTGGTGTCCAAAGCCAACTGCAGTTAGGATTTAGACTATATACGGCTTCATATAAGCCCAATTCCTTTCCTAGTGTTGAAAATATTTTGTCTGCTTGCCTTGATTTTGCTCTTAAAATTGATACTGCTTTTCCTAATTCAAATTTTATATCAGCTGATTTCACATTAAGAGTATTCCACAATCATATTCACACATCTTCTCTTTACATTTCTCCTGTAAAAGTATTTACAAAGAACCGTAGCCTACATTAAATATTCAAACACTGGAAAACACCAGTGAACATTATTGGATTCTATGAAGATAATGTAACATTTGGCTATCCTAGCAAGGTTAACAGCACTACACAGGAATCACGCTTCAAAGCTACCAACTTAAGGGCTGCTGCCAAAACTTACATCTTCCAACAAGACTTGGAGGATTTTGTAAAGTATACTCATGTGCAAAACTCAATAGATTTTTATTGAGAAGAATGACTCACTATTAATAGCAGGCAGGGCCATAAACATACACTTGCAATATGGTGACAGTGACAAGCAAGAATGACGTGATTGGAATGTGACCCCTTCTCTCCTACATGTTGCTGTCCTGGTTCTGAAATGACGACCTTAATCTCTGACTCCATGTGTCGCTGACTGTGCTCTTGCCTTTGACCTGATGCTGGATAATTCCTTTAAACTAGTAATGCCCATGTTGGCTGTTAAAATTTTAGTTCTCGCAGAATATTTCCTTTTCCTGATTTCTTGACTCATTTTTCTCACAATTTGGAATAAGAGACAAATGTCTCTAAATGCCAAGAAGGAATTCCTGCATGGAAAAACTATGGGAAATCAACTGATCACACATATGTGGTTGTATTCTTGGACTCTCTATTCTATTTTGTTTCACTATCTGTCTTTCCTTACCCAGCCCCACACTGTACTACTACAGTTTTACAGTAAGTTTTCTTTTTTTTTTTTTTAAACTGATGGGGTCTGGCTCTCTCACCTGGGCTAGAGAGCAGTGGTGCAATCACAGCTCACCGCAGCCTCAACCTCCCAGGTTCAAGCGATCCTCCTACCTCTACCTCCTGAGTAGCTGGGACTACAGGCATGCACTACCACACCTGACTAATTTTTAATTTTTTTGTAAGGATGGGGGTGTCTTGCTATGTTGCCTCAGGCTGGTTTTGAACTTCTGGGCTCAACTGATCCTCCCTCCTTGGTCCCCCAAAGTGCCGGTATTATAGGCGTGAACCATCATGCCTGGCCTACAGTAAGTCTTAAAGACAGGTAGAGCAAGTCCTTTAGTTGGCTGGAACGTTCATGCGCTGTATAAAATAACAGTACCCTTTCATTTTAAAGAGCTGCTGTTTGCAACATTCTCATATTTGGTAACTGTATATGACCCTTTTAAGCTGGACACATGTACACTCCCATTTTGCAGACAAGAAACCTCATCTTCAGGGTAAATGACCTCCCCCAGGTACTGCAGCTGGGCAGGTGGCTCTGAGATTGCACTCCAAGTTCAATGTTCTTGGCACTGCTTTATAAACTCCCATCTTCCTAGGGCCAGCTCTCCTCACTGTGCCGGTCTCAACAGAAAAGAGACCCCCGCACCATCCCCACGGAGGAGCCGAAACAGCCACTTACCTTGTCACATTCATTCCTCTGCCCTGTTTTATTTTCCTCCTCCTACTCGCCTCTGCCTTGCCTCTTATTTATGTCCTTACTTATCTATTCTCTCTCTCTGTCACTAGAATGTACGTTCCATGAGAGCAGGCTCTTACACTGCTTGTGCTCTCCGTACCTGGCACAGGGCCTGGCATAGAGTAAGTCCTTGGCCAAGGTTTGCTGAATGGATAAAATAAATGAAATAAGTGAAAGCTACCTCCCTAAAAGCAATAATGCAAGTGACAAACAACAAATTGCTTATTTTATCCTGAATTAGAAATAATATGAACATAGTTTACATTCCAGTGTATGGGCAGCTTCTCCTGCTAGGCTGAATGAAAGCACATTCCCTACTAGATGTAGCTAAGGGATTGAGGGAAGGTCCCACTGTGCAAACTACCTCACACAGCAAAATGAACTGGAGAGATCCGGTAAGTGGGAGCTAGAAATGCCTTTTTATTGTGTTCACAAACTTTCATGGTGAATTCGAATTCCATGAGCATGACTGTTTCTGTGTTTGGGGCTCAATTTAGGTGGGAGAGGGGAGGATGTTGGACAACCTATGCTCAGTTCAGAAGCCAAACCCTCGGAGATCACTGATAAACCAGGATTCTTATTTCTAATAAAGAATTTGAGTCTTGGGGCCAGGCGCAGTGGCTCACACCTGTAATCCCTGCACTTTGGGAGGCCGAGGTGGGCAGATCACTTGAGGTGGAGTTCGAGACCAGCCTGGCCAACATGGTGAAACCTCGTCTCTACTAAACATACAAAAAACAGCCGGGCATCATGGTGTATGCCTGTAATCCCAGCTACTCGGAAGGCTGAGGCAGGAGAACTGCTCGAACCTGGGAGGCGGAGGTTGCAGTGAGCCAATATCGCACCATTGTACTCCAGCCTGGGGGACACAGTGAGACTCTGTCTCAAAAAAAAAAAAAAAAAAAAAAAAAAAAGAGTCTGTAAACAAACTTAACATTAAATAAGGTCTGAATGGTAGCTGTCTGGTAATAAGGACATCTCTTGTGGAATAGGGGTGTGTGTGTGGGGGTGTGTGTGTGGGTGTGTGTGTGTGTGTGAGAGAGAGAGACAGAGAAAACATGAATGCATTGTGTATCTGCTCCATCCTAGACATAAAGCTTACTTGTGAATACGAGGCTTAAGAAAAAAATTAGTTCAACATTACAAAGAATCAATAGCATTCAATAAGAAATACTTTTCACAAGAAACTATTTTGAATATTTCAAACAATCCCCTATTGTCAACTCACTTTAACACAGAAAAGATTGATGCAAACATGAAAGATACTACATTAATAATAATTTCTAAATGTAAAATATATTATCAATATACAATTAGTTGGACCTGAATTTAGAACATCTGAAATTTTCAGAGGCTAGGATCAAATTTACTTTTGTACTAAAATTTACCTTTTGACTTCAATCAAAGGACTTACTAATCAAATTAGTAACATAATCAAGGCTATAAGAAAAACAAAACATCATCCCTGCAAACCAAAAGGCCAACTATTTCAGAAAATAAACTACTTTTTAAAAATTTCCAGGAAGTTAAACATGAGCGATTGAACACACTATTTATCTGCAGAGAGAAGATAACACCTATGGAGGAAAAGAGAACAGGAGAGGCAGCATCAGAGAATGGGGTATCAGCTCACCTTGCAGGCACTCTCTTTGTAGAGGAAAAGCAGGGAGAAGAGTGGCAAAGAGCTCTGCATAGAGGCAGAAACAGAAATCTGAGTGCTCTACAAAAGGCAGATTCACCCAATTAAGCCATGCAAAATCTCAGCACAACCAGGCCCTAGATTCCTAAAACGAGCAGGTGATGAGGACTGGAGCCATGTCAGGAGGGAGCAAGGCTGTAATAGGATCCCCTACCCCAGGGAAGCCAGGGCACTGGTATCACCCCAGGCCAGTAGGAGCTAGATAGGAGGTTTATACTCTGGAGAAAGCGATCTCCGCAGGCTCAGCGGCACCAGGTACAATGGTGAAGAGTGACAGTGAGGCGAAATGAGCTGACGAAATGGGGTAGCCATCCCCCACATACCGAGGAGTGAGGCTGTCCAGCTCCCTTCTGCCAATCTGTACCCAGAGCACAGCAGTTAGGTTTGTATCCCCCAAGCTGAAAATCAGAGCATCAATCTCTAAAAAAAACTGAAACCTTACAGCTAATTCATATTTAACGTTGAAAGATTGAAAGCTTTCCTCCTAAGATCAGGAATAAGATAAAGATGTCAGCTCTCACAACTTCTATTCAACAATGTACTAGAGGTCCTAGCCAGAGAAATAAAGGCAAGAGAAAGAAAATGTGTATGGGAAAATTTGTACTGGGGAGATAAATGCAAATGTCTTTATTTGTAGATAGAATTTCTCAAACGAAAAATATCCAATACTCTACAATAAATTATTAGAACTGATAAGTGAGTAAGTAAGGTTGGTTTAAGAATACAAGGTCAAAATTAAAAAGCTATTATATTTCTTTATATTAGCAATAAATGACTGGAAGTGGAACTTTAAAAATATATGACTTACAATAGATCAAAAGGTAAAATACTAAGGGACAACTCCAGTATAGCATATGCAAAATTTGCATGCTGAAAACTATAATACACTGATGAGAGAAATCAAAGAAAGCCCAAGTAAGTGAAAAGATACACTACATTCATGGGTTGGAAGACTCAATGTAGTTAAGATGTTAATTCTCCTCAAAATGGTTTACAGGTTCAACACAATTCCAATCAAAGAGCTAGCAGACTTTTTGTAGAAACTGACAAACTGACTAAAACTTTTGTGGAAAAGTGAATAGAATAAACTTTTATATAGAAAAGACAAGATTAAAGGTACAATATTTGATTTCAAGGCTCACTACAAAGCTACAGTAATCAAGACAGTATGGTATTGGTGAAAGAACAGACATATAGATCAATGGAATAGAATAGTGTCCAGAAATAGACCCATACGTATATGACCAAATGATTTTTGACTAAGGAGTTGTAATTCAGTAATTTACTTTTCATAAAATAGTGCTGGAATAATTGCATATCTATATGCAAAAAATAAACTCATACCCATGCCTCATAACCGTATATAAAAATTAACTTGAAATAGATCATATATCTAATATAAAACTGAGAATAATTAAAAACTGCTAAAAAACATGAGAAAATCTCTGTGACCTTATCTAGGCAGAGTTCTCATGTAGATATAAGAAGCGTAAGCCATAAAGGAACTGAATCAGCCTCAGAGAAAAGACATATTAATTATAAAGCCAATTTTTCACCTCAACATCCTACACAGAAAGACCATCAATAAGATTTGCCTCCACACCCAGAGCTTCTTATCAATTTTTAGTTCATTCTTAAAAAATAATGGATGGCCAAGAACAGCCAAATATTTAAAGAAAGCTTCCAACATGACAGACAAAAACCAAAACAGACCAATATACAGACAGAAATAAAGGAACTCTGAGGAAACAAGCACAGAGTAGGGAGCTGAAGGAAACTTTACAAACTACAGCCAGTCCTTGCTTTGCACGTAGTACAGGATCATAAAAACATCTGGACAACGGAAGGGTGAGTATTCTACACTCGTACTCCTTTGTAAGTTTGAATCATCTTCCAAAGGGTTGTCCTTTGCACTCTAAAGGTGTTCTACACTCACCTTGAAATCAAAGAAAAATGGATTTTTCTGTGACCTTTAGAAACTTTCGTCAAAACATTATTAAGTCTCTGACTCTGGGTTAAAAATAGAGAAACAAACAAACATACAAAAGGTAAAGCCACAACATTTAGTACACTGCAATTTAAAGCATCAGAAACCACTGAGAATTAAAGTGTTTTATTTCTTTGTATAAAACTTATGTCTATATAATGATATAGATCAATGACTAAATAACAAATAAGAGACAAATCTCTTGTTCAGAATAATTACAGACACTCCTCCCCCAAGGAGGTGGAACATAACTCCCCACCACTTAGACTTGGGCTGTGTACAGTGACTTCCTTTCAAACAGCAGAGTGTGGAAAGAGAGAGAACAGTAACTTCATGTGGAGAGATCTGGCAAACACCACCTCAACCCAGGTGATGAAGGTTAACATCCCAAGTGAGAAATCACATTGACAGCATGTTCCCTTGATATGAAGTGATGAGGATGGCACTTCATCACGGGTCTTCCATCCAAAACCCATAACCTTAGTCTAACCACTAGAAAAATATCAGACAAACTCAAGTTGGAGGACATTCCATAGATTAGCTGGCCAATTTCATCCTGAAACTGTCAAGGTAATCAAAAACAAGGAGAGTCAGAGAAACCATCGTGGTCTAAAGAAGCCTATGGAGATATGATGGCCAAATATAATATGGTATCCTAGATGAGATCCTGAAACTGAAACAGAAAAAGGACATTAGGTAAAAACCGAGGAAATGTGAATAAAGTATGAGCTTTTGTTAAAAACAAAAAAACTTATTCAGGGTAGTTTAAACAGTGTGTGCCTTCTTCTTGCCATGTAACTTATGATATGCAGTGAGTGTTTCTTCTATGCCTGGGTGAACTGTTGTACTCCTTTGTAAGTGTGAATCAGCTTCCAGTGGGTTATCCTTTGCGCTTTCAATGTAGTGAAATATCTCTGAGAGCTCCTTTAATGTGAAAGTTTGTGCTGGCGTTACTTCTTCTGGGACATCTTCATCCTTTTTGTCACAACCACTTTCCTCATTTATGCTGATAAGTTGCCTTCGTTAAGTTCCTCTGGCTGCAGATTTACAGTAACTCAAATGGCAGCAGTGTCAACATTCCCGTGGTCAGCTAATTCTTCTTTATAATTCTACTTGTTTTGATTTGAATTTCACTTCCAACATTATCACTTATTGGTTCCTTATGACACTTTCATCTTGGTTGATCAATTCTCTCTTTTGATTATCCATTTGAAAAGAATGTTGCCTGGGTTTATCACTGAGAAACAAGGAGACAACATAATGACATGTTTTGCTGTCTGAGTGAATAGAATAATGAATGTGCAGACACACAGACTCTGAAAGAAGTGACCTGATTGGTGACAGATTAGGATGTGCATCTGTTTTCTACACAGGGATGAGTGGACTGAAGAGCTAGTAGTGAAGTTTATACTTTATTCAATTACTCACAGTTAACACATCGTAGTCACTGAAATTGGAATCATATTATTGGGGGACTGGTGTTATTTAACTAACCTGGTGACTGAAATCCATGCATATCAGAACCATGCACAGAGAATTACTTGAAAAATTAATGTCCTTATAGACATAAAAGATAATTCTACATCCAACAAGGAAGAGCTGTATGCATTCTTTCAAAGGAATATTGTGAAGACAAGAATTCTTAGAAATTAAAATAGGAGTTGAAAGAAAAAAAAATCCAATGAAAGTATTGAAGGGGGAAAGTCAGAGAAATGTCCAAGAAATGAACAAATAGATGAAAGACAATAGAAGGGAACAAACAAAGACAAAAACATTAGAGGATAAATCCAGGAAACCGACATTTAACCACGGGAGTTCCAGAAAGAAAGAAGAGAGAAATGAAAGAAAAAAACTGTCAAGGAAATAAAACAATATATTTCCCACAAAATAAAAGACACAAGTCACAAATCACAAGTCTTCAGTCTGTAACAGCCCACAGGGAGTACCCAGCATAACACTTCCAAGGCCCATTACTGTGGAATTTCAAAACACTGGGAGAGAAAAAAGAATATTCTCGAAAATTCCAGAAAGGCCCAGATTGAGAGACAGAGAGAGAAGAAGAAGAAGAAGAAGAAAAGAAAAAAGAGGCTCTATAAAAAGGATCTTGAATAAAACTGACATTAGATTTCTGGATAGCATGTTTGAATGCAAAGACACAAAAGACACTGGAGCAACTTCCATTCCAGCCAAGATGGAATAACATAGACTGATTTACCTACCCAGCCAAAACAACCAAAAGAATCAGACAAAATACATGAAACAATGGTTCTGAAGGCACTGGACATTGGGCAAGGAAGCACAGTGATCCCTGAGAGACAGGAAACTAACGAGGTGAACCCAGTGACTGCCCCAGTTTACTGGTTAGAGAACCCTGGGTATCTGCACAGGAATTCCTCGATGATTCAGCAGAGGACTGATCAGCACATAATGGGTGAGCAATTCCCCAGGGCTGGGGAAAGAACCATCCAAAAGGATTCAAGGGAACAATATATGGTGCTCACACAGGGCTGAGAACAACGCCTGTTCCCACCAGCTAACTTGGGAAAACACATACATCACAGCACTGGGGAGACTAGTTTGGAAGGTCTTAGGCAATGAACACTGCTCCAGACCCAGCAAACTACAAAAGTAAGACCTGAAAAAATCAAACTGATTCCAAATATCTCAACGACATACTGGAAACAAAGCTCAAGAACATTTATAGGAATACAAAAATATCTAGTACACCACAAGGTAAAATTTATAATATATGGTAAAATTTATAATATAAAGACTACCAGGTTTCCTTCCTGTAGGAGATAGCTTAAAAAAGAAAAAAGTAAAATAACAAAGACTATCAGGTATGCAAAAAGGCAGAAAAACACAACCCACAATAACAGTAATCAATGAACTGAAAGTGATGTGGAACTGATACACATGTTAGAATTAACAGAGTAGGACACTGAAGGGTATTTATAACTGCACTCCATATGTTGAAAATGATAAGCTACAAACCAAACAGAACTTCTAGAAATGAAAATTACAATGTCTGAGATAAAGACCCAGCAATAGTAACTATCCAAAATAAAACACAGAGAAAAAGAATTTTAAAAATTAAAGAGAGCATCTGTGACCTAGAGGACAACTTCAAGCACCTCAATATACATGAGTAATTGGAGTCCCTAAAAGACAAAATGAGAGCGGGAAAAAGAAAAAAAATCTTTCAAAATAATGGTTGAAAAAAGTCCAAACTTTTTTTTTTGGGGGGGGGGGGACGACAAGGTCTCACTCTGTCACCCAGGCTGGAGTGCTGTGACACAATCACAGCTCACTGCAGCCTTGACCTCCCTAGGCTCAAGTGATCCTCCCACTTCAGCCACCCTAGTAACTGGGACTACTGGCATGTGCCACCACGTCCAGCTAATTTTTTTGTGTGTGTATTTTTTTGAAGAGACAGGGTTTTGCCATATTGCCCAGGCAGGTCGTGAACTCTTAGGTTCAAGAGATCCACCTGCCCCGGCCTCCCAAAGTGCTAGGATTACAGGCATGAGCCACTGCACCCAGCCCAACATGTCCAAACTTGATGAAAGCTATAAATCCAGAAATCCAAGAAGCTCAGTAAATCCCAAGCTGATTAGAAACTTGAAGAAAACATTACCAGGGCACATCATAACCAAATTACTCAAAACTCATGATAAAGAAGAACTTGTAAAAAGTAGCCACAGAGAAAGTTGTATTACATACAGAGAAAAAATATGGGGATGACAACAGATTTCTGTCGAGAAATAATGCAAGTGAGAAGAAAGTGGAGCAGTATCTTAAAATGAATGAAAGAAAAAAACTCTGTCCATTTAGAATTCTATACCCAGCAAAAATATCTTTCAAAAATGAAGGTGAGGCCAGGTGTGGTGGCTCACGCCTGTAATCCCAGCATTTTGGGAGGCTGAAGCAGGCAGATCACCTGAGGTAAGGAGTTCAAGACCAGACTGGCCAACATGGCAAAACCCCATCTCTACTAAAATATACAAAAATTAGCCAGGCGTGGTGGCGCACACCTGTAATCCCAGCTACTGAGAGGCTGAGGCAAGGGAATTGCTTGAACCCAGGAGGCAGAGGTTGCAGTGAGCTGAGGTTGCGCCACTGCACTCCAGCCTGGGCAACAGAGGAAGATTCTGTTTGGAAAAATAAAAGTAAAAAAAAAAAGGTGAAATAAAGACATTTTTATACATACAAAAGAACTTGGGAGGCTGAGGCAGGACCACTTGAGCCCAGGAATTGGAGACCAGTCTGGGCAACATAGTGATACCTCATCTCTAAAGAAATGAAACAAACAAAAAAGCTGAAAGAGTTCATCACCAGCAGGTCTTTGCCATAAGACATGGTTGACTCCTTCAGGCAAAAGGGAAATGATAACAGATGGAAATATGTATAGAACTACACAAAGGAATGAGGAAATACTTACATGGGTAAATAGATAAGATTTCTTTTCCTTTTCTTTTTTTTAAATGAGATAGGATCTTGCTCTCTGTTACGTAGGCTGGAGTGCAGTGGTGTGAACACAGCTCACTGCAGCTTCAACCTCCTGGGCTCAAGGGATCCTCCTGCCTCAGCTTCCCGAGTAGCTGGGACTACAGGCATGTGACACTAAGCTCGGGTGCCACCAAGCTCGGCTAATTTTTTGGCTTTTTGTAGAGACAGAGTCTTTCCACATTGCCCAGGCTGGTCTCGAACTCTGGGCTCAAGTGATCCTCCCAATGTGGTCTCCCAAAGTGCTGGGATTACAGGCGTGAGCCAATGCACCCAGCGTAAGATTTCTTATTACTTAATTCTTTTAGAAAATCACCGACTAAATAAGAAATATAACAATGTTGCATGCTGTTAATAACATATAAATGTTATTAACACTAATAGCACAAAGGTTGGGAGCTGGGAAATTTAAGTATATTACTGTAAGATTCTTATGCTATATGTGAATTGGTATAACTTGAAGGAAGACTATGATAGGTTAAAAGAAAATATTATATATCCTAATTCAATCCCAACCAAAATTTTACCAGATGCTTTTATGTAAATTTATAAGCTGATACTGAAGTTCATAGGGAAATACAAAGGATCTAGAATAGCCAAAACAATTATGAAAAAGAAGACCAAAGAGAACAAAGTTGGAGGAAGGCTGAGGGTGGGGAAAGGAAGCAACCTGGAGTGGGTGAGAGCAACAGAGCTGAATCCTTACCTATCCTATTTGTAAGTCAAAAGATAAACAGAAAAATCAAGAAGTATGGATGGAGCTAAAGGCCATTATCCTTAGCAAACTCACACAGAAACAGAAAATCAAATACTGCATGTTCTCACTTATAAGTAGGCACTTTGTTCCTCCAAAATGGACACAAAGCGGAGAATGACAGGCACTAGGGCCTACTTAAGGGTGGAGGGTGGGAGGAGGATCAGAAAAAAGTAACTATTGCGTACCAGGCTTAGTACCTGGGTGACGAAATAATCTGTACAACAAACTTCTGTGATACAAATTTACCTATATAACAAATCTGCACATGTACTCCAGAACCTAAAATAAAAGTTAAAAAAAATGAAGAAGTAGCAGTAAGTACATTATTTGAGAAAATAAATATCAAAAGAAAGAATTGAAAGTGGTTGTCTCTGAGGGACAGGATGAGGGTAGCAGAGGACTGCCATTTTTTATTATAAACTTTTTTTGTACTATTTGGCTTTTAAAGACAATGTTCATAGCTTTCATTGAAAATATTTTTTTTTAAATGTCAAGGGCTTCACAAAGATTCACTCAATATGTGAAAAATCACTACTGCGATGTTAAGTCATGACTTGTCTTTAAAGGGTATACAGAACTCAGCTCTGTTACGATTTGGCTTTATGACCTTGAATATGACAGCTTCTCTGAGCCTCCAGTCCTCTTTTGTAAATTTGTAACGTGACAGAGGATGGACCAGATCACTTCCAAGTTCCTTCTGGCTCCACAAGTCCATGTTTATCAGGTAACATTTTTGCTTACACAGTTACAGATACCACCCACCCATTCCTTAAAAGAATACATTACATTTCTTCAAAAATGTCCTCCCATCTATCCTCACCTCCATCCATCTGAGTTACTGTGGTATTACTACATTCCACAATCATTAACATTTGCAGATAGAAATGACACAAAAGAAAACATTCAAAGCCAGTTACCTAAACAACAAACTTTATATCTTAACCCTGTATGTTTCTGAAGATGTTCCATCTCTTTGGAAACTGTCATTTTTGGTTCCTTCCGGCTTTCCTATAAACCCACTAACACTAATTTGAGAAGAAAAGAAAATCCCCTAATGGCATCTGGGCAGGGTCAAATTTGGAAGTATACTACTCCTTCACAAACAGTGACCAAAAAAAAGAGGTAGGTGCCTGGAAGGATCCACCTACTCCTCTCTCCTCTCCGCTTGTGCACCCCGCTTTTCCTGATGCCCCTGCAGGCAAATGACCAGAAATAAGAGGAAGCCATCAACCATGTGGAGAAGTCTATTCTAAATTCTCACAGTTTCATTATGTCATTAACTTAGCAATCCTAAATGGACATTCATGTCAGATTTTTAGGCAAATTCCAAATGAAGGCATCATTAGCACTAACAATTTAATGTGATGAAGGAACAGGGTATGATGGCATTACCAGAAGGAGAAGAAATGGGGGGCCCACCTGATAGGCTGCTCATCACATGGAGAATGTCATTTCAGCCCCCCTCAGAACAAGGAATCACCTACCAAAAGCTGTAACATCAAGAAACACAATGCTTCTTGCCCCTTGATTTAGTTTGTGAAGACTCTTCCGGGGTTAATTTGCAATTATAGCAAACTAGAAACTAATCTGCCAAGAATTCGGAGTCATTAATTTACGAAGATGAACCAATGTACCACATGGTCATTCACAAGAATTCCCCAATTCTCTTTATCAAATAGATGACACCTAATGTAATACTCAGAAAACAGTGGTGTGAATACTGATTTCTGCAGCATTGCATGATATTGATTACCTTTTAAATTATTTTCCCTTAAAAAATGGCATGAAAAGTCTTCAGACCTAATATTCCAAGGCATGTACATACTCCTACCTTCAGGTGGCTCTTTCAGTCTGAACAAAAGGTAAGGCAATACAAATAAGGTAGATTATGGTGCAATTATCAAAAGAATGTCATTCCTCTCTGCCTTACTGTAAGCAAAGCAATTGAAAACATTCCTAACACGACTTTATACTGTTAAAAGAAAGAAAACAGTCTGCATGGCCTTCTGAGCAGGACAGTGAGTGGGAAGACATGTTCCAAGTGTGGTACAGGATCTCCTGCTCATTCATTTATTTAAACGTTTTTCCAAGTGGCCACAAGGTATTACTTGCTAGGTGCGGGAACACTAAGAAGAATACGTGACAATCCCTGACTTTTTCTTTTCACTTCTTACAAGAGTCCCAAAGGCAAAGAATTCCCAAGGACTCTGGGTGGCACAGAAGGCATCTCACAAGGCACTTCTAGTCGAAGGGAAGGATCATAAATGGATATCTTAGGAGGGAGCAGGCATTTTGTAAAGAGCATGAATGGGATTTGGGAAGAGAGAGAGGAGGGCTTGAATTTATTGATTGGTTTTGTGACTCTGAGCAAGTTCCTCAATTAAAAAATGGGTTACTGTGAAGATTAAGAAACAAAACAAAATAGAAAAGTGTGTGTTATGGTGCCTGGCACATGAGAGACTCTGTAAATGCCAGTGCCTTCTCTGTCACCTCCCTTTCCTATGGTGGGAAAGGTGGACAGTCGGTCCATGTTTTTAGAGAAGACACTGATGTGGGTCTTCAGAGAGAAGACCAATGAAAAACATCAGAAAAAGAGGAGGGAAAGAGAAGGAAGAGCAGTAAGGAGGCACAAGGAGCAAGAATAGCTTGTATAGGATGGTCCCCAGTGTTGGGCAGCAAGGAGGAAAGTGTTCCAGCAGCCTTGCTGATGGGCAGGTAAGCCATCAGCCACATGGGCATTAGCTAATTATTCTGTTCGGAACCTGTGGATCACTGAGAACCACCTCAACTGCCCTACTCTATTGGAAATGTACACAAGTTTCTAGTTTCACAGTTCTACTCCTCCCCAACATTTTATTATGAAAACTTCAAATATATAGAAAGTTTAAAGAACTATACAGTACAGGCACAGTGATGTGTGACTGCAATCCTAGCTGCTTGGGAGGCTGAGGTGGGAGGATCGCTTGAGCCCAGGAATAGGAGACCAGCTGGGGCAACACAGCAAGATCCCATTACTAAATAGATAGATAGATAGATAGATAGATAGATAGATAGATAGATAGATAAAATAAAATAAAGATAAAACATTTGAAACACTAAAACAAACAAACAAAGAAATAAAAAAAACACACATAAAAAAACGACCTAAAAAAACGGGTCTGGTACAGTGGCTCACACCTGTAATCCCAGCACTTTGGGAGGTCGAGGTGGGTGGGTCATCTGAGGTTAGGAATTCAAGACCAGCCTGGCCAACATGGTGAAACTCGGTCTCTACTAAAAATACAAAATTAGCCAGGTGTGGTGGCACATGCCTATAATCCTAGCTACTTGGGAGGCTGAGGCAGGAGAATCGCTTGAACCCGGGAGGCGGAGGTTGCCATGAGCCAAGATCGCACCAGGAGGCAGAGGTTGCAGCGAGCCAAGATCGCACCACTGCACTCCAGCCTGGGCAACAAAAGCAAAACTCCATCAAAACAAACAAAACTATAGTAAACACCCATATACCCATCACAGATTTGAGTCCTTTTGCATTTGGGAAAAAGAGGCACAAAAGGGAGATTCTAGAAAATTCTCATTTTGCAAACCTTTGGCTTCTGCACTATCAGCAAGCTGAATGAAATGAAAAATCTTTGCTTCAGAGATTCTTGAATGGCCAAAAAGGAGGCCCCTCAGATCTGGAGATCGTATTTAAACATGGAACCACCTATCAGTACAAGGACAAACTTGGCTTTGGGCCACAGCAGTCATTTTTCATTCATCCACCAACCTCCCCTAAATAAACACAAACATGCTGCAGTTTCTGCTGGCTTATGATGTACTAGCAGAATTTTTAAAAAGCATAAAGTGTCAAAAAAAAAAAAAAGAACTACGAGGAAAATGTTAAGGATTTCTACATCTGGCAATTAAAATACAGGATTTATACATTTTATGCTTTATTTCCGCTAACACCACTATAAATTATACAGGACTAATCCTAAATGCACATGATATGGGCAACTCAAACAGAAAATCTGTTTTGCATTTAGGTAACAGACATGGAAAAAATAGTATTTCACTTTCCTAACATCTAAGTATGCTGAGGGCAATTTGTTTCAATTATTAGCACCTTATACTATCACAAAAAATTATACTATTACATGAAGATAAGTACTCAATAATATAACACATTGTTAGAAACATAGATGATAATGAGACTTTTAATTATGGTTATAACATGAAGGTATAGAAAGAAAACAATTTTCAAATATTACTGCTATTATGAAACATGAAAGCGTTCTAACACAACAAAGGTCATATAAGTATAAGGTGATGTTAAACTTAGCTTCATGTTATTTAAAATAAAATCCTGAGATGACACAGTGCTTTAATGTGTGAGGTGAAAGCAGGCTTTCAGTGCTGAGTTCCAAATTTCTGCATACAGGAGCCTTTAAATGGAAATACTGAATTTTATTGGAGACACTGAGAAACCTTTCTATGTTTTCAAATTTAAAGAAAGCTAAGTCATTGCTAAAATCTCCTAAACTTTAATGAAATAATTACAAATTTAAAAAAACTATAGAAATCTTAGAGTTTGGATGATTATTATTATTATTATTATTATTATTATTATTATTTGAGACAGGGTCTCACTCAGTCACCCTCGGCCAGAGTGCAGTGGTACAATCTCAGCTCACTGCAGCCTCGACTTCCTCAGCTCAAGTAATCCTCCCACCTCAGCCTCCCGCCACAGCTGGGACTACAGGGGCACACCAACACACCCGGCTAACTTTTGTAATTTTTGTAGAGACAGGGTTTCGCCATGTTGTCCAGGCTGCTCTTGAACTCCTGAGCCCAAGTGATCTGCCCATCTCAGCATTCCAAAGGGCTGGGATTATAGGCATGAGGCATCTGGCCTGGCTGAGTTTGAATTATTTTTAAAAAATACATATAGATATTTTCTTTGCTCTGTTGCCCAGGGTCTTGCTCTGTTGCCATGGCATAATCACGGCTCATCACTGCCTCAAACTCCTTAGCACAAGCAATCCTCCCACCTCAGCCTCCTGAGTAGCTAGGTTTACAGGCATGAGCCACCATGCCTAATTTTTTGATTTTTGTTGTTGTTGTTGTTAGAGATGGGATCTTGCTATGTTGCCCAGGCTGGTCTTTAAGCTGTCCTTAAGCAATCCTCCCATCTCATCCTCCCAAAGGGCTAGGATTACAGGTATGAGCTACCATGCCCAGCTGATACAGGTAATTTTTAATAAACACAATTGTTCTGCTTCCCCAGCTGTGCTTTTGTCAAAGTCTGTAGAGTTGACACTTCACACTCTCACTCGATTAAAGCAGACCTTCATCTAAAAATCAATCCATCCATTTGCCAGATGTGTTACAGCCCATACAACAGGTGAGACGAGAAAGGCCAGATCTAAAAGGCATTTTAATAAATAAAGCATAAAATAGAAAAGCAGTAACTGAAAATTATGAACTCAAATGTGATAACTCATATTATATGATAATTCACTCATGAATTATCAATAATTCATAATTCTCTATTTACATTTTTTAAGTATTCTAGGTTTCACATCAGCATTCTCTCCATTCTCAACCATCAAAAGAAAGGTTTCATGTAAAATTCTACTATTAAAATAGTATTCCAAGTTGTCTGAATCCCTTTAAAATTTTTTTAAATTGCGGTAAAGTACACATAAAATTTAGTGTCTTAACCATTTTAAACGTACAGTTCTGCAGCATTAAGTCCACTCACACTGCTGGGCAACCAATCTCCTGTAGTACTGAATCACATTAAACAACTCCCCATTCCCACCTCTCCTCAGGTGGGGGCAATCACCGCTCTACTTTCTGTCTCTATGAATCTGACTTACTCTAAGAACCTCATATAAGTGAAATCATCTGGTGTTTTGTCTTTTTGTGATGGGCTTATTTCATTTTGCATAATGTCCTCAAGGTGCTTTTATAGCTAAGGAGCAGAATTTACACCTATATCTTTATCTTAACCAAATTACATTTTTACAATTTGCTTGAAGCAAATTGAAGCATGTATTAGAATCTCCTTCCTTTTTAAGGCTGATTAATATTCCACTGTAAGCATATGCCACATTTTGCTTATCCAAATTGTCCACATCTCTTTATGTGATGCTACTCTCAGGAATCTTGTTGAACTATCCCCTCTCAAAGAAAGCAACCGTGTCCTGACCTACTGGTCCAAGAGATGTCAAAGGAAGGAGACAAACTACATTCATTCGTCTTTCCTGGATACCCAACCAGACAGATATGCCAGAGGGGACATCTGTTAGAGGTGTACCACATCTTTATTAAAAACCAAGTTTTATGTCTTTGTGTACATTACATGGTAAAATCAATTTTCCTGGTTAATCATTCTATTTTATTAGTAACTGCACACTTTAAAATTCTGCATTTTACATTAACGAGACTCTAGTTTTATGCTGAATATTTACTTGAATATTTTAAAATACTCTTTTGAGAACAGGCTGATCCTTTCTTACAAGTGTGCAGCTGGTAAGGTGCAAAGTAGCTGAATTCAGAGGGAGGAATGAGTGGGGGTGGTGGAAATTCTTCCTTACTTATTAAAGTAAATAATTTAGAACAGGTGTTAAAGGTCTCTACCACTTTTCCAGTCTGAAATTAGCATAGCCCTTTAAAAGCCAACTAGACCTAGCCAAAACTGGCAAAGAGGAGGGAAAGGTGGTGGCGGGTTAGCAGGAAAAGCTCTCGATTTGCTGCTAGAACATGAAGGCACAAAAAACATGGCACCTGCCAAAAGCAAATCAATGATTCTAGTAATAAGAGCAATGTATTTAAAGTTCTGAGAGAAAACAGTTTTGGGATCTAGAATTCTACATCCAGCAACATTATACATGCAAAACAATATAACATTTAAGAAAATTACTTCCCTCAAAAAAGTCCACACAAAAACCGCTGGGATGGCTGAAAGTTTCTTCTGGGCAGCAAAGTTTTAATGACATAGGAATACACTTTCTTCTCAATGTCCCATTTATGCAACTTTTTTTCTCTACAGAGGATAACATTTATACAACCATAATATTATACACGCTGCATCCTGATTGTCATCTCTTGGGATCAACTTATAAAGAGGGCACAAAAGTATAGATACAAAAAGTAGTAAATATTATAAATAATAACTAATCAAAGTGAGAAGAGGGCAGAAAGAGACGGAAGGCAGAATATACATACTAAATTCCAAATCTTTTATAGTAGTAATCAGGATACATTGTTCAAAGTTGGTAAGTCAAGAAATGGAGGTATTTAAAGGAATAACAGAAACCACCAAAAGAATATAACAGGAGCTGCCACTGGGAAGAGAAGCTGCGAGTGAGGAATGAAGATTTTCCTCCTTCATTTTACACTCTAGTGTACTACACGAATTTTTAAAAATTATGTGCATTTATCATTTCAGTGGTTTCAAAGGTGTCATGGGAAACATTTTCTCTGCTAAAATATACTTAACTTATAAGATCTACATTGAATTTGCCAACATTTACTCTGCCCAAATATAAGAGAGATTTTGCTGTGGCGGCTAGACTAGGTAAATCTACAGTCCTTTCCAAAAGCTAAGGCTCTATCCCAAGGGATAAGCAAATTGTAAAAATATAATTTGGTTAAGATAAAGATAGAGATGTAAATTCTGCTCCTTAGCTATAGAACCTAGAGCAAACAAGAGCTAAACAACAGGAAATTTCCCCAGAAAAAGCAAGACTAGGGACAGAAGAGGCAGTTAGAGCAGAACGGAGGTGTCCCAAGAGGCCCAGGGCAAGAGAGAAGCACCAAGGAAGAGTCAACACAGAGCTTCCTGGACTGCGTGAGACAGCCAGCTGCCATAAGGGTCAAAGGGGCCACTGCTTGCGCTGTAGACACACATTTTGAAATAGCAGTGGACAGTTGTGGGTCTCAAGGTGAGAGGCACCCACTCAAAGTGATGAATGTCTAAGCACAGGGCCAAGACAAAGACGGCAAAACGGGCTGAGTACACATTCTTCTGCCACAGTGCTAGTAGTTTCCAACCATTTTGTTGAAACCATGAGAAGGACCTTCTAAAAACTTCTAGTATATAGCTGGTAGGTGGAAATTTAGAGGGCGGCCTCCACTAAAAGGGCCAATGATTCTTTTTTTTCTTTTCTGAGTCTCATTTTGTCACCCAGGCTGGAGTGCAGTGGTGGGATCATGGCTCACTGGAGCCTCGACTTTCTGAGCTCAAGCCATTGTACCACCTCAACCTCCTGAGTATCTGGGACTATAGGCATGGGCCACCATGCCTGGCTAATTTTTGTTTGTTTGTTTGTTTGTTTTTTGGAGATGGGGTCTTGTCATGTTGCCCAGGCTGGTCTCGAGCTTCTGAACTCAAGCAATCCTCCAGCCTTGACCTCCCAAAGTGCTGGGGTTACAGGCATGCGCCACTGTGCTCAGCCAATGATCTTTTTATTTGACATGTCTTTATTATTGTAGCGTCATAAAGAGCTTTCATAGGTTCACCTGTGACACTGATTTACTGTATGTTCCTAAACTAAAAATTCCACTATAAGGATTTTCAAAACTCTAATCTTCAGGTTTAGAAGAGACTGCCATTTGCTATTTGAGAGAATCAAAGGGTCTCACGAGTTTTTATCAATTTCCATGTCATGCCCTACACACTGTGCACAATATAAAAGCATTTGGAATTTAAGAGCCAGAAGGGACGTCAGCATTCTTTCCACCAAAATGCCTCATTTAAGATGAGAAAACAGAGGCACACGCTGGGCTCTTGATGGGTATTTACTGAAGGGAAGAGAGAATGAAGAGTCTTTTCCGAGGTGCTAGGTGGTGGCAGAGCCTAAGCTGGAACCCTTGGCTTCTGGCTGCCTGATAAGTCAGTTCTCTGTCCACTCTGCCCTATGGCTTCTGTTGTCTCTAAGGATTTTTCAGTAGGAAGACAGAAAACACTTGCTCCACAAGCCCATTTATGAATAAATGTGTAAGCACTTTGACAAGGCAATGGGTCCTGGAATATGATCTGGTGAATTAGAATTCTCCTTCCTAAAGGGCTTTTTCCTCACCTTCTAATGTAATACATATATTCAGTTACTTTCAGAAACCACTAGCTGCAGGTGAAAACCATGTGGAATCCAAAAACCACAGCTTTGATATATGCATTAGCATTTCCTACCTAGCAGGAATTCGGAGAGCTACTCAATTTTCAAGGAAGGCTGAAATTTAGTCTCATAGAAAGGAAAGGCTAGAGGGAAGAGACTGGCCAATGGGATTTTCCCATCAGTTGAGATAAACCAAAGAGCAAGTAACCAAAGGGCATGACTGATTAAAATCTCTATCAGCACAAAGTGGCTTTAGAAAATCATTCCCTTTAATTAGAGAACATTACAGTATTAATAAAATGGGAATAGTAATAGCACCTATCTTTCAGGAAAGTTGCGAGTGTTGGTGTTGGCTTATGGGGACTGAGTACCTATTAGTGAGATCTTACATGTTTCAGCATCCACTGTAGAGGAGTATTCTCCAAACACTATGCTACCCTGTATTTCTTCAGATCCCACACCACCAAACCAAATCTTCCTCCCTCTCAAAGCAAACTATGTTCAGTCCAGTTTCTCCAGAACCCAAGCCCTCTCTTTTTTCCGGTTAACTATAAAATGCTTGAATATTCTGGACACTGAATCTATTACAGGAAAGAAAAGAAGCACACTGCTACAATACCAGTGTAAACAGCAAAAGAAATGGATGCTCATCTCTAGCAGCACTGCTAATAGCCACGTGTAGAAGCTCGACTGCTCTGACCAGCTCTGCCAAGGGCTCAGAGTCAATTCTCTAAAGCAAATAGAAGTGAGTCACAGAGCAGTGCCTGTCTTCCTCTCGACCATAGTGCCGCCCTCCAAATCTTAATCGTACCTTTCTAATTATGGATGCCTGAATTTTTACATTTATATCTATGCCATTTCCCCCATACTTTAATCCCTTATTTTATTTAAGAGACTAATAACAGTTTAAAGAAAAAGAAAGAAAATGAATAAAAGCACTAATGTATCCATGGGGTTTACACAATATGTAGAAGTAAAATATAAGACAAAAGATCGCAAAGGATTGGGGAAGGGAGTAATTGGAAATATACTGTTAAGAGTCTCACAATGTTCATGAAGTAGTACATTTTTTACTTGAAGACAGTCAAAAACAAAAAGAAAATAAAAATAAAAGACAGACTGATACTTGAAAGATGCATATTATAATCTTAGAGTAGTGCTTGGCCAATAGAAATATAATGTGAACCAGATATATAATTAAAAATGTTCAAATATCTACCATTTAAAAAGGAAAAAGAAGTCAAATTAATTTAATATTTTTAACCTCATATATCAAAAATATTATCAACATATAATCTGCAGGTAAACAATGACTAATGTAGTTTACATTCTTCAAAATCTGGTGTGTAGTTATATTCACAACCCATCTCATTTTGGACTAGCAACATTTCAAGCACTCAATAGCCATGTGGTTAATGGCTACCATCTTGGACAGTATAATTCCAGAGCAAGGGTCAACTTTTCTCTAAAGGGCCACAGAGTAAACATTTTGAGTTCTGGGGGCCATAAGGTCTCTGTCATAACTACCCACCTTTGCCATGGTAACTCAAAAGTAGCCACAGGCAATATGTAAATGAATGGGGGGCTGGGCACAGTGGCTCGTGCCTGTAAGCCCAGCACTTTGAGAGGCGGAGGTGGGAGGATCACTTGAAGCAAAGAGTTCAAGACCAGCCTGGGTAACATAGCGAGACCCCATCTCTATTAAAAAATTATTTAAATAAAACAAAATTAAAAAATAAATGAATGGGCAAGGCTGTGTTCCAACAGAACTTCATAAAAACATGTGAGCCACGTGGGCCGGATTTGGTTTGAGAGCTGTAGTTTACCAACCACCAATCTGGAACAACGACTTTAAAAAACAACACAAAGAGGTATAAGCAAAAAGTCAATAGAGAAGATAAAACAGGATGATAAAATATCAGCAAATACTAAATAATACATAATTCAACCAAAAGGCAGTAGAATAAGAGGAACAGAGGGACACAGAACAAACAGGACAAACAGGAAACAAACCACAAGATGGGAGGCAGACCTGTCCTCAACATTAATTCAATATAAATGGCAGAGATTGCCAGAAGCAAGAGCCAGCTATATGCTATTTATAAGAAACATACTTTCATTGTAAAGACAAACCAGTTACCAGTAAAAGACTGAACAAAAATATACGATGCAAACGCTAAGTATAAGAAAATAGGCAAGGTGTGGTGGCTCATACCTGTAATCCCAGCACTTTGGGAGGTCAAGGCAGGTGGATCATTTGAGGTCAGGAGTTCGAGACCAGCCTGGCCAACAGAGCGAAACCTGGTCTCTACTAAAAATGCAAAAATTTAGCTGAGTGTGATGGCACATGCCTATAATCCCAGCTACTCGGGAGCCTGAGGCAGGAGAATCTCCTGAACCAGGGAGTTGGAGGTTACAGTGAGCCAAGATTGCACCACTGCACTCCAGCCTGGCAACAGAGCGAGAGTTCGTCTCAAAAAAAAAAAAAACATAACCCTGATACCAAAACTCGACAAAGACTGAAAATTACAGGCTGGGCGCGATGGCTCACAGCTGTAATCCCAGCACTTTGGGAGGCCAAGGCGGGTGGATCACGAGGTCAGGAGTTCGAGACCATCCTGGCCAACATGGTGAAACCTCATCTCTACTAAAAATCGAAAAAAAATTAGCTGGGTATGGTGGTGCATGCCTGTAATCCCAGCTACTCGGGAGGCTGAGGCAGGAAAATTGCTTGAACCAGGGAGTTGGAGGTTGCAGTGAGCCGAGATTGCGCCACTGCACTCCAGCCTGGCAACACAGCGAGACTCCGTCGGAAAGGGAAAAGGGAAAAGGGAAAAGGGGGAAGGGAAGGGAAGAGAAGGGAAAGGAAGGGAAGGGAAGGGAAGAAAATTACAGTCTAATATTCCTCATGAACAGAGATGCAAAAAATATTTAACACAATATCAGCAACCAAATCCAACAACATATTAAAAGGATAATACTTCATAGCCAAGTGGGATTTCTTTTAGGCATACAAATCTGATTAAACATTCAAGTATCAATTAGTATAAATCAAAATATTAACAAAATAAAGGATGGCCAGGTGCACAGCTCCCACGTGTAATCCCAGCACTTTGGGAGGTGGGAGGATCTCTTGAGGTCAAAGGTTCAAGACCAGCCTGAGTAACATAGTGAGACTCTTGTCTCTACAAAAATAAAAAAATTAGCCAAGTGTGGTGGTGCACACCTATAGTCCCAGCTACTCAGGAGGCTGAGGTGGGATGATCCCTTGAGCCCAGGAGTTCAAGGCTGCCGTGAGCTATGATTATGCCACAGCACTCTAGCCTGGGCAACAGACCCTGTCTCAGAAATATTAAAAATAAATAAATAAAAGACAAAACCCATAAGACAAGTTTTAAAGACACAGAAAGAGCACCTGAAAAGACTTAATATCCATTTGTGATGTTGAATGATTTCTTAACGTACTAGAAATGGAAAGGAACTTCCTAAACCTGAAAAATAATGTATATGAACAACCTAAAATCTTACTTAATGGGGAAACATTGAACTTCTCCTCCCTAATACTGGAAACAAGGCAGGGATATCCACTCTCTCTATTTCTACTTAACCACTGACTAGCTAAAGGTGCTAGTCAGTGCAATAAGGCAAGAAAAATAAATAAAAGACATAAAGACTGGAAAAGATGTAAAACTTGTTAACAGCATACAACATAATTGTGCACATAGAAAACCTTATGGAATATTTTAAAAAATCCTATCAGAACAAATAAGTGAATTTAAAAAGGTTGCAAAATATGAAGTCAATATATAACAATGAATTATATTTCTTTTTTTTGAGATGAAGTCTCGCTCTTGTCCCCCAGGCTGAAGTGCAATGGCGTGATCTCGGCTCACTGCAACCTCCGCCTCCCGGGTTCAAGTGATTCTCCTGCCCTCAGCCTCCTGAGTAGGCTTATAGGCACCTGCCACCACGGCCAGCTAATTCTCATATTTTAAGTAGAGACAGTGTTTGGCCAGGCTGGTCTTGAACTCCTGACCTCAGGTCATCTGCCCGCCTTGGCCTCCTAAAGTGCTGGGATTATAGGCGGGAGCCACTATGCCCGGCAACAATGAATTGTATTTCTATACAAAAGGAGCAAACGGTTTGAAAATGACATTTAAGAAACAATTCCAGGCCAGGCCTGGTGGCTCATACCTATAATACTAACACTTTAGGAGGCCAAGGTAGGAGGTTGACTTGAACCCAGGAGTTCGAGACCAGCTTGGGCAACACAGTAAAACCTTGTCTCTACAAAAAAATTTTTAAAAATTAGCCGGGAGTGATTGCAAGTGGCTGTAGTCCCAGCTATTTGGGTGGCTGAGGCAGGAGACTCCTAGGGCCCAAGAGGTCAAGGCTGCAGTGAGCTGTGATCATGCTACTGTACTCTACCCTGGATGACAGAGTGAGACCCCCATCTCTATTAAAAAAAAAAAACTTAGGAAGAAAACTAACATAAAATATACAAGATCGCCACAGTAAAAACTAAAAAATAGGCTTACTGAAGAAACTGGCAAGATTATTCTAAAATTTATATAGAATGCAAAAGATCTAGAATGGCCAAAGAAATCTGAAAAAGAACAATGTTAGAGGGTATATGCTTTCTGGTTTTAAGACACTATAAACCAACAGTAATAAGATAGTGTGGTACTGGCATAAGGAAAAACATAACTGACTGGAAGTGAAGAGAGCAGAAACAGACCTAGACATACACGATCAGTTGATTCTTGACAAAGGTAGTGAGTCAAACCAATGAAGGAAGAAAACTCTTTTAAACAAATTGTTAAAATGTTGTTGGAAGAATCAGATAGTCATATGGAAAAAAATAAACCCTGATTTCCATATCTTACTCCACATACACAATTAATTTGAAATGGGTCATGACCTAAATGTAAAAGTTAAAATTACAAACCTTCTACCAAAAAAAAAAAAAAAAGAGACAATCACTGCAACCTTAGGGTAGACAAAGATTTTGGGGGAGGAGGGGATTCACTAACAATAAACGGGAAAAAACTTAATAAACAAGACTTTATGAAAATTAAAAGTATTTGGCTGGGTCTGGTGGCTCACATCTGTAATCCAAGCACTTTGGGAGGCCGAGGCTGCCGGATCACTTGAGGCCAGGAGTTCGAGGCCAGCCTGGGCAACATGGCGAAACCCTGTCTCTACTAAAAAAACAAAAATTACGCGGGCGTGGTGGCGCACATCTGTAATCTACTCAGGAAGTTGAGGCACGAGAATCACTTGAACCTGAGAGGCAGAGGTTGCAGTGAGCTGAGATTGCACCACTGTACTCCAGCCTAGACAACAAAGCAAGACTCTGTCTCAAAAGAAAAGAAGAACAAATCAAAAATATATGCTCATTTACAAACATCACAAAGAAATGAATAGGTAAACCACAGAATTGAAAAAATACACGTGCAGCAAAAATATCTGACAAAGGCTATGTATCCAGACTACATACAAGAACTATAAGTGAATAGCGAAAAGACAAACAACCCAATTTTAAAAGGGGCAAGAGACTTAAAAAGCCACCTCATTGGTCAACAAGAACATTAAATGGTCGTCAATATCATTAGTCATGAGAGAAATGCAAATTAAAACCACAATGCAATACTGTCTCATTCCATCTAAGATGACTAAAGTTAAAAGATTGACAGTCAGGTGCAGTGGCTCACGCCTGTAATCCCAACACTTTGGGAGGCCGAGGCAGGCGGATCACTTGAGGTCAGGAGTTCAAGACCAGCCTGGCCAAAGTGGCAAAACATCGTCTCTACTAAAAATACAAAAATTAACCGGGTGTGGTGGTGCACATCTGTAGTCGCAGCTTCTCGGGAAGCGGAGGCCCGTGAATCACTTAATCCCAGGAGAGAGGCTGCAGTGAGCCAAGATCGCACCACTGCACTCCAGCCTGGGAAAAAGAGCAAGACCTGCCTCAAAAAATAAATAAATAAATAAATAAATAAATAAATAACATAAAAGATTGACGGCATGAAATGCTGACAAGGATGTGGAGCAACTGAAACTCACACAATAAAATGGCATATCAAACTTGTACTATAAAATGCTATATCCACTTTGAAGAGCTGTTGCTTTGTTCTTATAAAGTTTAACACAAACTTATCCTAAAAATCAATAATTCTACTCCTACATATGCAGACAAAAAAATTATCTTACTGAAACATTCACAGCAGCCTTACTGATAATAGCTCCAAACTAGAAACAATTCAAATGTCCAACATCAAGAGAATGGGGGTAAAATAAATGCTGCATATTTACATAATTAAATACTCAACGATTAAAAAACTGCTGAGATGCAATAGCAAGGATGAATTTTAAAAATATATTAAGCAAAAAAGTTAAACACAATGCCAAACAACTCTATTTTTTATAAATTCCAAGAATAGGTGAAACTAATCTTAGAGTGGTAAAAATTTAAAAATGGTTGCTTAGGGTCATGGGAATTGTAGTGGGAATTTGGGATTGTTTGAAAACAGACACAAGGAAATTCAAGGGAAATAGAAATGTTCTATATCTTGCTTTGGTTGGAGATTATATGAGTGTATCCAACTGTTAAAACTCTTTGAACTAAACATTTATGATCTCTGCATTTTATTTTATTTTAATCATACCTCAATTTTTTTAATCTCTAAAAAACCATTTTTAAAGTACAGAGGGCAATCTGAAATATTAACAGTGATTGCTTCTGGGTGTTGGGATTATGGCTAATTTTTTTCTCTTGTTAATTCACATTGTTCTAAACTTCACAATTTTCTATAATGAACATATGTATGTACACATTTTTCCCATTTTCTATACCTGTGTTTTGTAGTTTCACAAAGATACCAAATGTTGCCAGCATTTATCTTCTGCAGGGAGGATTATGGGTGATAAAAGGAAGTGTGAGTCAAGCATTCTTTCTACAGTAGGCACCTGGTTCAGTATCTACAGGACCTGAAAGCTCAGGAGATCAGGCAGAGGCAGCAGTACTGAGAAGAGCAAGGGATCAGACACACACAAGTTCACTTCTAATCCTGGTTCTTGCACAGAACTGGTGAACAAGACACAAAGCCTCCATCTCCTCAACCCTAAAATGGGAGTAAGACATATCCTGGGCCAGGCACAGTGGTTCACACCTGTAATTCCAGCACTTTGGGAGGCCAAGGCAAGAGCATCACTTGCATCCAGGAATTTGAGACCAGCATGGGCAATAGAGCGAGACCTCATCTCTACAAAAAATCAAAATTAGCCAGGTGTGGTGGTGCGTACCTGTAGTGCCAGCTACTCAGGTTGAGGTTGGAGGATCACTTGAGCCCAGGAGGTCGAAGCTGCAGCAAGCTGTGATTGTGCCACTGCACTCCAGCCTGGGCAACAGAATGAGACCCTGTCTCAAAAAAAAAAAAAATTCCTGTCTACCTCAAAGAGGTTTTGTGAGGGTTAACCAAAATGGCTATGGTCTATAAAGCAGTCTCTAAAATACAGGAAATTCAGGTCATAGTCACTTCTGATATGATGTGAAAAGTTGAAAGGCCATCTTTCCCAAAAGTCAGATTTAGTACTTACAAACCTATGAGAAGCAACAAGAAAAGCCATTGCTAGAACTCTGGCCTTTTAAATTAACAGCTGAGAGCTCTTACCTATTGTTGCGGTAATAGTGATTCTGCAGGGTGTAGGGTATGCACTGGGGGTTTAACCGTTTGCTGTCAGCCTCCTTCCAGCTATCTTCAGTCCACTTTCTTTTGATCTGCTTCTCTTCCTGTTTTCTCCCCATATATTCAGCATAGGTTTGGATCCGATAGCTTTCTGCATATTTGCTGGTATTGACAGCTACAAGGAAAAGAAAAAAAAATAAAATGCTTACAAAAGTCTGGCCTAGCCCCAAAGATGACACTTTTGAAATGTGGCCTAAGGTGGTCAAAGGAGCCCCATCAGGCCTGAGGTCTGACCCTTGGCTCTGCCACCTGGAAGACAAATGACCTTGGGTACACCTGCAAACTCTCCAAGTCTGAGTTTTCTCACCTGGAAAAAAAAGCCATTGCTCCCCAATCTCATTTTCAGTGTGAAAGTACTTTGTAAACTGTAAAGAACCGGTAATGATATAAGTAAAATATTAATTTTCAAAATATTTGCAGCCAACATTACTATTTGGATATTATTCATTTTCAGAGTAACAAAATGAAAATAAACAAAACCACTAAGGGAAAACTATAAACCCTCACTATTTTCCTAAAATAAAATGACAACAAAAAGCAATATTGCCAGTGGTGGCGATTACTGTGTCACACACTGAAGATCTCCGGTATGTCTGTGTGCAGTGTTTTACATGCATTATATCTAATCTTCATAGTACGCTTGCAAGAGAGGAAATGTTTTTACTGGTGAGAAAGCAGGATCACAGAGGTCAGGGTTTTGCTGCAGACCATCCCTGGGTGAATGGCAGGGATAAGATGCAAAACCAGGTTCCTCAAACCCTAATACCAGGGTCCTTCTTATTACTCTGCATCTATTGGAGGTGCTTTATTATTTTCATTTTATTAATTTTTTTAAATGATCAGGCTTTATTACCTGTTCTGTTACAATGAGTTTTAAACAAATTTGTACACCCACATGTCATCCATCACGCAAATTAAGATAAAGAACATCCCCCTCACCCTCATGCCTGTTTTTAGACAGACTCCCACCCCTCCTTCACTGGACGAAGGCGCCTCAGATGTGTAGTACAATTATGGCATTATCTTCCTCAACTTGAAAACTTTGCTGTCACCACTGCTATCATCAGGGCTTAATTTTGCCTTCTCTTGAGCTACCTATAACTGGAATTACACTACATATGCATTTTTTTGTATTTATCTTATTTCAATAGTTTTGGGGGAACAGGTGGTGTTTGGTTGCATGGAAAAGTTCTTCAGTGACGATTTCTGAGTTTTGGTGCATCCATCAGCTGAGCAGTGTACACTGCACCCAGTGTGCAGTCTTTTATCCCTCACCCCCTCCTGTCCTTCCCCTGGAGTCCCAAAGTCCATTACATCATTCTTATGCCTTTGCTTCCTCATAACTTAGCTCCTATGCACTCTGCAAATTTAAGACAGCTGCACAATACTTAGGACATGCCTCTGCTCCTTCTGCCTTAAAGACTGCTAATTCTCCGTAATGCGCCTCTGGCTGGCAGCAGTACTTGAACACTGGGGCTTAATCCCCCCTTGGTGTTAATGCTTCAGACTAAGGCCAGGTCAGTTGTGTTCTGATCCCATGCTGCCCCCTCTTCTGAGGCTGCTGTGGATGGATCACGATGGCGGCATGGGAGTGAGGATCAATGGTGGCCTCTTGGTGCCCATTTGCTACTTCTGGCTTCCAGTTTAGGCATATGCGTTCCTAGCCCACTATCACTGCCAACAACTATTACCCACACTGGCAGTGAGACCATCAGAGCCTGGCCACGCTGTTCAGGGCAGTCTTTGTACCTGGTAGCTGCAAAGCGCCATGATGTCAGAAACAGAATCTGTCTACTTGCACCTAGAAAACCCCTGGATATGGAATAGTTCTCAATAAAAATGATGTGACTGAATGCAGAGCAGAATGCAGTGCTGGTGACGAGCATGCAGGCTGTGGGCACGTCGGCACTGGACAAGGGACTCCAGTTTACCAGGGACCTTAAAACAGAGGGAAAGACAACTGTATGAGAGGCAGATGTCCCACATCCGGCACCTGACACATTTTAATCTTCAACTAGGCCAGACTTCACTAAAACTTAGTGCAACAAAGGTTTCCGGAATGTCATGCCCTAAATATTTAGTCATCTAAAAAACAGAACAAAACAGGAAAAAACTCTACTTCTTCAGAAAACACAAATTTTTACTAAGAAGTTTGTGTACTTTTAAAATATTCACTCAAGAGTTAAAGAGAAAAAGAAAAAAAAAACCCTCAAAGTATTAGGGAGGCAGGGCACAGTGGCTCACACTTGTAATCCCAGCACTTTGGGAGGCCAAGGCGGGAGGATAACTTGAGCCTATGTAGTTGAAGACCAACCTGGGCAACACTGTGAGACCCCCGTCTCTAAAAAGAAAGTGCTAGAGAATGTTCATATTATACAATGTCTCCCAAAGAAGTGGAGTGGGTTACTGAAATGTGAGCTGAAAACAGCACACTCTGCCTCACTCAGGAGATAAGCGGTGAAAGCAGGCAGTTCTGGAGATGTGCTATTGAGTAAAGTTACTCATATCAGAGAGCCACAGAAATAGGATCCTTTCCTGAAAATCTTATTCCTTGGAACAGTTATTTTTCTTACTTTGAATGTGTCATATTTCTGTTATTTTTCACTCATTTACCCAGCCTCCCAACAATTCATATCCAATAACCATTGTCCACCCATTCTTCCATGTGGTAACTGCTTACTGAGTGTTTTTGTCCCAGGAACTATGTCAGGTATTTGGTAAATCAAGACACAATCTCCACCCTCTCTTAAAGGTCACCCTGTCACATACCAGATTTATGTAGTGGTGATTTCGCTGTAAGCTTGTCACTCCCTAAGCTTGTGACAGATTAAAATATGTTCATCTATCAATGTGGACATATGAGAACCCATTGGTTCTACCATCATTATTCTGTACCAATTGTTAACCAATGAGCATTCTCCTGGATTTTCTTCTATTTCAATTCTTTTTTTTTTTTAAGAAAGTTCTTTATTTTTATTAATATATTTATTTATTTGAGACAGTCTTGCTCTGCCGCCTACGCTGGAGTATAGTGGCGCCATCTAGGCTCATTGCAACCTCCGCCTCCCGGGTTCAAGTGATTCTCGTGCCTCAGCCTCCTGAATAGCTTAAACTATAGGCGTGCGCCACGACGCCTGGCTAATTTTTGTAATTTTCACAGAGACAGGGTTTCACCGTGTTGGCCAGGCTGGTCTCGAACTCCTGAGCTCAAGTGATTCGCCTGCCTCGGCCTCTCAAAGTGCTGGGATTATGGGCGTGAGCCACCGTGCCTGGCCTGGCTATTGCGTTCTTTAATCTAAAAGGTTTATTTTGATTTGCAAGCACACCCAAAAGGGATGACATCTGCAATAATCCCTCTGTTGCCAGGTGTGGTCGCTCATGCCTACAGTCCCAGCACTCTGGGAGGCCAAGGCAGGAGGACTGCTTGAGCCCAGGGGTTCGAGACCAGCCTGGACAATGGGGCAAAACCCCATTCTCCACACACACACAAAAAAAACCACAAAAATTAGCCAGATGTGGTGGCTTCAGACTATAGTCTCAGTTATTAGGGAGGCTGAGGTGAGAGGATTGACTGAGCCCAGGAAGTCAAGTCTGCAGTGAGCCACGATTGCACCATTGTACTCACTCCAGCTTGGGCAACACAGCAAGACCCTATCTCGAAAAAAATCCTTCTCTCAAGTTTAATTTGGATTACCAAGTAGGAGAGGAGGCTTGGGTCAATATTCCCCATGAAAGCAAAGGTGATGACAGGGTCACAGGCGAGCTGAGTTAATCTATTTAATGATATCTGATAGTTTTCAATAATTCAGCTCCCAGCTGATAGACAAATGTTACAAACAACTCCCTAACCATGGCGAGGGGATTTATCTGAGCACATTTGGAATTTAGGATCACTTAAAAGGGGAAATAAATAACAGTCCGCTTTTCACTGCTGGCCTCCACGTGGCAATAATTTACCAGCATTCCTTGAGTCCCAGCAGCTTTGCAGCTCTCGGCCTTTAATCTAGAAGCCAAGCTCTGGCTCAAAGCCACGCCTCTAATGGATGAATCAGCAAAATGAATTGGCTGTCAACTGTGTCCTCCAGCTATTCCAGCTCGCCTGTCAGAAGCAGCATGTAGCAGGCTGCTGGGTAAAACTAACCTTTTCCAAATTTGTCAGGGAAATGATTCAAGGCAATCTATCGGTCTTGCCACTTTGTGAAAGCCACTGGGGAACCAAATGTGCTAAGAGTCCTCCCTGTTTCCCTGGAGGTGAGTGGGAGCAGTTCCCTCACATAAGAGTCTCAAACACTCCGGCTTCACTGTGCCCAAGAACAGCACGGTCCGGGGTGGTCCAGTCTGATCCCAACCGGCCCACCCGGGGCATCCGGTGGAAGTCTTCGCCGGAGGATCCGAAGGCAGCATCAACGCGGTTGTCTCTTGACACTGCACACAGCATAGCATTTAATCTTCGGATGTTCTAGTCACCACACAAATAAAGAGACTGAGCATCGGAGAAACTAAACAGCTTGCCTGAGGTCTTGTAGGTAAGCAACAAAGCTGGCTTGAAACCAGGATGTGGCATTTATATATACATTTTAACAATGTTAATACTGCCACATGCCTGCTGTGTATTTATATGCATTTTGTTTATGTAGGTTGACAATTAGCTTATAAAATGCTTCCTGTATTAAGGAATTACTTAAAATGTTTAGACTTTATTGTTTTTTAAAGAACTTTCCACTACTGTCAAGCAAAGACTTTCCAACTAAGTTGATGCATTATGTTTATGAAGAGGAAGACAACATAAGATGTAGATTCCTTCCTAAATTGACTTATAGATTTACTGCAACTCCAGCAAAAATATTCCAACATTTTATTTTATTTTTTAAACAACTTCTGTGGAACAGGGCTAACTCATAGGCAGTGTGCCCAGAGTTGGCCTCCAACATTTTAATTAAATATTGAAAAAAATTAAAAGTAAGAAAAAAAAATCTCGGTAGAAAACAACAGTGGTTGTGAGAGCCTGGGGCTGGTGCTGGGGCTGGAACGGGAGAGGAAGTTGACTACAAAGAAGGGGAGGGCATTTTGAAGGTGACAGAACTATTTTATATCCTGATTGCAGTGCTGATTACATTACTGCATGCATTTGCTGAGGCACAGAACTGTACACCAAAGACGGTCACTTTATTATACATCAATTAAACCTCAGTTATTCTGGGAAACCTGAAAGATGAATTCTAAAATTAGAATAAAAGGGCCAACAATAGCTGGGACATTTCTAAAAAAGAATGGGAAGGGGGACTTGCTTTACTAGGTAAAAAAGCTTATTGTAAAGCTATAGGAATTGAGACAGTGGAGTAATGGTGCTGAGATAAACTGACCAATGGTACAGAATTCTAAGAGCCTAGAAAAACACGTATATATCTGTGAAACTTTGATTTTTGACAGAACTGCCTGGAAAAGGAAAAGCTGGAAAAATTGTTTATCCATGGGGGGGAAAAAAAAAGAAATTGGATTCTTAGTCACACCATGCCGAAAAATTCACTCCAGATGGATGAAGAGCTGAAATGTCAAAAGCAAACTCTGAGAATTTGAAAAGGAAATATAAGTGAGTATCTTTCTGAGCTTGAAGTAGGGAAGAATTTACAAAGATAGAAAAAAGGACAGGCATAAAAGAAAAGATCAATAAGTTTGGCTACATTAATATTAAAGCCTTTGTCCATCAGAAGACACTTTAAAGAGAAGAAAGACAATCTATAAACTGGAAGAAGATATCTGTAAGACATTCAACTGACAGGATTAGCACTAGAATATATAAAAATAGCCACAAACTAGTGAGGAAACAACTGCAGAAAAGTGGGCACAAGGCATGAGAAGCACGGTCACCGCACAGAAGGGAGGTGTGTGAGGCCAGTGGACATATGCAGAGATGCTCGGCCACAGACAAAGGCAAATCATGACTATGATGAGACATGATTCTATACCTACTGCGTTGGCAAAAATTATAAAAAACATTGATAATACAACTATTGGGAAGGTGTGGAGCAACAGGATCCCCAGTGGTTGTACGACCATTTTGGAAAACAAGTTAGTGTTCTCACTTAAAGATGATCATTCTCACTTCCTATGACCCTGCAATTTCACTCACGAATAATAAGAGATCAATACAATAGTTTCCAAAAAAAAAAAACTGTTCATAATAGCTAAAAAGAAAGAGAAAGAGGGCTCCAAATCCTTATCCTTGGGTAAATGGACAAATCTGCAGTATATTCACAAAATGGAATATTGTCTAAGAGAAAATATGAGTGAACTACAGCTACGCAGAATAAAATGGATGAATCTCAGTGATGTAACGGTGAATGATAAATGCAATCCCCCTCACGCCCCGCAACACACATACATACACACATGGCGGGGGTGTGTATGAGAGGGAGAACAAAAAATAGCAAGAAGATGATCAGCACAAACTTCAGTAGAATAGCTGGTACTGGAAGGGAATCAGGAGAACTAGAGAGGAGAAGAGCAATAGGTAGATGTAATTTATTAGTAATGTTTTAATTCTTTGGTTGAGTGGTGGTTTCACAGATGTGCATTACATTTTAAACAAACAAAATTTCTAGCACGCCTGTAATCCCAGCTACTCGGGAGGCTGAGGCAGGAGAATCGCTTGAACATGTGAGGCAGAGGTTGCAGTGAGCCGAGATCGTGCCACTGCACTCCAGCCTGGCGACAGAGAGAGACTCAAAAAAAAAAAAAAAAAAAAAAAAATTCTAGCTTTTCCATTGTTTTACCCTGTCCAACTACTAAAGGCCATTTCCAATACAATCTGCTTAAGTGAGAAGGTCTCTTTAAGATTAGCTCAAACTTACTCCTGTTTCAATGTCTTCGGTCACATGGAAGTGGAGCCCCTGAGTGGGACACATGTGGTGTAAATGCGTACTGCAACTCAGATGCCAGACTTCAGCCTTGCTCGGTGGCTAAGGGCATTTTTGCAGTCTGCTTCTTAGAGGGTTGAAACCAGTTTATTGTAGCAACTGTTTGTGGGTGGGGAGAGTGTACTAGGAAACTGCTGAAGCAGTTACACACCATTAGTCCTGCATTTTTTGCCATGGCCACTCTCAGCAAACATCAAGTTCTCAATGTCTAAGGGAATTGCCTATATTCGTATTAACCCAATGGTTACAACAAAGAGGGCTGGACATGGTGGCTCATGCCTATAATCCCAGCACTTTGGGAGGCCAAGGCTGGCGGATCACTTGAGTCCAGCAGTTCAAGACCAGCCTGGGTAACATGGTGAAACCCTGTCTCTACTTAAATACGAAGATTAGCCAGGCATGCCTGTAGTCCCAGATACTTGGAGGGGTGAGGCTGGAGGATTGTTTGAGCCCGGGATGTGGAGGTTGCAGTGAACTGAGATCGTGCCATTGCACTCCAGCCAAGTTGACAAAGTGAGACCCTGTCTCAAATAAATAAATAAATAAATAAAAATAAAACAAAGAAAGAGAACTATTTATTGGCTATTTCCTCTGTTAGCACAGAAAATCCTGTCAGCATTATCCTGGCTTTATAGATAAGGACACTGAGACTCATAAAAAGGGACTGGCCCAAGGTCCCAAAGATTACATGTGTAGGCTGGGACCCCAACCAAAGCCTACATTCTTTCCACGACACCACATGCACTGGAAGGCACCCGGTTTGTGTCATGCAGAGTTAACACAGGCATACATCTGTCTGCAAGGAAGCAGTGTGTCCATCTCTCCACCCAACAGCCTTGTGCAAACGCTGGAAGGAGTCCCTGTGTGATAACCTGGTGTGTTACTCCACAATCAGAAGTGATGTGTGCCAAGAGTGGCCTCTGCCTACTTCACAGGCCCAAATCCTACTCCTCTAATGCCAGTGTGTGCCTTAATGTCAAAGACGCCCTCTCTGACACCCTTTAAGATGGCCTCTCCTTATTCCCCTCAGAGCACCCACCAGCGTGAGGCCCTAAATCACCACATTGTCATTCAGGATTGTCACCCCAAGCCTGGATGACACTAAAGGTTGCTTTGTGTTTGTTTGCTTATTTAAATATGAATATATTAAATACAAAAGTTTTTTCATATTCCATAAAGTTTGATCAAGTTTAAATTTACAACAGATGGACAGCCTCTCCAATTTACCAGATAAGAGAATGGAGGGTTTTATCAGATTTTGCAAAAGGGCAAGCTTTAAAAATCTTTAAAGAAAGATATTAAAAATCAAGGAAAACAGAAACACCCAACCCTAATGGTCATTATGAACATTTTCCTGTGTTCAGAAAAATGATCTCAGATGTATTTCCCCTTAACCCATCTAAGGAACTAGGCAGATACTAAGTTGGAAACAGGAATCAGTGATCTAACAGAAACATGGTAAAATGAAGGTATTTCCAACATGCCCAAAGAAGTAAAAATGGGGAGGCAAGCCCAGAAAATGACAGCCTTCCTTTCCACCCTCTCTAGTCCATCCTTACCCTGCTGACATGATCCATTCTATTCTGTTAAACCCTTCGGCATCCAAGATAAAGTGCAAACTTGCTGGTACACCCAACTGGTGTACCAGCAAGTTTGCCTCAATAATAACCCAGCTCTGTCCAGCCCTCTCATCTCAATTCTGTTTTCCCACATTTAGCTGTTGTCTTCTGAACAGGACCAGGTGCTCTCTGAGGGAAGGGATTATACATTATTCATTTCTGTAGCACCTAGGGTTTATCATAGTAGTTTTCCAGGAATTCAACATATGATCATAGGAAGAAACAAAACTTCAGGCCAGGCATAGTGGCTCATGCCTGTAAGCCCTGCACCTTGAGAGGCCCAGGTGGGAGGATCGCTTAAGCCCAGGAATTTGAGACCAGCCTGGACAACATAGTGTGACCCCCATCTCTACAACATAAAACATAAAAATAAATTAGCTGGGTGTGGTGGTGCACACCTATAGTCCCAGCTACTCAGAAGGCTGAAGTGGGAGGATCACTTGAGCCAGCAAGGTTGAGGCTGCAGTAAGCCAAGACTGCACCACTATATTCCAGCCTGCGCAAGAGAGTAAGACCCTATCTCAAAAAAAAAGGAAAATAAATAAGTAAACAAATAAATGAATGAATGAATAAAAAACAGCTTTTATGTCTGCTGGCAGCCTGTCTCCACTCAAGAGAAAAAACAAGCCAGAATGAGGATACAAACTTATACATTTTTCAGTTAAAAATCCCATGTTGAAGCCTGGTATGTGAAAAAAGTGCCTGGACTGGAAACTGGAGGCCCTGGCTCTGGCTCGAACGGGTAGTTTTGCCTGGGCAGGAAACAGGCCACCGTCACTGATAGCAGAGGCTAACCCACCTGCCTGCTCACACCCTTGGGAGCCAGAGCTTGGGATTCCTTGTCCTTCATGCTTCCTTTCATATCGTGGGTGTTTCTCCAACAAAGGCTAATTATGTTTTTTAAAAAGTCCTGAGGCTGAAAGAGTAGAAACTAGGGCAGTGAAAGAGATCTGAGCCCCGTAAAGGGGACAGACAAAACTAGGGAAGATAGTGGAGGACGGCATTCCTTCCTCTCTGCTTTCTCAGGGCCTCCATGGCAGCGCCTGACCCATGAGATGCACTCAGGAAAGGAAAGGAAATGAATCAAGGAAAGGAAGCAGGCTCAGAGGGCTATGCTTACAGAGACACAGAGTGCAGAGGAACCTGGGAGAGCCGTGAGGTGTTTACAGACAGCTTCCACAGATCCCACCGCCTGGACCCTCACCATGGTGAGGGCAGGTGCTGTTATCAGTGCTTCACTGACGAGGCAGAGAGAAAGTTCCATCGGCACCCAACTAGGATGTAGCAGAACAGGGCAGAGTGTGATCTTGGTTCTGTTACCTAGAGCAAGTCAGGCCCTCTACTCTGCTACCTCCCCATCCTTCCCCTCAATTAAATATGGACAGGCATGCACACTGGCCACTGTTCCCATGTGTCACTTCACTTTACAGTTCTCCAATTGAGGCCACGGAAGCAGCAAAGAAAACAGTCTTTACAAACTAGACATGAAAATAATGGTGATGTTTAATTATTTAAAACCTACCCAAACGGAAGCCACAAAGTCAAATGGGAAAACCACAGGCTCTGAGGCCACACAGGCCTGGGTTAGAATCCTGCCCAAACCTTAAGTTGTGTGGGGTGAGTTACCTGCCTCCCTGGACTTCTCTTTCCTTATCCATAAAACAGACATCTCCACCTACCTTACAAAGCTTTTATCACAGGGCCTGAGACACAGTGGGTGCTTAATTAACAAGGTTACTGCTGTTAAATCACAAATATATAATTCAGACAAAAAGAACTTTGCCAAAGCCAATATAAGACATTCCATTGCTCTGCATATTCTCAAACAACAATAAAAAAAAAGAAACCATTATTTAAAAGTCTGAACTATAAATTTCAAAATTTTCCGAGACCAAAATTAGTTAATTGATTTTCTCCCAACTCTCCTGAAACCACCTGTTAAAACATTCATCTCATTCATTCATTTATTATTTATTTATTTTTGAGACAGGGTCTCTCGCTCTGTTCCCCAGGCTGGAGTGCAGTGGTGCAATCACGGCTCACTGTAGCCTCGAGTTTCTGGGCTCAAGCAATCCTCCCACCTCAGCCTCCTGAGTAGCTGGGACTACAGGTGCATGCTACAACACCTGGCTGATTTTTGTATTTTCTGTAAAGACAAGGTTTTGCCATGTTGTCCAGGCTGTTCTCAAACTCCTGGGCACAAGCGATCCACCCATGTTGGCCTCTCAAAGGGCTGAAATTACAGGCATGAACCACTGTGCCCAGCCATCTCATTCAATAAACACTGGCACTGGGTACTGGGATGCAGCAGTGGGAAGCAGAGATTCCCTGATCCTAAGAAGCCTGCAATCTGAAGGAAGAGTAAAGGAGGCGAAAAGACTGGTAGAGCAACACCAAGTAGGCAGGTATCTAGGTGGGAAATGATAATCTCAACATGAGCAGGGGCAGCAGCAAAGGCGACAATAAATACAAGCTATTAACAGGCTGACTGAGAGGTGGAAGAGCTACTGCTTAGGCTGTAAGTTCCTATGGCCCAAGCCAATTGCCTCAGCATTGAATGAATGATGTCACTAAGGAACCCTGCTTTGATTAGCCAGCCTGGTGTTTTTCTTTTTCTTCTTCATGGTTTCAGGCTGAAAAGTCAGTCAAAAATTATTAAAGCCACCATTTACTAAGTACTTACTATAATGCTTGTAAAGAACTATGCTAACTACTTTCCAAACAAATACAGTTGACCCTCGAACAATCTGTGTTTGAACTGCATGGGTCCGCCTATATGCAGATTATTTTTCAACCCAACACATCTTGAAAACACAGTCTCTGAGGGATTTGAAACCTGCCTACACGGAGGGCCTCTCATACCCACACGTTCTGCAGGACTGACTGGGGGACCTGAGTACGTGAGAATTTTGGTATACTCAGGGGTCCTGGAACCAGTCTCTCATGGACATTAATGAACGCCTGTATATTTCAATCTCACTTGTTCATTTATTCATCTATCCATTCATTCATGAACAAACTATCTTCTAAAACTAGGCAACTGAGGCTGAGAGTGAAATCAGAGAGACAAAGCCCAGTACTCAAGGAGAGAAAGAGAGCACAGACCATCACCCACGGGCTGAGGGTTAGAAAAGGAGCTTGCTCTGGAGTTTCCCATGGGGAAATGACCACACCTGGGGCTCAGAAAAATTTCCCTAAGGAAAAGACACTCAGGTCTTTCTTGAGACTTGAGGGTTGGGAGAGCAGGTAGTGTAGAAATTCTGGAGGTGGGGAACTGTGATCCAGGCAGAAGGAATATGATGAGGTGACTCATCTGAGAGAGGAACACAGTCTAGACTAAGGATGAATGACCGTAATAGTGAATCCTAAGGAGGAAGCAGGAGAAGGGCCGGCGGTGCAGCCGGAACGATGCGCAGAGGAGCGCCACACTGAGGAGTTCAGTCAGGAGGGCCTTGTGGTCAGATCTCCTCCTCCTGACAAAGATTCCGGGAGATCAGCAGGACGCCAGGGTAATAAATATGGAGAGAAAGGGCGGTGGCTTGTTAGGATGGAAGAGGTGGGGACACAGAGAAACTACACAGTTCTCCGAGTCCTAGCCTGGGCAGTGCAGGGTTGTGCCATCTGGGACCAGGGAACAAGATAGTGGGAACACAGGAATGGGGTAGATGGTGGCTTTGAAGTACCTGGGAAACATCGGTGGAAATGTGGGATGGGCAGAGAGAATACATTTGGGAATCACTGGCATGAAGGTGGTGTGAGCCCTGAGAAAGAATGGAATTGCTGAGGAGAAGGTGCAGAGTAAACACAGAAGCCTCCAGACTGAACTTAGGAGCACCGGCCTTTAATCCTCGTATGGATGGGGAGGGCAGTCATGAAAGCCTGGGAAGCTGTGGCCTGAAAAGGAGAAGGGCAAACCTAGGGATTTAAGAAAACATTGCTTCAAGGAGGAAGAAGAGGCCAGGCATGGTGGCTCATGCCCGTAGTCGCCAGCACTTTGGGAGGACAAGGCGAGAGGATCACTCGAGTTCACGGGTTTGAGGCCAGCCTAGGCAACACATACCCCTCAATGTCCACTAAAAAAAAAAATTAGCTAGGCATGGTGGTGCGCACCTGTAGTCCCAGCTACTCAGGAGGATCGTGAGCCCAGGAGTTTGAGGCTGTAGTGAGCTATGACCACACCACTGCATTCCACATTCCAGCCTGGACCACAGAACAAGACTCTGTCTCCAAAAAACAGAGGTCAGAGTACTGAGCACTCAGGCAAGGTGAGAAGACTGCCTGGTGGGTGTGGCAAAGGGGTCAGAGGGTCTTCAGTAAGAACAGGCTCTGTGGTGTGGGGACCACAGCGAGAGGAGAGTGAGCGAGGAACCACGGTAAGGGTGGTGACTGCAGACGCCTCGAATTCCGAAAAGGAAGGAAAGATTTGGGAGAAGAGGCGAGCTGGGGTTGTGGGAGTTCTTTTGAACAGGTGGAAGGAATTCTGCCCATGGGTGGGCATGGATAAAATGTAGCACAAGGCCCCTGAGAAGGGACTTGGAGCACATGGTGGGGACACATGTCTGACAGAGGCACAGAAGGAGGGAGGTGTGTGCGCGGACAGCTTTGTGAATCTGGGGGCAGGAAGTCGCACCTGGAAGTTCACTGTTTCCTCTGAAGAGGGGTCGAGGTCAGGGGAGGGGAGGGATCTTCCCAAAAGCACCAGGGCTGGAACCTGGGAAGACAGGAAGAGCAGAAGAGGCCATGGAGCTGGTACCTGATAAGGTCCCTGCCAGAGATGTGACCTTCCAACTAGTGCTAACAATCTGCCCAATGCTCTTTTCCTCCTCAAAACCACCCCACAAAGTGGGTAACAATTCTCCTTCCATGGCCAGGCAAACAGGGGCCGAGAGAGGTTGAGTGGCCTGCTGAAGATGGCGATTCTGACAGCAGGGCTGGGGTGTGAAGCCCGAGCTCCCTGACCCTGACGCATGCTTCTGATGACAACTTTAACCTGCCCCTCAAAGCAGTCAACAAAGCCTCTGCGCTCACACCCAGCCCAACACAAAAAAGGGCTTTCCCAAGTGCTGACACAGCAGCTTAAAAAGTGGGTAGTGAAGTGCAGAAGGTAAGAAGGAATTTATGATGGCATCAAGTAGAAGCAGATGGGAGTTTGGCAAAAAGTTTAGAACTATTACTTAAAGAAAAAAAAAGAAGAAACCCTTCTTTTTTTAAAAGATGAAACACAACTTAAAATAGACTTGGGAAGCAATTCCATACTTAACAGTCTTGAGGAAGTTGACAGACAGCTGAAAGACCTAAGCAATTTACAACATTCTTCACACTTCATGGCAGAAAATTAAGATTGATGTCTCAACTACACAAGAATAATTTAAGGTAAAATCAAAGATCTGCTAGATCATGTGAAATGGCAGATCCTAAACGTCAAGAACTCTGAATAAATTCCACTCCAGGGAAGACTAAATAGTACACGGCTTAGTTAATACTATATCTTTAAGGTCTGCTTATTACATATTACAAAGAAGTACAAACAGATACCAATCATGGTTTATAGGGAGGTTACTAAGCACCAGGTTCTCTACTATCTCTAATCCTAATACATTATTCTATATCCTAAAACATTAATCTATTTTCTTCCATCTTTAATCCTACCCCTGTAAAGCAGTCTTATTTTGAATACGACAGAACAGTGCCTGAGACATGTTAAAATAACTTGCCTGATGTCACCGTGCTGGACTGCCGTGCACAGCCAGTATTTAACCCGTTGTTGACGCCCCTTCCCCTGCCTGAGGGATTCCCAATTTAATGCCAGCATACAGCCTGCAATAGGTTTTAAATTGCAACAGTATCACTAAACAATACCTACTTTTACTACATGAAACCCACTCTCATACGTCCTTTTCTTCGACTTTCTCCCCTCTTTTTTTTAAATGCTGGTATCTACCAGCATTGATTTCCTGACCCACTAAACAAGCCCTGCCTGACCTGAACTCTATAACACAACACAGCTCATTGACACCCACCATTCAAAACAGCATTTCTATGTGACAATGTGCTTTGTGTTCTAAAAGGTTAATCAACAAAAGAACGTTTAGGACACAATCTCTTCACAGCCTGCGTGTAACTGAAGCACTGGCTGGAGGTAGTGGCTGCATCTACAGATTCAAGTTGGGTCCTTTCACCTGGACTAGTTCTCAGGAACTTCAGATGCCAGGTACAAATATATACCTAATAGGCACACACACCACCTGCATCAAGACAACACTTTTGGACCTAGCTAACTTTGGCAACTTGTTGGGCTGTTTATGAAGTATTAAATCTGCCACAACATTAGTGATACGGTGATAAAGCACAGTGCTCCATGTTTCTTCTACTTCCCATAGCCACATACGCAAACAGCCTGACAGAGCAGCACATATTTTAAGGCTTACAGGTTTCAGTGGTTGAAAAGCTTAGTCTGTTTGTGTATAAGCTAATATAGGAGCTGCTGGGCTGCACTATTTACACTTTCATTAAGGGCTGCACTATTTACACTTTCATTAACTGTGTCTCTGTGGATGTTTTGAAGTGGTTTTCATCTGATAAAAGAATTTACTGGCCGGGTGCGGTGGCTCACACCTGTAACCCCAGTACTTTGGGAGGCCAAGGCAGGTGGATCACAAGGACATGAGAGCAAGAGACCATCCTGGCCAACATGATGAAACCCTGTTTCTACTAAAAATACAGAAATGAGCTGGGTGTGGTGGCATGTGCCTGTAATCCCAGCTACTCAGAAGGCTGAGGCAGGAGAATGGCTTGAACCAGGGAGTCGGAGGTTGCAGTGAGCCAAGATGGTGCCACTGCACTCCAGCCTGGCAATAGAGAGAGACTCCATCTCAAAAAAAAAAAAAAAAAAAAAGAATTTACTTATACCTCATGACTCAGCTTATTCATTAACCCAGTGAAACCCCGGAGGAGAGGAGGGGAACTGGAGAGAGAAAGAGAATGATGGGCAGCCAGGCAGAGCTGAGCTAGCTCACCTGCGAGGTGAGTCATGGCCCCTGGGAGGGAGGGTGTCTGTCACCAAAAGCAGCCTCTCCCAACCTATTAGAGAGTCACAGAAATTCCGTATCAATAGTAAATGGGACAATTTTGTCTCTGGTTCCCTTTAACCGTCCCTTGCCATGCTCCTAGCATTGGAAGCACTCAGCACTTTCCTGATGGTGCCAGGATGCTGCGCTATGAACATGAGTCCTCTTCCTAGGCCTGCCTCTCACCTCTTCCCACCTGCTAGCCCTGCAATCCACCTACAGATGCAGAGCAGCTCCAGGACACATCATACACGATCTGTCACCACCAAGAAGGTTTGAAAAAATGCCAACACCACCTCCTTGAACACCAGGCCAGCTCCTCCGTGCCTTCATGGAGCCCTGTGCCTGTGCTTCCCATCCTCTGTGGAGAGAGAACAGTTTATTTTAAAGGAAGGGAATGAAATCCTCTCTCCAGACTATGGGTTGCCTTGGGACGATGAAATTTACTTGTTGTAACTGGCAATATTTGACTTCGAAAAAGAGTTACACTTCTCCAAAAGGGAAATGGATAAAGAATGAGGATGTTATTTTTATTTTCCACATCAATTTTACGCTTTGCCTTGATGAGATGATGTGCTCAATGACTAATTTATTTCATTGGTGAGTTCTGTCTAGACCCTACACGCTGAAACCCTGAAGGTCACCAAATGTCCCCAAATGGTGGCGCAAATCTGAGTAAGAATTGTTTTGATTTTGAAGTCCCATCCTGCCTGGGCATTTAACACAATGATTCTACACTTGTATTGTTGTTTCTGCTTTTAAATGACCACATCACTTCCTTGTGGATTTGGGATCTTAGGAGGACTATTCCAGCTCTTTATTTTCTTTTTCCTTAAGTAAGCTGCTTCCCTGTTACGGGGGCTGTTGCTGCTGACACCAGACCTAAAGACAGCATTCAGGTCTGAACTGGAGCAGGTTAGGCTGCTAGGAGAGGAAGCATGCTGAGTGACATTACTCTTGAGTCTAACACAGGTAATACAGGGGGATGGGAGAAGGAGAAAGTAGGGAGAGGGAGAGAGCGGGACAGAGAGAGGAAGTGGAAGGAGACAGTGAGCCTGCAGGGGAATCAGGGAGAGCGAACTTTTCCCATTTGCTGAGGAACTGCTTTTATTAATAGAAGGTGGCAACTCCCAAAATTCAAAGAAGTAACAAGTTCTTCACCACTCCTGGACATTAAAAGGATCTGTGAAATTCTTTGCCAGCAGGAGAATACGATTTTTAAAAAAGTGATATTGACATTGTTCAGCTTTCCAGACTCAAGTCATTAAATCTCTAAATTGTTCTAAATATTCATTTTGCTTTCTACATTCTAAAAGTGTAGAGCTTTTTTGTCTATTTAAACATTCATTGTAAAAACCAACTGGTTAGATAAAAAAGTCAAGCCAAAAGAGAGAAATGTAAAAAACTAAAACAAGCCAGGTGCAGTGGCACGTGCCTGTAATCCCAGCTACTCAGGAGGAGGAGGCAGGAGGATCACTTGAGCCCAGGAGTTCAAGTCCAGCCTGGGAAACAAAGGGAACCCTGTCTCCAAAAAATGTTTTAAATAAAAACAATATTAATACAATGGCAAGTGTGATATTATCACATGCCAAAGTATTTTTGAATATTTTATAACATTGTATTTTAAAATTCTCAATGACCTGAGAGTTTCCTACAATGTCAAAATACTCAACACAAATTAGGAAACTGAAAAACAACTTCTGAAAGTCAGGTATACAGAGAGAAGAACACAGAATGCTTTTTTTCATTCTTTGTTTTTTGAGACAGTCTCACTCTGTCACTCAGGCTGGAGTGTAGTAGCACAACCACGGTTCACTGCAGCCTCAACTTCCCAGGCTCAAGCAATCCTCCCACCTCAGCCTCTCAAGGAACTGGGACTACAGGAGCTTGCCACCATGTCCGGGTAATTTAAAAATTTTTTTTGTAGAGGTGGGATCTTGCTACATTGCCAGGGCTGGTCTTGAACTCCTGGGCTTAAGGAATTCTCCTGCCTCAGCCTCCCAAAGTGCTGGGATTACAGGCATGAGCTGCTGTGCCCAGGCTAGAATGGTTTCTGTAAACTTTATCTTTTACTTTTTTTGTTTTGTTTTGTTTTTTTAAGACAGGGTCTCACTATGTTACCCAGGCTGGAGTGCAGTGGCTATTCACAGGTGTGACCATAGCTCACTGGAGCCTCAAACTCCTGGACTCAAGCAACCCTCCCGAGCAGCCAGGGCTATAGGCACGTGCCACCAAGCCTGCCTACACTTGTGGATTTTATAAAGTACTCTCTACATTTCTTTCCCTAGAAAAAAATATTACCACCCTTTAGATTCTAATTCTAAAGTGCTACATCTAATACCTCTAACATAAGTAAAGTCTCATTTTAAAGCATGTCCAATGAATAAATTTGCTTCTACTGCCTTTGCATATGCTAAGATTTTGATGGAGGAAAAAAAAAGTACCTGAAAGCAGCTTTCATGGAACCCAGCTATAAAGCTCCACAAACCCCATTTTTCCAGTGAGCTCACAGATAGTACCCTGTGCCCTATGTCAGCTTAGGGCAGCAGTTAGAGGCCTTTACCAACAGAAAAGAAAAAGCCTAGCTTGCTTCTAAGGCTACATACATCCAGATCTGTTCCACCAAAATCAAATCTGTGGCAAGGAGGTCCATGGCTACAGATTCTTCTGCTATGAGGCACCCAGGGAAATAGTCCAGAGGTCTGAATTGCAAACAAAATAATTTTAACTAATATAAAAAAGACCATCTGTTCAGTAACTAATTCCCTTGAGGACATGATATGGAAGTCAACTATCCAGCTTCCACCTTTACATAGTATATAAATGAGAAGAGAAAAGCGAGCAGGTTGGGTGCAGTGGCTCACGTCTGTATCTTAACACTTTTGGATTATTTGAGCCTGCCCAGGAGTTAGAGACCAGCCTGGGCAAAACAGTAAAACCCCATCTTTACAAAAAAAAACAAAAAACAAACAAAAAAACAATAATAATAATAATAATAATAATAATAATTAGTCTGGAGTGGTGGTGTGCGCCTATAGTCCCAGCTACTTGGGACGCTGAGGTGGGAGGATCACTTGATTGCGCCACTGCACTCCAGCCTGGGACAAAGCAAGACTGTCCAAAAAAAAAAAAAAAAAAAAAAAAACAGAAAGAAAAAGAGAATGAATGTTAAAATGTAGGCAGAGGCATGAAAAATAGAAAAGAAAGTCAGCTTGCAGAGCCAAGTTTATATCTTACCCCACCCTGATGTGGTTGGCCAACAGCTGATAGAGGGCTTTTCGGTAAAGTAGGTAGAAACAAACCCCACCAACCCTCAGGTTACCAGGCAATGTGCCACCATGTTATTAAAGCCATCATGGTGAGAGTTCCTGGGCAGGCAGCCCGCTGGAATGCTGAGTCATCTGTTCCCCCGCTCACAGCTGGCCCTCCTCCCCAGCACATGCTCTGCCCACAAGCACACTCTTTGGGGAATGCATTAGGAAGCAGCTACCTGAATGTATCCTGAAAATCACAGACAAGGCACTAAACACACACCCATTGGAGCCTGTTCTGTCACAACTCAAGCCAGAGTGCAGGCATAAATCACTGCCGTTTCTGGAAAGAGCACAGGCACACCTTGCACTCAGCTCTCTAGAGGCCTTAGCTAAATGCTGTTTAGATTATTTTTAAAAAATGTGGTTTTGACTGGTTCAGGATTTAAAAGAGTTAACAAACATCATATGAGCAGAAGGCACAATGGAATGAGTGTGTACACTCTGGGGTAGACAGCTCTACTACTGGAAGGCCACATGCCTCTCTGGGCAACTGTTTTCTTATCTTTGAACTGAGATGCTTTCCACAGTTGGCTTCAGGGAAAGCATCTAAGACTGGAGTCACAACAGAGTATTCACGCATGGGGCAAGGGGTGGGGACGCTAAAGCTGAACTTTGCCTTTAGTTAAAATTACCCTTGAAACTTCTTTCTTCACACTGGAGAACATGCGTCTCTCAGTGAAGCCAACACAGCTGGTTTTTCCTCCAGGGTCAGAACACACTACTGTTTCTCCTCTAGGACATCAGAGGAAGACGATGGCTTGCATGTGAGCACCATGTTATTAAACACACATGTACACACATGTGTGAACACACATGGTTTATAACCAGCAGGAAGCTTGCTACAAGAAGAGTGTGAAAGTTGATATTCACAAGGAAGGGGCAGAATCTACATCTCCCATTTCATCTCCAACTCACTGGGATAAGGATAAATACTTTTGCTGAGTGAAGTGACAAGCAAAACCAGTCTCACACCCTAAAAAATAATTAGCCACATCAAGTACATTTGAATTCACACAAGTTTCAAAATGTTATGATGTAACTCTACTTGGTACCTAGCAAATATACGATCTAAGCCTCTGTGCCTGTCCTCTGGTCACATGTACCCAAGCTAGTTCTCTGAAGACAAGGAAGGTGTTTTAGCTATTCTATACCTCCAGTGATATTTCTTCAGGAGAGAACAGCTAATACAGCTACTTCTCTCTGCTTCCGAACAGCCCTGGGCTTGCAATTACTACAAGCCACTGAAGAACCACGGCTTAACTTCTTAGGGCATGGATTTTACCAGAGATCAGGGAGGAAAAATTAAATAATTAATCTGGCAATTTAAAACAAATTAATATTAAAGTAAAATGGACATATTGCAGAATAGCATTTTTTTAAATTGTGAGAATGGTTTAAATAAAACATAAGACGGTAGAGATATTTCACCTTCTGCCCCCCTCACCCCGCTGCGCCCCTGAGTGCTCCTATCCACGCTGCTTTGGTGTTGTTTGAGAAGAACCTCCCCCCACAGAGGCACTGATACTAGCTGAATGGATTCTCCTTTCTGGGGAATGAGAACACCAGAAAGGAAAAGAGACTTCCACCTTCTCTTCTTGGCAGCAAGGAGGTGAATGTAATGTCCACATGAGGGTAGTTTATACATGTCAATTTGTATTCTAGGTGCACAAACAACACTCAGAGAGCTGTAAGGAGTTCTCTGTGGTTAGAAGCAATTCTGAAAAGAGCTGACTCATATGAGAAAAGCGTAATGCAGTATCTATTTCTTTTAGCAAAGGTGATAGAAACGCACGTATCATGAATATGTCATGCAAGGAAAGATGAGGGCAGCCTAAGCTGAGAAGGTGTTCAAATAAATTTCCTGTTTGAAAGGGATTATGATACTGCTCTTTTCCCTACCTACCTGTGGACACAACAGAAAGGTGGGAATCCTGTCCTATAAATTCAGGTTCTGGCCCTCATTTGCCCTACAAGTATTTCTTAGCCAAGGTGAAGTGGTCACCCGTGCATCTACCAAAATGGTCTGGACCACTGACTGGGCAGGTTTTGAGAAGCACGGTCACCTGCCTCAGGGTGGTAGCTATCATTTCCTGAGATTATATCACAGGTAGTACACGCTGCCAATGCTGTAGGCTCTGTTACCCTCACTTTATACAGAAAACTGAAGACCCTGTTGAATGGCTTGTCCATAGTCTTGCAGCTGGTATAAGGAGAACTGGAATACAAATTCAAGATGTTTCAATCATACAATGCTGCAAGGAGCTGATGTCAAGGAAGATACAAAGTAATGACCACCTACTCTGCTAGCAGATGGTGGTAAATTGTTCTTAGAAGCAGTGAACCAAGGGCATGATATCAACAGTCCTTGTGTGTGCCTTCTTCAGCAGAGAGGTCTACTGACTGTCAGTGAGTGTTCTGTCTAAACGAGAAGGGGCTTAGAGAGGATCATATCCTTTGACCTAGTAATTCCTCTTTTAGGAAATCATCCTATGAAAACAATCTGAAATGAGGACTAATTTTTAATGCACAAGGATACGTAAATTTTTAAATTAAAAATGTCTTCAAAACACAAACAAATGTTTAATAGTAGGAGAATAGTTAAATAATTATGCTATTCATATTCATTAAAAATTATGTGAGGTTGAGGGAGGCCGGCACGGTGGCTCACACCTGTAATCCCAGCACTTTTGGCGACCGAGGTGGGTGAATCACGAGGTCAGGAGTTGGAGATCAGCCTGGCCAACATGGTGAAACCCTGTCTCTAATAAAAATACAAAAAATTATCCGGGCATGGTGGCATGAGCCTGTAATCCCAGCTACTCGGGAGGCTGAGGCAGGAAAATAGCTTGAACCCAGGAGGCGGAGGTTGCAGTGAGCAGAGATTGCGCCATTGCACTCCAGCCTGGGTGACAGAGCAAGACTCCGTCTCAAAAAATAAATAAATAAAATAAATAAAAATTACGTGAGGGAGAAAGTAGGGAGAGGGGAGAAAAAATACGCTTTCAAAGCAATAATAACCAAACAAAATATAATCAATAAATTCTCTGGCTAGCTATTTGGGAAAAAGTAACATGAATGCCTCTCTCATAGGTTATACCATTGACTCAATCAACAAATATTTGCTGATCACCTATTTTAAGCATTGAGAAAAACTTAGAATAAAAAAATCTTTGCCCTCCTAAGACAATTCGTTAAGCAGTACAGTTTCATATGGGTATTTTCCTATATGTATGTTAAGCCTCCATTTAAAAGTTAAAATAAAAAGCCTGACTTCATGGATCTTACATTCTAGTGGTGAGATATAGACACTAAACAAAAAAGTAAAATATACAGTGTACGTGCAGTGCTATGGAGAAAACAAAAAGCAGGCAGTACTGAGATGTGGGTTGTGATTTTAAATTAAGTGGTCAGGGAAAGTCTTACTGATAAAGTTACCACATAACAATGCAAGATGCCAAATTTCAGATAAATTACATATCACTGTTTAGTATATCATACAATATTTGGCACACAGCTATTTTAAGTGAAATCTGGCAATCTTACTTACTGAAAGGCAAGTGAACAAACCTCATTCCTAATAAATTAAATGTTAATGCTTCTGAATAGGACACTAAAGCCAGAAACTATAAAAGAATAAACTGACAGATATACTATGGAAAATGTAAAGCTTTGGTTCGGCAACATAGGCTAGATTAAGAATAGCTGGGCACAGTGGCGCACGCCTGTAGTCCCAGCTCCTCCAGAGGCTGAGGTGGGAGGACCTCGAGCCCAGGAGTTAAAGGCTGAAGCTGGAGGGTGCTATAATCACACCTGTGAATACTGGGTAACAAAGCAAGATCTCGTCTCTTAAAACACACACACACACACACACACATACACACACAAAACTGTACAACAAATTGGGACAAGTATTTGCAAAATACAAAACTCAGGATTAATCTAAGCATCATTTTCTCCTATAAAATGAGGGGAGGGGGAAGATACCTGTGGTTCATACAATTATAAGGATTTCAGAACCATGTCTTGTACCTAATAACCAATGGTTCATTAAATGTAATAAATAATAATCATGATGTAGGTGTACTTATAAATCAGCAAGAAAAGCACACAATTCACAAAATAATATCAACCAATTAAACTTCTGAAAATAATTCTAGTGTCAGCTTTGGCAACATGTGAACTAAAATTTGAATGACATCCTTGCACAAAGAGGTCACAAAATTTTAAAAGCAATCCATTTTTTAAAAAAATCATCAATGGACATTAATGCTGCTGGATGAAAGATTACTGAGGAACAGGGTTTCACAGTCTCAAAGTATTACTCACAGAGTACTTATTTATTACAAAGCAGGAAGGCTACAATGGAAAAATCTGTGACCACTATTTACCTAAATGATGTCAAACCAGACATCAGCAATAAGGGAACAAACTGATACCATGTGCCTCTCAGTGTGATGCACTGAAAAGAGCACATCAACTACGTGGTACTCCCGCCAGAAACATTTAATCTGAATCTTATCATGAGACAATCAGAAACATACACATTGAAGGACACTGTAAAACAACTGATCTGAACTCCTCAGAAAAATGTCAATCTTGTGAAAATAAGAAACAGGCTGGGGAACTATTCCAGATTAAAGGAGACTAAAGACTAAAGAGCCATGATGACTAAAAGTAACACAAGACTTTGACTGGAGCTTGGATCCAAAAATAAAAATAGAAAAACTGTAAGGGACATTATTAGGACATTTGGGGAAATTTGATTACAGCATGGACATTAGATCATATCAAAATCATATCAGTGTTAAATTTCCTGAGTGTGATAAATATATTAGGGCAATATTTTTAAAAAGCCTGTGTTCTTAAGAGAAATACACTAAAATACTTCTAAGCAAACTGTTATGTCTCTGACTCTCAAGTAGTTTAGCAATAAAAAACAAATACATGTATACATGTTCACATATGTACATATTATGCTTGTGTATATATGTGTGTGTCTGCAGAGAGGGAGACAGAGCAAATATGATAGAATGTTGCCAACTTGTCTATAGGTTTGAAATTTTTCAGAATCAAAAGTGAAGCTGAATGCAGTGGCACGAGCCTTTAGTTCCAGCTACTTGAGAGGCTGAGGCAGGAGGACTGCCTGAGCCCAGGAGTTCAAGTCCAGCTTGGCCAATATAGTGAGATCTCACTGCCTTTAAAAAAAGAAAAAGAGTGGGAGAAAATATTAATAAAAAATAAAATGCATGAGGTCTAACTCCAAAAACAAACAAAAAAGGAAAGAAAATGCATTCTCTCTCAGTAGTAATCAAAGAAATGCCAGTAAGAATGGTTTTGAAAAAGACTTAATGTTGGAGAAGCGTAACTAATATAACCTTTTTTAGAGGGTGATCTGACAATCTATAAGAAATTCTGGGCCAGGCGTGGTGGCTCATGCCTATAATCCCAGCACTTTGGGAGGCCGAGGCAGGCGGATCACCTAAGGTCAGGAGTTCGAGACCAGCCTGACCAACATGGAGAAACCCCATCTCTACTAAAAATACAAAATTAGCTGGGCGTGGTGGTGCATGCCTGTAATCCCAGCTACTCGGGAGGCTGAGGCAGGAGAATCACTTGAACCTGGGAGGTGGAGGTTGCGGTGAGCTGAGATGGTGCCACTGCACTCCAGCATGGGCAACAAGAGGGAAATTCGGTCTCAAAAAAAAAAAAGAAGAAATTCTGATTCTGAAACTTTGTTGAAACCAGCTCTCTGACTCTATCATGTAATCAACAGAGGCCAAGTGAAGGCCAGGCGTGGTGGCTCACACCTGTAATCCCAGCATTTTGGGAGGCCAAGGTGGGTGCATAGCTTGGGCCCAGGAGTATGAGACCGACCTGGCCAACATGGCAAAACCGTCTCTATTAAAAATACAAAAAAGGCATGGTGGTGTGTGTCTGTAGTCCCAGCTACTCGGGAGGCTGAGGCGCAAGAATCACTTGAACCTGGGAGGCAGAGATTGCAGTGAGCCAAGATTGCACCACTGCACTCCAGCCTGGGTGACAGGGGGAAAAAAAAAAGAGGCCAAGTGAAATTCTAGAGACTTTTAATTTCCCATTTGCAGCTCTTTCTTTCATACGAAATTCCTACGCCCAAAGAGGTTTGAGAGTAATAAAAATTGTAGTAAAAATACAAAATAAATGAAAGATCCTATAATAAGAATACTATTGAGTAAATAAATTATGGCATATCAACTTGATGGCTTATCTAATGCAGTCAGTTAAAATTTAAAATGATTTCACAGAGTTTAAACAACCTGAGAACATTTCTCAACTGTTAATGAGAAAAGCAAATCTTCAAGTCCATCTATAGTATGATTACACCTACATAAAATAATGAAAATGATACTGTAAGAAAATATGCCAGAATGTTATCATAATTATTTCTGGGTGATTATGTTTCATTATTGTGTGTTTTCCAAATTTTCTGTCATAAATATGTACCTGTTTTATTTTTATAAATACTTTTTATCCTAAAGTGGCAGGTCAATAGACAAATAACATAGGCAGGCAGGCAGGCAGGCAGATAGATAGATAGATAGATACATGGATAGATACATAGATAAGACAGACAAATAGGCAGGCTGGGCATGGTGCCTCACATCTGTAATCCCAGCACTTTGAGATGCCAAGGTAGGGGGATTGCTTGAGGCCAGGAATTGAAGACCAGCCTGGGCAGTAGAGTGAGACCCCCTCATCTCTACACCATAAAAAATAATAGTAGCAAAATAAATTTTTTAAAAAATAAATAAAAATAAAAGATAAAACGTGTAGCATTCCTGGACTCAGAACATAATATAAGATTTTTGTTATTATAGTGACCTGATTTAGAGGATCTAAAAAGTGAGTGTGGGGAAATGCAGGCTCACATTCCCATAGTGAGACACTCTGTAATAACCAGAGAGAATTTATAAAAACGAAACTTTAAAATAACTATAGGCTTAAGGCTAACAGATATATCAAAAATATAGAAATCCCTATAATTTCTGAATGTATGCAAATCAACATTGTAGGCTGACAATTTCCAACATTTGATAGAATTTTAAAATTATTCAATGTTGTATGTGGAAACTTGAAAAAAAAAAAAGATAATTTAAAAATTATTCTCAGGGGGCGGGGCATGGTGGCTAACGCCTATAATCCCAGCACTTTGAGAGGCTGATGTGGGAGGATCACTTGAGGCCAGGAGTTCAAGACTAGCCTGGGCAACACAGCAAGACCCAGTCTCTTAATTTAAAATATATATATATATATAATTCAAAGTAAGTGGTTCTGAGAATAATAAAATTATCCTGAGAATCCAGAAGGTAAAAAAATTTTTTAAAAGGTAAAATTTCCAAAGAAGCAATTAAATTATAAATAAATAAAATTATTCTGAAATAATTAAAATAACTCAGGTGACGTCACCCACTGAGACTGACTCTTAAGAAAGACGCCCCTTTGCAATGAGAAAGGTATCTCTCTCCTACAAGGTTACAGTAGGTAAGATGTTTTTGGCTTATGGTAAACAGCTTGTTTGAGAAGTTGCCTAAGAAAAGTATAAACCCCGTGTCAGCTGTTTGTTAGACTTACTCATCAGCCCCTGATGTGGCATCCAGACACCACCTACCCACCCATAGATAATCTCTTGGCAACATCACCACTAAGCTGGCCCTGCTGGCTCACAGAAAGAACAAACAGCGCACTTAGGAGCTACTGAGCTGGAGGTGAAGAGAAGGGAAAGAAATGGGGCTTTATTTAACAAGTGTGACTTACTGCATGATTATTTAGTGATTTTTTCTTTGGCTAACAGTTTATTTTAAATTTTTATTGAAATGGTAAAGCAGTTTAATAACTAATCCTTTTTCATGTGAAAGGACCTTTGGAAGATGCAAATTTTAAGCCCTAAACCCCATCCATCACATAAGATAGATAACAAATTATGAAGATCAATTCTCATCAACATTCAAAGTCTACCCACCAATATTAAACTCTAACAGTTGGTCAAATCCACCAATTTCTAAGAGCACTTGAAAGATACTTTTATTTACATATTAACTGCACTAAACAAGTACTGGGGCAAAGTGTAAAACTTGCTTCATATAATCAGTACATCCTCAACCCCTGGAAAGCTTTCCATGTTTTTCTATTCTTCAAGGAATACATCTTTGGCACTGAATTTCTTTTAGTAGAAAAGGAAGATAATGGGTAAGTGTCCTTGTTATTGCTTTGGATCCCTCAGAAATGGGTTTCGCAACTCACCAGAGTTGGAAAACAAAAATGTGAGGGCCTGGTTGATTCTAACATACTCCTAACAATTATCTTTCGGTGGAGAGGACTAAATCCTCACCCAGAGCAAACAAACAAAAACACCCCAACAGAACAATGGCAAAAACAACTGGTAGGATGTTCCCGTTGAGAAGGATTCCCGGATCACCTAAAGATTCCTCCTGTCCTCTACTGGGTGTTGCTGCCAGGGCATTTCAGGCATCTTTGCAGCCCGAGACTCTCCTCAAAGGAAAGAACAGCAAAGGCTGGGGGAATATGTTCATTTGTGAAGAAAAGGAAAATGTCAGGGTCGTTTTCAAAGCATGGGGTGATTAGTTTTGCCAAAAAATAAGTCAACAAAAACTGCAGAAAAACTGAGTAAAGCTACATATTCTCCTAACTGTAAACTGCCATCAAGGTGGCTCTTTTAATCATTACATATAAAATATCCAATGTACCCAGTACTGTTATTTTTCTATCATTTTGGCGAATTCTAGTGGGAAAAAAATGAAGAATGGGGAAGCTATAAACTTAGGAATAATTAAGTGCCTACACTGAACCACAAATTATATAGGACTTTGTAAAAATTTGTTTAATCCACAAGTATGGAAGAAAAATTAATCTTTATGATTTAAAAAAGAAAAAAACTCAGAGACTCAAAGAGAAAGAAAATAATTACTTAGTTAAAACAACAAATAAGGAAACCCAAACTTTTAGCTGGACTTAGTTTCTTAATCTACCCTTCTGCTTTTTTGAAGTCCATGCCAGAGAAGTGTGTTTTGAGCCTAGATCTCCATGCTCCAGTCCTCGGCTGCCAACAGCATGAGGCCCAGGACAGAAGTCCTGCCACCCCCATCTATGTGACATGGTGTTTTGACTTTGCCATGCAGGCAATGCTTATCACCTAGCCAAACTTACTCTTCTGTTACGCTAAACCAGGAGGGGGAAAGACAAGGCAAAGGAAGAAAAGACATCTATAAAAACAGCAGAAAATGTTTCTGAGGCAATTTTTCTTTTCAGAAAAAAACTGAGCCACAGAGGAAAAAATATTCACCAATGTCAAAAGTTCTGAATGCCACCCAACTATAGGATTGCTCAATCAAGGTAGTTTCTGGATCATTTCTCCTTTTAAAGAGCCCCATGAATACACAAAATCAGATCAAAAGTTCTTATTCTTCCACTATCACATCTATGAAATTATTTCCTTTAAATTATACATTAGTCTTCCCTTGTTAAAAAAATGTAAGAAATAAAAATTAAAAACTCACTGCTAGCTTAAAGCCTTAAGCACTAGCTTGTTTACCTCCATGAGTTGACACAGGGTGATGAGTCCAAGGTCTCATTATCTTTTAAAGGTCAAGGATGAGATAGCTTGGCTTGTTCGATGAACACAAGGCTATACCCTCAACACCCTGCTCAGAAATGAATGCCACTGTTTGTTCACAAAGGACAGGGAAAGAGCGTCTAGACAGATTAACACAAATCCATTCCCACTGCTGAGAAACCCCAAACCACATCCTATTTGATGGCTCATTAAAAAAAAAAAATTACTTGGGAAGTGTTCAGGCAGCAGATAAATTCCTACACTAGTCAGAAAGAACAGCTAATCAACAATACATCACACATAATATAAGCTTGACTCAATGAGCTCAAATCATGACAAAAATATGAGACTGAGACATACGGTTCTTCTCTGCCTCCTAAATTATTGGGTGTAGCAGTTTCAAGCAGAGATCCATGTATACCCGAAAGGTTAAATGCATCCACTATGTTATGGTATGTTATGTTATGTTATGTTATATTTTAGACACAGGGTCTCACCATCTCACCCAGTCTGGAGTAGAGTGGCACGATCTTCACTTACTGCAGCCTCGAACTCCTGGCCTCAAGCAATCCTCCTGCCTCAGCCTCCCAAGTAGCTGGGACTATGGGTGTGTGCCACCATGCTCAGCTAATTTTTAAAATTTCTTTGTAGAGATGAAGGTCTTTCTGTGTTACCTACGCTGGTCTTGAACTGTCCTCAGTCTCAGCCTCCCAAAGCACTGGGATTATAGGTGTGAGTCACCAGGCCTGGACATTAAATACATCTATAACCTACTTCACAAGTAATTCTGAAAAGTCTCTAGGGTCTAAAAATAAAGTGATTTTTTTCCTTCCTTCTGGAAGACATAAGTTAAAAAGGCATTGTGTACAAAAGTCAGTATGACAAAGAATTTAATCTTCCACTGTGTAGCTAAGAATTACCATTTAGTTGAGAACTCCTTGACTTGTCATGACTGTGCTAAGTGTTGTATTAATAATCGTCCTGGCCGGGCGTGGTAGTTCACGCCTGTAATCCCAACATTTTGGGAGGCTGAGGCAGGCAGATTGCTTGAGGTCAGGAGTTTGAGACCAGCCTAGTGAACATGCTGAAACCCTGTCTCTACTAAAAATACAAAAAATTAGCTGGGTGTGGTGGTGCACGCCTGTAGTCCCGAGGCTGAGGCACGAGAATTGTTTGAGCCTGGGACGTGGAGGTTGCAGTGAGCCAAGATCACACCACTGCACTTCAGCCTGGGCAACAGAGTGAGACTCTCTCAAAAAAAGAAAAAAATCATCTCACCCAACCTGATCCATCCTGTGAGGTCTGCTCTAAAGACACCTGGGGGAATGGTGTGTCTATGAGGAGGAGGCTCACTGTCTTGCTCCAGATGTGCATGCAAAGTATTACTTCAGCTTCGTTTTACTCAGGAGGACACCTGGGCTCAGAAACCTTTGATAAGAAATCAAGGGTGGGACCCCAGAAATCCAAGTGGGACCTTATGGGACTCCAAAAATGGAGTTCTTTCCACTCTGCCTTATTGCCTCTGATATGTTTATCCATACGTTTCTACAGAATTTGACCGTTCAGGTAAAATCAGCAATAAAAGCAAGCACTCTTCTTGCACATTTTTAAGCGGTTTTTGTTGTGGTTTTTATTTTTTAATCTTACAGCTCAAATAAATGTTTCTCTACCAGAAGCACTTAAGAAATATTATCATTATTTTTGAGATGGAGTCTCGCTCTGTCACCCAAACTGGAGTGCAGTGGCGTGATCTTGGCTCACTGTTGCAACCTTTACCTCCAGGATTCAAGCGATTCTCGTACCTCAGCCTCCTGAGTAGCTGGGATTACAGGTGCGTGCCACCACACCTGACTAGTTTTTGTATTTTTAGTAGAGACGGGGTTTCACCATGTTGGCCAGGCTGGTCTCCAACTCCTGACCTCAAGTGATCTGCCCGCCTCGGCCTCCCAAAGTGCTGGGATTACAGGCATGAGCCACTGCGCCTGGCCAAAAATATTTTCAAAACTTCAGCAAATAAAGTATAATTATCAAAAACAAAATCATTAACGTAATATAAACTGCTCATATATAATACAAACATGAACTATTTACTATATATATTCATTTTACCTGAGCTATGCTTTGTTCTCTCAAACCATTTTGAAGCCATGGCCCATGGATTCTACCAGTAATGATTAGCGTTTCGTGCTGGGAGTCCTATAAAATCCTGTCTTCATTACACATAATGTACCATACTTTATGAGTTCTGGCCCAACAGGTTACCTTATGGCTAAGAACTGGAGCTACTTTTTAGATAGTTCACTAAGAGCAAAATCTGTAACTGGGCCAGAAGGCTCTGCACATGGCCTACCTGTCTTCCAGCTTCCTGCTCCCTCCCCTGCCCGCACAATACTGCTTGGCACTGGCCTTCTGCCACTCCTGGAACCTGTCGGCCCTTCTCCCTGTTGTGGCTGAGCCTTTAGAAAAGGCGCTTCATCATCGTGGAGCATTCCTGCCACTGTCACAAAGCTCTCACTGACCATTCTTTCACTTCTTGGAGCAAAACTCTCTTTCTTAGAGAAGCCTCCCTGACTGCCGCAGACGAGGTCCGTTTACCCTGTTCTGCCCTCTCAAAGCACTTTCTACCCTTTACTGGACTAATTTCTGTCTCTCCCACTAGACTGCAAACTCCATGAGGGCAGGGCATCTGTTTTGTTCACCACAGTATCCTCAGTACCAGGTCAGTGCCCGGCACACATGCATTAATTCAACAAACATTTGAGCACTAGTGCACATAAGGGATTGTTGTAGGCACAGGGGACATATCATGAACCTCAGATTCTAGTCAAGGAAACAAGACAATGGTGGGGGTATGGACAAAAGGAAACAATCAGTGCTTCAGAAAACCAGATAGCAAGGAAGGGGGGATATAAGAGTCACTTTATTTATTTAATTTAATGTAATGTCATTAATTAATTTATTTTTTTGAGATGGAGTTTTGCTCTGTCACCCAGGCTGGAGTGCAGAGGCACAATCTCGGCTCACTGCAACCTCTGCCTCCCAGGTTCACACCATTCTCCTGCCTCAGCCTCCTGAGTAGCTGGGACTACAGGTGCCCACCACCATGCCTGGCTAGTTTTTTTTGTATTTTTAGTAGAGACAGGGTTTCACCGTGTTAGCCAGGATGATCTCGATCTCCTGACCTCATGATCCACCCGCCTCAGCCTCCCAAAGTGCTGGGATTACAGGCATGAGCCACCACGCCTGGCCAAGAGTCACTTTAAATGCAGTTGAAGGCACAACATCATTAAGAAATTCTGAACAATCATTTGATGGAGGTGAGGTGAGGGAGACTGAATCACTAAATATCTGAGGAAAGATATTTCCTCAGAAATATGCCATACTTGTAATATAAAATACCATACTTAAAATATGCCATATTTTATGAGTTCTGGCCCAAAAGGTTACCTTATGGCTATGAACTGGAGTAACTTTTTAGATAGTTCACTAAGAGCAAAATCTGTAATTCGGCCAGAAGGCCCTGTAGCACGTGGCCAGCTTGTCTTCCAGCTTCCCAAGGGAGAAGGGAGGAAGCAGTGAGTGAAAAGGCCACCTGAGGACCTGTGGAGTATGGTCTGGAATAAGCAAGCATATAGCAGACACTCCATGGCATAAATAAGGCTGCACGGGGAAGCTACGTTAAATCAAGCTGTTAATTATCACAGATGCCAAGGTGAAGCTAAGTTTCCATCATGTAACTTCTCTGTGGGGAGTAACACAGTATGTGGCCCAAAGAACAAACATCTTTACGAATCAACACTTGCCTGTTCCTTATTGTTCCCTCAACCAAACTTGCCGTTGTCACTGTGTCACTGTGCTGGTTACTCATTTCTTCACCAAATTCCAGAACATATACTTGTTTTTGTCTCTTACTGATCAGCCTTTGAGATGGGATCTTGCTATATTGCCCAGGCTGGACTTGAACTCCTGGGCTCCACAATCCTCCTGCCTCAATCTCCTGAGTAGCTGGGACTATAAGCTTGTGCCACCACTCCTGGCTGCTAACTTTTTTTAAACAGATGTCCCGAATATAAACATGAATTCCACCTCAGGTAGCAAATTCTACAGTATATTTTGTTGCAGTTTTACTGGTTTCACTGGCCTAACAACTGACCTTAAACATATGTAGATGGAAATATTTTATTGTCAATTTAATGTTTCCTCAGAGATTTTAGCAGTAAAAAGAAAGGAAAACAGCCACTAGAGGTAAGTGAAGAGGACTGCATTTAAATCCCATAAAGCAGTGGCAGAAAAAATTCTCCCTACGGCCAATGAATGCATGACAGAAGGACACGCCTAAAAAAGAGATGAAAAGCTGTACCTAATATTTTGAAATCAACTAAAAGATTTAAGATAATAATATATGAAAGAACATTAAGGCTAGGCATGGTGGCTTGTACCCATAATCCTAGCTACTCGAGAGGCTGAGGCAGGGGGATTATTTGAGCCCAGGGATTCAAGGCCAGCCTGGGCAATACAGCAAGACCCTGTGTCTTAATTTTTTTTTTTTTTAAATTAGCCAGGCATACTGGCGCACATCTGTAGTCCTAGCTACTCAGGAGGCTGAAGCAGGAGGATTGCTTGAGGCCAGGAGATTGAGGCTGCAGTGAGCTATGATAGCACCAATGCACTCCAGCCTAGGTTAACAGATAGATACTCGACTAAAAATAAATAAGTAAATTGATAGATAGACAGACAAACAGAATGAACATTAAATCAGAATTAGGAAATCTCAGAAATGAGGTCACAGTACTCAAGAAAACATTAACACTCAAAAAAAATTAGATATAAAAAGGAAAATTGTTTTATGAGGGCCAAATTAGAAAAAATACAAGAATAAAAAAACACAACTTGCCTTAAGAGAAACAGATAATTAAAAGATAAAAAATTTTAAAACCAAAAAAGAATTAAATTAGATAATTAGAAATTAAATAAATTAAAAATGACTTGAAAGAAAGTGACACAGATGATGGGCAAAGATCCAAATAGCTATAATAGAAGTTTTCATAGACAAAAACAAAAGCAAGGGAACAGAACAACGCTGAAAATTACAACTCAAGAAAACTTTGCTCAGATAACCAAAAAAGGCTCAATATTGCATGCTGAAAGGCTATACCGCATACATCTGCGAAAACGGATCCAAAACAACTAGTCAAAATATACATTTCAGTAAAACTAGGAGACTTAAAAAAAAATTCAGCGCATCTGGTCAAAAAGAGTAAGTCAAGAAAAAAAAGTCAGATTGCCATCACACTTTGAGAGAAGCATTTCAAGCCAAAATAAAATGGAACATATTTAAGATTCTCAAAGAAAGAACATTTGAATCAAGGGTTCTTTCATATATAATTTTACACCTAGCTGAGCCTACTTTCAAGTACAAAGGCTTCTGACAAACTAACATTCAAGAACTCAGGGAGCACTTTTCCCATGACTCTTCCAAAAAAATGTAGTAGATGACCAAACTCATGGAACAAACATCATCGTAGGAACTGAGAGTGAGAATTAAATGTACACTTACCTGTAAAACAGAGACTAAATGATGGTTATAAGCGTTAGCATAGAGTATACAATGGCTATTTGCTCTGACAATGTAAATATGGTATAATTATTTTAAAAAGAAAAGGACAGAATGAAGAGGGCACACAAGAAGGTAGAATAAGAGTGCTGACTTCCTTACAGCTAATAAAGGGTATTTTTCTAAATCAGACACAGAAGAGGGAAGGCAGGGAAAATAAGAGATTATAGCTAATTTCAATATTGGTCATAGTAGGGTACCAATAGACAATGACTAAAAAGAGACAAGACTGAAGTACTGTATAACGTTATTTGTGGCAGACTGTAAAATGGCAAAAAAAATCCTTCCTTTTTATGCATGCCCCTTGCAATGTGACTTTTCTGCTCCTGCCATCAAGAGGTGCGGTGTATTTACTGCTCCCCTTGAATTTAAGATTGGCATGAGACCTGCTTTGGCTGAAGGTATATTAACAAGCATAATGCAAACTGAGGCTTGCAGGGTAGCTTGTGCTGTCTTGCTGCTGGGAACCCTTTGGTCACCATGTGGACAAGCTGGACTAGCCATCTACAGGATGAGGGGCCACATGGGGAGAGGCTCCCACTGTCCCAGTAATCCCAGCTGAGACACCAGAAGTGTGACTGACGTCATCCAATCCCAGCCAGTCTGGCCTAGACCAGAACTGCCTAGGCAACCTATGGAATTATGGGAAACAGGTAAGTATTGTTTTAAACCATTATGTGTTCAAAAAATGAGGTTTAGAACGAGGAGGACATCTGAAAAATAGAATATGCTTGACGACTGCCTTATAAGTGAAGAGCCCATATGCTTATATGCTAAAAAACAGAATATGCCTGAAGATTGCCTTATAAGTCAACAGAAAATAAAAGGTTATTTTTTCTTTTTTTGAGACAGAGTTTTGCTCTTGTTGCCCAGGCTAGAGTGCAGTGGCAAAATCTTGGCTCATTGCAACCTCTACCTCCCAGGTTCAAGTGACTCTCGTACCTTGGCTTCCTGAGTAGCTGGGATTACAGGTGTGCGCCACCACACCCAGCTAATTTTTTTGTATTTTTCATAGTGATGGGGTTGGCCAGGCTGGTCTCAAACTCCTGGCCTCAAGTGATCCACTTCGGCCTCCCAAAGTGCTGAGATTACAGGCATGAGCCACCATGCCTGGCCAAAAGGATATATTTTCAAACCAGATGTTGAGGGGGTGTTATCTAATTTCAATATTCCTATTAGAAAAATAATCGATAATGAAAAACATGGGGAGTGGCTATGGTATTACATAATGGCATATGTAGCCCTTAGAACAAAAATTTAATTTGCTCTTTTTTAAAAAACCCTCAAAAATAATAAAAATAATACAAATTAAAAGAGATAGAGAATAAATAAAACAGACCACAGAGAAAGACTACTTCATATACCCAGGAGGTCGAGGCTGCAGTGAGCTGAGATCACACCACTACACTCCAGCCTAGGCAACAGAGTAAGACCCTGTCTCAAAAAAAAAAAAAAAAAAAAAAAAAGACTACTCATATTAAAGAATTGCATACATACATATGTAATATGAAACAATGACAGAGCCAAGGCCAAACATATTGGCTATACCAATACATTTAAATGGGCTTAATTTATGTGTTAAAATTTAAAAAAAAAAATTCAGATTGGCTAGCAAAGCAAAATCCCACACTATGCCATATTACTACTGTCGTACTACTATGCAGTAATCTCCTGAATGGCTTGTAAAATAAAAAAAGCAAAGTAGAAAAAAGTAAATATAGCAGATTACAATTTACCTAAGAAACAGAAGAATATAAATATGTATACTTATGTTTTTATGTTAAGAAAAACAATGGAAGGATGAAGCAAAACAAAAATTACTTTTAAATAGTTACTCATTAAGGTGGGGAGAGAACAGGATGGAGGAGACAGGAATTAAAATCTAGACTTTTTTCAATATAGTACACCTTGTCTTTTAAATTTGACTTTGGAACTACGACAATATTTTAAATAATTACAGAACAGTTATATTTTTAAAAGTGATCTCTAAGAAATGAAAATAAAAGAAAACAAATGAACCCAATGTCTCCAACTGGGGGCATAAGCTCACAGACAGGGAATGTTCCAGAAGCTATCAGACTGTGCACCCCTAGAGATACACTAAGGTGGAAAGAACTGCAAAAGACAAATCTTAAGCCATCCTCGATTATTAAATCGGTGGCGAATGCACTGGTTTTGTTATTCTGAGGCTGTGGGGTGTGTACCATGGGATAAAGCAACTGAATGATTATATGATATTCTATTTCTACCATCTCCAGTGTCATTGAGAACCAGGATTCTTGCTATGAGAGAAAGAACGTATATATTTAGGACAAAAAAGATTAAGTAGAAAACCTATAGTCCTGATGTTGTATCAGAAATATCAGTTTGAACTCATGATGTATTTTCATCTGAAAGAAAAGAGAGGGGCATGGAGGGGAGGGGAGAGGAGAGAGGAAGGGAGGGGAGGGGAGGGAAGGGAAGGGGAGGGGAGGGGACGTGAGTGGAGGGTGGAGGGGAGGGGAGGGGAGGGGAGGAAGAACATTTTCTGAGCTCTGTCTGTTGTAAAGCTCAGAAACAATAACCAACCCAGTACAATGAGCACTCTAGCACCCAGAATGAGGTCTCGAAATGCCATTTTCCTTGAAAGGAACCAGAGCTCTTTGTAGAAGTGCTGATTCCAGGTCTGGGGAAGTGAATGTACAAGATGAGCCTGGAACATCTTGTCATCTCAGAGGGCCAGTCAAAAGAATTCATCGGCCAACCTCAAGAGGTTCTGATTTGCAACACTGGGAGAACTGGAGCATTAGTAAGGGTCAAAACTGTGACTGACTAAATCATATTATAGATTTCTCTATGTCATTATGTCCATAAGTCCATGATGATACTAAAACAAACTAACTGGCCACTACTGTCCATTTTTAGGCAAGAATCAAACATAAATTCTGCTTTTCCTATACCAATTGCCAACCACATAGCAGACAAGTAAAAGTTTCTCTTTATAGATATATTCCAACTAATAAAAGAAAAAGGCATGCTAGAATTACAGTATCACCATATTGCAGTCTCTAATGAAATAATGGATCTAGGTTAAGCATTAACACAGCCAATAAATCACACACAAAAAGAGAGATACTAGATACTAGATGTGCTTCCTGATGGAAGAACACATCACCACCTGTGAAGCAGTCTTGCAGCCTCAAAACATCAGTTCTTATTCTGATCAAGCTTCTAGCTTTAACAACAAGCTTATATGAAAAAGGAGGACAAAAGAATATATAAAACAACATGAGAGGTGGGGAGTGGATACAATCAGTAAAGTTCAGACTGTAAGAAATGCTACAGGACGAATAACCTTGCTTCTTCAACAAACGAGGGGGTGAGGGCAGAAGAGAGACACACTGATAGATTAAGAGACACCACAGACATTTCAACAACCACCATGTGTGGCCCTTATATGAATCTTGACTTCAGTGGAAAAAGATAAACTCATGACATTTGTGAGATAACTTGAAATTTTAACAGTCTATCAATAGTTTATCATTTTAAGATATTAATGATTTATTTTTTAGGAGCAATACTAATATTGTACCTATGTTTAAAAAAATAATCTGTGGGCCAGGCATGGTGGCTCATGCCTGTAATCTCAGCACTTTGGGAGGCCAAGGTGGACTGTTTGAGCTTAGGAGTAACATATCGAAACCCCGTCTCTACCAAAAATTAGCCAGGTACAGGGACATGCACCTGTAGTCCCAACTACTAGGGAGGCTGAGGCAGGAGAACAGCTTGAGCCTGGGAGGTGGAGGTTGCAGCGAGTGGAGATCGCACCACTGCACTCCAGACTGGGTGATGGGAGTGAAACCCTGTCTCAAAAAAAAAAAAATCTGTTTTTAAGAGACACACTGGAATATTTCCCAGTGAATACAATATGGATCTAAAATATGCTTCAAAATAAAAAGTGAGAGAGCAGGTGTTCGTAGAGATGAAACAGGACTGGCCACGATTAAGTGGCTGAAGGGGTTGGGGGTGAGTACAGACTTGTCACTATATTCTTCTTTATAGTGTGTGTGTCTTGGACATTTTTTTCCACAATAAAAAGTTCAACCAAACAAACAACATGAGTGCAACAGGTTCTCCCTCAGAGCATGGAGGAGACTGGCCACTGCCACAATCATGGTGTTGGCCTCTCTGGTTACACAATGCTTTATCCTTTAATTCTCTAGTCTAGTTTCTCCAAATAGCTTCAGTAAGGTAAAAGATTTTTATCAGAACATCATTTTCACTTTCACTGCTTTTCAGCTCTATCAAGGGCTTCTGTAATGTACACTTTGGCAAACCTAAACATTCCCTTTTCTTTTTCATAAGAAAAACAAAGCAAAATAGAGTACTTGACAGACAACAGAGAATTTCCCCTTCTTTTCCCTTTAGAATAATGAAGATGAGGCTCCAAACTCAACCTCTTGCAGCCGTTCTCTGAAAGTAAACCAGGGTTGCCAAAAAGTTCTATGGCCTGCAGGTCCCTGCGTCACCCCATCCTCCAGCCCGGCAAATCTCTGACATGTGGTAAAGCCTGTGCAAAGTCACATGTCAGGAAATAAACACACAGAGCCACTCCACTGAACATCAGTTCACAGCCACAGGAACGCTTTTGCTTTCCATTTGGAATATTTGTTAAATATATGTAACGGGCCGGGCACGGTGGCTCACGCCTGTAATCCCAGCACTTTGGGAGGCTGCGGCGGGCGGATCACCTGAGGTTGGGAGTTTGAGACCAGCCTGACCAACATGAAGAAATCCCATCTCTACTAAAAATACAGAATTAGCAGGGTGTAGTGGTACATGCCTGTAATCCCAGCTACACGGGAGGGAGGCTGAGGCAGGAGAATTGCTTGAACCCGAGAAGTGGTGGTTGTGGTAAACCAAGATTGCGCCATTGCACTCCAGCCTGGGCAACAAGAGCCAAACTCCATCTCAAAAAAAAAAAAATACACGTAACCACCACCTATTGACGTTTCAGTCAACAGTGGACCCCCTTATACATGGTGGTCCCATAAGATTATGATACTGTATCTTTTCTATGTTTAGATATACAAATACCATTGTATTACAACTGCCTACTGTATTCAGTACAGTAACATGCTGTACAGGTGTGCAGCCTAGAAGCAACAGGCTACTCCTTGTAGTCTAGGACTGCAGTAGGCTGTACCATATAGGTTTAAGTACACAACGATGTTCACACAACGAAAATGCCTAACAACACATTTCTCAGAAGGTGGCCCCTGTTACTAAGCTTATGACTGTATTACTAAGGAGCTAAGTCAAAGGTAAAAATAGTCCAGCAGGTAAAAACAAGAAAAGCTCAAACACCAATACTACAGAGAGATCTTTAGCCACAAACATCATTTGCACATCAAGAACCAAACAGAATTGGGGTGCAGGTGAGGAGGTGGGCTGAGCTAAGGTAGAGCCTCTTCCCACTAGGAATGTAAAGGAGTATTAAAGGATAATTAGAACTTTTTTTCCTAAATGCACAAATCTCAGGTGTCAGAAATAAGAGAGAAAAGAGCTGGGCATGGTGGTATACACCTGAAATCTAGCTACCTGGGAGGTTGACGCAGGAGAATGGCTTGAGTCCTGGAGTTTAAGGTCAGCATGGGCAGCACAGTGAGACTTGGTCTCTTAATAAGAGGGAAGCAGGAAGGGGAGAAATAAGAGAAAATGTAAAGCCAGGGCTTAAGAGAAAGAGTGGGCTGGGGCAGCCCTGGTGGAAAAAAGGGGAAAACAAGACCAGGTACAGGGGACAATATCCAGAAGTCACAAAGACCCAGACATGGCCTCAGACCTGTGTGGCACAGGAAGCTGGAACAAGGTCCCTGCATCAAGATGGGCACACAGAAAGGCTGCCCCCTCCAAGTGAAGAAGGCAAGAACAACAACCAGCCCAGAGAAATGGCAACCAAAGCTCCCTGTCCATGGCCTGGGGTGGGGAGAGAAAGGTCTGTAAAGAGAAATCTCATCTCAAGCCTGCTCCACAAGTGGGTGCTAAGAAAAAGGAACAAAGAAAACACCTGGTAATACTAAAGATAAGTGGACCCAATTCACCATTTAAAAGACAGATTCTCAGACTAAAGAAAAGCAAATTTACATATAGATGCTCTTCACAAAAGACACATAAAAACCTACTCACAAAGCAACTCAGAAAGAAATTCAGAAGTAAAAGGATGAAAAAGATGTATCAGGCAAATACTTAACAAAAAAGGAAAACCTTGACATAAAGTTATCGGACAAAAATGAGTTCAGGACAAAAAAACCCCAAACAACAAACCACTAATTAGAAAAACAGCATTAAACTATGCAAAGAAAAACTGACAGAATTATAAAGAAAAACTAACAAGTACACACACACACACACACACACACACACACACAAACTATACATATACATATATATATCCCCCAATTATAAACTCGTGTCAAGCAAACAAAAATAATTAGTAAATATACAGAAGATTGGGACGTTTCTGACAAACCCTACACTTAACAGTTAGAAAATGTACTTTCAAACAAACGTGGCACATTTACAAAACCTGACTAGGCCATAAAGCAAGACTCAACAGATAGCACACACTGTCTTAACCACATTCTCTAACACAATGCAATACAATCAGAAAATACAGTCAGGACAGGATGCAAATTAGAGCAATCTCTGCTTTCTGCCCCATTTCTCCGAACACAGTCAGAGAAGTCTATCCTCCTGCTGACCTAAAATTAATACTGTACATACGTAGAGATCAGATACAGAAAAGTCTAAAGACTTATACAGAATATGAAATGATTATTACATTTAATGTCAAAGACAGAACAGCTAACCAAAGGAAAACAAAACCTGCCTGCCTCTTTGAGCCTCCCAGAAATGACAGAAGGATTAGGGACATAAAGGGCTCAGTCATTCAGAGGACAGGGAGGTCCTTAAACAACCTAAGTATAGTCACTTGTTGCCTAATGAAGGGGTATGTTCTGAGGAATGCATTGCTGTGTGAACACCATAGGGAGCACTTATACTAGATGGTGTAGCCTACTACACGCCTGGGCTATACAGTATAGCCTATTGATCCTAGGCTACAAACCTGCACAGCATGGTACTGAATACGGTAGGCAACTGTAACACAATGGTTAAGTATTTGTTTACCTAAACACAGAAAAGGTATAGTAAAAATATGGTATTACAATCTTATGGGGCCACTGTAGTATACGCAGTCCATAGTTGACTGAAATGTCATTATGTAGCATATGACTGTAGTTGATTCTAACCTGTGATGTATTAAAATTCTCACTTTTCTTACCCTAAGACACTTAAAATATTTCATGGAGTGTTGTTTCCCCAAGACAGCTACCTGGTTATGACTTCTTTATTTTGTTTGTTTTTTCTTATTAGTAAGCTCTCGAAGAACAGCCAAAGTGTGAAGGCAAACCAGTATGCCATCATACCCTTGGTCCATCACGGCGGTTTAGATCATCAAGATTCATTACCAGGTACACCTTCCTGTCCAAACATGAATTATGAAAAAGATCTTTACTCCTAGGGGCAGCTGTTCACTGCTGCTGCTAAACTGCAGCATTAAGAGTGTTCGATTTATCAAGATAAGAAGACAAAGATCAAGCTTGAACATAATCACTTTTCAAACTGCTTGCAAGCATTCGAAGTGGGGAAAGACAAGGAGGGGAAAAGCTCCTTTAACTAAAATTAGAAACCTACTGATAATTTAAAGGAAACTCTTTACATTTACTTAAAATATGTTACTGAAGATATTTTATCTCCACTAGAATATAATTTCCCAAACATTATTCAATTAAAATATCTCAGAAACAATATGAAAACTGAGTAATCAACTGCCTGTAAAAATTTCTCCAAGTAGTTAACATCAGCAAAATACAGCCATCAGTGCCACTCGGATCCTGCTTCATGGTTTCTATGTGTCTTTCCTTGTTCAGATCCACTAAATCTTTCTATTACCAGGCAACACAGAATATCATACATATAAAATGAAACTCTTATTTCCTTTGTATATCAAGATGAATCTCTCTTTTAAATATTATAGTCCAACCCAGCATATCTAATAGGGAGGAATGGGGATATAATTTCATGAGAAAAGAGAAGGATTTAAACAATGACAGATTTTAAAACAGTCTATAACAGAAACAACTACTACTACTACGAAATATGAGGAGTGTTAAATTTCCTTGTTTCAGTTTGTCTGAAGTTATCCAGAATACTTACAGATAATCTTGCAATGGAATTTCAGTATGAAGATCTCTAAGAAAAAGATCCGGATTAAGTTCTTAAGCTAGTAAATGCGCCTCTCTACAGATGAGGAAGTAAATGCATCAAAGGATAAAGGCTGTTCCCCAAGAAATGAAACAGATGACTCCCTCCCACCTGAAAGATAAGGATGTCTCTGGAAAACTCAGGATGCCTAGTTTGAAGTTGTCCAAGACTCATCAGTTTCCAGCACTTAATACTGATGTGGTATTTTGTAACCCTCAATGCAGCGGTCACAGAAGGGACAACCCTTCTATGATGGCAAGGCAGGGAACCCAATTATTCCCAGACCAAGGTGGGGTGCACAAACATTCCATTCAAATGAAGGTCAGCACAGCAAGCAAACAGGGACCATGAATCAAGCTTCCAGGAGATGAGGGAAGGCAATGGCATGGAGGCTGTGTGCTCTGCTGGGACACAGGACCCTTCCCTCAGCCTGTCCCTCCTGTTCATGGCACCCTCTCTTCATTATCACCTACCTGCAAAGGGGCCCTGCAAGCCTATGACAGAGCCGCTCAGTGAATCCAGAGATTCAGTTCACTCAACAGACCTAAAAAGCAACACTCTCCTTAATTGTAGGCTCCACCAGGAAAAGACTATACTGTTATTTGCACAGAGGTGAAAAGAAAGATTGCCTAATAGGAAGGACACTGAGTGTTCTCACCATGATTTCAACCAAATTTTCTTTTTCTTTTCTTTGAGATGGAGCCCAAACTGTAGTGTACAGTGGTGCGATCCTGGCTCACTGCAACCTCCACCTCCCGGGTTCAAGCAATCCTCCAACCTCAGCCTCCCGAGTAGCTAGGATTACAGGTGTGCACCACCAGGCCCGGCTAATTTTTTTTGTATTTTAGAGGCGGGGTTTCACCATGTTGGCCAGGCTGGTCTCAAACTCCTGACCTTAAGTGATTCGCCCACCTCAGCCTCCCAAAGTGCTGGGATTACAGGCATGAGCCACCACCTATAACCAAATTTTCTACATGTTACTTTTCCCAAGAACTTGCCAAAAGAATTAAATAAATCATCCACTGTTTTTTTTTTTTTTTGAGACGGAGTCTTGCTCTGTCACCCAGGCTGTAGGGCAGTGGTGCGATCTCGGCTCACTGCAAGCTCCGCCTCCCGGGTTCACGCCATTCTCCTGCCTCAGCTTCCCAAGTAGCTGGGACTACAGGTGCCTGCCACCACGCCTGGCTAATTTTTTTGTATTTTTAGTACAGATGGGGTTTCACCATGTTAGCCAGGATGGTCTCAACCTCCTGACCTCGTGATCCACCCACCTCAGCCTCCCAAAGTGCTGGGATTACAGGCATGAGCCACCGTGCCCGGCCTCATCCACTGTTTTTACTCAGCTCCCATCTCAGGCCGCTTCCTTCTAAAGGGGCCAAGATGCAAGTTAATAAGCAGCTGAAATGAACAGGCTGGCAAAGTAAACCATACATCCCTGGTTTTCCCAAACCTCATCACACAAAGGAAAAGTCAAGGGTGTAATCCACAATAAGGAGATTCATCTGCAGAAAATAAACTATCAAGAAAAGAAAAAAGCAACATCATCTTCAATTAAAGTCAAATTCAACAGTTGTAGCCATCCTATGTCTCCATTTGCCTAACTATCCAGTACTTGGAGCCGTCCACGGTCACTGTGCCAGGGTTAAAGTTGGGCCAGGAGTGGCCGGGCCTCCCTGCAGCCAGCCCATTTTTGTGGCATTTCTCTTGTCAGGCAAGAACCAGAATGACTCTCCTGAAGCTCTGAGGTGAGTACCTCTCCTTTAAAAGCAAATAAAAAGTAGACAGCCCAGAAATCCTCTTCCTAATGGCTTTGGGTCAAACACCCTGGTGAAGAAAGGAAGGCAGAGAACAACAAACACTCCAGTCTTGCAGCTATATTCTATAAAGTCTCCATTGTTAAATAAAATGTATAGAGGTCAATGGTTTGGACTGAGCTCCTGCACTAGGCCCAACAGACCTAACTGAAATGGAGTCACTCTTAAAGTTCCATGTCACCAAGCTGAAACTAATTTCTCTATATGACCTTGTGGGGAATCCAAATGAGAGTAAACAGCTGAATCTCCAAACAAGCCAGTTTTACCTGACGACATGATAAATTGAGTTCCCTCTGCTTTAACCTTTACAAGGAAAGCAACTATGAAATGACCAATCTGCTTTTTGTTTTCTGTTTCTGCTTTCTTCAACCCTTCTCTATCTATAAAACCAACCTCCTCTGCCCAGCTCATTGGAACGCTCATTCTATTTTATGGAATGAGTTGTTGTCCCATTCCAGAACTGCAAATAAAGCCAATCAAGATTTTTAAACAAAATCTGTCATAATTTTTTTCTTTTTGACGTCATGAAAGCTGAATTAGCAAATGCTGAGTCATTGTTTCTAGGGAAATACAAGATTAGGGTCCTACAAACCTCTGATCACATGTTCATCAACCGATCAATATATTATCTTGTTTTATGTGTGTTTCTGTTTAAAGACATCTTAGTTAATATACTGTTGATTCATTAACACTGAACTCATGGCCAAGAGCACTTTAACTCATGTGTGAACAAAGCTCATCTAACACGTGTTTTCTCTGTAAGGCACCTCACATCCTTCTTGCATTCAGGAACACTGGGTATCCCTCTAACACTATGCTTTGGGGTCATTTTCAACAGCAAAATCACTAATAAAAAGGACAAAAATTCAAAACAAAAAACTGGCACTAAAAGCCTGTGAAAAGGAGCCGTGTTTACAGCCCAAGAGCAGAAACTGGAAGGCAGAGTGCAGTCTCCTTCAGCTTTGGCTGGAAGCACATGTTGGGCAATACAAAATTTTCCCAACCTGCATATCCCTGGGGATGACCACAAAAGCACGTGAAAACTGAATTGTGGGTTACAAAAAATTGAATATCTGAATTCACAAATACAGAATCTGTGAATAATGAGGACTGACTGTATTTTTAAAACCATGCCCAAACCAGCTGCTCAAACTGAGTGTCAGAATAAATCCATAGCCCTAATGAGTACAACTTCACCTTACAGCAAACTTCTCCTGTGCCTGTGGAATTCTCACATTCCTTATGAACCTACTCAAAAGTTAACCTCTGTAACAGAAAGCTGCTCTAGTAACTACTGAAGTGGGACCCCCACAAGAGGCTCCAAAGGAGACCCCTGACTGCACTGATAAGAGATTAATTAGAACGGCAACCCAACTGTAGGAAGCCATGGGAAAGAAAAGGAAAGACAACTAAAAATCATTCTGGCAGCAGGTTTTGTCTCTTGTTTAAAAGGTACAGACAGGTGAAGACCTGCAAGTCACTTAGGGCAACAAACATGGCCCTACCTGAGGGACATGCTGTCATTTTGCAAGCCGATCATACAAACACCAAGAGCTTCACACTCACACAGTCTCCATGATGCAGCAATACATCTTTTTTACAAACTTGACTCTGTGATATTTTATTGTCTGGATTTCTGAATAGACTGATGTGGGGGGGAAAGTGGACATTTACCGAGCAGCTAATGCCAGGCACTATGTCGAGAACTTTACCTTCATAACCTCACTGAATTCTCCCCAGCCTGGTAAAATGAATTTTCTCTTCTCCACTTTAACCTCTGGAGCTAAGGACTCAGGTTACATCAAACACCACCGATTTTATTTCCTTCAAGCGGCTAAAATAACTCGAGAGATTGTTTGGATATTTCAACTAGTTGAGTATTCAATTAATCACTTTAATTACTAATGATTACTTTATAAGTATTTCTTATAAACTGGATTCATGAGTTTTCCTCTAGGTAGAGATCTTTCCCTGCAAGAAACGAGAGAAAAAACATTTTCTCTTTACAGAAACTTCTCTCATCTCTAGTCATAATTCTTTAACTGTTTCATGGAAGACTGGACACAGATCAAGCAGCACTCAGCAGACATCTTCGCCCTGACTCCTATAAAAGTGTCACTTCACCGTGAGTGCAAAGGTGGCCCTGAGCGAGTGCCTAACCAAGGCCCCTCTGCCAGGCTTCTCCAGCTCCGGACTCTAAAGGCTTCCCCACAACTACAGGAGAGGTACGCTGTCGAATCCGAATGCTAAGTCTGTCCACATTACTTAGCATGAATAAGCATTTCAATGTTTTACTTGGCGTTGGAAAGGTAGATTGGTTGCCAGCACGACAGCACCACCTTCTGGTTGGTGAAAAGGAATTAAGATACAAAGTCACATCTGGAGCATTTCAAGTTTTGTAAGCCAGATGGATGGCAAAGTTGAAAATCTAGTTTCCATAAAATCCGAACAATGTCAGTAGCAATTAAACACCCTCACAGATCAGTAATGGAATAGTAACTGTAGGTCACTACTGGCTACTGCTCCACTTCTGGGCACACTGCAGCCACTTCCAGCCTCTCAGCCCTGACATTGAAGCCCACTGCGCCCTATGAAAGAAATTCCTTATCATGTCATCAGAGTCACATCCATCCCCCTGGCTGTGCAAAAAGGTTCTCTGCTGTTCACAAAGTCCAAATTTGATGGCCAGCAATAAAGTATCAGACACTGGCCCAACAACCACTCCCACTGGTACTCGTTGGCAGGTAGGGAGTATCGTCCTCTGATGGTTCTAACGAGGACTATCATCCTCTTATGGAGCCCATGAGGACTCGGCATCCCCTTCCTGTTCCCCTCAAGCATGGGACTCCTTGGTAGACTGTGCTGGAGAAGGATCTTGAGTGTGAGGTCCAAATGGGGCTTCCTCCTATAGGTGATACCATCCCTACAGAAATCCAGAAATCCAGACCACGAGACCCCATCATGACAGCTGCAAGAGGCCTCTGAACTCTAAACGATTCCTTAATCTCAGCTTCCAAGAGACCCCAGCAGCTGGTTTCCAGGCCTGCCTTCTTCAATGCAGTGGCCCCATCCACTTGTCAAATGGCCCTTGGGTGTCAGACTCTTCCTGATTCTGCTCATCAGGTAAGCTATTCATCCTGCTCCCTCAAGGAGAGCCAAGCAAGGTGGACAGAGAGAGGACTGTGCTTTAATCACGACATCCTTCTCTTGGTGAGCAGCACAGAAGTCTCCTCCAGACCTGTGGAGACCACAGGGTGAAGGAATGAGCATTTCTTCCTGAAGCTGTCCACAGGAATCCCAAGCCCCAGGCTACTCTAGAGAGAGGCAGCACCTGAGGAGGGAGAGCTCTGCCAGTTACCTCTGCTTCCCCCCAGCCCACCAACACCCGCCACAGTGCTTTGCACACCTGGAAAAGAGTAATTCTTCTTTAAATGAGGACTTTAATCTGTGTTTCTCCTGAAGTGCCTGAGTTCAAACTCTGTTTACCATAACCCTCAACAAGAAATCCATGTGCATTATAACCCAGTACACACACATACATCTGTACGTACAGAACCCTGAAAAAAAGGTTACATTAAAAAAAAAAAACTATATTATATAAGACACACTGACATTTTCTAACTTCTTCCATTTTATTAAAAATGCTGGTCACCATTCATTCAAATGACTTCACAACCCAGTGAGGGAGTGCAACCCTCACTGGGTGAACACTGTCGTAAACTTCCGCCTTCGTTCATCACTCTGTTGGGTGCCATGCTCCTCTCTCTTCTCGGCTATCCCAGAATTGGCCCCTTCCCAAGGACTGTACCAGGGCATCTCCTCAAAGCCCTCTCCAGCTCTGTGCCAGCACCATTCCAAATGCCAAGGATGTAGAATAATGACTAAGATGTAGCCCCCATGCAGAGAAGCCAAGTCTACTGGGTGGGACAGACTGACATTGCCTCTTCCTCTGAAGACAAAAACACTTGTTATCTGTATTCATTCATTCATGCATGCATTCATTCATTCATCCATCCATCCATCCATCCATCCATCCATCCCCCACCTTGACTCACTCCCACATCATTGTGGAAACAACAGCTTACATTTGTCAAAAGGCAGGCCAGGCGTGGTGTCTCATGCCTGTAATCCCAGCACTTTGGGAGGCTGAAGCAGGCAGATCACTTGGAGTTTGAGAACAGCCTGTCCAACAGAGTGAAACCCCATCTATATCAAAAAATACAAAAATTAGCCAGGCGTTGTGGTTAGTGCCTGTAGTCCTAGCTACTCAGCAGGCTGAGGCAGGAGAATTGCTAGAACCCAGAACGCAGAGGTTGCAGGGAGGCAGAGGTTGCAGTGAGGTGAGATCACACCACCGCACTCCAGCCTGAGTGACAGCACAAGACTCCATCTCAAAAAAAAAAAACAGATGAATCCATCTAATAGGGTTTCCTTTTTCACAATCTGTTTGTCAAGGGATAATTTTCATGAACTCTAAATTAGGAACTAAAGTGCACTGTCACTGATTCTTGGAAGCCAATGGCCCATTTATTACCCTATGTAGCATTTATAGATGTGGCAGGTTCCCAGATAAATTCAATTTGGCCTCAGCCTCTTAGAAAAGGCTGTGAACTAGAGTACATGCAAAGACTAACCTTCTACCATGCTTAAAAATACATAGAAACTGTTTGGGTACGTCCGTCAATTTCATCTACTTTTGACTTTGTGCTACCATGCCATCCTACACACATGGGAAAGAGTGCCATGAGGGTGCCCCCCCAGACAACAACCATGCTTTCCAAGGGCAGCTCTATTTGGTTGACCAACTTCGTACTCAATACTTGGAAATTCTTTCAAAAGCCCCAGACTTCTCAATGAAAACTGGTTAGATGTAATATTTTATTTTAAAACTTGTATTCAACCTGGCCAAGATAGCAAGATCCCATTTCTTTAAAAAAAAAAAAAAAAAGGCAGGCATGGTTGCATGCACCTATAGTCCCAGCTACTTGGAAGGCTAAGGCAGGAGGATCGCTTCAGCCCAGGAGTTCGAGGCTGCAGTGAGCTATGATCGCACTGCTGTACTCCAGCTTGACCCTGTCAGAGTGAGATCCTGTCTTAAAAAATTAAATTAAATTAAAATATAAAACTTGCTTTAACCAAGAATAAATAAATCCCCCCAACCAACATGACAGCAAAGTTTATACAAGGCACAAGATTCAAACTCTGATTTTTTTTTTTTTTTTTTTTAATTGTTCATTCTTGGGTGTTTCTCGCAGAGGGGGATTTGGCAGGGTCATAGGACAATAGTGAAGGGAAGGTCAGCAGATAAACAAGTGAACGAAGTTCTCTGGTTTTCCTAGGCAGAGGACCCTGCGGCCTTCCGCAGTGTTTGTGTCCCTGGGTACTTGAGATTAGGGAGTGGTGATGACTCTTAAGGAGCATGCTGCCTTCAAGCATCTGTTTAACAAAGCACATCTTGCACCGCCCTTAATCCATTTAACCCTGAGTGGACACAGCACATGTTTCAGAGAGCACAGGGTTGGGGGCAAGGTCACAGATAAACAGGATAAGAATTTTTCTTAGTACAGAGCAAAACGAAAAGTCTCCCATGTCTACCTCTCTCCACACAGACACGGCAACCATCCGATTTCTCAATCCTTTCCCCACCTTTCCCCCCTTTCTACTCCACAAAACCGCCATTGTCATCATGGCCCGTTCTCAATGAGCTGCTGGGCACACCTCCCAGACGGGGGGGCGACCGGGCAGAGGCGCCCCTCACCTCCCGGGAGGGGCGGCTGGCCGGGTGGGGGGCTGACCCCCCCACCTCCCTCCTGGACGGGGCGGCTGGCCGGGCGGGGGGCTGACCCCCCCACCTCCCTCCCGGACGGGGTGGCTGGCCGGGCGGGGGGCTGACCCCCCCACCTCCCTCCCGGACAGGGCAGCTGGCCGGGAGAGGGGCTCCTCACTTTCCAGACTGGGCAGCCAGGCAGAGGGGCTCCTCACGTCCCAGACGATGGGCGGCCAGGCAGAGACGTTCCTCACTTCCCAGAAGGGGTGGCGGCTGGGCAGAGGCTGCAATCTCAGCACTTTGGGAGGCCAAGGCAGGCGGCTGGGAGGTGGAGGTTGTAGCGAGCCGAGATCACGCCACTGCACTCCAGCCTGGGCACCATTGAGCACTGAGTGAACCAGACTCCGTCTGCAACCCCGGCACCTCAGGAGGCCGAGGCTGGCGGATCACTCGCGGTTAGGAGCTGGAGACCAGCCCGGCCAACACAGCGAAACCCCGTCTCCACCAAAAAAATATGAAAACCAGTCAGGCGTGGCGGCGCGCGCCTGCAATCGCAAGTACTCGGCAGGCCGAGGCAGGAGAATCAGGCAGGGAGGTTGCAGTGAGCCGAGATGGCAGCAGTACAGTCCAGCTTCGGCTTGGCATCAGAGGGAGACCGTGGAAAGAGAGGGAGACCGTGGGGAGACGGAGAGGGAGAGGGAGAGGGAGAGGGAGAGGGAGAGGGAGAGGGAGAGGGAGAGGGAGAGGGAGAGGGAGAGGTTCCAAACTCTGATTTTTAACAAATCAAGTAAAATCCATGTTTCCACGTTCTAGCTCCCCGCTGCCCCACAGCTGCTCCACTCCACGTGCCCTCTGTTTCAGTCATGCCAAAGGATGTGCTGGTCCCACAATCCACCACAGGTTTCTCAGCCTTCCTCTACTAGGCAACTCCAACTTATGACCGGAGGGTGAGCACAGGCATCACCATCGCCTCCTCGGAAGCCTTCCCTGGTGACCCTCTTCTGCATCTTCCTGCCAGTTTGAGCCAGTTCACTCTCCCCAGGATCTTCCCTTTATCACAACACTCAGTAGCCACTGATGCACTGGTTGTCTACACACCTGCCTGCACCACAAGACACTGATTCCTTGAATGGAAAGCCAATTATTTCATCTTCCACATCTAAATTCAGTCCCTCAGTCCTTCAACAGTACAAAGGCAAATATTGGCCAAGCGTGGTGGCTCACGCCTGTAATCCCAGCACTTTGGGAGGCTGAGGCAGGCAAACTGCTTGTGTCCAGGTGTTTGAGACCAGCCTGGACAACATGGTGAAACCCCATCTCTCCTAAAAATACAAAAAATTAGGCATGGTGGCATGCTCCTGTAGTCCCAGCTACTCAGAAGGCTGAGGTGGGAGGGTAATCTGAGCCCGGGAGGTCAAGGCTGCTGTGAACCAAGATCGCGCCACTGCACTCCAGCCTGGGCAACTGGAGTAAGACCCTGTCTCAGAAAAAAAAAAAAAAAAAAGGCAATACTTAAAGAATAATACTGCAGGTTTCAAATGAAAGCCATTGTTTCAAAAATCTTGCAAAATACCTTCCTAATTATTCTGTTGTTACTATAAAGAACACAGGGCATATAAACATATGGTATCTAGACTATACAAAGATAAATCAGTAAGAAATAAGAGGCTTACCCTCCATCTTAAAATATAATCACAGAAGTGCATACCTAAATGTGAACTTCAATATGCACTAAAAGCGATTCAAACTTATTTGGGGCATTAATAGACAATTATTTAAATTAGTGATATTCTATAATGAGTTCATTTCCCCCCCTACATAATATGCTACGATCATTTGTTTCTCTTCCCTCTAAATTATTACATAATATTAAAAAAAGACTGATGGGAAAAATCTCATTTTCAGTTTATTTTATATGACAGTGTCTTTCTGTGTTCCTTTACATAGGAGGAGTAGCAGCTGCTCCTTGGCCTCTGATGCAATTTGAAAACAAGTTTCTGTGAAGTTCCCCACATCGCTCCACTTCACAAGCGGAAAGGATGAAAGGCATTCCTACTATTAATAGCTGGACTGCATAATGTAAAGTTTCATTTCTAAATTTTTTTTTTTTTTTTTGGAGACAGAATTTCACTCTTGTTGCCCAGGCTGGAGTGCAATGGCGCCATCTCGGCTCACCACAACCTCCACCTCCCGGGTCCAAGCGATTCTCCTGCCTCAGCCTCCCAAGTAGCTGGAATTACAGGCATGTGCCACCATGCCCGGCTAATTTTGTATTTTTAGTAGAGACAGGGTTTCTCCATGTTGGTCAGGCTGGTCTCGAACTCCCGACCTCAGGTGATCCGCTCGCCTCGGCCTCCCAAAGTGCTGGGATTCCAGGCGTGAGCCATCGCACCCTGGCTAAATAACTATTTTAAGTCATGTTTACTTTTTATAATCTTATCACCTGAAAGTACTCACTAACCTAGATGTTAGTGAGTACTAGATGAGATGTGGGTAAACCCCTGGTCTGAGGTGCTCAGGTCACCACTGCCATCAATTTTAAGTTACCTAACACTCCAGTGGTCTAGCATTTGCTAGTGTTTTTGCTAAACAAAATGAAGTAACATTCACTCTGGTATTAAAGTGATGTTTGGGCTTCTTTCCAGGATATATAAATTACATCTTTTCTAAGAAAAGACAAGTTGTACAAATACTCAACAGTGGAAATATTATCAATAAACATCACAAATCAAAAATGTTTAATAGATTCTTTTTCAGAATAGCAGATTTAAACCAAAAAGTTGATGGAAAATTCAGAGAAACTAATGCTATACATTTCATGATTAGAAAAAACAATGCCATAAAATAATTACAGTCAGCAACAAAAACAGGGCTACAGTTAGTTCCCCCTTATCTATGATTTTGCTTTCCAAAGTTTGTTTCCTACAGTAGAGTATGATAAGATATTTTGAGAAAAACAGAGCACATACACATAGCTTTTATTAAGAATATTGTTATAAATGTTCTGTTTCATTGTCGGTTATTATTGTTAATCTCTTCCTGTGCCTAATTTATAAATTTAACTTTATCATAGGTATGTATGTATAGGAAAAACAGAGTACATACAGGCTTTCATACCATCTCCAGCTTCAGGCATCTACTTGGAGTCTCGGAATGTATCCTCCATGGATAAGGAGGGACTACTGTACTCTGCTAGCCATATTAAGAGTTTTAAAAGCAAGATGTTTCCCTTTGCTGTGTTCCTTTACTTATTTAAAAAATAAAAAAGCATATAATGCTTTTTTAGTCTTAAATTTAAAAATTGTATTACACATTATTCACTATGGAAAAATCAGAAAATAGAAGAAAACATAAGAACATAAAATCCATCTATAGTTCCATCACCCTGAAAGATTTATTGGTAACATTTTTAGTTACAAAATAATATTATATTCTGGATTAGCCATTTATATAACAAAGTCCTCCAAATACATTTCACTTATATTTTAAATTTGCTAAAATCAGATTTCATTTTTTAAAACTGTGAGGTTGTAGGGAACAGGAATCATGTACGAGAAAACAATGTCAACATGTAAAGACTAGCACAGCTAATATTAATCAACTATTTCATTATATCTACTGACAAAAACAACGACAAAACATTAAAAGCCTCAGAAATAAGGATCCTTATATTTAGTTTCTCAGTGGCCGAAGAGCAAACTGGCAGATTAATTTCACTGCTTTGCGTTTCCTATTATCACCAGAGTCCTAAAGTATTTCCAGAGAGTGAATTATGACTATGGCACTAAATAAGGCACAGTGGTACCTGCTTTCTAAAGTGTGCTGTGCGATCTTGATCCTGCAGATGTATCGTACACTTAAATACTATATACACAATTGAAAGGTAAATCTCAAATATTAATCTGCAATTATCTTTGTTAATAAAGAGAGGGGTATTAAACAACTTTTTCCTTTTCTATGTAGTTTTAAATTTTTCTAATAAAAATAAGTGGTATGTGAAACGCTTGTGACATGATTAATTAAAAAAGCAGATCCAAAAATGCATTTCAAGTCTCAGCCCAATTAGTATTAAAAATGTTAAACATAAGACTCAAAACTATAAAACTACTAGAAGAAAACATTAGACAAATGCTAAAAGACATTGGTCCAGACAAAGATTTTACAGCTAAGACTTCGAAGCACAGGCAACAATAAAATAACAGAAAAATGAGACTATATTAAACTGAAATGCTTCTGCACAGCAAAAGAAACAATCAACAGAATGAAAAACAACCCGATGAATGGGAGAAAATATTTGCAAACTATCCAAAAAGGGACTAATATTCAGAATATACAAGAACTCAGACAATTCAATGGCAAAGAACCCACATGATCCAATTAAAAAGTAGGCAAAGAAACAGAAAAGGCATTTCTCAAAAGAAGACATACAAATGGCAACAAACATAAGAAAATGTTCAACATCACTAAATCAACAGGGAAATGTGAATCAAAACAACAGTAAGATACCATCTCAACCCAGTCAGAATGACTACTATAAAAAAGACAAAAAAATAACACAGACTGGCGATGATGTAGAGAAATGGGAACTCTTACACACTGTTGGTGGGATGGAAAATTAGGATGGCTACTATGAAAGACAGCGTGGAAGTTCCTCAAAAAATTAGAAACAGAACTACCATACAATTCAGCAATCCCACTAGTGGAAATTTATCTGAAGGAAACAAAGTCAAAGGCATACGCTGCACCCCCATGTTTACTGCAGCACTATTCACAATAGCTAAGATAAGGAATCAACCTAAATGTTCATCAAAAGATGAGTGGATAAAGAAAATGTGGTATATATCACAATGTAATACCATTTAGCCAAAAAAAAGAATGAAATTCTGTCATTTATGGCAACACAGATGAGCCTAGAAGACATTAGCTTAAGCAAAATACGGCAGGCATAGAAAGGCAAATGCATGTTCTGATTCGTATGTGGGAGCCGAAAAGCTTTGAGCTCAAGTAGAGAGTATAATTGGGAGTATTAAAGGCGCGGAAGGGTAGAGGGAAGAGGAGGATAGAGAGACGCTGGTTAATGCCTACAAAATTACAGTGAGATAAGAGGAATGTGTTCTGATGTTCTGGCAGCACTGGAAGGTGAATGTGGTAAATGTGGTTAAATAATAATTTATTATATATTTTCAAAAAGCTAGAAGAGAGAAGTTTGAATGTTCACAACACAAAACTATAATACATCTTTGACATGATGGATATGCTAATGATTTGATCATTACATACTGTATACATATATTGAAATGTGACTCTGAATCCCATAAATATGTACGTACAATGATCATGTGTCAACTAAAATTAAAGGGGAAATAATATGAAAATACTTATCTAGGCAGAGTAAAGAAACAGGAAATACCAAAATTTTACTTCATTACTAGGTTGTAAGATCATGGCTGAATTGTTTTCCTTGTATTTTCAAATATTTTTCACTTTTTTTTTTTTTTTTTTTGAGACAGTTTCATTCTGTCGTCCAGGCTGGAGTGCAGGGGCATGATCTTGGCTCACTACAACCTTTGCCCCACGGGTTCAAGCAACTCTCCTGCCTCAGCCTCCCAAGTAACTGGGACTACAGGTGCAACGCCACCATGCCCAGCTAATTTTTGTACTGTTAGTAGAGACAGGGTTTTGCCATGTTGACCAGGCTGGTCTCAAACTCCTGGCATCAAGTGATAACGCCTGCCTCAGCCTCCCAAAGTGCTGGGATTACAGGTGTCAGCCACCACGCCTGGCCTTTTTTTCACATTTTCAATGAGATTGATGTACTTCAAATTTTTGAAGGGGGTGAGAGAGCACAATGAAAGCAATTTTTCACAAATGACATTGCAATTAAATTAGAGAGATTTATTCAATACTCTGAAACCGCATCATAAAGCAAACATTCTTAGGTCCAGCTAACATAGGCCCTAAAACCGAAGTCGCCAATCTGTACTGATCTATGTTCCCTGGCATGTTAGGAACCAGGCTGCACAGCAGGAGATGAGCAGCAGGTGAGCTAGCAAAGCTTCATCTGTTTTTACAGCCACTCCCCATCGCTCGCATTACCACCTAAGCTCCACGTCCTGTCAGATCAGTGGCAGCATTAGATTCCCGTAAGAACATGAGCCCTATTGTAAATTGCACATATGAGGAATCTAGGTTGTGCACTCCCAGAATCTAATGTCTGATGATCTGTCACTGTCTCCCATCACCCCCAGATGGGACTGTCTAGTTGCAGGAAAACAAGGTCAGGGCTCCCAATGATTCTACATTATGGTGAGTTGTATAATTATTTCATTATTACAATGTAATAATAACCGAAATAAAACACACAATAAATGTAATGTGCTTGAATCATCCCAAAACCATTCCCTACCCCTGCTCCCACCTAGCTCTGTGGAAAAACTGTCTTTCACAAAACCAGTCCCTGGTGCCAAAGACTGCTGCCCTAAAACATAAAAATCAAGTGCCAGTAATATGGATAAGAAACAATGTAACAGAATATGAAACTTCGGTCTCCAGAGCACAAGTGCTCCCCTTCTCCTGGCTGCATTCTAACTGCCACAGGACACAACAGCCGCTTTAATGCTGTATCAAGGACTTGGGAATCCTTCTCTGGCACTCAGAAAGCTTTTTGCTCTATTCTCATACCAGTTAATGCCCTAAAGAATGCTAATTAGGGAGAGTCCAAGTTATTGTCACGCTCTTAAATCTGTCTGATGAACATTTCGTAGCAGAGATACATAAGACGGCTAATTCTCCAAATTGAACACATTAGGGATATCAGAAAACAATAAGATTCTCAGTCAGTATTATTAAACATTTCCATGGTGCTTTTGATGACTTAAGTGATTTAGAGAAAAACAAGTCAGTTGCTTTTACAAGTTTTCTAATCAGAAGGTATCCATCCATACAAAACATACATTCACATGTCTTACTAATAATGATTCTCCTATAGCAGACTGAGGTATTTTATAAGCCACTGTTGTAAAAATCTTGCCTGTTAAAAAGAAATACTGTCAGCCCTCCATATCTGTGGGTTTCCCATCTGTGGATTTAACCGACTCAGATGGAAAATATTTGGGGGAAAAAATTGCGTCTGTACTGAACACACAGACTTTTTTCTTGTCATTTTTCCTAAACAATATACAATATAACAACTACTTACATAGCATTTGCATTGTTAGGCATGTAAGTAATCTAGTGATGTTTTTAAGTATACAGGAGGATATGTACAGGTTATATGCAAAAATTATAGCATTTTATATCAAGGCCTTGAACATGCCTGGATTTTGAAGTCTGCATGGAGTCCTGGAACCAATCCCCCATGGATACCAAGGGACAACTGAACATGCTTTCCAGGATCCTGTACTTACAGCATAAAAATCATATATCCTCCTCCAAAATAAGCTTAACAGAAATCTTATTTTTAAAAGTCATGCCATAGTTTGACTCATTTATCTATTGCCACATTTAGAATTCAAGATCACTACTGTAAACGAATTCTACATACAGTTTAAGATTAGGAAAATTAACATTCATGTGAAAAATATTCATTTTTTGGTTTTTATTGAATATTTTGTGCATTTCCTCTGTGACAAGAATAAATAAACAGTAACACACTGGCCAACTACAAAAGGCACCAAAGGTAGAAGCAAAGACACTACTATGTCTGGACAGCGTATCAAATATATATCAATATATTGTATTTCAGATATAATACATATATATATCTGAAAGGAAATGAACTTGAGTCACTTTTAATCAGTTAAAGGCATGCTTTTTGATGCATTTACATTAGATTTTCTGAAAATGTTATTAAAGTAGTTTAAGCATGGTATGTGATATGGAAGGAAGGTCTGGATCACAAAATAGGTGCCAGCCAGGCACGGTGGCTCACAGCTGTAATACCAAGATTTTAGGAGGCTGAGGCAGGCAGATTGCTGGAGGCTGAGGCAGGCAGGTGGCTTGAGCCCAGGAATTGAAGACCAGCCTGGGCAACATGGCAAATCCTTATCTCTAAATGAAATAAAAAATTAGCTGGGCATGGTGGTGTACATCTGTAGTCCCAGCTACTCAGGAGGCTGAGGCAGGAGGACTGCTTGAGCCCAGGAGGTAGAGGCTGCAGTGAGCTGTGAACGCGCCACTGCACTCCAGCCCGGGCCACAGGACAAGACTCCGTCTTGAAAAAACAAACAAAAAAATAGATGCCATAAGGGTTACAACTAAAAAGCACAGATTTCGGCCAAACACAGTGGCTCATGCCTGTAATCCTAGCACTTTGGGAGGCTGCGGCAAGTGGATCGCTTGATCTCAGGGGTTTGAGACCAGCCTGGACATCATGGCGAAACATCTTTTTTTTTTTTTTTTTTTAAAGCACAGGTTTTGAATGCTACATGCAGGGTATGTCATGAAACTAAATAACTTTTTAAAAAATCAAAGGTAAGGAAGTCCTTATGGAAGAAGCTTAGGGGCAAACAGGGGCAATAGAGAGTGAGGAAGGAATTCTGGAAAACAGGAAGTTAGAGAAGAAGAAGAAACTCATATTGGTATATAGACCCAGCCCAAGTCTCTGGTTGACCCTAAACCATGCATGTGGCAAACTGGGAGCAATCTAAGCTAAGTTCTGAGCCACAACCCACCACAGCCATGAAAAAGTTTGTAGTTTGAGTCTAACAAAGTTAATTATCTGCTGAAATTATTTTTCATTTTTATTTATTTATTTTTTGAGATGGAGTCTCGCTCTGTCACCCAGGCTGGAGTGCAGTGGTGTGATCTCGGCTCACTGCAACCTCTGCCTCCTGGGTTCAAGTGATTCTCCTGCCTTAGCCACCTGAGTAGCTGGGATTACAGGTACATGCTACCATGTCCAGATAATTTTTCTATTTTTTAGTAGAGACGGGATTCTACCATGCTGGCCAGGCTGGTCTCAAACTCCTGACCTCAAGTGATCCACCCACCTCAGCCTCCCAAAGTGCTGGAATTACAGGCGTGAGCCACTGCACCAGGCCAATTACCTGCTGAAATTAAAATACAAATATCAACATTCTTCTAAGGAATGTAACTAAATCCAGAGTCTCCACAAGAGAACATTCACAATGTCCAGGAAACCAATGAAATTACTCAATCCCAAATTACTCAATATACAAAGAACCAGGAAAACATGACCCATTCTCAAGGGAAACCATCCCAACAACAGGTATCAACAACCCTCAGATGATGCAGATGTTGGAATTATTAGAGAATGATTTTTTTTTGAGACAGGGTCTTGCACTGTCACCCAGGCTGGAGTGCAGTGGCGTGATATTGGTTCAATGCAACCTTGACCTCCTGAGCTCAGGGGATCCTCTCACCTCAGCCTCCTAAGTAGCTGGGACTACAGGTACATGCCACCATGCCTGACTAATTTTGTTTATTTTTAGTAGAGACAGGGTCTCACTATGTTGCCCAGGCTGGTCTCAAACTCCTACGCTCCAGTAATCTTCCCTCCTTTGCCTCTACAAGTACTATGATTACAGTCATGAGCCAACACACCTGGGCTTTTTTTTTTTTCTTCTTTTTTTAACTTTTTTAAGAGACAGGGTCTCGCTGTATCTCTCAGGCTGGAGTGGAGTGGTACAGTTACAGCTCATTACAGCCTCAAACTGGGCTCAAGCAATCCTTCCACCATAGCCTCCCTAGTAGCTGGGAATAAAAATGTGCACCACCACAGCCAGTAGACAAGGACTTTAAACAACCTATTATAACTATGTTCAATGAGGTAAAGAAATAAAGACTAAGTGGCCAGGAACTCAAAAAAATTAAAAAAAAAAAGAAAAGAAAACAGAAACATAGGCTCCAAATGAAATAAAAGAAACTCTCTACAGAGAAACAGAAAAAATAAACTGAATGAAAATACATAACTAAAGTATACAATATATGCAATAAAAATTCACTGGATGGGCTTAATAGCAGAAAAATGATGTCAGAGGAAAGAGTCAGTGATCCTGTGGATAGACAGAAAATATATAACCTGAAGAAGACAAAGAAACGAACACAGAAAAAAGGAACAGAGCATTAGGAAATACCAAAACATCAAAAGATCTCCTACATGTGGGTACCTGGAGTCTCAGAGGAGAAGAAAGAGAATATGGAACACAAAGATTATTTGAATAATGTCTAAAAACTTCCCAAATCCTGTGAAAACTATGAATTTATAGACTCAATAAGTTCAGCCAACCCCAACAGGACAATTGCAAAGAAAGCTACGCCTACGTGCATTATATTCAAACTGCTAAAACCAATCGTAAATAGAAAATGTTGAAAATAACCAGAGAAAATTAACACATTATATACAGGAAAATGACAATTCAAATGACACAAACATCTCATCTTAAACCATGGAGGCCAGAAGACAGTGGAACTACAGCTTTAAAACACTGAAAGAAAAACCCAGAATTCTATATCCAGTGAAAATATCCTGTGTGAATAAAGGCAAAATAAAGACATTTTCAGATAAAGAAAAAATTAGAGAATCAGCTGCCAACCAAACCATCAATACAAGAAATACTAAAGTAAATTCACAAAGCTGAAGGAAAAGGATACCAAAAAAGAAACCTGGATCTTCAGGCATGAATGAGGAACACTGAAAATGGTAAATATCTGACTAAATATTTTCTTCTCCTTATTTCTTAAAATACATAGAGAGTTTAAAGTAAAATTGTAACACCACTTTCTGGGATTTATAATGAATGCAGATGTAATACATATGCCCAATTAAAGCCTAAAAGACTACAAGGAATGGTTGTAAATGAACCTATATGATTGTAAGGTCTCTACATTCTATGTGAAATGGTATAATATGAACTCTGAGAAGACTGTTAAAAGTTATGGATAGATATTTAAATTTGTAAAGCAACCACTAAAAATAATGCAAAAAGATAAAACAAAAAAGCCAGCAGAGAAATTAAAACAGAATTCTTTTTAAAAATTCAAATAATCCAAAAGAAGGCAGAAAAGGGGGTATACAAAAGAACAAAACACAGAGAAAGCAAACAAAAAGCAAATTTTAAAATGACAGACCTAACCATATCAATAAGGACATTAAATTGGACTAAATACTCCAATTAAATTTCAGAGTCAACAGAAGAAATAAAAAAGCAAAACCCGGCTGGGCACGGTGGCTCACGCCTGTAATCCCAGCACTTTGGGAGGCCAACGCGGGAAGATCACCTGAGGTCGGGAGTTCAAGACCAGCCTGACCAAGATGGAGAAACCGTCTCTACTAAAAATACAAAATTAGCCAGGCATGGGGGTGCATGCCTGTAATCCCAGCTACTTGGGAGGCAGAGGCAGGAGAATCGCTTGAACCCGGGAGGTGGAGGTTGCGGTGAGCCAAGATCATGCCATTGCACTCTAGCCTGGGTGACAGAGCAAGACTCCATCTCAAAAAAAAGAAAACCAAAACCAAGCTATACACTGTCTACAAGAGACTCACTTTGTGTATACACAGATAGGTCTAGAATAAATAGAAGGAAAAGACCAGTTTGGCTGGGTGTGGCGGCTCACATCTGTAATCTCAGCACTTTCGGAGGTCAATGCAGGTGGGTCACTTGAGGCAAGGAGATCGAGATCAGCCTGGGCAACATGGCAAAACCCTGTCTCTACTAAAAATACAAAAATTAGTTGGGCATGGTGGCACACACCTGTAATCTCAGCTACTCAGGAGGCTGAGGCAGGAGAATCACTTAAAGCCAGGAGGTGGAGGTTGCAGTAAGCTGAGACCGCACCACTGCACTCCTGCCTGGGCAACAGAATGAGACTCTGTATCAAAAAGAAAAATAATAATAAAAGAATATACCAGGCAAATATAAAAAACATAAGGAGGATGAAGTGATTATAATATCAGATAAGGTAGACTTAAAAATAATAGTATTACAAAAGATAAAGGAGAACATTTTATAAAGAGGCCAGTTTATCAGAAAGACAAAACAATCATAAATACGTATGCCCCTAATAATACAGCCACAAAATACATGACATGAAAATTGACAAGATTAAAAGGGTAAACAGACAATTCTACAATCACAGGCGATTTTAACCCTTCTCAAAAACTGATATAACAACTAAATCTAAAAAAGTCAGTGAAGATATAGAATAAGACTGGGCACAGTGGCTCATGCCTGTAATCCCGGCACTTTGGGAGGCTGAGGTGGGAGGATTGCTTGAGCTCAACAGTTCAAGGTCAGCCTGCGTAACATGGTGAAACTCCATCTCTACCAAAAAATACAAAAATTAGCCAGGCATCCTAGCGTGTGTCTGCAGTCCCAGCTACTCAGGAAGCTGAAGTGGGAGGATGGCTTGAGCCCAGGAGGTGGAGGTTACAGTGAGCCGAGATCATACTCTGGCCTGGGTGACAGAGCCAGACTCTGTCTCAAAGAAAAACATCAAAAAAAGGATGCAGGATATATGAATAAGACTAACCAATATTGATGTTCTTTTTAAGTGCACACAGTATGTTCAAAAACATAGACCTTATGCTTGACTATAAAGGAAATTCTGGTAAATTTAAGAGGACTGAAATCCTATTGAAATCTTTAGTCACAACAGAATGAAATTATAAATTAGTAACAAGAAATCTAACGAAATCCTAAGCATTTGGAAATGAAACAACACATTTCTAAATAATCCAGGATCAAAGAAGAAATCACAAAACTTTTCCAACTTAATGATATTTAAAACATACGTATAAATAAACAGTTAACATACAACTAACGCAGTACTTAGAGGATAATTTATAGCTTTAAATGCTTCTGTTAGAAAAGGAAAATGGTTCAAGTCAATGACTTGCAGAGTCTTAGCTATGTACACATAGCTAGCTGACCATAAGGCCTGTGCGCCCACAGAGGACAGAGGTCCAGACAAAAGTAAACATTGGGGCAGACTTGTAAGCTGCCGGAATGTTGAGTCTGTTCCCTAACTTAGCTGGCAAAGGGTTAAAGCTTTACCAGCTCAAGGTGTTTCAGCACCACCTCTTACCAATCACTGGCTAATCAGTAAGATATTAATATGTTGACCTACCAACAACCTCGAGGACGCCAGGCTTAAATTTTTTAAAAAGAATTTAGAAAAAAGAAGAAAAGAAGAACCAATCACATACGGTTCTAGCTCAAGAAACTGAGAAAAGAAGAGCAAAGTAAACCCAAGCAAGTAAAAGGAGAAAAAAAACAGAAACCAACAAAATAGACAATATCAAACAATACAGAGAAACGAACACAGCCAAAAGCGTTCTTGAGAGAGATCAACAAAATGGTAACAGCTGACTGGAATGAACAAGGAAAAATGAGACACAAATGAGTAATATCACGAATAAAAACCAGTTATCACTACAGATTCTGCAAACATCAAAAGGATAATAAAAAGCACAGGTAAAGTTCAAAGTTATAAGCAGCCTTTTAGCAAATTCAGGGCTGAACAATCATCCTGAAAGAGTTGTCTCTACAATTCTAATATTTATCTGTTCAGCATAATCAAAAGCTGTGCTTTTTAAAAACACAATTTAACATAAGCACACTCAATAATTTAGACTGAGGCAAAGCCAAGTGTCTTCCCTCATCCCAAAAATCATCCTGAAAAAGCTTCTAAGGCAGGGTATCAGGAATTCATACAACTATCTGAATTTGGGCTTTTATTTTATTTATAATTACTGGGTAACTTTTTATGACCCAAAATAACTGTTGAGTTCCTGCCTCTTCTAAAGTGTCTTTATCAATTTCTGCTTTTAAAAAGTTTCTTACAGTATCTACTGTGTGTGTTCCAATCTCCAGCTTTCAAAATATGTGAAAAAGCTCTTTTTCTAAAGCCATTTCTATAAAAATTATATTCAGAGACACAATGTCCTACGATGCATTTAAAGACACTCAAAACAATGTCTAAATATTGAGAGTATGGCTAGAAAGTTCTACTACATTTGAAATATTGTTGAGCTCTTCCCCATTTAATAAAACTACATTAGAAATATAAAAATCCAAAATATAAACAAGCTATTCAGATTTGCCCATTAAAGATGAATTCCTGGCCAGGGACAGTGGCTTACGCTGTAATGCCAGCACTTTGGGAGGTGAGCAGATCACGAGGTCAGGAGTTCGAGACCAGCCTGACCAACATGGTGAACCCTCGTCTCTACTAAAAATACAAAAATTAGCCAGGTGTGGTGGCGTGCACCTGTAATCCCAGCTACTCAGGAGGCTGAGGCAGGAGAATTGCTTGAACCTAGGAGGCAGAAGTTGCAGTGAGCCAAGATCGCACAACGGCACTTCAGCCTGGGCAACAGAGAGAGACCCTGTCTCAAAAAAAAAAAAAAGAAAAAAAAAGATTTCCTGCTTGACTACTTTGAGAAAAATTCTCAAATGGTGAAGGTAAGTGGTCTTTCCATGGCACCAAGTCCCACACTGGCCATGTACTGCTTCATCTGAAGAGCCAGAGGGGGAATAATGCTAAATGCACAGCTTGTATGGGTTACCACGTATCCAAACACCCCAAAGCCAGCAGGGAACCGCTTCCCAGCAGCAGCAAATGAAAAGCAACAGAAACCGAATGGCACTCAGTAGACGGGTTTTAGTAGTTAGTATAAAAAGGGTTCCTATAAAAGAGAACTTTCATATTCAAAATGTCGAAAATAGCCAGGCACAGTGGCTCACACTTGTAATCCCAGCACTTTGGGAACCCAAGGAGAGAGGACGGCTTGAGGCCAAGAGTTCAAGACCAGCCGAGCAACATGGCAAGGCCCCATCTCTACAAGAAAATTTTGAAAAAATTAGCAGGGTGTGGTGAGTGCACACCTATAGTCCTGGCTACTCAAGAGGCTGAGGCAAGAGGACTGCTTGAGCCCAGGAGTTCGAGGCTGCAGTGAGTTATAATCATGCCACCACACTCCAGCTTGGGCAACAGAGTGAAACCCAGTCTCCCAAAAAAAGTCAAAAATGGCTTTAAAAATCTTGATTAAAATTAGTAATACTCAAAGAAAAAAAAAAGTGTCAGTTAAAAAGCAACTCCTTAAATGTAAATCAGAAATAGTTTGTAACAGAGCCAAAGAAGCCATTATAAGCTGCTATATAAATAGGCATTTAATGATTTTCTCAATGTTACATTATTGACCTAAGAGGCGCTCTGTTTCCACTGAAATGAATAAGTAATTTGTTTAAGATAACATTAATAGGGGCCGGGCGCGGTGGCTCATGCTTGTAATCCCAGCACTTTGGAAGGCCGAAGAGTGCAGATCACAAGGTCAGGCATTCGAGACCATCCTGTCTAACACGGTGAAACCCTGTCCCTACTAAAAATACAAAACAAAAATTAGCCGGGAGTGGAGGCACGCACCTGTAGTCCCAGCTACTCGGGAGGCTGAGGCAGGAGACTCGCTTGAACCTGGGAGGTGGAGGTTGCAGTGAGCCGAGATCGCACCACTGCACTCCAGCCTGGGTGACAGAGCAAGACTCCGTCTCAAAAAAAAAAAAAAATTAATAGGATTTGCAGCACATCAGATACCCTGGGTCCTTCTTATCATTAGAATCACCATTATAAAGAACAAATTTCACACCGTCTTTCAGTGAAACATCTGCATAATTTTAGAAATCACAGCTAAAGAGCAGAGACATTAGTTACATCCATCACATGCAAAAAGGCATTTCCAAGTCACAATACTATGAATATCATTTATGCAATTCAATAAATATTCAACATTTACTTACTAATGTCAGACACTACCACTTTACGCACTAAAAACGCAATGGTGACTGAGACATGGTCCCTACTCTCAAAGAGTTTACAGTCTATCTGTGAAAACAATATAATAAGGTATACAAGATGCTATGAAAGCACAGAGAATGAGGTTCAATACCCTACAAAGAGAGCCAGAGAAAACATCAGAGGCCGGGTGCAGTGGCTCATGCCTATAATCCCAGAACTTTGGGAGGCTGAGATAGGCGGATCACTTGAGGCCAGGGGTTCGAAATCGGCCTGGCCAACATAGCAAAACCCTGTCTCTACAAAAAATACAAAAATTAGCCAGTGTGGTGGTGCATGCTTGTAATCTCAGCTATTTGGGAGGCTGAGTCACAAGAATTGCCTGAACCCAGGAGGTGGAGGCTGCAGTGAGTCGAGTTTGTGCCACCCCACTCTCGCCTGGGCAAAAGAAATGACCCTGTCTCAGAAAAGGAAGAGGGGAGGGAAGAAGAGGGGAAGGGAGAGGGGGGAAGGTGGGGAGGGGAGGGGAAGGAAACATTGGAGAAACTGATGTTGAAGCTGAGATAAGGCAGGAAGGAGGGCATAGTCAGGTTCTGGTGGGAGGTGATGACTGCATAAAAGATGGCTTCTTCTGGCAAAGGAAATGTTGTCAGAGGCACAGCATGCTCAAATTGCCAAGTATTTTGTTAAGAGTTGTCTTTTGCATAAGAAAAGAGACTATACCGGAAAATTAAACTTTACTAGCAAAGCTGCATATATCAAGAGAACAGTGATCTACTTAACCTAGGAGGAAAAAAGGTAAAATATCACAATTTCATCTTGGCCTATTCCCCATATTCCCTATTCAAACACACATTTATTTCCTCATGCTGCAGTGTGTGTCAGGTATGAGAGAGGACTCAGGGCCAAACAAGAGGGACCCAACACTGCCCTCAGGAAACCAATGCAATGAGCAATCAGACAATAGAGTGCTTCTATGGCTACACATGATTCTGAAATGTAGCTCCCTGATTAGAGTTACCACGGAATAAAATACTTAGCTTAAAAGCTACTGTTTTAAGAATTGTCCAGTAGTAAAGAAGAGAGCAACTGTTATTTGACATCAGATATGGTGGTATAACAGGAATTTTAAAAGAAACTTTGACATCCCATACACACAAGCAAGGAATCATGCTTGTATTTTCAAATAAATGCTACTAACTCATGTTTTACAGATTTCAAAGCACTCTTACACACTGTTCACAGCAAGGGAGGCCAAGCAGCTATTTTAATAATTACCTACCACGGGTCAAGCACTGATTGTGTAGTATGGGGCTCTTTGCTGGCAACTTAATATCCATGATCTCATTTCATCCTCACAACAATCATGCCAAGTAACTATTATCTCCCTCTTAAACAAACACGGAACCTGTGGCTCGGAAGGTTTACATAACCTGCCCAAAGACACATGGCTGACAAGTGGTGGAGCCAAAGTTAGTCCCCGTGTCAGTCTGTGAAAACTCCTTTTATCGGGCTGCACAGCTTCAATGTCACCGAGTGTGGCTAGCAAAGGAGCTGAAGAGTGTACAGTGAGCAGAGGAAGCTGAATTAGACTGCAGGTCAGGACTTTGAACTCAGTCTTCTTGCAGCCACACTGAAGCCTCACTGTAACTGTAACCTCAAGGTCCCCACCCCCACCTAAAGTTATCTTGAGCTTTCTAATAATTCAATCCCTCTGGATTCTCTCTAAACCATCTTTCTAAGGATAGTGGGGAAATGGATCACAGAAAAAATCTCTATGCAAAAATTAAAATATTTAACAAGCAACATCAATCACACCCTGCATCCACCACTATCCCTGGTGTCTGATGCTCCTGAGTACATTCCACCCTGAAATCTGCTATTAAAGAACCACAGTAAAAGCTCAAAGCCATGCCAAGGTTCATTTACTTAATCTCATGGAATCCTTACAATAACACTAAAGTCCATACTATTATGCGCAGTTTACAGAGATAAGCAGAAGTTCATCAAGGTTAAATAAGGCACCCAAAGTCACACAACTGTTAAGTGATGCTGCAGTATGATTCCAAAAGCCTAAGCTTTTCCCCTCTACAGCATGGCCTGGATTCCTGCAACAGTCAGATAATGAAAGAAAAATGCCAAAATACTGTGATCTGAATTTGTATATTTGCAGAAATTTTCATATATAATTACTCACCAGTTCTACTATCAGAATTATAGTTTTACTGTGCGGCATTTTGTTAAAGTAAAAAACAAACACATCACTTAAAAATTTCACATCTTTTACATTATCAAAGCAACATGGTGCTTGAAATTTACTTGAATATACAGCTTAACAATACATATTTTCACCAATATTTTATTCAAAAACTTCCCATCTTAAGAAAACAAAACGTTTAATTGATGGTTAATATCAAAATATCAAAATTATTTAGGATCCTACAAGAGACGGGGTGCTCCATCTTTTTAGAATCCCCTCCTTTTTTTTTCAAGACAGGGTCTCACTCTGTCGCCCAGGCCAGAGTGCAGTGGGTGCGGATGTTGGCTCACTGCAACCTCTGCCTCCCGGGTTCAAGCAATTCTCCTGCCTCAGCCATCACGCCCAGCTAAATTTTGCATATTTAGTAGAGATAGGGTTTCACCTTATTGGCCAGGCTCGTCTCGAACTCCTGACCTCAGATGATCCGCCTGCCTCGGCCTCCCTAAGTGCTGGGATTACAAGCGTGAGCCACCATGCCCAGCCTAGAACCATATTTTAAAAGCAAATAAAATATTCAGTTTATTTGTTTGTAAAACAAGGCTGGGCATTGTGGCTCATGCCTGTAATCCCAGCACTCTGAAAGGCCGAGGCAGGCAGATCACCTGAGGTCAGGAGTTTGAGACCAAACCGGCCAACATCGTGAAACCCCATCTCTACTAAAAATACAAAAATTAGCCGGGTATCATGTTGCGCGCCTGTAATCCCAGCTACTCAGGAGGCTGAGACAGGAGAAGTGCTTGAACCCGAGAACCAGAGGTTGCAGTGAGCCGACATTGCGCCACTGCACTCCAGCCTAGGCGACAGAGCGAGACTATGTCTCAAAACAACAACAACAATGACAACAACAAAAACAACAAGTATTTGATACAAGTTTAATGGAGTGAATAAATCTCAAATATGTATCAACAAATGGGGGGAAAGTACAGAGATGAACAGGTCAATGTAAGTATTAATTTATTACAGGTACTTCTCATTCTCAAAGTAAATCTGCAACTCACTTCAGAAAAAGTGCAATGAGAAAGGAACAGAATGGAGGTAAATGAAAAAATATACTATGTAGCATACCTAATGAATCAAAAGAGATTTGTCTTATTTTCTCATCTATACATGATACTTACTAATTATTTCATTTATTTCAGAGACAATCTCAAAAACAAACGAGGCAGCAATGAGTGTAAGCTGACTGAGCCCATAGCTTTTAAATTAAGGGGGCAGTGGGAGGGCAACCTCTCACTGTATTTAATACACAAAACAGAAATCCAAAACACTTACCAATCTTTACTTGCTCGGGCTGGCTAAGGGAAACAAATGCTGATGTGTCATCAATCCAGGATATCTGAATGTTACCTGCAATCGCAAATTAAAAGTAAAGTGAACATTTGACCATGTGGAGAGCTATTAGATTTAATGCGCGTATCTTACATATTTCAGTATAGTCTATCTTTAAAGAGAGAGAAGGTGCTTATTTAAAATGTGATCAAAATCTCAGCCCTACAGAGAGTTAGCCTGTTCAAAGGCTACCACAGCAGTTATTTACGTTAAAACTTCAAGAGAAGAGACAAACCAGGGGGAAAAGACGCTATTAGAAATTTAACACAATAGAAAGATCCTTCCAGATTAAACCCTGGGGCTTGTCATCATTCAGTGCAATACTAGGATTAGGGACTTATTTTCCTATCAAGACCACTAACAAAAATCAGAGACCACATAGGTTCAAAAACACAACTATTTCTTTTTTTTATTTTTGAGACAGAGTCTCACTCTGTTGCCCAAGCTGGAGTGCAGTGGCACAATCTCAGCTCACTGCAACCTCTGCCTCCTGGGTCAAGCAATCCTCCCACCTCAGTGTCCCAAGTAGCTGGGACTACAGGCACACACCACCATGCTTACACATAATCTTATTGAAAATAGTGTTAGAGGCCGGGCGCGGTGGCTCACGCCTATAATCCCAGCACTTTGGGAGGCCGAGGTGGGAGGATCACCTGAGGTCAGGAGTTTGAGACCAGCCTGACCAACATGGAGAAACCCCAACTCTGCTAAAAATACAAAATTAGCTGGGCATGGTGGCGCATGCCTGTAATCCCAGCTACTCGCGAGGCTGAGGCAGGAGAATGGCTTGAACCTGGGAGGCGGAGGTTGAGGTGAGCCGAGATCGCGCCATTGCACTCCAGCCTGGGCAACAAGAACGAAACTCTGTCTCAAAAAAATAATAATAATAATAATAGTGTTAGTACTTAAAGTAACTTTATATGCCTTAACGTTCGTTCTGACTTATTTTAAATATTTACATGCAGAAATGGTGTACTGTATTATCAGTGCAGGAGGCACTGCTGTGAAAGTCTACTATTCTAAAATATCAATTTAAAAAAAAAGATAAGAAAAAAATAGATCAGGCTCAGTGGCTCATGCCTGTAATCCCAGCACTTTGAGAGTCCGAGGCGGGAGGATCACTTGAGCCCAGGAGTTCGAGGCCAGCCTGGGCTACACAGGAAGACCCTATTTCTATTTAAAAAAAAAAAAAAAAAAAAAAGAAAGAAAATGAAAAATGGTGTTAAGTTACATGGAAAGCCTACTTCGTATCTGCTTTTTACTCTAAACGTTAAAATACAAGCACTTTAACTTCTTTTAATAAACTCCTCAAATATTTTTTAAATGGCTACATACTAGAAGATACATAAACATTTACTAAACTTTCTTACTACTGGACATTTAGGTTTTGTGGCCTTCACTTTATCCAAGAATTTCCAAAGAGAATAGCTTAAATGCTTCGTTTGTTAAAATAAGAGGCATTGCTGTGGGTTTACAATCAGAATGGTCTTCATAAACACTTATCAGGAGACTGCTCAAACGAACCTAATCACATGACCTGGTAAAAAAGGAAAGAGAAGGACTGCCCTACCTCATACACGTATCACAAATCCTGATCTACCCAAACATCTGTCACTTTGATTAATCTAAAGCAGAGAAGACCTCCCCTGCCATTATGAAACACACAAACCCTGTGAGTTTAATCTTAAAAATTATTTATGCTTAGCCACAGCTTATTTTCCCTGGTCAGTAGTAAGGACAGTCCTCATCACGGTGTTTTGCTTTCCATGAATTAATAGCTCTGTATTGTGAGGTGCTATTAAAAGTTTCTCAGATGATATTAGCACAAAGATAACAGTATCCTAAACCAGAAAATTCAAAGAGTGAAATTAAAACCTTGAATATTAACATTCTTTTATACGCAGGCCAAAACTATCTTTCTACTTCTGACCACCTATACCAAATGAATAGCAAAACCCTAAAAAGTACATCTGAACTTGCGACTTACCAAAGGCACTGAAAAGCTGGTAAAGGTCGCTGGTTTTCCATTCTTTGGGGAATGTCACATGGAGAACATGATCACGTTTAGGCTGCACTACAAGACAAATTTATGATGAAATATTGATGGGTGAAAAGTGATCAAGTAAACCAGTGACTCTTTGATGAAACTAAGTCTGAGCTAATTTGGAGAACTGTTATGAATTCCTCATGATTACCAAACAACTCCTAAAAGTATGCCTAGGATTGGTGGGATTCTGCCATGGTAATCTAGACCTCAGGTTCTGATACTTTACAGAACCCACAACAACTTGAACCCAATGCAAAGGCATCTTCTCTTCTCATGAAGTTCCTGTGCAAATTATTTGTTTATTTTTTAATTTTTTTTTTTTTTGAGACAGGGTTTTGCCTTGTCATCCAGGCTAGAGTACAGTGGCACAATAATAGCTCACTGCAGCCTCAAACTCCTGGGTTCAAGCGATCCTCCCACCTCAACCTCCTGAGCAGCTGAGGCTACAGGTGCATGCCACCGTGCCTGGCTAATTTTTTTATTTTTTAATTTTATTTTTGTAGAGATGGGGGTCTCGCTATGCTGCCCACGCTGGTCTTGAATTCCTGGCCTCAAGTGATCCTCCCACCTCGGTCTCCAAAAGTGCTGGAATTACAAGCATGAACCACCACACCCAACTGTGCAAATTATTTAGAAGAAAAAAAAAACGCTGCTCTGTTCATGAAGTTTCACTTCACTAAACATTTAACTTTCCCATTTTAATATACTTAGTTAAAAAAAAAAGCACTGTCCAAATTAAATGGACTAATTGTTAAGTAAGGCAATCCCGAGTCATAATCTTGCTTTCTAATCCCAAACCTAGAACTTATTTGTGCAGCTCTAAGCAAGAGATCTAACCACTCTAACCACTCTGGACTATAAACTGGGAATGGCAATATTTAGCATACAGAATTCTTGTGAGAATGACAGACCAAAATATCAGTCTAATGTGGAGGGCAACACAACAGTATGTCCTCAAACTATCATTGCAACAATTATTGTCACCAAGTATAGTTCACCCACTTCCACCTGCCAGTGACATGCATTAAGGTAAAAAAGAGCAGTGAAATAGCAGAAAAAAAGCAGAGGAGAAGAAAAAGCAACCACCTCCCATAGACCTTCCACGTTTTTTAAATAAAACAAAACAAAACAAAACAGAAATCAACCTACTAAATTCAAATATACACATACTCAAGTAACTGGAAAACAGAAATTTTACCAAGATAACTGACAGCTAGCATATCTTAAAAATCTATTATAAATACTTATAGAAAATGATGAAATCAGAATTCTGAGTGAAAATGAAATATATAGAGAAGATACATGCTTCTAAAATTCATTTCATGCATAAACTGGAAAACATAAATGAAGAAATGACTAATGAATGCCCAAGAGTCCCATTAACTTAAGCATACTATTCATATCAACCACAAAATCACAGCCCAATTTTGAGTGAAAAAAGCTTTTTCTTTAGTAATATTTTCCTGTTATCCCTTCCAGACCACACACTTAAATGCACAGATGCAATAAGAAAATAAAAATTTACTTACAGTCTGGTCCTTCCAAGTTTAGATAGGGGATATCCATGACCCTCATAAGAAATAACCTACAAGAAGAAAAGACAAACAAGTAATGGGCAATTTCCTTTAAAAGACAGGCATTTTGCATTTTTAAGGTTGAATTAGAAAAAAAAAATTTTAATAGGCATTTATTATATCTTTTGTAGAAGATCCTTGATATCACTCTATTTGTAAAATTATTTCTATTATTTATTTTTTTTTAGATGGAGTTTCACTCTGCCGCCCAGGCTGGCATGCAGTGGTGTGATCTTGGCTCACTGCAACCTCTACCTCCCCAGTTAAGTGGTTCTTCTGCCTCAGCCTCCTGAGTAGCTCTAATTTTTGTATTTTTAGTACAAACGGGGTTTCACCATGTTGGCCAGGCTGGTCTTGAACTCCTGGCCTCAAGTGATCTACCTGCCTCTGCCTCCCAAAGTGCTGGCATTACAGGCGTGAGCCACCACATCTGGCTTTATAATTATTATTATTACTATTATTATTATTATTATCATTTTGAGACGGAGTCTTATTCTGTCGCCAGGCTGGAGTGCAGCGGCACAATCTCGGCTCACTGCAACCTCTGCCTCCCAGGTTCCAGCGATTCACCCGCCTCAGCCTCCCGAGTTGCTGGGACTACAGGCGTATGCCACCAAGCCCAGCTAATTTTTTGTATTTTTAGTACAGATGGGGTTTCCCGATGTTGACCAGGCTAGTCTCTAACTCCTGACCTCAAGTGATCCACCTGCCTCAGCCTCCCAAAGTGTTGCAATTACAGGCGTGAGCCACTGCACCAGCCATGTAAAATCATTTCTAAAGCTCTGAAATTCATTTCAGAGATTTTTCTCCTGGGCCAAATATTTATCACAAATAGAAAAAACAAACAAGCAACAAACTGGCATCCTCAACAGTTCCTGGCACTCAGTAGCTGCTCAATAAATATTAGCTAAATGAACAAAATTAATCATCAAAGAGTCAAGGGAAAGTCCTCCACAGAGCTGTCGTGTTAGTCCAAGTAAACAGAAAGAAAATAAATATTACCCATCTTACCAATCTATGAACAAGTGTTCCTAAAAATTCTAAGTGTAACCCTTACAATGGGCATTTGTGAGCTGAGAATGACAACACAGGTTTCTTTTTTTTTAATGAAATGCAAAGTCACTGGATAAATGCTAATCTCTCTGGGAGTCTGAAATAAGTGACTGTCTCAAAAGCCCACATCATTATTATCATTTAAAACACACTAAAAGCACCAAACAAAACAATCCTTGGTAAAGAAAACTATCACACTAATATAAATCATAGCAGTCATTTTATGTTTATCTTCCAAAATGGGTACAAAGGCACTTATAAAAGAGTGCTTGTAAATTACAACTCTCTGTCATGCCATTCAATTTTCTTTTATTTGCAAGATTATGGACAAAATATCATGCATTCTGTTGTGTGTAAGATTATTTTAATGAGTTTTACTTAGATAACAATATATTATGCATTTCTGGTAGAGACAACATTATACAGCAAATTAAAAAGGCAATCTATCTGCCCAAGAAGCAATTAGTTTGGCTTCACGGACCCACAGTTAAGGAACATTATTACCAGGCATTCAAAAGCCAAGCAGGGCCAGGCGCGGTGGCTCACACCTGTAATCCCAGCACTTTGGGAGGCTGAGGGTGGATCACCTGAGGTCAGAAGTTCAAGACCAGCCTGGCCAACATGGTGAAATCCCGTCTCTACTAAAAATACAAAAATTCGCTGGGCATGGTAGCAGGCACCTGTAATCCCAGCTACTCGGGAGGCTAAGGCAGGAGAATCGCTTGAACCATGGAGGCGGAGGTTGCAGTGAACCGAGATAGCAACACTGCACTCTAGCCTGGGCGACAAGAGCAAAACTCTGCCTCAAAAAAAAAAAAAAAAAAAAGCCAAGCAGGGCAAAAGCTAGTTTACAAATGGAACCATCAGCATGAACAATACTGTTCTGTTAATGTCAGAAAAAACGAAGTCATAGTACTCTGTGGTTTGAGAATTTGTTGTCTGGCCTACAATTTAATAAACCAAATTCTATGGCTAAGAAACCAAATTTATTTTTAGTTCACTAATTTAGGCTCAAGTGTACTATTCTGGTTTTGTAAGCTGTTTTAACCAATTTAATCAATACTCCCTGCAATGCCAGAAGACAAGAAGATACATAAAGCACCTAGCATGGTGGGTTCTCAGTGAGGGCAGCTATCATGTTTTCTTAAATATTATTTTCCAGCATAAACGATACACACTGGAACTATCATTATTTTCGCCTACCAGAACCTAATAATAACAAAAGTTATTCCTAGGTTAGTGAGCTAGTTAGTTAGATAAGTTAACTAACCTAGGAATAACTCTTGTTATTGTTAGTCATGCTTCATATAATTTTCAGTTCTCCGTTTAGTAAATTTAGAAATAGTCTCCAATTCTAAACACCAAATTTTTTAAAAAATTAATTTTAAAAGTTAATGAAGGCTGGGCACACTGGCTCACGCCTGTAATCCCAGCACTTTACGAGACCAAGGCAGGCAGATCACCTGAGGTCAGGAGTTTGAGACCAGCCTGGCCAACACGGTGAAACCCTGTCTCTACTAAAAATACAAAAAATTAGTGAGTTTGAGACCAGCCTGGCCAACACGGTGAAACCCTGTCTCTACTAAAAATACAAAAAATTAGTGGGTATGGTGGCGAGCACCTGTAATCCCAGCTACTTGGGAGGCCGAGACAGGAGAATCACTTGAACCCAGGAGGCAGAAGTTGCAGTGAGTCGAGATTGCGCCATTGGACTCCAGCCTGGCAACAGAGCGAGACTCTGTCTCAAAAAAAAAAAAGTTAATGAAACGTATCAAGCACCATAAAAATAACTGAGAAGAACAAAAGTTGAATCAACAAAATGTTCACTGCTATACCATCAAATATGCCAATAATCAAAATCAACCTCAAGATTTGATAATACATGGAGGTCAGTAAATTATAGTTCAAAATTTCAATATAATATTAAGCAACCAAAATAACTACGAAAATGTCAAAACATGGATAACTTATAATTCTAAGTTTTAAAAAGGCACAAAATTTTATACTATGATTTTACCTTTATAAAATATTTATATCATTAAGCCAAGAATAAAAAATACCCTCCCCTCTCCCACCAACAGCTTTGGGAAACTTTGAGCTTTGTTTCTCAAAATTCCTTTTACGATCATTTTTTAAACTTTAAAGGCTACCAGAACTGAGAAGCCCAGGGAAAATAACTAGAGACTTTCTTAGAAAAAGCCAACCGAAAATGCCATCTGAATTAATCTTTCGTATACTGTGCACTACCTCACCTGGCTGGGAGGGAGAAAAATATAAATATAAAAATATAAATATAAAACCACAAACTCGAATTTGCAATTCTTGTATTTCTGTTTACAATTCTGTTATATTGCTAAAGTCATGGGACCTCAACAACAAATTTAGGAAACTCAGTGTTGTAAAAATACCAGGAAGGATTATACTAACAAAGAAAAAGAAGGCTCTCCCAATTTCTCTTACCATTTAGATGTTGTTGTTTTTTTTTTATTTCTTTATTTTATTTTTTTCCATTTAGATGTTTTGAAAAAATTTTTTTGAAAAATATTTTTTGTCAATATATAAGCTATGTGTTCTCTAATATTTCACCTGAATTTTCAATATTATCTCTGATTAAAGTAAGCAAAAATTTATTCTCAGCTAAAACACTCAAAAGATTTGTTTTTTTTTTTTAATTTTTATGAGTATACAGTAGATGTATATATTTGTAGGGTACGTGAGATGTTTGGATAGAGGCATGCAATGTGAAATAAGCACATCATGGAGAATGCAGTGTCCATCCCCTCAAGCATTTATCCTTTCAGTTACAAACAATCCAACGACACTCTATTTAAAAATGTGCAATTAAGTTATTACCAAATATAGTCACCCTGTTGTGCTATCAAATAGGTCTTATTCATTCTATTTTTTGTACCCATAAAAGCTATTTTTTAATGTAGTCAATCCTACACTATCTTGTTTGTTTACTCCACATTACCTTACACAGAAACCCCTTTCAAATGAATTATTAATAGCACTTCTCACTCTTTCCCTATACCTTCACCTTCACATCTGGGGTTTAGAGGGAACTGAATAGCTCCAAAACCCGGAAGAACACGAAAACCAACTCTGTGTGACTTGGCAGACTGCGGCTCTGGAGAGCGCCACGCAATTGTGAAACTGACTCTAAAACTGTGGCTGAGTGTCTGCGGAACTGAACCAAAGTAAACTCTCCCAACGGCCTCCCACCGTCCTTATGCCATGCTGTTTGGAAGCCACTGCTCTGGTAACATCTCTGCCCTTCTGAAGTAAAATTAAAACATTTCAATATAGGCATGCCTCATCCCAGCTGGCTGTCAAATGGCCTGCACTGACTCCCTGGAATGATTTGATAAAATACTTCACATATGCCTCATCCAACTTGACAGTTTTCATCCTAGCATATGAGGAAATGCACTAGGCAAGCAGAAATGCTGATAAAGACATGAAAGGATGTTCCATCACTGTGAACTGTATTGAAGAACAATCTCTCCCAGAAGGACTTTCATCTGCAGATATCAAAAAGACACTCAGACTAACACTTGCACGAAACGTTCTTTCTATTTTAGCAAAGATCCGAGAGGGTGTAACACGGTAAAGACCCTCAAGACTGCGTGCGGGTATCTTGCCACATTTCTGAAAGCTTTCTGATGAAATATTATTTCCCCACTTATTCTCTAAAGGACTGACATTAACTTTATCAAACACTAAAATTAAAATTCCCATTAAATACAATGGCTAATTTTACAAAAGAATTCTATCCTAAGAAACAGTGTAACTCAAGTTCACATTCTAGATGTCATAGAGCAAGTTTTAACCTTTGTGGAATCTGTCATTTTTTAAATGTTGTATGAGTATATCACTGGCAGTGCTTGTTATCCTGGCTTTCAAACAAGTCTGGAAAGACTCCAGGGTAAAGCACAGCATACCAGGATCTTTTGCTCAATACACTGGGTCACTTCCACTCAGTCTCTTCACAGGCTACACAGCATACGCTACACAATACCTTTAGCTCCAAAGAGCCACCACCTCATCTCCATTACCCATGTGCTGGGTGGCACTCACAAAAAGCCACCCTCCAAACTTTTTTGTGAAACAGGCGGTATAGGCCGGGCGCGGTGGCTCACGCCTATAATCCCAGCAATCTGGGAGGCCGAGGCAGGTAGATCACCTGAGGTCAAGAGTTCCAGACCAGCCTAGCCAATGTGGTGAAACCTCGTCTCTATTTAAAAATACAAAAATTAGCTGGGTATGGTGGCGGGTGCCTGTAATCCCAGCTACTTAGGAGGCTGAGGCAGGAGAATCGCTTGAACCCAGGAGGCGAAGGCTGCAGTGAGCCGAGATTGCACTGCTGCACTCCAGCCTAAGTGATAAGAGCAAAACTCCGTCTCAAAAAAAAAAAAAAAAAAGAAAAGGGCGGGATGACACTGTGTCCCAGGCTGCCTAAGAAGGCTCATTAGTTACTGAAGAATTTCATTTCAGATATATAACTCTAGAATATAGAACCTTGAACCGTTAGCAAAATGTGCTTCCCCGCCAACTGGATCAGCATCACCTGGGAACTTGTTAGAGATGCAAATTCCCAAGCGCCATCCAAGACTCCTGACTCAGAAACTCTGGACTGAGAATCACCGAGTTAACAGGAAAACAGTATATTCAATGTGGTGTTGTTAATTACCACTAAAGATGATGCAGCAATCAGCTGGATAATGACTTGTGCCAACTTCTCCAAAAGATATTAGTCTTAATGATTTGTTTATATTAAATCATTCTGTGGCTCATCCCTGTTAATCCCACTGCTTCGGGAGGCAGAAGTGGGAGAATTACTTGAGGCCTGGAGTTTGAGATCAGTCTGAGCAACATGGTGAGACTCCTGTCTTTACAAAAAGTAAATTAGCCGGGCAAGGTGGCTCGTGCCTGTAGTCCCAGCTACTCAGGAGGCTAAGGCAGCAGGATTGTTTGACTCCATGAATTTGAGGCTGCAATGAGCTATAACATGCCACTGCACTCCAGTCTGGGCAACAGAGAAAGACCCTGTCTACACAATAAATAAACAATTAAATGAACAAACCATAAATAAAATACGTAGAAAAACACAAAACTGGCCAGCCACAGTGGCTTACGCCTGTAATCCCAGCACTCTGGGAGGCTGAGGCAGGTGGATCACTGGAGGTCAAGAGTTCCAGACTGGCCTTGCCAATATGGCAAAACCCCATCTCTACTAAAAATACAAAAATTAGCCAGGGGTGGTGGCGCACGCCTGTAATCCCAGCTACTCGGGAGGCTGAGGCAGGAGAATCGCTTAAACCTGGGAGGCAGAGGTTGCACCATTACACTCCAGCCTGGGGAACAGAGTGAGACTCCATCGCAAAAAAAGAAAAGAAAAGTACAAAACTTTGACACATAAAATTTTAAAAAAGAAAAAAACTGCCAAGCATAGTGGCTCATGCCCGTAATCCCAGCACCTGGGGAGGCCAAGGCAGGCAGATCAGAGTTTGAAACCAGCCTGGGCAACATGACTGCTACAAAGAAATACAGAAAATTAGCCAGGTGTGGTGGCACATGCCTGTAGTCCGAGCTACTTGGGAGGCTAAGGCAGGAGGAGCCCCTGAGCCTGAGAGGTGGAGGTTGCAGTGAGCCTGGGGGTCAGAGCGGGACTCTGTCTCGAAAAAAAAAAAAAAAAAAACTATGAATAAAAAAAAGAAAAACATAAAACTATTAAATACCAAGGACTACCTCAAAATCCAGAAGGCAGTAACATAAGCCTTCTACCACTCCTTGAAACCAGGAGGCCAAACTGTAGCATGCAACTAGGTTCTCTGCAAGAGATAAATTGGGTGAAATTACTGCTGACAGCTACCACTCTTGTTTTTAAGTAGATTTAAAAAAAAAAAAAAAATTACTCAAACTACTCTCTTGGCAACTCATTAGCAAAAGTCTAACCTGTTTCTGTGAATTGGCCACAAATTAAGCTTTAGCCACTAATGCAGCACTAAAGATTAGCAAACACTTGAGGGAGTAACACACACAATACAAAAGAATCAGACACCTCTAACATTAGCAAAATCCTCCACCCTTACCACAAAGCTTCAGACACAGATTATGTTAAGTACAAGCACAGATCAAAGGTTATTCTATGATGACACAATGGCTTGCCTTGGACTGTGGCTTATCTAAGCCATTCCCTAGTAGTCCGGTGAATATTAAGTGGGTTGCAAAACAATGCTGCTATTAACCCATTTCACGCAGCTATGCTCAAGAAAACGAAGTATGATATTCAAAAATGCATGCAAGCAGTCCTAAAGGTGATTCAGGAATACTTTGGATGGAGACTCAAACCTCTGAGAACTGAAAAGATCATTATAGTTCTTTCAAATTCTACATTACCAAATCTATCTACAAAATCACAGATTTGATTCACAAAGGAAAGGAAATACTTAGTTTTGCTCCTGAGGCAGCAGGCTTTCCAGTCCTAAAACTGATGGCAGAGGAGGAGCGTGAATCAGACAGGCGGCCACTTTAAGAAGCAGTTAGCAAAAAATGGTCACGCCTAGTGTTGGAGCCAGTGCAGTGCAAGGCAAGCATGTACTGACAAGAGCTCCAGCCACGAAGGAAGGTTGTGAGTGTACCATGACAGATCTGGCTGGCAGGCCACTGAAGGCTGTCTACATGATGCTGACCACGAGTTTTAATGTGTTTGAAAATTCCTTTGTGTGTGTGTGTGTGTGTGTGTGTGTGTGTGTGTGTGTGTGTGTGTATATAATTCTTTTAAGTTCTGGGATACATGTGCAGGACACGCAGGTTAAATATGTATCTTTTAAATTGAGACAGGGTCTATGTTGCCCAAGCAAGACTCAAACTCAGTCTCAAGTGATCCTCCCACCTCAGCCTCATAAATGGCTGGAATGACAGGTGCACACCACCGCACCTGGCTTTTTTTTTTTTTTTAGTTATACAATTATATAACTAGTATAATCTCAATCAGCAAATGAGGAACACTGATCTCAATTAGTAAATGAAATAGACACAGAACACAAACTAGCAGGAAATTCTCTAAGAGGACAGCTTTTTTTCTTCTGGGCTGAGGAATTATGAGTGGGATTTTTGTGTTTTAAAAAGAAAAAAAAATTAAGGACAAAAATTCCTAACTAAAGTAACATTTATCATGGCCTGTTCAGCCTCAGTTGATCCTCTCCTGTCTGGAAGTTATCGGTCCCCCTGTACTGAGAATGGGAGGCAGATTCTTCCAAGTTTAGCCACTTGCCCTTGGCCACCATGGAGGCCGACCCTAAGCTTCCCACTACCCGCCCTACACACGCAGGCCCTGTTCTCTCTCTCCCACGTGGCTTTTAACCTGAGCTGTCTCCATAGCCTCCCTGTGAAATGGTAAGCCTAGAGTACCAGCGGGAGCAGCTAGGGACAAGGGTTTTCATCCTAAACCACTAGTCAAAGCCCTTGTGTATATAAGAGAAGCAAGTGTAAGCAAGTGCTCAGGATACAACATCCCAGAAACATTTTTTTATAATACTCAAAGGGCTGATTAACTTATAGCTTCACGTGATGGCGTGGAGCCCTGATACAAAAAATGAGGTTGCTGTCTGAGGAAGAGCTTTGGGTAGAGCGAATTTTCAAGGCAACAGGAACAACACGCAGTGAAGAGAGCCATGTGGCCGGAGATCAAAAGGACAACCTTCCCACGACTGTAGTGCAAAGCAAGCTGCTACCTGGGCATGGGGCTTGCCAGGCACACCTGCTCCCACACACCGTGATCACCATCAGGAAAACGAGTGAATCAGCATCTCAGGGTGAGGCGAGGCCTCAGAGGTGTAGGGACACAGAGGTTTAGTTTGCATAATGACACACACACAGGCCTGGATGATCTAGACAGACTTCTAATGTCATGACATGTGTTAATAAAGAAGAACAGAGTTTATTCTGGTCTCTCTTCCTAGCAAAAGGAAAAACCTCAAGCCCCCAAACTCTTTATCCTTCCTCCTAAGAACTCAGTATTTTCACTCCCCGAGTGAAAAATTTGCATTCGTGTCCATCTGCTTTCTGCTTCTCTCAAGACTACACTTCCGATTTCTCAAAAAAGAGATTTCCAAGTAAAATTGTACCCCTCTCCTACCACTACAGACTGGGATACAGAAATGTTGAATACAATCTCATCTCAACCCAATTTGAGCACAGAATTAATCTGCGGCTCACCCCAAGTCCCAAGCCTTCTAAAGAGAAATTGAAACCTTAACCGACCAGCAGCTCTACTGTACTTGCAAACGGTCTTGGTATTTCCTTCAGGGCAGAGCAGTAAAAGCACTTCATAAGAACCCTGTATGCAAGGCTCATCATTATACATATTTATGTGCTATAAAAAACTAATTTTATCATCCAGGGTAGGAAGCATGCAGACATCTCTCACAAAATAAGCTCATTTATTTTGCTCACTAAGGCTCCTGTGTAAAATAAGGGTAACCACTGGCTAGATGGGAGTGACTGTGGCATCAGTTATTTTAATTTCACTCAGGTGGGGGGAATACAGTTTTCAATCTAGCCACTTGCTGTTTTGACAAATAGAGCGTTACTCAACATTTGTCCTGAAGCCAACTCATATCCTTTCTTAAATACATACACTAGAAACAAAGGCAAAAAAAAAAAAACAAAGGAAGAAAAAAACAAAACCAGCAGCTCATTTCAACAGTCTCCAAATGAAGCATATCAAATTACATCAACTAAAAACATTAAATTAAACATTATACAAAGGCAATGCCTGCAGGGCCTGTAAAACAACATACTGTAAAGTGTCAGAGGAAACAAGCCCCACACAATCCAACAGTCTAAGTCAACATCTTTTACAGTCTGTGCTCAGGCCAAACATTGAGAGAAACGGAAATCTTCTTTCAAAGACACTAACACTGTCTCTTAAAAAGATATGCCACCAACTACAGCATTGTCCCTTATAGACACTGTGTGCTATGGAAGAAGAATCCCTTCTTAGTGGAGCACAGGCTTGATTATCCCTGACTCTGCCACTCCTGGGGCCCTAGGCAGATGTCTCGGCTTTAAAATGGGCACATTTTCCCCTATCTATGAGGGCTGCCTTTAGAAAAAACAGTCAATGCAGGTGACATACTGTGCATAGTGGAAGGTGTTCAATCGATAAGCTATTTGATAGGTAGCCCAAATTTCTTAGAGTATACTGCTAATCCTTGAACACTGCAAATTAAATGCTAAATAGTCTTGGAAATAACTATTACCCACTTGCTCCAAGCCAGGACCAATGCAAGGCTGGAAATAGCTAAGAATGCTGACTTTACTACTAACCTGCCTACAGTGGGCTGAATGGTGGCCTCCAAAAAGATATGTCCACTTTCTACTCCCTGGAACCTCTGAGTGCTACCTTAGTTGGAAAAGGAATCTTAGTAGATGTTATTATATTAACATCTACTAAAATGATAATATCTGGGATTGATGATATTATCTGGGATTATACAAGTGGGGCCTCACTGCCATCATATGTGTCCTCATAAGAGAGAGGCAGAGACAGAGAGGACACACACACAGAGGAGGAGGAGGCAATGTGACCATGGGGACAGAGACTGGAGTGATGTGGCCCTAAGCAGAGGGATGCCAAGGAACGCCTGCAGCCACTGGAAGCCAGAGGAGACAAGGACAGATTCTTCCCCAGAGCCTCTGGAGGGAGCTCAGCAATGCTGATGACTTGATTTGAAACTTCTGGCCTCCAGAACCATGAGAGATGTATTCACCTAAAACACTTGGTATTTTAAGCCACCAAGCTTGCAGTAACTTGTCACAGCAGCCACAGAACACTAATCCAATACCCTACAGAACACTAATCCAATACCCTACTACAGAGGAGGCAAGTTGCTTAAATATACATCCAAGGGTTGACTGATTTCCTTTTACCTCAACAAGTTATTTTAAATTATAATAATAAACAAGCTATTAAGCCAGAGAGAAATGTACTTTAAAGTAACTAGAGCAAACACAAGACTAGAACAGCTCAGCACGTGGACTGCCCCTGCAGTGCTGCAGGGCTAGCATACCAAGTACAGGTTGCTGGGTGGGTGGCCTGTAAGGTTTCTTTAAAAAGCAGTTTTTTGATGCTGCCACAGAAGTGGCAATCAAGATCACAAGGCAGAAATTAAATAAGGCAGTATCAACTTGAGGCAAGCAGTCCCTTCCCTGAAGTAGCACTTGTTTCCAGTCTTAAAAAACCAGACTCAAGGCTTCACAGTAATTTAATGTGCCCTGTCTTTTGACTTTGTGAAAATCAGTGAGTGCATTAAACTTTGAGGGTAATCAAACCAAGCCAATTCATGGAGATTCTTTTTATCATGGTAACTTGGGGAGCCAAAAACGAAATAAACAAGACTTTGAGGAAAAATAAATGGCTTTGGTTAAAGTATGTGAGGAAGAAAAAATGCATCTTGTATATTAGGGGAAAATATATTTTGTGAACTAGGGAAAAACTGGCTTCAAGCCTTCTGGAATCTGGGAGGCTGGCTTGAAGCATCTGCAGTGCTAAAATTTCACTCCTCCATGGCACCTGACTCCAAAATTTACACAATCCAGAAGAGGTTGAAAATGGAGACTATTTTTTAAAGACGTATTTCCTGGGCTCTTTATGATTAAAGGGTAATATCAACAATCATACCACTGTCCACATGCAGCCAGTTTATGATAAGCTGTGCTGCCTAGTCCAGGTTCATACCCATTTTTGGTAAAAGCTGCAGGGCACAGGATATCATCTTTTAAAAGATTTGTTACTCCCTCATGCAAGCACATTAATATAAAATTAAAGGATAACTACTACCAAGTTCTTGGGAAAGCCAGCCAATAAGAAAGAAGGGGCCCATGATCACCACTGCTATAAGTGGCCTCCTTCCTGCCTTCCCTGACCTCGGTTCTGGCATCACCAGGTGCTTCTGGGAAAGGGATGAGAAGGGATGTGCCCGGCACAGGCAGACAATGGAGGAGGCTGTGTTCTCGACCCTAATGCCTCACAAATCACACAGCCTCACCAGCGTCAGAAGGCTCAACACAAATTAGTGCAAATAACACACAGGGTAGGTATTTTCTTTTCACTTACAACCCAACTTTGCAGCAAGACCTTTAAAATTAAGATGCAAAGACAGTTATAAAGTGTTTTCTTAAGAAGATATCTAAATTGCCATTCTCAATTAAAAAGTTTTTGTTGGCATCACGTATGTGGGCCACTTTGCTTCTATCAACACAGAGAGACTGTCACCCAAGGGTCCTCAGCACAGAACACACCGCCTGCTGTGTTTCTTTCATAAAATGAAGACCTACCCAGCACTGTGGGAGGCCGAGACGGGAGAATCTTTTGGGTCCAGAAGTTCAAGACCAGTCTGGGTGACAGGGCGCGACCTCATCTCTATGAAAAACTTTATTTTTTTTATTTTTACCTTTTTTTTTTTTTTTTGAGACGGAGTCTCGCCCTGTTGCCCAGGCTGCGGTGCAGTGGCACGATCTCGGCTCACCGCAGCCTCTGCCTCCCGGGTTCAAGCGATTCTTCCGCTTCAGCCTCCCGAGTAGCTGGGACTACAGGTACCCGCCACCATGCCCAGCTAATTTTTTTGTATTTTTAGTAGAGACAGGGTTTCACCACATTGGCCAGGCTGGTATGAAAAACTTAAAAAAAAAAAAAAATAGCTGGGTGTGGTAGCATGCATCTGTACTCCCTGCTACTTGGAGGGTGGAGCAGGAGGATCCCTTGGGCCCAGAATGCAATGAGCCATGTCTGCTCCACTGCACTCCAGCCTGAGTGACAGAGCCAGACCCTGTCTCAAAAAAAATAATTTAAAAAAATGCCGGGCGCTGGCAGGGCACGGTGGCCCACGTCTGTAATCCCAGCACTTTGGGAGGCTGAGGCGGGCGGAGATCAAGACTATCCTGTCCAACATGGTGAAACCCTGTCTCTACTAAAAATACAAAAAGTTAGCAGGGCATGGTGGCACGCGCCTGTAGTCCCAGCTACTCAGGAGGCTGAGAAAGGGGAATCGCTTGAACCTGGGAGGCAGAGGTTGCAGTGAGCCGAGATCACGCCATTGCACTCTAGCCTGGCAACAGAGCAAGACTCCATCTCAAAAAAAATTAAATTAAATTAAATTTTTTAAAAAAAGTGCGGGGACAGTGGCTCATGTCTGAAAACCCAACACTTTGAGAGGCTGAGGTGGGCGGATCACTTGAGGCCAAGAGTTCGAGACCAGCCTGGCCAACATGGTTAAACCCCGTCTCTACTAAAAATACAAAAATTTGCCGGGTATGGTGGCTTGAGCCTGTAATCCCAGCTACTCAGGAGGCTGAGGCATGAGAATTGCTAGAGCCTCGGAGGTGAAGGTTGCAGTGAGACGAGATCACGCCACTGCACTCCAGCCTGGGCGATGGAGGAGACTTCTCAAAAAATATATACAAATTTAAAAAAAAAAAAGAATTTAAAAAAACGAAATGAAATGAGAAACAAGATTTCCATTATTTTCTTCAAGTTCACTACAGTGTAAGTCACAGTAACAACCACCCTTTCTGCACACCTTCTACATGCCACACCCAACACCAAACAGCCTTATCAGCGCTGCTGCCCAACCAGGTGGAGATTATGATCTACAGTTGAAAGACTAGAAACCTAGCTTTGGCAAGACAAATCTCCCGTCTGGTGGCATCAATCCAACCGACCCACCCTGAAGCCTCAGCTATTTCCCTTATGCTCCTGCTGCCTTATGCATAAGCCACCCTAGCTGAGATGTTGCACAGATACACATCTATGTATCTTAAAGTTTATGTGCCCAAGGTGTGATCTAAACATAAGGCAGTAATACAATTACAAAAGAAAAATGCTCCAGGTGATGCAAAATATCATTGTTTTAATAAATTAAAATGTCAGTGAAGCAATGAGTTGCTCAAAAAGAACAGTTCACAAAAGGATACATTCATAGACAGATTAGAGGTAACCAGGAGCTGAGGGGAGGCAGAAGATAGGGAGTTACTGGCTTGCTGGTTACAGAGTTTCTGTTTGGGGTGACGAAAAAGTTCTGGAAACAGTGGCTATGGTTGTATAATATTGTGAATGTAATTAATGCCATCAAACTGTACATTTTAAATGGTTAAATAGCAAAAGTTGTATATTTTACCAAATTAAAAAAAATTAATAACGTAATATGCCAAAAACCACTGAACTATACACTTTAAATGAGTGAACTATATGGTATGTGAATTTATATCTCAATAAAGTGGTTTTGAAATAGGAAAGAGGAGGCCGGGTGCGGTGGCTCACGCCTGTAATCCCAGCACTTTGACAGGCCAAGGCGAGCAGATCACGAGGTCAGGAGTTCAAGACCAGCCTGGCCAACATGGTGAAACCCTGACTCTACTAAAAATACAAAAATTAGCAGGGTGCAGTGGCACGTGCCTGTAATCCCAACTACTCAGGAGGCTGGGGCAGGAGAATTGCTTGAATCTGGGAGGTGGTATCACACCACTGCGCTCCAGCCTAGGTGGCAGAGCGAGACTCTGTCTCAAAAAAAAAAAAAAAAAAAAAAAAAAAGAAAAGAAAAAGGAAAGAGGGCCGGGCCCTGTGGCTCATGCCTGCTGTAATCCCACCACTTTGGGAGACCGAGGCGGCGGATCATGAGGTCAAGAGTTCGAGACCAGCCTGCCCAACACAGTGAAACCCTGTCTCTACTAAAAGTACAAAAATTAGCCAGACACGGTGGCGCATGCTTGTAGTCTCAGCTACTCAAGAGGCTGAGGTAGGAGGATCCCTTGAACCTGGGAGGCGGAGGTTGCAGTGAACAAAGATCATGCCACTGCACTCCAGCCTGGGCGACAGAGTGAGACTCCATCTCAAAAAAAAAAAAAGAGAAAAGAAAAAGAAAAAAGAAAAAGGAAAGAGGCTGGGCACCGTGGCTCATGCCTGTAATCCCAGAACTTTGGGAGGCTGAGGTTGGAGGATCGCTTGAGCCCAGGAGGTCAAGACCAGCGAGGGCAACGTAATGAGGCCCCCACCTCTACAAAAAAAAAAAAAAAAAAAAAAATTAGCCAGGCATGGTGGCATGCGCCTTTGGTAGCTACTTGGGAGGCTGAGGCAGAAGGATCATTTATGCCCAGAAGGTTGAGGGTGCAGTGAGCCATGATCGTGCCTCTGCACTCCAGCCTGGATGACAGAGCAAGACCCTGTCTCAAGGGAAAGAAAAAGAAAAGAATTAAAGTTAAAATTTAAAAAAGGAAAGAAACAGCTTCTAATAGTTCACTTAGAAGATATATTTCTTTACTTCCTTTTCCCAATAAAAGTCTAAAACTCCAGGCGCGGTGGCTCATGCCTGTAATTCCAACACTTTGGGAGGCTAGGGTGGGTGGTTCACTTGAGGTCAGGAGTTCAAGACCAGCCTAGCCAACTTGGTGAAAGCCCATCTCTACCAAAAATACAAAAATTAGCTAGGAGTGGTGGCGGGCACCTGTAATCCCAGCTATCAGGAGGCGGAGGCAGAGATTGCAGTGAGCCAAGATTGCACCACTGCACTCCAGCCTGGGCTAACAGAGCAAGATTCCAACTCAAAAAAAAAAAAAAAGTCTAAAACTGAAAACACAATACAGAACTAAGAGTAAGAACTAACCATATGATTCAAAGGGGAGAAACAAAAAACAGTAACATATTCAATCTTCTCCCTGCATATTATTTAGTTACATGTAGGTTTTTTGCGGGAGGTCTCCTCTGCTTTCTGGTCAAGGCTCAATAATTCAAAACAAAGTCCTGTTTACTGGATGTACACAGTGCATCATACAACATCTTCTATGCAAACCAACAGCCCTCCTTCTGTCCCCCACATCTAGTCAGAGAAGTGTCTCAAACTATGTCACCACAGCAGTGACAGCAGTGAGAAGTTAACTGAGGCCTATGATGTACCAGCCACTATGCATTTTACACACACTCTCTCATTTCATCCTCACAACAACCCTATCAAACAGGTTCTAATATTCTCAATTTAAAAACGAGGAAGCTGAGGTACAGGGAGGGTGAGTAACTTGCCCAAGATCACACAGGTAATAAGGAGCAGAGCCGGGATTCAACTGTACTATACTACGCTCCACAAGATCCTGAAGTAAAGCAATCCTACTGGAGAAATCAATCAAACGGCTTTTTAAATATTTAAATTCAAATGGAAATGAATCCTATGGAGTGTTGTGACACTGACAGCTATATGCTTACCAACAATAAAGCTATGTTAAAACTCATGTTTATGTTGGGAAGCTGGAAGTCCCATGGAGGAGGGAGGTGGAATTACTGTAAGACTCAATTTAATACACTGCTCCTCTGTATGAGGGAGGGACAGGCTGGACAGCAGAAGGTTAAGCGAGGGCTTCCCTGCAGGTGATCAGGCAGCACCCTCCAGGGAGACAAGCTTGACACACGGGGTCCCTTAACAACCCACTGCGACCCTGCACGCCATGCTGCTGGGCACGAACGGCAGTTGTGCTAGTAAGCAGCAAATAAAGCCTTGTTCTGTCCGTTACTGGCGAGAGGGCTGGGAAGAAATCTTTTCTTTTTTTTTTTGGTCACCCAAAATAAGTTGACACTGGGAAGAAATCTTTAATTCTTCAGTTTAAAATCTCTCTGATGTTAAATGTCAAGCACATGCATATTACAAGAAAAACCCAATTTGCTAACAGCATGCAATTGCTTTCTATGGAGAAAAAGGGAAAACACTGGTGTGCTTTTATTTCAGGCACCACAGGTTCCTTCCTCTCCCATCTGTACATACAGCTGTTATGTATACCTATTCAACCCTCCATACACTGCTGCGTTATATTCATTTCAAAAACAAAACTTTAAAAAATGCTCCAAACCAAAGCCATCATGCTTCTATTACGTACCAATGTGACACAATCATCATCTGATTTTTCATAAGCAAACACTAATGGGTAGGTACTAGCAGAAGTAGACACTTCACATTTGTTGCTACTGCACTCCAATTTTATGTCCACAAGCTAACATAGTTTCTTTTTCATTAAACTAAAACATAAAACACATTCTGCTACCACCTCTACCTTTACTGAATCTCCTAGCATGTTAGATCTTTTTGTATTTTTTCTTTTTTTTTTTTTGAGACAGGGTCTTACTCTGTCACCAAAGCTGGAGTGCAGTGCTGCAACCATGGCTCACTGCAGCCTCAACCTCCTGGGCTCAAGCAATCCTCCTGCCTCAGCCTCCTGAGTAGCTGGGACTACAGGCATGTGCCACCATTCCCAGCTAATTTTTTTTTAAGAGATGGAGTCTCGCTATGTTCCCCTGCCTGGTTTCAACTCCTGGCCTCAAGCAATCCACCTCCCTGGCCTCCCAAAGTGCTAGGATTATAGGCATGAGCCACCATGCCCAACCTTATTTATTTATTTTTAATTAACAACTAAAAATTGTATATATTGATATGTACAACATGTTTTGAAATATGTATACACTGTAAGATGGCTAAATTAGACTAACATATCCATTACCTAACATACTCACTTTTTGCAGTGAAAACACTTAAAACCTACTCTTCTGGTAATCTTCAAGTTTACAATACACTGTTAGTAACTACAGTCACCATGCTGTATAACATATCTCTTGAATTTATTCCTACTAACTGAAATTTTGTGTCCTTTGACCAATATCTCCCCAATCCTCCCCGCACCCCTTATATTTCAAGAAACGGAAAAGAATATATGCTGGGCACTTATTAAGTTCTAGGAACTATCAAAGTCCTTTCAAATCTCATACAATCCTTATAACCTCGACGGAAGATGATACGCTTTGGCTATGTCCCCATCCAAATCTTATCTTGAATTGTAACTCTCACAATTCCTACATGTTGTGGGAGGAACGTGATGGAAGGTGATTGAATTATGGGGGCGGATCTTTCCTGTACTGTTATTTTGATAGTGAGTGAGTCTCACGAGATCTGGTGTTTTAAAAACGGGAGGTTCCCTGCACAAGCTCTCTTGTCTGCTGCCATGTGAGATGTGCCTTTTACCTTCTATCATGATTGTGAGGCCTCCCCAGCCACATGGAACTGTAAGTCCAATAAACCTCTTTCTTTTGTAAATTGCCCAGTCTCAGGTATGTCTTTATCAGCAGCATGAAAATAGACTAATACAGTAAATTGGTACTGGGGCGGGAGAGGGGGCTGCTGAAAAGCTATCAAAAAATGTGAAAGTGACTTTGAAACTGGGTAACAGGCAGAGGCCGGAACAGTTTGGAGGGCTCAGAAGAAGACAGAAAAATGTGGGAAAGTTTGGAACTCCCTAGAGACTTGTTGAATGGTTTTGACCAAAATGCTGGTAATGATATGGATAATGAAATCAAGGCTGAGATGGTCTCAGATGGAGATGAGAAACTTTTTGGGAACTGGAGCAAAGGTGACCCTTGTTATGTTTTAGCAGACACTGGCAGCATTTTGCCCTTGCCATAGAGATTTGTAGAACTTTGAGCTTGAGAGAAATAATTTAGGGTATCTGGCAGAAGAAATTTCTAAGCAGCAAAGCATTCAAGAGGTGACCTGAGTGCTGTTAAAGGCATTCAGTTTTATGAGGGAAGTAGAGCACAAAAGTTTGGAAAATTTGAAACCTGACAATGTGATAGACAAGAAAATCCTGGCCGGGCATGGTGGCTCATGCCTGTAATCCCAGCACTTTGGGAAGCCAAGGTGGGCAGATCATGAGGTCAGGAGTTCGAGACAAGCCTGACCAACATGGTGAAATCCCACCTCTACTAAAAATACAAAAATTAGCTGGGCGTGGTGGCGCACACCTGTAATCCCAGCTACTCAGGAGGCTGAGGCAGGAGAATCACTTGAACCCATGAGGCAGAGGTTGCAGTGAGCCGAGATTGTGCCACTGCACTCCAGCCTGGGCAAGAGAGTGAGACCCCATCTCAAAAAAAAAGAAAAGAAAATCCCATTTTCTGAGGAGAAATTAAGCTGGCTGCAGAAATTTGCGTAAGTAATGAGGAGCCAAAGACAATGGGGAAAATGTCTCCAGGGCGTGTCAGAGGTCTTCAAGGCAGGCCCTCCCATCACAGGCCCAGAAGTTTAGGAGGAAAAAATGGTTTCACAGGCCAGGCCCAGGAGCCCTGCATCCCAGCTGCTCCAGCCATGACTAAAAGTGGCCAAGGTACAGATCAGGCTGTTGCTTCAGAGGGTGGAAGCCCTAGGCCTTGGCAACTTCCATGCAGCATTGAGCCTGTGGGCACACAGAAGTCAAGAATTGAGGTTTGGGGACCTCTACCTAGATTTCAGAAGATGTATGGACATGCCTGGATGCCCAGGAAGAAGTCTGCTGCAGGGGTGGGGCCCTCATGGAGAACTTCTGCTAGGGCAGTGCAGAAGGGAAATGTGGGGTCAGAACCCCCACACAGAGTCCCTACTGGGGCACCACCTAGTGGAGCTGTGAGAAGAGGGCCACTGTCCTTCAGACAGCAGAATGGCAGATCCACCAACAGCTTGCACCATGCATCTGGAAAAGCCACAGACACTCAATGCCAGCACATGAAAGGAGCCAGGAGGGAGGTTGTAACCCTGCAAAGCCACAGGAGCAGAGCTGCCCAAGACCATGGGAACTCGCCTCCTGCATCAGCGTAATCTGAACGTGAGACATGGAGTCAAAGGAGATCATTTTGGAGCTTTAAGATTTGACTGCCCTGCTGGATTTCAGACTTGCATAACTTGCCCAAAATCACACAGGTAATAAGAGCCTGTAGCCAATTACTCCCATTTGGAATGGCTGTATTTATCCATAGCCTGTACCCCCATTGTATCTAGGAAGTAACTAACTTGCTTGTGATTTTACAGGCTCATAGGCGGAAGGGAGACTTGCCTTGATTCAAATGAGAGTTTGGACTGTGGACTTTTAAGTTAATGCTGAAATAAGACTTTGGGGGACTGTTGGGAAGGCATGACTGGTTTTGAATTCTGAGGACATGAGATGTGGGAGGGGCCAAGGGTGGAATTATATGGTTTGGCTGTGTCCCCACCCAAATCTCATCTTGAATTTTAACTCCCACAATTCCCACATATCGTAGGAGGAACCCGGTGGGAGGTGATACAATTATGGGGCAGGTCTTTCCTGCACTGTTCTCGTGATAGTGAATGAATCTCACAAGATCTGATGGTTTTAAAAATGGGAGTGTCCCTGCACAAGCTCTCTTCTCATCTGCTGCCATGTGAGATGTGGCTTTCACCTTCTGCCATGACTGTGAGGCCTCCCCAGCCACGTGAAACTACAAGTCCAATAAACCTCTTTATTTTGTAAATTGCCCTGTCTTAGTTGTGTCTTTATTAGCAGCATGAAAATGGACCAATACAGAAGGTGAATCATTTTATCCCCATTTTACAGAGGAGAAAACATTTGTCCAAGAGCATATCATTCCTTGTCTCATCGGTAGCTCAGAAAGACCATAAAGCAGTGTCATTCCAGGAAGGCCTAGATTTCCAGCGGAACCCTGTTCAGATTCAAAACAAGGAAGCAGTCCTGTAGAGTAAACTGCAGGCATCTAGCTCATCTTTTCACATTCCAGTGCTTACTGAAGATAGCCAAAAAAGAGACCTGCTTATTCTTCCTCTTTCTAAGAACTGAGGTAAACAGAAAACAACCTTCCCGAAAACCTTCATAAAAGGGTCAAGGTGTCTTGACAATACCGAAGACAGTTAACAAAACATAAGGCAAACGTCTGATTTTGTGCTTTCTGTTGTACAATAAAAAGCAAAAGCAGAGAGCATTTTTAGCTCTTAGATTTTAGATCTGGATTTGACCAAAGGATCTTAACATTAAGTTTGGTTTTCAATGCATTGATTAAAACTGACCAAAGCTATAAAAGCAGGTAAATCATTTGCTGAGGAGACAGCCTCCAATATAAACAGAGTGCATTCCACACAGGCTGTCATTAGCAGTGGCGTGATCCTGATTTCCATGGCTCAATTCTCTCATGACTTTCCTCCTGATTCCAAAAAAGCAAGGAGGACTATGGGAGGTGCCCAGGCCATGAAAAAGACAAAATGGCACCATGCAAAACCCTTATGGGACATTCTTCTAGACCAGTATGGCTTAAAAAAACACCTCATATCACATTCAGTCTTTGCATACTGCTTAAACAACAGTGGTCTCAGGATTTCCTCAATAGTTGACTTGATAAAGCTTCCCAAAATGGCATAACTGATGCTACTAAATGCTAATTTAGAATAATGCAGACGTAAGTGAAGTTTATTTCCCTTCGAGGTTTACTTTTTAAATGTTAAGTCTGGTGAGAGCAAAATAAAATATTGTTTGCATATGTGGGCAGTTTAATGTCCACCCAAATTTATGTTAGGAGTATGCATGTTTGGTAAAGGTTACATTTAGAAAAGACTGGTGTCAAAATAAATTAATCTTCAGAAAATCTTGCATATTTTTCTAAAATCATCAGCTTGAGATAATGTTGGGGGCAACTACCAAATGTTTTTCTACAAGGGTAACCATGAAAAATGACAAAAATCAAGGTTTAATATCCTAAATCACCTGCAAGTAAGTAAAAACAAGGTCAGTATTAACATAGAAAGAGATGTCAAAAGAAGCAATTGTTTTTCCTTCTTTTTTCTTTTTGGTCTCCTCTTCCCAGACTCAAGTGATCCTCCTGCCTCAGCCTCCCGAGTAGCTGGGACTACAGGTGTCTGCCCCTACACCCACCTAATTTTTGTATTTTTTGTATAGACTGGGTTTTGCCACATTGTCCAGGCTGCTCTCAAACTCCTGGGCTCAAGCAACCCTCCTTCCTCACCTTCACAAAGTGGTGGGATTACAGGCATGAGCCACGGCACCTGGTCCAGAAAACCCACTTTACTTACTTACTTACTTACATTTATTTATTTATTTTTGAGATAGAGTCTCACTCTTGTTGCCCAGGCTGGAATGCAGTGGCGCAATCTCGGCTCACTGCAACCTCTGCCTCCTGGGTTCAAGCAATTCTCCTGCCTCAGCCCCCCCAGTAGCTGGGATTACAGGCACCCATCAACACGCTCAGCTACTTTTTGTATTTGTAGTAGAGACAGGGTTTCGCCATGTTGGCCAGGCTGGTCTTGAACTCCTGACCTCAGGTGATCCGCCCGCCTCAGCCTCCCAAAGTGCTGGGATTACAGACATAGGCCAACGCATCTGGCCATAAAACCCACTTTCTAAGGGGGTTAAGAATGAATGCCTATACTTAACCAAGTTATTCCAATAAATAATAATAAAAACAGGCCATGCATGGTGGCTCACGCCTGTAATCCCAACACTTTGGGAGGCCAAGGCAGGTGGATCACCTGAGGTCAGGAGTTTGAGACCAGCCTGGCCAACATGGTGAAACCCTGTCTCTACTAAAAATACAAAAATTAGCAGGGCGTGGTGGTACGAGCCTGTAGTCCCAGCTACTCAGGAGGCTGAGGCAGGAGAATCACTTGAACCTAGGAGGTGGAGGTTGCAGTGAGCTGAGATCACGCCACTGCACTCCAGCCTAAGTGACAGAGTGAGACTCTGTCTCACCAAAAAAAAAAAAAAAAAAAAAGAGGAATAAAAACAGTTCTTGGCTAGGCGCGGTGACTAACGTCTGTAACTCCAGCACTCTGGGAGGCCGAGGCGGGTGGATCACCTGAGGTCAGGAGTTCGAGACCAGCCTGACCAACATGGAGAAACCCCATCTCTACTAAAAATACAAAAAAATGGCCGGGCATGGTGGCACTTGCCTGTAATCCCAGCTACTTGGGAGGCTGAGACAGGAGAATCACTTGAACCCGAGAGGCAGAGGTTGCGGTGAGCCGAGATCACGCCATTGCACTCCAGCCTGGGCAACAAGAGTGAAACAACATCTCAAAAAAAAAAGAAAGAAAAAAAACACAGTTCTTATTTTGTATTTCAAATCTTGCAGGAATATTTTTCCTTTAATGATGAAGAAAATATTCTTCCTTTACAGATTGGAAAAAAATAGACCAAAAAAATAATCACAGAAGGATTCCCAAATCCCACCTCCTATTCAACTACTCTTGGTATGCATCTAGGTTTTACAAAAAAATTCTGAATGGACAGATGTCCCAATTCAAAATAAGCCTACACATTTACTGTCTAGTTCTTTTCAATAATAGTCCTGCACAGTATTAGCAATATTAGATTGATCTAGAAATACAGAAAGTCTCAGCTAGCTTTTTTTTCTTTTTTTTTTTGAGAGGGAGTCTCACTCTGTTGCCCAGGCTGGAGTGCAGTGGTGTGATCTTGGCTCACTGCAGCTTCCGCCTCCTGGTTTCAAGCGATTCTCCTGCCTTAGCCTCCCGAGTAGCTGGGAATACAGGCTAATTTTTGTACTTTTAGTACAGACCGGTTTTCACCATGCTGGCCAGGCTGGTCTCGAACTCCTGACCTCGAGTGATCTGCCCGCCTTGTTCTCCCAAAGTGCTGGGATTACAGGCGTAAGCCACTATACCCAGCCCAGCTAAGCTTTTTAATCAAAGTTTATTTTGATTGCTCTGCATGTTGGTCACATACATGACTGATAAACTAGATGCAGCCCACATCTAACCCAGTTTGCATCCAACATCTGATTTTATAAGGAGCTGACTTTAGTGGAGAAGCAGGATTACTGTTTTAATATTTACAGCGTGTAAATATTTACAAATGACTACTCAAGAGACTGAGGTGGAAGGGTCACTTGAGCTCAGGAGGTGGAGGCTGCAGTGAGCCAAGATCATGCCACTGCACTCCAGCATGGAAAAAAGAGCAAGACCGTGACTCAAAAAAATAATAATAATAATACAAATGAGTCAACATCTCTCAGTTGAAAAATACTGCAGAACAATGAATTTAACATCAAGTACATAAAAATGTAAGGGAACAATCATAATTGGACCTATATTTAGCTGGCCACGGTGGTTCACACCTGTAATCCCAGCACTTTGGGAGGCTGAGGTGGGCAGATAACCTGAGGTCAGGGAGTTCGAGAGAAGCCTATTCAGCATGGTGAAACACCATCTCTACTAAAAATATAAAGATTAGCCAGGTGTGGTGGTACATGCCTGTAGTTCCAGCTACTCCATAGGCTGCAGCAGGAGGACTGCTTGAACCCAGGAGGCAGACATTGCCGTGAGCTGAGATTGTGCCACTGCACTCCACATTGCAGCCTGGGTGACAGAGTGAGACACCATCTCAAAAAAAAAAAAAAAGAACTATATTTAACATCAATCACCTGTGGGTTCCATGGTCTACAGCAAAGGCTACATTTCCAAAGACAAACACTGCCCCAAAAAATAAAAGAGCTAAGAAAATCATGTTTTCTACAGGCGCCCGCCACCGTGCCGGCTAATTTTTTGTATTTTTAGTAGAGATGGGGTTTCACCGTGTTAGCCAGGATGGTCTCAATCTCCTGACTTCATGATCCGCCTGCCTCAGTCTCCCAAAGTTGGGGGATTACAGGCGTGAGCCACCGCGCCTGGCCAGGAAATTTTCTTTTGTTTTTTTTGTTTTTTTTTTTCAGACAGAGTTTTGCTGTGTTGCCCAGGCTGCAGTGCAGTGGTGCAATCTCAGCTCACTGCAACCTCTGCCACCTGGGTTGAAGCAATTCTCCCACTACAGCCTCCCGAGTAGCTGGGATTACAGGCACATGCCACCACGCCTGGCTAATTTTTGTATTTTTAATAGAGACGAGTTTCATCATGTTGGCCAGGCTGGCCTCGAACTCCTGACCTCAAGCACTCTGCCCACCTCAGCCTCCCAAAGTGCTGGGATTACAGGTGTGAGCCACCACACCCGGCCCCTCATAGGAAATTTAAATGCCAGAACTACCAGTTCTTTTTCTTGGAAGAGATCTACTATACTACGTCTAGCAATGTTTTCTTTTTTTTTTTTAAGCCTATATTTTTAATACATTTGTTCCCCAAAAGGTCACTTTCTACTTTCAAAAAACATGTGAGTCACTCGAGATGAAAAACAGCTTATCTAAAAATGTGTTATAGCTCCCAATAACTCCAAACTGACATCCCAAGATATGAGGCTGTTCCACAGTGAGAGAACTTGGAAACTGGAACTCTCTGATTACTTACTTGTTAAAAAAAGGTTCAATGAGTTTTGATCTGGCAGACACATGAATTTTTGGAGGGCTGAGAAAAGAACCTAATGAAGAAAAGAAGAGAGGTATTATTATTCATAGTCACATAGACCAAGCCTGAAAGTTCAGACCAAAACAGATTTAAATTAACAGCATGGTTCAACAAGTGTGAAAGGTATTCTTTTTTTTTTGAGTCAGAGTTTCACTCTTGTTGCCCAGGCTGGAGTGCAATGGCGCAATCTCGGTTCACTGAAACTTCCACCTCCCAGATTCAAGTGATTGTCCTGCCTCAGCCTCCCGAGGACCAGGGATTACAGACATGTGCCACCATGCCCAGCTAATTTTGTATTTTTAGTGGAGACAGGGTTTTTCCATGTTGGTCAGGCTGGTCTCAAACTCCTAACCTCAGGTGATCCACCCACCTCAGCCTCCTAAAGTGCTGGGATTACAGGAGTAAGCCACTGCGCCCGGCCTGTGAAAGGTATTCTTACGCACCAAGTACCATACCACAGCAAGTGTCAGTGGTTTTTCTTGCAGATTTCCTCCTCCCCTCATCTCCTCCCACTCCTACCTCAAAACCCTCCCACTTTTAATTGGGTGAGTGGATCCCAAGGAAATGGTAGTGCTATAGGTTCAATGTTTGTGTCCCCCTAAAATTCATATGTTGAAGCCTCCCCAGTACGATGGTATTTGGAAGTGAGACCTTTGGGAGGTAATTAAGTCACGAGGGAATTAGTGCCCTTATAAGAAGGGTCAGGAGGCTGGGTGCGGTGGCTCAAGCCTGTAATTCCAGCACTTTGGGAGGCTGAGGTAGGAGGATCACTTGAGCCCAGAAATTCTAGATCAGCCTGGTTAACACAGCAAGACCCTGTCTCTATAAAAAAATTAAAAAGTTAGCCAGGCACAGTGATGCACACCAGTAGTCCCAGCTACTTGGGAGGCTGAGCCCAGGAGTTCAGCGTTGCAGTAAGCTATGATTGAACCACTGTACTTCCAGCCTGGGTGACAGAGTGAGACCCTGACTCTTAAAAAAGAGGCGGCACAGCTTCTGCTCTCTCTGCTCTCCACCACGTAAGGACAGGAGAAGGCAGCCATCTGCAAACCAGGAAGTGGGCTCTCACCAGATACTAGGTCTGCTGGCAACTGGGTCTTGGACTTTCCAGCCTCCTGAACATGAGAAATAAATGTCTGTTGTTTAAGCCCCACACTCGACAGTAATTTATTACAGCAGCCTAAGCCAGGAGACAGGTAAGATCCACCCTAGATCACTGCGTGTTTGACTGAAAGACATGTAATGCGTACCTAGGTAATTGGCCATGGAGATGAAGCACAGCCCTGTGATGTAGGCATCGTAGCCTGCCTCGTGGAGTTGTTCAGAGGCTGTGTCATAACTTGGAAAACCTTCGGCACTTTCTAAGAAAAAAAAGGAAAAAGTTTTCCTCAAAACAAAGACTAGTAAGCACATTGCCCTACCAATCAAAATTGCATTAGCATATGCTAGAGAAATACCCTAAATAGGCAGAAAAAAGCTATCTATTCCTTAATTCTCTCTATATAAGACCTTAAAATACAAGATAACAGAGTCACTGAAAAGGAGGGCTTTGGTCTAGGATACAGAAATGCCTCAGTTAGATTACAAAGGACTCAGCCGTGGGCTTTCTCGTCCCACACTGGTGGGTGCTATTTATGATCATCCATAACTCACTCTAGGACAATGATTCCTCTTCTGCTTGCTTTCTAAGGCCATGAAAAGGATATTCTTCCCTTATACAAGATGGTCACATCAGGCCACAATAGATGATCCAGAGTAAAGATTAAGAGCATGGGCTCTGGAGTCACACTGAGTTCGAATCTCTGCTCCACCACTTATTTGCGGTATGACCTTGGGCAAGTCACTTCATCCCTAAGGTTCCAGTTTTGTAAAACAGAGATGATAATCAAACCTTCTTCAAAAGGTTATTGTTAGGATCAGATAAGATAATATAAGTTAAACTCTTACCTAGTGCTTGGTACATAGTAAGTGCTCAAAAACTGTTATCTATCAATACCTGAGGCAACCCTCCCCCAAAAAAAGAGAAGACTGCAATTCACTATCAACAGCTCCAACTCACTACTGTCCTCTACTATGTTCCCAAGCTTAGAGATCGAAAGGTGACAGCACAACCAACTCCAAAAATAAATCGAACTTGCTATAATGCTGGCCTTGGATCATGGAACCACTTTACAGCAAAGACCGCTTTATATACAATATGGTTCTTTTGTGACATTGATAAATACAGATGTGACCAGATAAACTATAAGAGGAATGACCTGCTTTAGACTGAATTCTCTACCAGATACCACTATTTTATATGGAAATAATAACATAAAACTATAACTCATAAATAATTATATCCTAGAACCATTCTGGAAATGAATGTCAGGAAGGTTACTATAACACAGAATCAAAAGCATAAATGGAAATTAACAATGAAAAGGCTGTAACTGTTTTTATGTCAATACAATGCTCTTTAAGCAAGAATTCTTTAACTCCATATTAAATATTAGACTTGATGCCTTTAAAAAAAAGCCTTTTAACATGGTAGCCACCTAAGTAATATCTTCCACTCCATCATCAACTGAGACACATTCTTTCCAAAATCAATTATTTCCATTATATTGTTATAGAAAAGGTCCACGTTTTCTCCCCCAATGGCCCCACCACCACTTTTCTTAATTCCTTTCTTGGACTATTACCCAGAAAGGGGCAAATAACTGTAATCTTGGCTGCTTTAATACTTTGCATTATCAATTTCTAAACCATTAGTCCTATTATCCATGTCTTTAGAAGTTTTCAGGCTACAACTAATGGCTCGCTAATCACCGTATCAGCAGCACAATCAGGTTAACAGGGACCAAGGAAGTAGCACCTGGTAGGCTCTCCACATACCTTGGTGGTGGCCCGAGGTGGCAAAACACCTCCATCTCATCTCCCTACTTCTGGTTTTCCTCAGTGCTGCTGTTTCTACTCTCTAAACCAGCTGAAAAGGAGGCAGGGTGGGGACTTGCCTTAATCTCACCTGTAAATCCAGTTCTCGGGCTTTTCTGAGATGGAAAATATATTTTTTACTCTACCCCTGGTGATTAATCACTAGCTCTTTGTCTCTGCTTCAATAATGTATGAAAGAATAAAAGGGCACATCAAGTTTTAGGAGAATTCCATATTATTAGAAAATAGAAGCCTTGAAGCTTTAATTGCTAAAATTCTCAATGAATGGCTACCCAACTCCATTAACATAAAATATATGTAGAATTAAAAGACCATCTTTATTCAAAAAACAATAATTCAACACACGGTACGTGCAAGTGAATTCAGCCAAAATCTATAAATGAACAATACGGTCTCCAGAGCCATTCTGCTTTTCTTCTACAATATACATCAATAATTATTACAAAGAGTTTGGAGGGTTTCCGGTTTAATATTCTTACCAACTTTAGGAGGGTTGAAAGGTGTCTCTTTTAACCGCTTTTCCAATTCCGCAAGGGATGTGTTGTTAATGATATCCTGCAAACCACGAAGCAAAGAATTATGAGATTTCATCATCTCAGAACAATATATTAAAGAGATTCACTGACCCCCCCAAAAAAAAGACAGCATCTAGTACTGTCTCCTTGTGTTCTTTAAAGAAACACAGAAGTCTTCGTTTTTTTCAATGTGAAAGAGAAGCAGCTAGTTTAATTTTTATAATATACAAAGTATAACCAAATGAATAAAGATCTTTACAGATGCATTAAATACCTCCAAACCTTTTGCCAGAAGGCTATATTGTTCTGGCATTCATTTCACTCAGTAATATGCAGTCGCTTTATAAAGTAGCAAATGAATAATACCTTAAAAGGTTGTGTGCTGGCCATCAATTTAGTATCCAAGAGTCTAAAAAGAATTTTTAACAAGGTAAACAAAATGTATATCAATGTTTAAAATGTCTTTTACTCAAATATGTAAGCTACTTAAAATACTTCATACATAAAAAACATAATTAAAACATAAAATGTTTAATACAGAAAATACTTAAACACAGACAAAGTAATTAAACACATTGGCCATTTTGAACCCAGCACCAGCATCCCTGCTACGTTGGAGTAGGTACTCAGTCCCATCATCAGCGACTTCATTGAGCAACTGCAGGAGAGTCCACACTTGGAGTACAAGTTCTAGATTCACCTGGATCCTCAGAGAGCCTGGGCTCCATCAATCTCAAGGGTGAGTCAAATACTCTCACATGGTTTTACGTGGTTCAAATACTGCTGCCGGTCTACCATTCCCAAACTGCTACCATCTACTCCTACTCCTCAGGTTTGTAAACTATAAATTCTTCTGCAGGGCCAAAATCTACAATCAGTACTTTCACGCTGTTGTTTTTATTTCTTATTATTCTATTTCAGAGATCAGAAACACCAAAAGGGGAGGGTGGGGAGAAACCCACATGAAAACTCTATTTCTCTGTTTTTTTTTTTTTTTTTTTTCATATAAATGTGAACAGAGTGGGTAACAGGACAGAAATAAGCCCAGCTGAAAGAGAAACTGCTCGAACACCACGCCTATCCCTCTTCAACAGGTCCTAAGACACAAACACTTGTTCGGTAGGCTCCACATGGCTGACCTATGATGTCTCAGAGATATGTGACATATGACCTATCAGAACAAGGGGGCAATAATAACTATGGAAAACACCAACAGGAAAAGGCACTGACTTGAAGTGGATGAAAAACAAAATCTCTAGCCAGATGGACAGTTCTTGACTGACTCTTGAACACTCTCAATTGGACACTTCAATAGTTACAAGGTACATCCTACATGCAAGACAGACAAGAGCCATCTCAAGGAGGCTTCAACAGTTCTTCAGACAGCAAGATGAGAGATAAGAAAAAAGGAGTCGTTGGTCTACTTTCACTCTCAGTTCAAACTGTGATTTTTTGATAACAAAACCAATCATAAATTATAAAAGCAAGCCATCACAACATTGGAGACATTAAATAAGTTCCAAGCTTATATGAACATGATCTAATGGTTTTAACAAATTACTATATACCTATTTGTATTGTGTATGTCACAATGACTCTTTTTTTTTTTTTTTTTTTTGAGACAGGATCTCACTCTGTCACCCAGGCTGGATAGTAGCACTATTATGGCTCACTGCAACCTGGACCTCCTGGGTTCAAGCAATTCGCCCACTTCAGCCTCCTGAGTAGCTGGACCACACGTATCCCACCACACCCAGCTAATTTTTTATTTTTTATAGATATGTGGTTTCACTATGTTGCCCAGGCTGGTTCTGAACTCCCTAGGCTCAAGTGATCCTCCCACCTCAGTCTCCCAAAGTGGTGGGATTATAGGTGTGAGCCACCGTGCCCAGCCAACTTTTTTAAAAGAAAGACAAATCCTCAAAGAAAGCTTACCTGGGGAAAACACATGTTGTCATCTCTTTAAACTCACTTAAGTCCTAAAGAACAAGAGAAGGACTTGTTACAATTTTCCTAATACACTCGCAGTATTAAAAAACATGTAAACAGCTCAAGTTCCATAGCTGTCTTCTCAAACAAGCTGTTGGGGCCCTTAAGCTAAACTACAAAACCCATTTCTAGTTAACAAGTACAAAAAAAACACAAAACCTTCCCAATTTCCTCACTCATTGGGAACCATATAACCTGATAACTAACTTCTGCATAACCAAAACAACAAATTTAAGGATTTAATAGTTGAAATTGGGAAGGGGCAGGGGGTCCAATAAAATGTTAAAACCTACCTATTTGAGAGGCCTGTAATAAAAGCAGAAAACTTCCAGTAATAGCTAACAGGCTGCGATCTACCACACAAATTTATCATAACAGTGAGACAAGCAGAGTCATTTAAATTAAATGGTTTACACAGGAAATGGGCATACTGTAAACTAGCTTAGACCTTTCCTGAGATCACCTTTGAAATGTTAGTAAAAATGGCCTTGGAAACACAGGCTTTTCAATACACATATGATTCCTGTTTCAACTCCAGAAAATTGCTCAAGTGGCACTAATAGCAAGTGCCTAGATTAGACAATTCATTTCTCAAGTTTATTTTGATCAGGAAGTCTAGAGCTGAAATGAGAGTCCTCTAATTTTGAATTAACTCATTTACATACATAATTGCCATGCTAGACTGAGTAGTCATACTCCTGACTCTTTGTAAACTACACTTCTCTTCAATGTTATTCATGCTTCATAGGAAACTGCTGTTTCCAATTAGCTTTTCAAGCCTGTAAATACAGACTGTATTTAGCTAGCCTGATATATTTACCAGCTTTTCACTGGCTATAAATTAATGGGCAAAGCATGAACAGGCGATTTCAATGCAACGTCAAAAAATGCAATAATGATGTTTGTAATCTCTCAATACCACTAGAAAGCTTTACAAGCAAGGAACAAGGAGAATTACGGCCACCTCCAGGGCCAACATATAGCACAGTTCTAGACCAATGTCTTCTAAAAGGTCATGCTCAAGTATCAAGATAGTTCATAAGAAAACACTCTCCTCTAAAAGGCAACTCCAAAATGTGGATTATTTAGTATCCTTTTAAATGCAAATTTTGATACCAGTGCATGTAAAAGCTCTACCTTTTTATCAAGTCAGGGTCTCACTATGTTGCCCAGACTAGCCTTGAACTCCTGCACTCAAGCAATTCTCCTGTAACAGCCTCTCAAGTAGCAGGCACTGCAGGTATGCACCACCACACCCAGCCTTCTAATTTATTAGGCTTTCTAATTTCTTCTCATCACTTCTTCTAAAGGTAGATGGAAAAAAACAAAACAAAACATTTTCTTTCTCTGACAATGCCAGAACATAAAGAAGTTAAGTTACTTACCAGGTAGCCTTAGTAATAAAGTGAAGGATAAAACTGCTTATCCTAACCCACTTACTACTCTACAACAAATCACTTGCTCTTTCTACCAGAATTTAATTCAAGACCACTTTCATTCCACTTAACGTTCATTAACTGCTTACATACAATGTGTTAAGTCAGGCCATTCATTAACTGCTTACACGCAATGTGTTATGTTACGCACTTACACAACAAAATGGCTACACCCCTTGTCCAAGGAGCTAACCACCTAGAAGGGGGTTATGCTGTATAATACAAGACAAAATTTATGTAACATAGAGATGTACAATGTTCTGTGGGAGTTGAGAGAAAGGAAAGATCACCTCTTGGGCAAGGTAGCAGGCAATAAAAACTTCATGGAGAAGGCAAAAGCTGCACCGCGGAAAGTTAAGGGAAAGCTGTGAACAACAAACATTGAGAACAACAAGAGAAAATTCAAGTTGGAAGAAATTAAACAAAGCACCTCTTAGGGAACAAATAAGTCAGTCTTGGAAAAAGGAGAGCAACAAGGGATTAGACTACACAGAAAGGTTGGGCTGGATCACAGAAAGCCTGTTATGCATGGGTAAAAATAGTCAACTGCCTAGAAAACAAAGAGTGTGGGATTAATTTAGAATTTTCAGCAGGGTCAGTGACAGGAACGGAGCCATACATCAGAAGATTACAAAACTGGCAGTCGGGAGATACTTCATTTGTTAAATCGATATTTAATGCCTTCTAGTGCCAAGCTCTATTCAGTATTCGAAACACCTAGAAGCACAGAATTAAATACATTTTCCTCTTGCCTTGCTGATAACTTCATTGCTTTAAAGATCAAAAAAGGCTGGGAGCGGGTGGCTCATTCCTGTAATCCCAGCACTTTGGAAAGCCGAGCGGGTGGATCACTTGAGGCCGGAAGTTCGAGACCAGCCTGGCAAGCATGGTGAAATCCCATCTCCACTAAAAAAAATTACAAAAATTAGCCAGATGTGGTGGCGTACACCTGTAATCCCAGCTACTTGAGAGACTGAGACATGAGAATCACTTGAACTTGGGAGAGGGAGGTTGCAGTGAGCCAAAATCACACCACTGCACTCCAGCCTGGCGACAGAGTGAGACTCTGTCTCAAAAAAACAAATGAACAGGCTGGGCGTGGTGGCTCACACCTGTAATCCCAGAGCATTGGGAGGCCAAAGCAGGTGGATTACCTGAAGTCAGGGGTTCAAGACCAGCCTGGCCAACATGGTGAAACTCCGTCTCTACTGAAAATATAAAAATTAGCTGGGCATGGTGGCAGGTGCCTGTAAACCCAGCTACTCGGGAGGCTAAGGCAGGAGAATCGCTTGGATCCGGTAGGCAGAGGTTGCAGTGAGTCAAGATCGCACCACTGCACTCCACCCTGGGCCACAGAGCAAGACTCTGTCTCAAAAATAAATAAATAAATAAATAAATAAATAATAAAGGTCAAAAAGTCAAGAGAGGAGCTGCTACTTTGATCTACTTGGCCAGTAAGAAGTGGGTGATCTGGCCAGGTGTGGTGGCTCACATCTATAATCTTAGCACTTTGGGAGACTGAGGTGGGCAGACTTCTCTTGAACGCAGGAGTTCGAGAGCAGCCTGGGCAAATGGTGAGATCCTGTCTCTACAAAACTTTCAAAACAATTAGTGAGGCATGGTGGCATGTGCCTGTGGTCCCAGCTACTCGAGAGGCTGAGGTAGGAGTATCACTTGAGCCCAGGGAGTTGAGGCTGCAGTGAGCCAAGATGGCGCCACTGCACTCCAGCCTGGGTGACAGAGTGAGACACTCTCTCAAAAAAGAAAAAAAAAAATGGCCGGGCATAATGGCTCATGCCTGTAATCGCAACACTTTGGGAGGCCCAGGCAGGCGGATCACCTAAGGTCAGGAATTCGAGACCGGCCTGGCCAACATGGCGAAATCCCGTCTCTACTAAAAATACAAAAATTAGCCAGGCATGGTGGCAAGCGCCTGTTAATTCTAGCTACTCAGGAGGCTGAGGCAGAAGAATCGCTTGAACCCAGGAGACAGAGGTTGCAGTGGGCCAAGACTGCACCACTGCACTCCAGCCTAGGTGACAGAGTAAGACTCCATCTCAAAAAAAAAGGTGCGAAAGTGAAGAAAAAAGAAAAGAAAAAAACAGAAGTGGGATGACATAAAATAAACATTAGCTCATTAGACTTAAGAAACGCAAATCCAGGCCAAGCCCGGTGGCTCACACCTGTAATCCCAGTACTTTGGGAGGCAGAGGCCGGTGGATCCCCTGAGGTCAGGAGTTCAAGACCAGCCTTGCCAACATGGTGAAACCCCATCTCTACTAAAAATACAAAAATTAGCTGGGCATGGTGGCGGGCGCCTGTAATCCCAGCTACTCGGGGGGCTGAGTCAAGAGAATCACTTGAACACAGGAGGCCGAGATCGCACCACTGCACTCCAGCCTAGGTGACAGAGTGAGACTCCATCTCAAAAAAAAAAAAAAAAAAAAAAAGGTAGGAAAGAGAAGAGAAAAAAAAAAAAAAACAGAAGTGTGGTGAGTGACATAAAATAAACATTAGCTCATTAGACTTAAGAAATGCCAATCCAGGCCAGACGTGGTGGCTCACGCCTGTAATCCCAGAACTTTGGGAGGCGGAGGCGGGTGGATCACCTGAGATGAGGCGTTCGAGACCAGCCAGGCCAACATGGTGAAATCCCGTCTCTACTAAACATACAAAAATTACCCGGGCATGGTAGCAGGCATCTGTAATCCCAGCTCCTCAGCAGTCTGAGGAAGGAGAGTCGCTTGAACCCAGGAAGCGGAGGGTGCACTGAGCAGAGATCACACCACTGCACTCCAGCCTGGGCCACAGAACAAGATTCAGTCTCAAAAAAAAAAAAAAAAAAAGAAATGCAATTCCATACCTTTTACACTTGTTTTGAGACCCACAACTATGAAGTCTTTGAGTCCTAAAAGGTGTTAAAAGGTGATAGAGCTGTCTTAAACAGTGATGACAACCTAAATTTTAAGAAATACAAGGGGAGCAACTGACCCACTCATGACGTCTGTATTGTACTTTTTTAAAGGAGGGTAATCAAAATGCTGACGGAACAATGGGACCTAAGAAATGTGAAGTAACTGAAGGTTTACAGATGTATAAGTGAGACTGAACTCTCAAGCAGGTGTCTTCCAATCTAGAAGTAACAAAATATTAATCTTTTAGCTGGGCGTGGTAGTGCACACCTGTGGTTTTACCTATTTGGGAGGCTGAGGCAGGAGGACCGCTTGAGCCCAGCACCCTGAGATCAGCTTGGACAAAAGAGTGAGACCTAGTCTCTATTTTATTAAAAAGATATGGGGAAGGCCGGGCACAGTGGCTCACACCTGTAATCCCAGCACTCTGGGAGGCCAAGGCAGGCAGATCATGAGGCCAGGAGATCGAGACCATCCTGGCCAACATGGTGAAACCCCATCTCCACTAAAAATACAAAAAAATTAGCAGGGCGTGGTGGTGCACGCCTGTAGTCCCAGCTACTCGGGAGGCTGAGGCCGGGGAAACACTTGAACCTCGGAGGCGGAGGTTGCAGTGAGCCGAGATTGCACCACTGCACTCCAGCCTGGCAACAGAGTAAGACTCCATCTCTAAAAAAAAAAAAAAAAATTATTTAAAATAAGAAAAAGATTAGTCCAGTGGCATACTATGGTCCATAGGCCAAATACAGCCAACCAATTATTTTGTAAATGAAGTTTTATTGCAACACGGCTATGCCAATTGGTTTACGTATTCTATGGCATTTCGGGGCTACAGTGGCAGAGCTAAGAGTTGTGACAGAAACTATGCAGCATGGAAAGCTGAAAATATTTTACTATCTGGCCCTTTATAGAAAACGTGCCAACGTTCATTTTAAAGGATGGGCTGAAGGTTGAAGGGGGACAGGAAATGCTGCCTGGAATTTGCTAAACTCAAAGATGAGAAATAAGGCCGCTTGCAACAAAAATAAAAACAATCAGCTGGGCATAGTGGCTCACACCTGTAATCCCAGCACTTTAGGAGGCTGAGGCGGGCAGATCAGGAGGTCAGGAGATTGAGACCATCATGGCCAACACAGTGAAACCCTGTCTCTACTAAAAATACAAAAAAACTAGCTGGGCATGGTGGCACGCACCTGTAGTCCCAGCTACTCGGGAGGCTGAGGCAGGAGAATCACTTGAACCCAGGAGGCGGATGTTGCAGGGAGCCGAGATCATGCCACTGCACTCCAGCCTGGTGAAAGAGTGAGACTCCATCTCAAAAAAAAAAAAAGAATCCAGATGTGAGAGAGGGCATGGAGATAAAATCGTCAGAATTTTGGAAATGACCAGATCTGGAGACAGAGCAAGAGTCAAAACTGATGCTAAAAACAGGGTTGGTAACTGGGAATCACTTATAGTAATGGGATGAGGAGAAAGAAGTGGTTTGGAGACAGTAAGAAAGAAAAGAAGTACAAGTTAAATATCTCATTTGAGCCACGTCAATTCAAAACAACACTTAGTCTGGGGGCTATCCAGGTAGGGATGTCTGGAGTCCAGCATGAAATGTATACCTGGATCTGAACAGAGACCACAGCTGGGGATAAAGATGTTGGTGTCTACAGCTGAAGCTGTAAAGTGAGTGAGATCACTAAAAGACAAAAAAGATGAAGAGGAAATAAAAGAGTGGAGCGCAGAGTGGCGAGGGACAAGTAACGTGAGGCCACGCAAACCGTATGGAGCAGAAGAGGGAGAGCCAGTAGAGGAACCAAAGCAGCTTGTGCTTTGGTCAACCAAGGCAACTTGGCTCAAGGACTGAAAAATGCACTACTGAGGTCAGCAGAGAATCTAAGGGAAGCAGCCTAGCAAGGGCGATCAAGAATTCTGTAGGACTGGACCCACTTCAGCTGCCACCACTTACCTTCAATGGCCCTGCTATGTCTAATTGTAGCAGGACCAAACTAGCAGCCCACACCTGTGGCCTGGGAATCCCTGCCCAGCACTAAATGAGCAAACCACTGGCATTAAGACAATGAAACAAATGTTTAATCTTCCTCTGGCAATGGCAGTGACTGAAGATCCCTTAATAAAAAAGTTTGTGGCCAGGCGTGGTAGCTCAGGCCTGTAATCCCAGCACTATGGGAGGCTAAGGCAGGCGGATCACGAGGTCAGGAGTTCGAGAACAACCTGGCCAATATGGTGAAACCCCATCTCTACTAAAAATACAAAAAGTAGCTGGGCGTGGTGACGGGTGCCTGTAATCCCAGCTACTCAGGAGGCTGAGGCAGGAGACTCGCTTGAACCCAAGAGGTGGAGGCTGCAGCAAGCCAAGATTGCACCACTGCACTCCTGGGCAACAGAGTGAGAATACATCTCAAGGAAAAAAAAATGTGCAACTGAGTGCATAAGATTCTCTCTGGGAACATGCTGCATACAAGGAAATGGCACCCAAGTAGAGGACAGTTCAGTTAAAAGCATCATAATAATATTTTTTCAGATAAAAAGAATCCTGCTAATATTAAACACAGACCAACAGGTCACTTACCGCAGGCAGAGGGCAGTAGAACTGATGAACTGTGTGCATGACGTCCAAGAGCATATTGTGTCCAATAACAAGTTTTCCCTAAAGAAAGTCAAGGTTAGAAAAAAGACTTCTACATTCGAAATTATACTGGGGTTTCAGAATGTATAGTTCAGATTCCAAGAGGACTTTGTACTAAACTCGCTTTCCAGACTTAAAAAAAAAAAAAAAAAAAAAAAAAAAAAAAGTACAAATAAGCTAATTTGGGCTGGCTTCATTCCTCCTCCATTTTGGAATGTTAAATCCAGAAAGCAAAGTGAAAGCACAAATGACTTTGATGTCACTGATCTTTTTCTTGAATTTTTATTAATTATGCCACCCTCATGAATCAGAAGTAGTAAAATTTTGATTGAAAAGTTTTTTTAAAAGTAAAATCTGGGCCAGGCACGGTGGCTCACAAATGTTATCCTACCACTTTGGGAGGTCAAGGCGGGTGGATCACCTGAGGTCAGTAGTTCGAGACCAGCCTGGCCAACATGGCGAAATCCCATCTCTACTAAAAATAGAAAAATTAGCCAGGTGCGGTGGTGCATGCCTATAACTCCAGCTACCCAGCAGGCTGAGGCAGGAGAATCGCTGGAACCCGGGAGGCAGAGGCTGCAGTGAGCCAAGATTGCACCACTGCACTCCAGCCTGGGCAACAGAGTGAGACCCCGTCTCAAAAAAAAAAAAGTAAAATCTGAAAGCGTTGACTCCCTTAAACTGTCAAATAATTTGGGAAAAAACTAAACACAAATTTTAGGGCTGCATCCTTTAAAACAACCCACTTATTTTAAAAGATACATTCATACCAATGCTAAAAGGTAAAAATAACTAATTTCTAACTATATTAAACAGAATTGCATTTCCTATATCATTATGTCAAAATTCATGGGGCATGTTCTTAAACACACATCCATTAAAAGTCACTGCCTTTCAGCCAACCGAAATACAATATATGTGCTGGCAGCCCTCTTCGTGCAATGGGCGGTGTGTCTGTCTCACACTATATGTGCAACAAATTAGTCCATTTTGATAAAAATTAAATTTCCAAAATGGAACATAAATTTAGATTTAGCCAGCCAGGTGACACCATTTTTAACATAAAACATCAGGGGCCGGGCGTGGTGGCTCACACCTGTTAATCCCAGCACTTTGAGAGGCCAAGGCAGGCGGATCACCTGAGGTCGGGAGTTTGAGAACAGCCTGCCCAGCATGGCAAAATCCTGTATCTACTAAAAACACAAAAAATTAGCTGGGTGTGGTGGCAGATGCCTGTAATCTCAGCAACTCGGGAGGCTGAGGCAAAAGAATGGCTTGAACCCAGGAGGCGGAGGTTGCAGTGAGCTGAGATCGCACCACTGCACTCCAGCCTGGGCGACAGTCAGACTCTGTCTTGGAAAAAAAAATCAGGTTACCACGATGGAGCTTTTACTATAACCCAAAGGACCTTCAGTGTAACACTGCTTGATTCATGGGACTACACATTAATTATCTGAAATAATCCTACACAAAATCTCCCAAATCTAACAGAGAAGCTGTCCTTTTGGCTCATTATTGGTGTACATTCTGAATACCTATGCTACGCTAAAATAATGAGCATTGATTGAAACCACAGAAAAGATGTGTAGGTAACCCCAAATGGAATGCAAACACTAAGAAATGAACCAAACTGTATTATAAATGACTACCATAACCACACTGAAGGTTAAGAAGAAACAAACTAACTTGGAAAAGAGCATCTTGACTAGATACTGTAAGGCTAAAAACAAAACGAATTGCACATAAATCATAAATGTTATCATTTCATCAATAAATGTACTTCTCGCGAGGTATGGGTTAGTAGCTCTGAAGCTACTTTATGTGTATACCGGGTTTAAACAAATAAACATAATGGAAGTAATAGAAACTGGATTTCTCACTGTTGAGAAAGAAGGCACAAATAAGAAAAGAGAGGAAGCTAAAAATAAGTCACGTGGTATTGTACTGGAATCTGAGGTATCAGTATAAAGGCATGCATACACCCATGCGCACACACACACAAACACACACACACTTATTTATTTAGAGACAGGGTCTCGCTCTGTTGCCCAGGCTGTAGTGCAATGGCACCATCATGGCTCAATGCAGCCTCAAACTCCCATGCTCAAGCAATCCTCCCACCTCAGCCTCCCCTACAGCTGGGACCACAGGCATGTGCCACCACTCCTGGCTAATTTTTTAATTTTTTTTTTTGAAATGCAGTCTTGCTCTGTTGCCCAGGCTGGAGTGCGGTGGCATAATCTCAGCTCACTGCAACCTCTGCCTTCCAGGTTCAAGAGATTCTCCTGCCTCAGCCTCCTGAGTAGCTGGGATTACAGGTGGCACCACCACACCAGCTAATTTTTGGATTTTCAGTAGAGACGGGGTTTTACCATGTTGGCTAGGCTGGTCTCAAACTCCTGACCTCACGTGATCTGCCCGCCTTGGCCTCTCAAAGTGCTGGGATTACAGGAGCGAGCCACCACACCCAGCCAATTTTTACATTTTTTGTAGAGAGGGGGTCTCCCATGTTGCCCAGGCTGGTCTTGAACTACTAGCCTGAAGCAGTCCTCCTGCCTTGACCTCCCTAAGTGTGGGATTACAGGGTTGAGCCACCATGCCCAGCTACATACACATTTATATAGATCCACACACACATACATATACAGAGAGACACAGAAATATAGCTGTGTGTGTACATGCCTAGGTCTACATACATATGGTTCTTAGTTCTGTCCAGTGAGAGGGCTTAGAAGCAATAATATCACCTAGGGCCAGAAGCAGTAACCTAGGGCCAGATCTTGGTTTCTAAACATCATTCCCCATTAAGAGGAACCAGAGCTCCGTGGAGAAGTCATTCATTCCATAGCTGAGCCAGAGAAACTACAAGAATACCAGAAAGCAAAGAAGTGCTCAGAAAAGGATGGGGGGCTTGTTCAGAGGGCACAGGAGCCAAGTCAAAGAAGCTCCAATGGCCAAAGGTGGTACAATTTAAGCAACAAAGTAAACAGTAAAAATCCTAGATAATAATCTAGTATTATTATTAATACTAATAATTAAAAAAAATCCCTGAGTCCATACATATACATAAAAACCATTAAATAAACAAGGGAAAGGGCTGGGTGTGGTGGCTCGTGCCTATAATCCAAATACTTTGGGAGGCTGAGGCGCGGGAGACTGCTTGAGCCTAAGAGTTCAAGACCAGCCTGGACAACATAGGAAGACCCCTTCTCCACAAAAAAAATATATATATAAAATTATCCACGTGTGGTACTGCATGCCTGTAGTCCCAGCTGCTCAGGAGGCTAAGGAGGAGGGAGGATCGCTTGAGCCCGGGAGGTAGAGGCTGCAGTGAGCCAGTGTACTCCCAGCTTGGGGAACAGACAGAGACTGTGTCTCAAAATTAAATAAATACATAAATAAACAGGGGAAAAGGACATTTTTTTCTTTCCTTTTTTTTTTTTTTTCGAGACAGGGTCTCAACTTTGTCACCAGGCTACAGTGCAATGGTGCAATCTCAGGTTACTGCAACCCCCGCCTCCTAGGTTCAAGCGATTCTCCTGCCTCAGCCTCCCAAGTAGCTGGGATTACAGGTGTGTGCCACCACGCTCAGCTAATTTTTGTATTTTCATTAGAGATGGTATTTCACCATGTTGGTTAGGCTGGTGTCGAACTCCCGACCTCCAGTGATCCGCCCCCCTTGGCCTCCCAAAGTACTGGGATTACAGGTGTGAGCCACCATGCCCAGCCCATTTTTTTCTTTATAGAAGAATTCCAAGAATAAATGTAGAAAGGACGAAGGAAATATAAACTTGCCATTAGAATACCACAGTAATAACTGCTACAGGCAAGATATGCTGATAGACGATAATATTAGTAGGCAAAGTTTGAGGGAAAACAGGATTTTCATGGTCTCAAAGTATCTCCCCCAAGATATTCATAAACTATAAAGTTAAACTATATAGTTAATTTAACTATAATTTAATGACATAGTTAACTTATTAACTATAAAATTAATTTCACAGAACACAAATCCAGCCAACACCACCTTAACCAAGCGATCAAGATCAACATCACGGGCAGAGAATGGTGGCTCACGCCTGTAATCCCAGCATTTTGGGAGGCCAAGGCAGGCGGATCACGAGGTCAGGAGACCGAGACCATCCTGGCTAACATGGTGAAACCCCGTCTCTACTAAAAATACAAAAAAATTAGCCTGGTGTGGTGGCAGGCGCCTGTAGTCCCAGCTACTCAGGAGGCTGAGGCAGGAGAATGGCGTGAACCCAGGAGGCAGAGCTTGCAGTACGCCAAGATCGCGCCACCGCGCTCCAGCGTGGGCGACAAAGCAAGACTCCATCTCAAAAAAAAAAAAAAAATTGATCGACATCATGAACCATCATTTCTGTGGTATTCTTGCCAAACCATATATCCTCAAATCAGTCATGAGAAAATGTGAGACAAATTCCAACTGGCGGACTTCTGACAAAACAGCAATCAATACCATTCAAAAGTATCCAAGTTATACAGCCGGGCATGGTGGCTCACACCTGTAAACCCAGTATCTTGGGAGGCTGAAGAAGGCAGATTACTTGAGGTCAGGAGTTCGAGGCCAGCCTGGCCAACATGGTGAAAGCCCGTCTCAACTAAAAATACAGAAATTAGCCAGGCGTGGTAGCAGGCACCTGTAATCCCAGCTACTTGGGAGGCTGAGGCAGGAGACTTGCTTGAACCCGAGAGGCGGAGGTTGTGGTGAGCCAGGATTGCGCCACTGCACTCCAGCAGGACAACAGAGCGAGACTCCGGCTCAAAAAATATATATATATATATATTTAAGGTATGGGATTTACGCATCTTATTTTACTTTAGTCAACTTTCATTCAAGACTCAAAAATTTTAAATGTCCGGATCGCTAATAAACAGGGCTTTTTGGTAGTATGCTTTGGGATGTTGACTACCAACGGTCAGCAACATGTTATGAATATTCTGTAGAAGAAAGATGTCAGAGAAAAGAAAACAGGTACAGCAAGCTAAGGTATCCGAATGTGTATAAGACAAACAAATGTCCAATCTTGGAAAAGCTGACTGAACTATCATGACGGCTACAAAAGAGCTCAAAACCAACTTATGTTCCGTATCTCTGAATTTTAGGGCCCGCCTCAATCAAAACCACCACTTATCTGAAGTCTGCTGGCTAGGTGTGCACAACATGAGCAAATGGAACCAGAAACTCAACTCTGCTTTTCTGGATACCTGTAATCTCAGCCACTGCTGAAGAGGCTCACAGCATTGTTTCTCTCCGGATCTTTCCAACTTTCTATTCGACTTTAATCGCCCCACTTACTTGAGCAAGAGAAGTCCTCGTGAGCCAACCCTCTTCTTTTACAAGGCTCTGTAAACCTCTGTTTATCCCGGAATGAGGACAGCAGGGGCCTTCCCTACAGCGCCCCTGTGTTTACAAGCCTGCAGCTGGCAGTGAGACAGCATGAAACCTTGAGAGGGTTTCTATGGCCTTAAAGCTTCCCTGATGCAAAGTTCAGCATCTAAGGTATAAGATGATTCCTTCTCCCAGGCCAACTGCTCAAATAAGAGAATGTCCTAGACTACAGGCAATTCAGCATCCAAGCAAGCTGTCTAGAACAACCAGCAGCATGACCTAGTTTACCTATGTAAAATGCGGATGCCTGTTTTCTTTCTCCTCTTCTTTTTTTTTTTTTTTTTTTTTTTTGGAGACAGGGTCTGTCTGTCACCCAGGCTGGGGTGCAATGGCGTGATCACAGCTCACTGCAGCCTTGACTTCCCGAGCTCCAGCGATCCTCCCACCTCAGCCTCCCAAGTAGCTGGAACCACAGGCATATACCACCACACCTGGCTAATTTTTGTATTTTTGGTAGAGATGGGGTTTCCCCATATTTCCCAGGCTGGTCTCGAACTCCTGAGCTCAAGCAATCCATCCTTATCGGCCTCCCGAAGTGCTGGGATTACAGACATGAGCCACTATGCCCGGCCGCCTGTTTTCAGAAAGGCCTCACAAAGCAAGGAAAAACACCCATCATATCTATCATAGAGTCCCCTAGCACATTTACACAAATGGCCAATATCTTTTTAAAACATATCAAATATTATTAAGAATAAGATTCAATTACACTTATGTAGCACTAAACAAAGACATCATTATTTTTACCCTCTAGATTCTTCTACTTAGGGAACAAAACACCTTCAGTCAAATATCTGATTGTTTCTCCCCTTATTCCTTACTTTCTTTTTCGACTTCTTACTGGTTTTGAAAATAACTCTTGGTTTCCATGTAGCCATATAAGGACAACATAGTGTAACCCTCCTATGCATTTTTCAAGCAAGGCTCCCTGAAAATTGATTTGAATATAATTTAGCAATTATGCCTCACCAAGTGCATTATAACAACAGTCTATCTTGATGAAGTTCTAACTTCTTAGAATGTTCTAGGTAAACATTCTAAAGGAGATGAAATGATTAATCTGCAATGATAATTAGATACTTCACCTGAAATAGTATGTTCTGCAATCTTGCTAAAAAGTCTGGCTCACTTACCGAATTAGCAATGGCGTGAATGACTCTAGAAAATCCCACAGCATCATTCAGCTCCTCCTAATTAAAAAAATATATACATATGTATTATTGATGTATAAATATTCCTTATGTGAATTAAAAAACTACCCCAAAAAAAAGACACTGAAATTTTGTATCAAGTTAGATAGCTTTAGTTTCCTGTGCTTTGCGCCTATCTTCCCAAACATTTGCATCTAAAATGATCTACGTACATACTTTTCTTCTATTTTAGAAAGTAGAATGAACAAATGGAAAATTATTCATTAGTTACTAAAAGAACAATGCTTAGGGTTTATCCATCACTTCACCGACTTCTTTAAAATTTCCAAGTCTTTCAAGGTGTCTTAAAAACAGTAACTTAAAAAGTTGCCACCTGCAGGCTAAACTCAGTAACACATTCAATTCTGAGGAAACCCATCTGGCAGTTAACTGATCAAATCAAGTATTTTCATAATTCCTGATTTTTTTTCCTCGAAAAATACATTTTTACAAAATTCTCCCACCCACCTTCTTCTCTCCTATATTCTTTCCAGCAGTGTTGAAAGAGGCTCAGTGTCTCTCTTATCTTGAAAACCCTCCCCTCCTCTAAGATCTCTCAGACTACTGCCCCTTCTACTTGTCTCATCAAAGCTAACTTGCTTTCTCCAGTTTAACTCCCAGGTGTTCCCAGCCCTCTGGCTTCATGCTCACTGAAATTGCTCACCTCCTTAAAACTAACCCCAACACTGGCTGGGTGAAGTGGCTCACGCCTGTAATCCGAGCACTTTGGGAGGCAGAGGCAGATGGATCACTTGAGGTCGGGAGTTCGAGACCAGCCTGACCAACATGGTGAAACCCTGTCTCTACTAAAAATAAAAAATTATCCGGACGTGGTGGTGCATGCCTGTAATCCCAGCTATTCCAGAGGCTGAGGCAGGAGAATCGCTTGAACCCGGGAGACGGAGGTTGCATGCTGTAAGCCAAGATCGCACCATTGCACTCCAGCCTGGGCAACAAGAGCGAAACTCCATCTCAAAAAACAAACAAACAAACAAAAAACTAACCCCAAGACTAACAAGTATTTGCAAGGATGTAGAGAAACTGGAACCTGTGTGCCGTTGATGAAAATGTTAAACAGTGCAGCAGCTAAGGAAAACAGTATGGAGGCTCATCCCAAAAAGAATTCCCATATTACCCAGCAATTCCATTTCTGGGTATATACCCCAAAGAATTGAAAGCAGGGACTCAAATAGGTATATGCATACCTAAATTCACAAGAGCATTATTCACAATAGTCAAAAGCAACCCAGGTGTCCACAAACAAATGGATAAACAAAATGTGGTCTAGCCACACAATGGAATATTATTCAGCCTTTAAAAAGGAAGGAAATTCTGACACATGCTATAACATGGGGAACCTTGAGGCTGCTATGCTAAGAGAAATAAGCCAGTCACAGGAGGACAAATACTGTACTTATATGAGGTACTCAGAGTGACCAAATTCATATGACAGTAAGTAGAATAGTGGTTGCCAGGGGCTGGGTGTCAGGGGTGGGAGATGGAGAGCTGCTTGATTAGTACAGTTTCGGTTTTGCAAGATGAAGAGAATTCTGGAGATGGATGGTGGTGATGATTGCACAGCAATGTTAAACTACTTGATGTCACTGAACTATACATTTAATAGTTAAGATGATAAATTTTGTTATGTGTATTTTACCACAATTAAAATTTTTTTGGGGGGGTCAGGCATGGTAGCTCACGCTGGTAATCCCAGCACTTTGGCAGGCTGAGGCAGGCAGATCACCTGAGGTCAAGAGTTCAAGACCTGCCTGGCCAACATGGCGAAACCCCGTCTCTACTAAAAATACAAAAATTAGCCGGACGCAGTGGCATGCACCTGTAATCCCAGCTACTCGGGAGGCTGAGGCAGGAGAATCGCTTGAACCCGGGAGGCGGAGGTTGCAGTGAGCCGAGATCATGTCACTGCAAGCAAGGCTCCATTTCAAACAAAAACAAAAATTGCTTTTTTGGTTTTGTTTTTTGTTTTTGAGACAGAGTCTCACTCTGTTGTCCAGGCTGGAGTGCAGTGGCGTGATCTCGGCTCACTGCAACCTCCGCCTCCCGGGTTCAAGCGATTCTCCTGCCTCAGCCTCCCGAGTAGCTGGGAATGCAGGCACATGCCACTGCGCCCGGCTAATTTTTTTGCACTTTTAGTAGAGATAGGGAAAAATTGCTTTAATTATAGTTTAAAAAACTACTGCCAGGGCTGAATCCAACAGCCATGTCTCAATACTAACCCCTACATGGGAGCTGACATTGCTGACTGCCCCTTTTTCTCTCCTCCCTTGGCTGTGTACCACAATAATCTCCCGGTACATTTTGTCGACTTCTGCCTATCATTTAAATGCTGTTGATCCTCAGGATTCAGCCCCAGGTCCTCTTCTCATTCCTCACGTACTCTGCAGTTGCTCTGATCCAGTCCCAGTCTCTCTGCCAATGACAATCATGCCTAGCCCTCACCCCTCTCCTGTGCTCAACACTGACAAACCTGCTAAGAGGACATCCACCCTTGCATGTCCTAAAAACACTCGAAACCTCATCAGGTCAAAACCAGAATGGAACATCTTTTTCCACTCTGGGGGAACATCTTTTTCCACTCTAGGGGATGCCATGGTGCCCTGGTGGCCTTGCATGTATCAAAACGGGCCATGCAGGTAAAGGCTAATCTGCGTCTTGGCCACAGACTCATCTGCGTCTTGGCACAACACATCAGGAGGGAAGGGTGGGAGGCAGAGGCTTCTAAGGAGCTGCTATGAGGCCAGCTCCCACCCCCTTCCCTGTCACTCCTGGGAGGCTGTCATGAAACAGTTCCTCATTGCCTCCTGGGTTCTGAGGAGGTGTGGGGCTCTCTGCCTCGCCCTCTCAGAAGAGAGCTGCAGAGTATCAAAGCCCTGAGCTGCAGCCTAGAACTCATCCTCAGTGAAGCCACATCACAAAACACATGCTGCAATCATCTCGTATCTTTTTTTTTTAAGACAAGGTCTCACTCTGTCACCCAAGCTAGAGTACAGTGGCATAATCTCAACTCACTGCAACTGCAACCTCCACCTCCCGGGGTCAAGCAATTCTCCAGCATCAGCCTCCCAAGTAGCTAGGACTACAGGCGCACGTCACCACACCTGGATAATTTTTTTTGTATTTTTTGTAGAGATGGGGTTTCGCTATGTTGCTCAGACTGGTCTCAAACTACTGAGCTCAAAGTGATCCTCCCACCTCAGCCTCCTAAAGTAGTGCTGCGATTACAGTCATGAGCCATCACACCTGGCCTCTAACTGGCACCTTTTGTTTCTGCGTTGTCCTTTTTAGTATGTGGGACAGGGACCACAGGCAGCACCTCTTGCTAATCTTTCCCTGTGTAGGTAATATGCTGTCTCCCAAAGTGGGTCATTGTGGTTAAGTCAATTAGGAGTGACCCTGCCTAATGTACATATGAGCATGACATTCATCCACATGCAAACCCACTCCTCTCTCCTCCACCTTTTCCCCCAACCGATGTCACTCCAGCCAACCCCTCCAAGTGAATGGAGTGCAGTCTACCCCGTTGTGCAAATGTCTGGCATGAGCATCTTCCTCCTTCCCCCTTCCTCCTCCACCACCCACATTCAGTCATAAATTCCATGGATTCTACCTTCCAAGTATCTCCAGATTCCATCTACACTGCTACTCACTATCCTACGCCAGGTCACCAACATCTCCTAGCTAGGTTACTCCACAGCTTAACTAGTCTCCTGCCTCCAGTCTTACTCACTCGAAACCATTCTTCACACAGCAAGCAGGGTGATGTTCCAACAGTACAACCTAAGCATGTCATCCTCATCTGTCAGATCATGTGCTCTGAACTTGGTTTAAGGAAAACTAGTAACTATACATGAAGTTAGACGTTGCAGTATTAAAGGATAGTGACACTCAGTGACACAAGCTAAATGAGAATCAAGAGTACTTTCTTCAGGACTGGTTTAAGTAGACACTGGTCATCAGTGACGTCAGACTCACTTTGCTAGCTACGTCTCATGCTTAAATCTAACTTCCCCTTATTCTAGTCCAGGTTTTTCTGCCAATTCCATTGTTCTATGAAAGAAAACTATTCATTAAATTGAATCCAACATATGATCTGAAATAGACAGGAATAAATCAATATTTATGTTGCCATTTCTCACCCCCCAAGAATTAACATAGCCCAATTACCTGTTCTTTGGCATGTTTCTGCTGCTCTCTTCTTTTGCGTTCTTCTTCATCTACTTTGCTGATAACTATATATCGCTCCTTCTAAAAGACATAAAGCAGATATACAATTTTCTTTTCTTTTTCTTTTTTTTTGAGACAGAGTTTCGCTCTTGTTGCTCAGGCTGGAGTGCAATTGCATGATCTCAGCTCACTGCAAACTCCGCCTCCTGGGTTCAAGCGATTATCTTACCTTAGCCTCCCGAGTAGCTGGGATTACAGGCTTGTGCCACCACACCCGGCTAATTTTTGTATTTTTAGTAGAGACGGAGTTTCTCCATGTTGGTCAGGCTGGTCTCAAACTCCCCACCTCAGGTGATCCACCCGCCTCAGTCTCCCAAAGTGCTGGGATTACAGGTGTGAGCCACGGTCCTGGCCACAGATATATACAATTTTCTAGAGACAACTTAATCCAAAAAATTCAGATTTCTGCTGCCATTAGAATTTTTTTTTTGAGACAGTCTCACTCTGTCACCCAAGCTGGAGTGCAGTGGCACAACCTCAGCTCACTGCAAACTCTGCCTCCCAGATTCAAGTGATTCTCCTGCCTCAGCCTCCAGAGTAGCCAAGATTACAGGTGCGCACCAATACGCCCAGCTAATTTTTGTATTTGTAGTAGAGACAGGGTTTCACCATGTTGCCCAGGCTGGTCTCAAACTCCTGACCTCAAGTGATCTGCCCACCTTGGCATCCCAAAGTGCTGGGATTACAGGCATGAGCCACCACACCCAGCCAGAAGTTGTAATTTTTGTAACCGCACACTTTTTTTGTATGTGTGACAGGTTATCACTCCCATTGCTCAGGCTGGAGTGCAGTGGCATGATCACAGCTCACTGCAGCCTCAAATTTCTGGGTTCAGATGATCCTCTCACCTCAGCCTCCTGAGTAGCTGGGACTACAGGCATGTACCACTATGCCTGGCTAATTTCTTTTTATATTTTTAGTAGAGACGGAGTTTCACCATGTTGTCCAGGCTGGTCTCAAACTCCTGGGCTCAAATGACCTGCTCATCTCAGCCTCCCAAAGTGCTGGGATTACAGGCCTGAGCCACCATGCCCAGCCACTGTAGTCTTTCATGAGCCAAATACAACAGAAAATACTTTGAAATGCCAACATAAGTTGAGCTAATGCATTACAAACCAAATTTTGTCTCTGTGTTTCCATGACATTTTCCTACGGTTTACTAATTCAACCCAACAGACATCAGTTAAAAATATCAACAGACTGTGAGAATAAGACATTTCCTATGACAAATACTAAAAAAGTTATATTGCATTTGAACATTGACTTCTGAAGAGTTTTAAAGTAAAATGTATATGTTGTATTAACATTAACAAAACTTACATATATATGTTGTATTACCATAAGAAAAAACTCTGGATTTTCTGCCAAAGTGTCAGATAACTAGTACTTTCTTTCTCATATATTTTGTGTCCACTAAAGATAAATTATCTACCAAGATTATTTTTCTACTTTATTTAATCTCTAATTTTATACCTGACTTAACAGCAACAACAAATTATAAAATTGAAAAACTGCAGAAGGAACCCACCACTAGCCACCCACTTCCCATCACAATTCTATCAGTGTACCCTGTGTACTCAGGACAATAGCTGTGCTTACGACCCAAATTCTAAAATTTAATTTTGTCTGCCCACGCAACATGAAGCCATTTCTTCACATGTACCATTATAGCTTTCTGCCATAGTAAGAATACAAACTAATATTTGTATACTTTCAAGTTTACAAGGCATCACTTCCACTTACCCACGGTATCACCATAAAAAGGCTATGAGAAAGTATAGATCACCGTTATCATGCTCAGTCCCAATGTACAGAAGAAAATTAGGCTTAAAGAGATCAAATGACTTACCCTAGGTTACCTAGCTCATAACAAGCACAGACAAGATACAAATTCTGACTTTCAGCACACTAAGGATTGAGCATGGTAGCTCAGGCCTGTAATCCAGCACTCTGCGAGGCCGAGGCGGGCAAATTGTTTGAGCCCAGGAGTTCAAGACTAGCCTGGGCAACAGGGCGAAACCCTGTCTCTACTAAAAATATAAAAAATTAGCCAAGCATGGTGGCACGAGCCTGTAGTCCCAGCTTGGGAGGCTGATGTAGGAGGATCACCTGAGCCCAGGAAGTCAAGGCTGCAGTGAGCCGTGACTAACCACTGCACTCCAGCCTGGGTAATCAGAGAAAGACCCTGAGGGAAAAAAAAAAAGAAAAAAAAAAGAAACCCCTAACAGTGTAACAATGGATGTGTTTAATGTTAGCCCTAGATAATTCTTGGGGTTACCTTTTCAGTTTCTAAAGTCTCAACATGAATGCCTTTCGGATACCTAAAGAAAAGAAAAACATAGTATCAGTAGATGAGTCAATGACAGCTAAATCCCAAAGTATTTTATAAGCAACTATCCAGCTACTAATTAAGTAAGTTTTATTAACTACAAAATAATTATCACTACAATGGAGACTTTACAGCACATTTATTTTATAACGTTTCAGCTGCTAAATGTTTCCTTACCCTTGCTCTTAAACACATAAACGTGGATTTGACTTCAAATTAATTTTTTTTAGGACTTAGGTATTTTCTATTTTTTTTTTTTTTTTTGAGACAAGAGTCTCTCTCTGTCGCCCAGGCTGGAGGGCAGTGGCGCGATCTCGGCTCACTGCAAGCTCCACCTCCCTGGTTCACGCCATTCTCCTGCCTCAGCTTCCCAAGTAGCTGGGACTATAGGCACCTGCCACCACACCCAGCTAATTTTTTGTATTTTTAGTAGAAACGGGGTTTCACCGTGTTAGCCAGGATGGTCTCGATGTCCTGACCTCGTGATCCTCCCGCCTGGGCCTCCCAAAGTATTGGGATTACAGGTGTGAGCCACTGCGCCTGACCAGGACTTAGGCACTTTCTAAAATGTCCTACATCTCAAAATACAGTCAACTCATTACCACAGAGTCAAATCTTGCTTCCAAATATAAAAATGTTTCCTAACTGAAATTGTGAAAGTCTTTTTATTTTATTTATTTATTTATTTTTTTGAGATGGAGTCTCACTCTGCCACTCAGGCTGGAGTGCCAAGCCGCAATCTTGGCTCACTGCACCTCTGCCTCCAGGGTTCAAGAGATGCTCCTGCCTTTGCCTCCCAAGTAGCTGGGATTACAGGCATGTGCCACCATGTCCGGCTAAATTTTGTATTTGTAGTAGAGACGGGGTTTCACCATGTTGGCCAGGCTGGTCTTGAACTCCTGACCTCAGGTGATCTGCCCACCTCGGCCTCCCAAAGTACCAGGATTACAGGAGTGAGCCACCGCGCCCGGCCTGAGTCTTTTTAGATTGCACAGGGCATATAAAGAGGAGGTTTTAGATGGCCAGCTCTGCTGTAGTTTTGCATGGTATTAACAGCTTGCATCAGCCAAGGAGGAGAGGGATCTGGAATGCAGGTGGAGTAGGCTGCAAGGACGACATGACAGGAAAGGAGTGTGGGCAAACTAAACAGCCCTTTCCTGTTGTGTTCAAAGTATATTCCCAGTATACATGTCACTGGTAGATTCCAACAGAAGAACAAGGTCCCCAAAGTCAAATGGAAATGTCCACCTGTCTATGTCAATGTTCAATTTCTGAGTTGAAGACCCACCTGCAAACACAAGGAAACCAAGGGAAACATCCTTGGAAAAATACACACACAAAAGTCTGGATGTTATTTCAGGGGATTCACAGACCTCCTGAAACCCATCCATAGTCTCACCCTAAGTTAAGAACTCTTGCTTTACCAAAAGCATTCATCTGAGTATTTCCTAGGTCTGAAAACCAAATATTTATTGTATACCCCAAAGGACAAAAACACTACCAATCCATAGCTTAACAGATGCACCAAAGTGATAATTATTTTAAGAAGCCTTAAAGCATCTGTTAAAAAACAATAACAAAAGAAAATTAAGTGAGTATTCAACTTAAGAAAGTAGGGGGAACTTCATGTAGTCAAATCACTGAGAACCGCAGAATTTCAAAAAGGAAATGAGAACTAAGAGATTATATTTAGTCTTTAAATCCTGGGTCCCCCACAGAGCTGCTGCATACAATATAAATACTTACTTCCAGCTCAAAGTCTGATAAATTAGTTTTCTTTGGAACCTATAAAAACAAAAGAAAAGGTATTGATTTTGGCTCATTAGAAGTAAATCCAAACTGATCAAGCATTTGTTGAGAAGGATTTCGCTTTAAAAAGAGACTTCATTAGAACTGATAGGTAATTTGCAAACAAAAATACGCAGGTTTTTTGAGGTGGGGGGATTTCCTCATCACTTGTCTTCTAAAATTTTCTTTAATATTATGCTGCTTTTACTGAAGAGGTAGAAGTTCTCGTCTAATCAAAATATTGCTTCCTGCAGCTGCATAAAGAGAGCTTAAAGTAGACAGATGCATTGAAATACTTTTGTGAAACTCCTCACAAAGTAAAAGGAAAAAAAGACAATCACGTTACTGACTCTTTGAAATGCTAATGTTCTCTGAATACAGAGAGAAATTAAAAGGGTGGAAGTAGCCTGAAAGTGAATTCTTTCTTCTGAAGCCTTCACGTATTAAGCGCGCCTCAAGGCCAAATTAATTATGCCACTCTTGGGCATAACTGAAAGTCAAGGTTGCACAACAGTTTTCTCCGCTCCAAGTACAGGACAAAGCATTCATTCAGTGTCTCAGTATACACAGTCATCCCCACTGTGTAACGCTAAAGTTAGTGTTTAATTCTTGAGAACATAGCAATAATAAAAAGACCCTTTATAAAGCTGTTTTTAAAAGACTAGATGCATCAAATGCCACAAACCATCTACCTTTCCAAAAAAAGGACATGCAGAAATGTTCAGGACAACTAACCCGGTACATGGCTCTAAATCCAAGTTCTTGTTTTCTTCACTTTGTAATAAATCCTCTATTTTCTCTCTGAGGAATAAGAATAGACCATAACCATCAGTACCTTTAAGGAATGAAGTCATCAACCAAGAAAATAATCACAACCAAAAACAGTCTAACTATAAGAACATGTGACAATGTAATTCTACCAAATTACCCTAGAAATTTTAGTTCAAAGACTTTTTTAAAAATGCTTTATTTTGACCTAGGCATAGAATCCCAGCACTTTGGGAGGTCGACGTTGGGTGGATCACTTGAGCCCAGGAGTTCGCGACCAGCCTGGGCAATATACTGAGAGCCCCTCACTACAAAAAATAAATCTTAAAAATTAGCTGGGAGTGGTGCAGTGTAACTGTGGTCCCAGCTACTCCAGAAGCGGAGGTGGGAGGATCACCTGAGCCCAGGAAGTTGAGGCTGCAGTGAGCTGTGATCGCATCACTGCACTCCAGCCTTGGCAACAGAACGAGACCCTGTCTCAAAAAATAAATAACATAAAATAAAAAAGCTTTATTTGGCGTATTTTGGGGGGAAGAGGGTTACTGCTGCTATTTATTAGTGACAACTTCTCAAGGACTCGTCAATACAAGTGATTTAATTTTTGACTTTCCCAGTAAAATGGTTACACCAACAACTAAGCTGAGCAAGACCAGACACTTGTCCAAAATCACATCTGCTTGTCGGCACCTTTACTGCAAGCAAAGAGAACATGGACATGCTACAGGCTGGATAAGCCTGATCCACTCCTCTGCCTTCAAGGACATTGGACAGTGGCTGTCAGGTATTCAGTCCATGCAAGTTTTAGAAGTCAGCTGATTAGCATTTAAAAAACAAGAAAAGGGGCTGGACAATGGCTCACGCCTGTAATCCCAGCGCTCTGGGAGGCTGAGGCAGGAAGATCCCTTGAGCTCAGGAGTTTGACACCAGCCTGGGAAACATAGTGAGATCCGTCTCTATTAAAAAAAATAAAATAAAATAAAAAATCCACGCAGGTCTGACCACGTACTGAAATCTCTTGCCTAGTGACATGTAGCAAGTCCAAGTACAATACATGGAACTCTATTTACAATTTGTTGCTGTTACACTAATTTGAATATGCCGGCTAGGCATGCTGGCTCATGCCTGTAATCTCAACACTTTGAGAGGCTGAGGCGGGCAGATCACTTGAGGCCAGGAGTTCGAGACCAGCGTGGCCAACATGGCAAAACCTCGTCTCTACTAAAAATATAAAAATTAGGCGGGTGTGGTGGTGCACGCCTATAATCCCAGCTACTCTGGAGGCTGAGGCACAAGAATTGCTTGAACCTAGGAGGCAGAGGTTGCAGTAAGCCAGGATTGCACCAATGCACTCCAGCCTGGGCAAAAGAGCAAGACTGTCTCAAAAAAAAAAAAAAAAAAATTTTTTTTTTAATATGCCACAATTATATCCTGCCATTCACAACATCACACCCGTGTGTGTACTATGTTTGTAAAGCACAGGTTTGAGATATAGATGCCTGTCATCCCCAATATATAGCACACAATGCACGCTTAGTTTTAATTTAGGAACTTACACCACTTGGTCAATAAACTTCTTTTGATCCTCAGGAATCGTGACAGGACATTTTGAAGTGTTAGGAGATACATAGGACAGAGCTCCTGCACCATTCGCCTGTGAACGTTTTTCATCATACTGCTCTCTTAACTGTCTTTCTTCTTCCTGATTTAAATATGGAATTCCTAAACACGATTTTAAAAAGAATGCATTAGCAGAAGTAACTGTCTAACATAAAATTTGTTTAACAAACCAAAGAGTCTAAATTACTCAGGAAAGATTTACCATATTTAACTACATCTCAAAAAATGAACAGAAAGGCAAATGATTTTGAAATGTGTTTATCATTCATCCATTCATTCAGTCTTCTTTCAAGAAATATTTATCTGGCACTTATGCTGTGCCAAAGCATTATATTAGGCACTGGGGAATGAACAGTGACAAGCTGATGCATCCTGCTCTGTAGTGAAGGGAACTACTTCTGACAAGAAAATCAGGAAAGTCAGGGAAAACCCAAAGGATGAGAATAAGTCGGATACGAAAGGAGCTAGGGGAAGAGTCCTTCGGGTAGGGGAAACAAGTATTAATACCCAGAACATGGAAATGGCTTGGACGGTTCCAGGAGCAGCAAGGAGCTGGTGTGGCCAGATGTCATGAGCAAAAATGGAATGGTACAGCATCACATTGGAGAGAGTATGGAGCAAGATTCTGCAGGCCCTCACAGGCCAGTGTAAGAAATGTACATTATTCTAACAGTGGCTGGACAACATTAGAAGATTTTAAGCAAGATAATTACCTTACCTGCATAATGTTTCAAAGGCCATGATGACTACTCTGAGAGTGAAGTTAGGAAACAAGTCAGGAGCAATTGTCCAGGCAAGAGACAAGAGCTCAGATCAGAGGTCAGCAAACTTTTTCTTTGTTTTGTTTTGTTGTGAGACAGTCTTACTCTGTCACCCAGGCTGGCATGCAATGGCACAATATGAGCTCACTGCAACCTCTGCCTCCCAGGTTCAAGCAATTCTTCTGTCTCAGCCTCCCGAGTAGCTGGAATTACAAGCGTGCACCATCACACCAGGCTAATTTTTGTATTTTCGGTAGAGACAGGGTTTCGCTATGTTGGCCAGGCTGGTTTCGAACTCCAGACCTCACCGCCTGCCTCAGCCTTCCAAAGTGCTGGGATTACAGGCGGGAGCCACGGCCACCGCGCACGGCCAGCAAACTCTTTCTTAAAGGGCTCGATGGCAAATGTTTTAGGCTTGTGGGCAATGGGGGTCTCTGTCGCAATACTCAACCCTGCTGTTGTGGCACAAAAGCAGCCATACACAAAATGTACATGTACGGGCATAGCTGTAGTCCAACAAATCTTATTTACAAAACAAGGAGCCAGCAGTGGGCTCTTGTTTGTAACCCTGGTGTAGAGATGGCAGGGTAGAAGGAGACAGTGATTTTCTAGACATAAGACGTAACACTTACTGATATCCTGGAGATGAAGGATAAAGGGAAAGGCAAAATCAAGAGTAACACCTTGCGGCCGGGCATGGTGGCTCACGCCTATAATCCAACCACTTTGAGAGGCCGAGGCGGGCGGATCACAAGTTCAAAAGATGGAGACCAGCCTGGCCAACATGGTGAAACCCCGTCTCTACTAAAAATACAAAAATTAGCTGGGCATGGTGGTGTGTGCCTGTAGTCCCAGCTACTTGGGAGGCTAAGGCAGGAGAATCACTTGAACACAGGAGGCAGAGGTTACAGTGAGCCGAGATCGTGCCACCGCACTTCAGCCTGGCGACGGTGTGACACTGTCTCAAAAAAAAATAAAAATAAAAATAAAAAAAACACCTTGCTATTTGGTTCAAGCGATTGGGAAGATGGTAGGGCCACTAACTGATGTGAAGACAATGAGGGGAAAAATAGGTATCGGGGTCCAAGGAGTGAAAATCAAAAGCTACCTTTTGGACATACTATTTTTTTTTCTTTTTTTTCTTTTTAGAACGAAGTCTTGCTCTGTCACCCAGGCTGGAGTGCAATGGCACGATCTCGGCTCACTGCAACCGCCACCTCTCGGGTTCAGGCAATTCTCCCGCCTCAGCCTCCCAAGTTGCTGGGATTACAGGCGCCCGCCACCATACCCAGCTAATTTTTGTATTTTAGTAGAGACAAGGTTTCAACATGTTGGCCAGGCTGATCTTGAACTCCTGACCTCAGGTCATCTGCCCATCTCAGCCTCTAAAAGTGCTGAGATTACAGGCGTGAGCCACCGCGCCCTACCACGGACATGTTAAATCATCTAAGGGAATACACAAATTAAAAGCTGCAGTTACAAGCCTATAGCTCAAGAGAAAGGTGTTGAGATATACATTTAGTTATCATTGGGACACGGGTGGTATTAAAATCCATGGGGACGGGGCGCGGTGGCTCACGCCTGTAATCCCAGAACTTTGGGAGGCCAAGGCGGGCAGATCACCTGAGGTCGTGAGTTCAAGACCAGCCTGACCAACATGGAGAAACCCTGTCTCTACTAAAAATACAAAATTAGCCGGGCGTGGTGGCACATGCCTGTAATCCCAGCTACTCTGGAGGCTGAGGCAGGAGAATCGCTTGAACCTGGGAGGCAGAGGTTGCGGTGAGTCAAGATTGCACCATTCCACTCCAGCCTGGGCAACAAGGGTGAAACTCCATCTCAAAAAAAAAAAAAAAACAAAACACCATGGGAGGCCGGGCGCCTGGCTCATGCCTATAATCCCAGCACTTTGGGAGGCTGAGGAGGGCGCATCACTTAAGATCAAGAGTTTAAGACCAGCCTGTCCAATATGGTAAAACCCTCTCTCTACCAAAAAGTACAAAAATTTGCCACGCGTGGTGCCACGCGCCTATAGTCCCAGGTACTCAGGAGGCTGAGGTGGGATAATCACGTGAATCTGGGAGGTAGAGGTTGCAGTGAGCCAAGATCACGCCACTGCACTCCAGCCTGGACGACAGGGTGAGACAGTCTCAAAACAACAATAACAACAAAGCCATGGGACACTAAGGAATTTGTAGAAAGAACAATGAACGTAGAAAACCACCATCAGTCAACGATAATTGCTTAAAGCAAGAACTATCAATAGATGCTAAAACTAACTGGCAAAAAAAGTGGTCCACGTTAACATCACCAGTATTGGGACAAATGACATCACGTGCCTCCTGGTATGATACACGGAGAAGAATACACATAGAGGAGAAGCGGGAAGGCAACAGATAGTGAAAAAGCAATGGAAGTCAACAGATTGCTGAAATAGGTACCAGAGCAAGTGAATCAGAAGCATGAGTAGTACTCTCAAAAAAAGAAACATTAAAAACACTAAAAACAATAAATGAGACCATGCGTAACAGGTCACTCCTATAATCCCAGAGCTTTAGGGGGTGGCGGCAGGAATACCAGGAGTTTGAGACCAGCCTGGACAATATAGTGAGACCCTGCCTCTATAAAAAACATAAAAATTAGCTGGACATGATGGTGTGCACCTATGGTTCCAGCTACACGGAAGGCTGAGGTGGGAGAATCACTTGGGCCCAGGAGGTCAAGGCTGCAGTGAGTCATGAATGTGCCAGTGCACTCCAGCCTGGTGACAAAGCAACATCTTGTCTCAAAAATGGGAAAAAAAAAAAAGAGTAAATGAGAGGTGCAGTTTTTGACCCTAAGACCCATGACGCTGCCATTGGTATAGAGGACTAAAGAGAGATAGAAAGATGCTGACCACCTGGTCAAGAAACAGACCAGAGCATTTGCTGGTTATCCTTGAGGATACTAAAGTCACCCAGAGAGGGGCAGGAGTGGAGAGAATTATAACACACCAAAGCCAAGGCTAAGATGCACGCTGTGCCTACAGGAGTCAGCACAGAGGGGCAGCAGAGCTGGTGACAGCCTGAAAATGGTGGCTCCCGTACAAAAGAAAATTCAGGGGCCAGGCACGGTGATCACACCTGTAATCCCAGCTCTTTGGGAGGCCAAGGCAGGTGGACCATCTGAGGTCGGGAGTTGGAGACCAGCCTGGCCGACATGGAGAAACTGTCTCTACTAAAAATACAAAATTAGCTGGGTGTGGTGGCACATGCCTGTAATCCCAGCTACTTGGGAGGGTGAGGCAGGAGAATCACTTGAACCCAGGAGGCAGAGGTGGTGGTGAGCTGAGATCGCACCATTGCACTCCAGCATGGGAAAGAAGAGCGAAACTGTCTCAAAAAAAAAAAAAAAAAAAAAAAAAAAAAAAAGAAAAGAAAAGAAAATTCAGGTGTCTGAAGGTGGTGTGGGGAAACAAGGAGGACACCTAGCACAGCCTGGCCAGAGGAAGACAAGAGTGAGAGGGAAAACCACCGGGGATGGAGAAGGCTACAGGGGGAAACTAACAAGGAGTCACCTGGTTTCCCTCCAGACAAGGAAATCAAAAGGAACTTGAGAGAAGACTGCCGTAAAGAAAGGGCCTGACATTTACAGAGCCTGAATGGAAAGCCTTGAAAATGGAGAGAGATGAGGGTCTAAGTCAGATTTAGAGCATATCAACAACGGCATGGGATGAGGCTTGGTAGTATGGATGACCTGGGAGTCCTGACTATCGTGACTAAAATATTCCAGGGCATGACTATAAAACAGAAGAAGGAGGCACATTCCAATCTGGCTGTTTCTCTTCTTTTATGGGAAAAAAAAAAAAAAACAAGTTAGAACTATGCATCCATATGAGTACCAGATAAAGTGGTTCCTTCAAGAGATGCTGCCACTAGTCCAATATAGTGCTCTAAATGCATTTGGAACTTATATTTTATAATGGCTTTCAGAGTCAAGTATGAGACGAATAAAAAAAATTCTTTATAATACCCAAACTGTATTGCTCTGCTGGTTCAGTCACTATGTGAAGCAGTTTTGGCTCAAAACAAGTTTGTTTTTATTACCTCCGAAGATCAAAATCAGTAAAAATTAAGATGCAGCATCACTGAAACAATTAAAAAACAATATGGGCCAGGCCCGGTGGCTCATGCCTGTAATCCCAGCACTTTAAGAGGCAAAGGTAAGTGAATCACTTGAGGTCAGGAGTTCAAGACCAGCCCAGCCAACATAGTGAAACCCCATCGCTACTAAAAATACAAAAATTAGGTGTGCGTGGTGGCATGTGCCTGTGGTCTCAGCTACTCGGGAGGCTGAGGCACGAGTATCACTTGAACCTGTTAGGTGGAGGCTGCGGTGAGTCGAGATCATACCATTGCACTCCAGCCTGGGCGACACAGTGAGATTCTGTCTCAAAAAAAAAAAAAAAACACCACCAATATGGCATGGGTACTAAACACCTTGCAAAGAGGTTCTGCTGAGAATAGGAGAATTCATTTGAAGTCCATGTACTTTTTTTTGAGAAAAGTTCAGTTATTTTTGTTGGGATAAACCTCCTTCCCTCTTTCATTCATTAATTCTACATTCACCATGGGGGAAAAAAAACAAAATTTATGTAAATAATTAAATTAAAATATTGACCTTGTACATACTTAATACCACTGCAAAAAGCACAGTCTTTCCAAACACTTTTAGAGAAACAAATGGAGAGGAAGGAAAACCAATCTGAAATGTTCTAATGTCCAGTAGTCATGCACCCATTTATGCATCAAATATTTGGTGGTCACCTCCCTGATGTAGAAGAGAAATCATGCTATGCAAGGGGATGTGAAAAGAACAAGACACAATCCCTTCCTCAGGTGCTCCCCAGGCCATCACTCTAGCAAGTTAGCCATTATCAATCGTGCAGTCTCTGCACTTTTCTTCTCCCATAAGAAACTAAGAAACTGTCTCCAACTACTAAAAAAGCAACAGGTAGGCAGGGTGTGGTGTCTCATGCCTGTAATCCCAGCAGGCTGGGAGGCCAAGGCAGGTGGATTGTTCGAGGACAGGAGTTTGGGACCAGCCTGGGCAATGGCGAAATCCCATTTCTACAAAAAATTCGAAAATCAGCCAGGCATGCTGGTGCACAGCTGTAGTTCCAGCTACTTGGGAGGGTGAGGTGGGAGGATCATTTGAGCCCAGGAGGTCAAGGCTCCGGTGAGCTATGATTGCACCACTGCACTCACCCTGGGTGACAGAGTGGGACCCTGTCTCAAAAAAAAAATTAAAAATAATTCCTGCCAGCAGAGGGGTTATAAAAAATAAACATAAAAAATAAAATAAACATAAACATGCACTAGCTGGAAAAGAGGGTTTTCATTACAGCATCAGTGGAATACAGGACATTTCTAAACTACATACCTCTTGTTACACTGGAAGAAAACAAGGAAGCACTCCCCACAGGTGGTGAGTTAGGCCACTATATCACGCCAGTGGTAGAATAAACTGCACTCGATAAAAACAGGAGTTTGAAAGGCCTTATCAGAGTTAAATGAAGTAGTATCTATTCTGTTTAGCTCATGGCTGATTATGTTTTTTGTTTTTTTTTAAAAAAAAAAAAAAAAGATCACAGTAGGCCAGGCGTGGTGGCTCACACTTGTAATCCCAGCATTTTTGGAGGCCAAGGTGGGCAGATCACGAGGTCAGGAGATCGAGACCATCCTGGCTAACACGGTGAAACCCTGTCTCTACTAAAAATACAAAAAATTAGCCAGGCGTGGTGGCGGGCACCTGTAGTCCCAGCTACTCGGGAGGCTGAGGTAGGAGAATGGTGTGAAACTGGGAGGCAGAGCTTGCAGTGAGCCGAGATCACACCACTGCACTCCAGCCTGGGCAACAGAGCGAGACTCTTCTCAAAAAAAAAAAAAAAAAAAAAATCACAGTAAGCAAGTTTTTAAAAATTCTAAGGCTGCATATGTGTACTGGCTGCACATGTATGCTGGAACTCTAAGACTGTGTCTCAGCAGGCACAAAATAATAATTCTCAACCAAGTTCAGACTTACTTCCCAAGGATATTTTGAAGGTTTATAAGCTCTAAAGATAGGTTACCCATAATCTTACCATTTCGAAAAACTTTATTAAAATCAAATCCCTGGCTTGCTAGAAAGTCAATGCTGGAGCTCTGAAACAGAGTAAACAGAACACATGTTTTGGGGATGTTAGCGGCAGGAATATAAAGAGATGCAGAGAAGTAACTCAAACAAGAAAACAAAGACAATATGGGAAGGAAGCGATGTGCCAGAGGTCACAATACAAGGAATTTCTACTCCACAAACAATCCATTAACTTGCTTAAAACATTTGGGCTCTTCTCCTTTATAGCTTACAAAACAAACATCCTTTGTTTCACAATTTTTTTTTTATAGACAGGGTCTCACTATGTTGCCCAGGCTGGTCTCAAACTTCCGGACTCAAGCAATCCTCCTGCCTCGGCCTCCCAAAGTGCTGGGATTACAGATGTGAGTCACCACATCCAGCCTACTTCATAATATTTTTTAAAAATCTACTGGGTAGACCGGCACAGTGGCTCATGCCTGTAATCCCAGCACTTTGGGAGGCAGAGGTGGGCACATCACTTGAGGTCAGAAGTTCGAGACCGGCAGGTCAGAACTTTGAGAACAGCCTGGTCAACATGGTGAAACCCTGTCTCTACTAAAAATACAAAAATTAGCCGGGTGTGCCAGGCGCGGTGGCTGACACCTGTAATCCCAGCACTTTGGGAGGCCAAGGCGGGTAGATCACGAGGTCGGGAGATCAAGACCATCCTGGCTAACATGGTCAAACTCCGTCTCTACTAAAAATAAAAATAAATTAGCCAGGCGAGGCAGCATGTGCCTCTAGTCCCAGCTGCTGGGGAGGCTGAGGCAGGAGAATGGCGTGAACCCGAGAGGTGGAGCTTGCAGTGAGCCGAGATCATGCCACTGCCACTGCACTCCAGCCTGGGTGACAGAGCAAGACTCTGTCTCAAAAAAAAAAAAAAAAAATTAGCCAGGTGTGGTGGTGTGTACCTGCAATCCCAGTTACTCAGGAGGCTGAGGCAGGAAAATTTCTTGAGTTTGGGAGGTGGAGGTTGCAGTGAGCCGAGAGAGCCACTGCACTCCAGCCCAGGCGAGAGAGCAAGACTGTCTCAAAAAAAAAAAAAAAAAATATTCCACTGGGCGAACGGATTATTCTCCCAATAGGCAGAAAGCTCCTGATCGCTTGACTGTTGCAGTACTGACTAGGAAACTATAAATAGAACTAGTATGTATTTTATTACCCTGTCCCAGGTTCAAGTTTAACACAGGCACATGCACAGGTTATAAGACACTGACATCCACCTCAAATTAGATAATGAAAGCCCAAAATCTTAATTAAATGTTCTCAATGTTGAAGATCAAAAGAGAAACCAGGCACGGTGGCTCGCACCTGTAATCCTAGCACTTAGGGAGGCCAAATGAGGAAGATCGCTTGAGCCCAGGAGTTAAAGACCAGCTTGGGCAAAACAGTGAGATCCTATCTCCACAAAAAATTTAAAAATTAGCCAGGCATGGTAGCACATGCCTGCAGTCCCAGCTACCCAGGGGCTGAGGTAGGAGGATCACTTAAGTATGGAAGGTGAGGAGGTTGAGGCTGTAGTGGGCTACCATCATGCCACTGCACTCCAGCCTGAGTGACAAAGTGAGACCTTGCCTCAAAACAAAAAAGATCAAAAGGAAAGTTCCCAATAATAAGCCTTACGAAACAAATATATCTCGAACCTAGCATGAGCCAAAATATGTTCCCAGATTTAAATAAAAACATTAGACTGGGCTGGACATGGTGGCTCACACCTGTAATCCCAGCACTTCCGGAGGCTGAGGTGGTTGCATCGCTGGAGCCCAGGAGTTTGTGTGACCAGCCTGGGCAACATGGCAAGACCCCATTTCAATTAAAAATAATAATAATAAAATTATTTTAAAATAAGTATATATTAGGCTGGGTGCAGTGGCTCACACCTGTAATCCCAGCACTTTAGGAGATGGTGGGAGGATCGCTTGAGCCCAAGACTTCGAGACCAGCCTGAGTAACATAGGGAGACCCATCTCTACAAAAAATTTAAAAATTAGCCAGGTGTGGTGGTTCCCATCTGTAGTCCCAACTATCCCACAGGCTGAGGTGGGAGAATCAGAAAATCATTTCAGCCCAGGAGTTCAAGTCTGCAGTGAGCTGTGATCACACCGCTGGACTCCAGCGTGGGTGACAGAACAAGTCTCTGCCTCTTAAAAAAAAAACAAAAAACAGGTTGAGTGTGATGGCTCATGCCTGTAATCCCAGCACTTTCGGAGGCTGAGGCAGGCGGATCAAGAGGTCAGGAGTTCGAGACCCGCCTGACCAACATGGTGAAACCCCGTCTCTACTAAAAATACAAAAATTAGCCAGGCGTGGTGGTGCACGCCTGTAATCCCAGCTACTCAGCAGGCTGAGGCAGGAGAATGGTGTGAACCCAGGAGGCAGAGGTTGCCATGAGCCGAGATCATGCCACTGCACTCCAGCCTGGGTGACAGAGCAAGACTCTGTCTCAAAAAAAAAAAAAAAAAAAAAACACTGGCCGGGCACAGTGGCTCATGCCTGTAATCCCAGCACTTTGGGAGGCCCAGGCGGGCAGATTACAAGGTCAGGAGATCGAGACCACCCTGGCTAACATGGTGAAACCCCGTCTCTACTAAAAATACAAAAAATTAGCCAGGCGCGGTAGTGGGCACCTGTAGTCCCAGCTACTCGGGAGGCTGAGGCAGGAGAATGGTGTGAACCAGGGAGGCGGAGCTTGCAGTGAGCTGAGTTTGTGCCACTGCACTCCAGCCTGGGCGACAGAGCGAGACTCCATCTCAAAAACAAAAAACAAAAAACACTGTATTAAGTGAACAATACTATAGATGAAACACAAGCACGGCAAAATTATGGAGTTCATACTCAAATGAACTTAAGAAATAAGCATTACTGTAGCTACTCTAATTTTATTCTTGGCCAAGTCAGAACATCAGCAGGCTACACATCTGAATCATTTTCATCTGGTCCCTTTCCTGCACTGTACTTTGACATTATGCCATCAGTCTAGATTGAAGGACATGGTAACAAACAGTTCCATTAAACTTATCACAGTACTGACTTCAGAGATGTGATTGAAGATCAGGTTTTCTACAGTAATCATTTACTTATAATTCAAGGGTAAATGTTCTGAGGTCTCTATTCTGGGGAAAGCTATACTAATCCTGAGTTCTGGATTGTCCTAATCCTATGGACCACGGAATGACTGTGTTTCCCTCTTTTCTTTGCTACTAGGAAGCTCAGGGACAAACAAATTACACTTTCTTTGGCACAAATTCTGTGTTCTATTCATACCATAGTGATTGTATCATTTTTCTTTTCTTTCAAATTTTCATTTACTAATTTTTTAATCTTATGTTAAAAGGTAAATACCGTATATATCTTTAATAACCAAAACAAATCGTTTTGAAATGGTGAGATATAAAAAGACAATCTGAACACAGAAAAACACACAAACAAATAGAAGCACATGCAAATCACTTCCATCGTGTCCAGGCTTTTATACTTTACAACAAGCAATCTTTCCCTACCCCCACTTCTTTTTTAATCCTGTCCTGAACCAAGAACCAAGACTCAATGTATTTTGATTGGTCTGTGGGCTTCTGTCTACCATGGCTGGAGTGTTCTTATAACTCTGCCCACCTAAACATTCCATCTCTGACAAAGGCACTGAAACACAAACTGTGGAAGGCATTTTTGTCCTTCTAGTACTAGACACCAAAACATCCTACTTTCCTTTATCCCACTGAATTCAAAGTCAGAGTCATCTATGCCTTTCCTGAAGCTGCTTATTTTCTAATCAAAACAACACTCTTTGGGTTGTACAATAGTGTCAATGTACTTAATGCCACTGAGCTATACATTTAAATACGGTTAGAATAGTAAAATTTATGTTACATATATTTTACCACAATTTTTAAGAAAACCTCTGAACTTGGCCAGACACGGTGGCTCACGCCTGTAATCCGAGCACTTTGGGAGGCGAGGCAGGCAGATCACGAGGTCAAGAGATCAAGACTATCCTGGCTAATACGGTGAAAACCCTGTCTCTACTAAAAATACAAAAAATTAGCTGGGCATGGTGGCAGCGCCTGTAGTCCCAGCTACTTGGGAGGCTGAGGCAGGAGAATGGCGTGAACACGGGAGGCAGAGCTTGCAGTGAGCCAAGATCGTGCCACTGCACTCCAGCCTGGGCGACAGGGGCTTCGTCTCAAAAAAAAAAAAAAAAACCTTTGAACTAACAAAACCTTTTGGAGTTTACTAGCCACTACCTTTGATTTGTCATAAATGTAACATGTTCAAGATTGAAGAGATGAGGCTGGGAGCAGTGTCTCACGCCTGTAATTCCAGCACTTTGGGAGGCCAAGGCGGGTGGATCACTTGAGGTCAGGAATTCGTGACCAGACTGGCCAACATGGTGAAACTCTGTCCCTACTAAAAATACAAAAATTAGCCAGGCATGGTGGCACGCATCTGTAGACCCAACTACTTGGGAGGCTGAGGCAGAAGAATCACTTGAACTCGGGAGGTGGAGGTTACAGTGAGCCAAGATAGTGCCACTGCACTCCAGCCTGGGTGACAGAGTGAGACTCCGTCTCAAAAAAAATAAAAAGATTCAAGACATGAGAACAGATATTTGGGAGGACAATTTGAGACATCCATCAAAACTTTAAATGCATATATCCTATGTCTCAACAACTCTCCTTCTAGGAAATCTACAATACAAAAAAATTCTTACACATACAAAAAGATATACTGAACACAGATGTTGACTATAGAATTGCTGATAACCACTGGAAAGCCTCCAAATTTCAATTAACTGATCAAACAAATTATACGTATCCATACTACGAAATAAAAGACATTCTGCTGAGTGGCAAGTGCGAGTTGCATAAAATGTGAAATTAGGATTCCATATATATATATTTGAGACGGAGTCTCGCTCTGTCACCCAGGCTGGAGCGCAGTGGCGCGATCTTGGCTCAGTGCAAGCTCTGCCTCTCGGGTTCACACCATTCTCCTGCCTCAGCCTCCCGAGTAGCTGGGACTACAGGCGCCCGCCCCCACGCCTGGCTAATTTTTTTTGTATTTTTAGTAGAGACGGGGTTTCACCGTGTTAGCCAGGATGGTCTTAATCTCCTGACCTCGTGATCCGCCCGACTTGGCCTCCCAAAGTGCTGGGATTACAGGAGTGAGTCACCACACCCGGCCCATTTTTTACAATGTAAGCCTGGCGCAGTGGTACGTGCTTGTAATCCCAGCACTTTGGGAAGCCAAAGTGGGCAGATCGCTTGAGCCCAGGAGTTCAAGACGAGCCAAGGCAACATGGTAAAACCTTGGCTCTACAAAAAATACAAAAATTAGCTGGGCATGGTGGCATGTGCCTGTAGTTCCAGCTACTGAGGAGGCTAAGGCAGGAGGATCACTTGAGCTGGTGAGGTCAAGGCTGCAGTGAGCCATGACAACATCACTGCACTCTAGCCTTGGTGACAGAGACTCTGTCTCCAAAAAAAAAAAAAAGCTAATATGTATGTGTGTCTAGGCATATGTCTATATGTATACATGTACATAAAAGCTAGGAAAAAAGGAGTAAAATGGGAAGGAAGTGGCATGGGAAAAGGATATAAGAAGGGAAACACAGCCAGGCACCATGGCTAATACCTGTAATCCCAGCACTTTGGGAGGCCGAGGTGGGCAGATCACGAGGTCAAGAGATCGAGACCATCCTGGCCAACATGGTGAAACCCCGTCTCTACTAAAAATACAAAAATTAGCTGGGCGTGTTAGCACATGTTTGTAGTCCCAGCCACTCCAGAGGCTCAGGCAGGAGGATCGCTTGAACCCAGGAGGTGGAGGTCGTGGTGAGCCAAGATCGCACCACTGCACTCCAGCCTGGAAACAGAGCAAAACCCCATCTCAAAAACAAAAAAAAAGAAAAGAAAAAAAAAAGAAACACATCTGGCCAGGCGCGATGGCTCACGTCTATAATCCCAGCACACTGGAAGGCCAAGGCGGGTGGATCACCTGAGGTCAGGAGTTTGAGACCAGCCTGACCAATATGGTGAAACGCTGTCCCCATTAAAAATACAAAAATTAGCAGGGCGTGGTGGCAGGTGCCTGTAGTCCCAGATACTCAGGAGGCTGAGACAAGAGAATTGCTTGAACCCAGGAGGCAGAGGTTGCAGTGAGCCGAAATCACACCACTGCACTCCAGCCTGGGCGACAGTGTAAGGCTCCATCTCAAAAAAAAAAAAAAGAAAAGAAACACATCTGTTACTCTACATACAGCAGTTATGCTTCAATTTTTCACAACCATATATATAAAATACCTTCTATGAATTCAACTACAGATCTTCAGCCTGAAAAAGGAAGAGGAAGAAAAGAAAAAGGAGAAGACAAAAATGATGTAAATGTCATGCTATGCTGACTGCCCTACTATTCTACAAACACACTCTTCTGGGTGTGAGTGTGGTTCTGTCAGCCCATTCCTCCACATCTTGACAAGCATATGGGAGCATCTCACTGCGCACACAGGGTCTTATTTTTTAAAGAACATATTAAATTGTTGTATCCTCAAATCCTATATGCTTTAAGGGTGATAAGAGCTTTCTGAGAGAGATTTTGACCCAATTTTCACCCTACTTAATAACTCCAGAAACTAATGCCCTTGTATGCAACTCTGCTACAACTATAGAATTTTAAATAAAACAAAAACCTTAAATGAGAGACCAAAGAAAATCCAAAAATACATTAACCTTTTCATACAATTCCCAAATTTAGAGTCTAAACCTTTTCTCTGCCTTTGCTTTTCCACACTAGAGAATCCCGGCATTTTTATTCATCTGTTTTAGACATTACTCTCTGGGCTATCTTCAAGTCTATGATAGCTTTTTTTAAAGGAGTGGCTGGCAACTACAACTGTATTAAGTATTCCAGGTGTACAATCATGGTTTGTACAATGGGTGAAGTTCCTCTGATCTGTTTCCAATACATTTCTCAAAATAACCAGTTTTGTCTTGGTTGTTTAGAACAGAGTGCCATCGGCCAGATGTGGTGGCTTACGCCTGTAACCCTAGCACTTTGGGAGGCCAAAGTGGGAGGATCACCTGAGGTCAGGAGTTTGAGACCAGCCCGACCGACATGGAGAAACCCCATCTCTACTAAAAATATAAAATTAGCCGGTGTGGTGGTGCATGCCTGTAATCCCAGCACTTTGGGAGGCCAAGATGGGAGGATCACCTGAGGTCGGGATTTCAAGACCAGCCTGACCAACATGGAAAAACCCTATCTCTACTAAAAATATAAAATAAGCCGGCGTGATGGTGCATGCCTGTAATAACAGCTACTCAGGAGGCTGACGCAGGAGAATCACTTAAACCCGGGGCTTTAGCCTGGGCAACAAGAGCGAAACTCCATCTCAAAAAAAAAAGAACAAAGTGCCATCCCCAAGGTGTCTCATTGCCACCCTCTGCTTTTGTTTGATTAACCCCTGGCCAAAGCCATGGAACCCACTTTAAATAATTCTGTGTTGCTGGTACTGCTAGAAAACTATATCCACACAAATTTCCCAACTGAGCCTACTTTTCCCTCAATGAAAATTTACCAAAAAAAAAACAAAACAAAACAAAACTGTAAGGCCGGGTGCGGTGGCTCAGCACTTTGGGAGGCCAAGCCGGGCAGATCACCTGGGGTCGAGAGTTCGAGACCAGCCTGATCAACATGGAGAAGCCTCACCTCTACCAAAAATACAAAATTAGCTGAGCATCTTGGTGCATGCCTGTAATCCCAGCTACTCGGGAGGCTGAGGCAGGAGAATCGCTTCCACCCAGGAGGCAGAGGTTACAGTGAGCCTAGATCATGCCATCACACTCTAGCCTGGACAAGAAGAGCGAAACTTCATCTCAAGAAAAAAAAGAAAAGAAAATTTATAAATACTCTTTAAGTATCCCATACCACGGTGATTGACAAATAGCTATTAACTGATTGCAGGGTAAAGGTAAAATGTCAACTGGTTTACTTGCTAATTTAGGAAACTGTCTATAAGACCAGAATTTAACCTTCACCTTTTCTCTTTTGCCCATAAGCATATGATTAACTCTCGATTTCATTTGTTTATATACTGCCAGTTTTGAGAAAGAATTTGACATAACTCAATCACTTGAAGCCTACCCTCGAGGCTTTCATAACTGCATTACCATTAATCTGCAAGAGAAGGGAAAGATGGCAAGACTCAAATGAATTCATGTTTTTAGTGGGAGAGAAGATAGGATGCAAGATTTTAAGGGAGAAAAGATTAAGACTTATCTTTAATCACATAGCCACACAACCATACCCCTTACTCACATTCTCCTTATCCATTACAACAGATAATCAAAAGAGCAGAAAGGAAACAGTGATATTTACTGAGTGTCTACCAGGTCAGCTACAACACCTCTAGAGGGAATATCCTGAAGGAGAACCTCCCTAATATTGACCCATCAATTAAGCTCTCTTCTCCTCAAGAGAAACAGTAGTTTTTTTTTCTACCCCCCTTTCCTAATTAGTGAGCTTGAGAAAAGGAAGTCAGCATAAATACTTGAACCCCTTCTGCGCTTTCTCTTTTTGCATAGGATACACACATACTCTGCTTTTCCAGAAAATAAAGGTCTACACCCTCAGAGTGGATGCGAGGAGAATGAGTGAGGATAGGGAGAAGCCTCCAAGTCTTTTGTTTATTTTAATTTTTATTTTAAAATAGAGATGAGGTTTCACTATTTTATGCCCAGGCTGGTCTCAGACTCCTGAGCTCAAGTGATTCTCCCGTCTTGGCCTCCAAAACTGCTAGGATTACAGGTGTAAACCACCACATCCAGCCAAGAAGCCTGCAAGTCTTGATGTGTAGGTGGTTCAACTTGGGGGTAAAATAATAAAAATCCCAAATGGAGTTACGAAACTATGTTCTCAAATTCAGCTTTAGAATTACTAAACCTCATGTTCTCATATCTGTCTGTCTGTCTCTGCATCTTATTCCTTAATTCATTCTTTTTTTTTTTTTTGAGCCAGAGTCTCGCTCTGTTGCCCAAGCTGGAGTGCAGGGGCGTGATCTCGGCTCACTGCAACCTCCACCTCCCAGGTTCACGCCATTCTCCTGCCTCAGCCTCCCTAAGTAGCTGGGATTACAGGCACCCATGACCACACTCGGCAAATTTTTTTTTTTGTATTTTTAGTAGAGACAGGGTTTCACCATGTTAGCCAGGATGGTCTCGATCTCCTGACCTCATGATCCGCCCTCCCCGGCCTCCCAAAGTGCTGGGATTATAGGCATGAGCCGCCGTACCTGGCCCTCCTTAATTCATTCTACAGCAAAGGAGGAGATAACAGGGTCATGAATTTATTACCCTAAAACTGAAGGTCAAAGGTGAAATGATTTGCCCCAAAGCCCAAAGTTAATAGAGAACCAAATTCTGATTTCACATTTCCATGCTGCCTCATCAGCAATTCAGAAAAGAAAAATCTCAATTATGCTACTTACCTGACAAACAAATTTGACATCTGGTGAGGATCTATTGAAGGGTTTCGGGAAAACATAGAAGTTAAATGACTTCGTTATATACCTGGGATAAGATAAAAGGAGACTTAGGAGGTGACATTGTGCCACAAAAACGGAATTCCCAACGTTTGTTAACACAACCTACTTTGAATCTGTGTAGTCATACTTAAAAGTGCAAAGGCCAAACTGAAATAGCAAAAAGTCCATGGAATGCTGGAAAAGGGAAATAAAACATCTGTCACAAAAGTGCTGCATATTCCATGTGAGCATAGCATTCTCAAACAGGTGGGCTTTCTGAATTACTCAATGAGACTTCAGCAGAATACTTCCAATTAGAACAGATTACACATATGAATCAGAAGCATTATTAATTTGTATACATTTCATAATACTTTTCCCATTTAAGGACCTATTTATCCATCATCCAAAGAATCATATTAGGTCTATTTCCAAATGATTAAAATAACTGCCTCATATTTCCTATGAATCAAATTAACACTGAAAATGCTAAACTTTCCCCAAAATATTTTCCAGCAAACAATTATTTTTGCTGTTTTAAATATCATTAAAATAACACTTTAAGGCCAGGTGTGGTGGCTCACACCTGTAATCCCAGCACTTTGGGAGGCTAAAGCAGGAGGATCATTTGACGCCAGAAGTTCGAGACCAGCCTGGTCAACAAAGTGAGACCGATCTCTACAAAAGAATATGTAAAAATTAAAAAAAATAATAATAATTGGCTGGGCACAGTGGCTTGCGCCTGTAGTCCCAACTACTTGGGAGGCTGTGGCAGGAGAATCAGTTGAGCCAGGAGTTCAAGGCTCCACAGAGCAGTGATCACGCCACTGCACCCCAGCCTGGGTGACAGAGCGAGACCTTGTCTCTAAAACAAGACAAAACAAAAAAAAAAATCACTTCATGGCTAGGTTTGAGGAGAAAATACTGCACTTACAAAACCTTAATGCACAAGTTTAGTAACAATATTTATCATTTAACATAAGGAAGACTAACATGAGAAAGAAAAAGATTTCCTAGCACATCCACTTGCCTTTTTAAGCTTCTGATACCTCTCTTCTGGAGTGTCAAAACCATTTGTTAATGCAGAGACTGAAGGTCCATCACTGATTCCTAGATTTTAAGAAATAAAAATTTTTAGCTTACTAATAAATACTAACGTAAAAATGCCAGTCAATCATTCAGTGCCTCTATAATGTCGTATCACGAATTAAGGTTACTTGGAAGCACTCCCTAACTTACTTTTTTAAAATAAGCATTAATTTCAGTGGCCACCAGGTTAAACCCTCTAATAATGAACTTAGAGATGCGAATGTTTCAACATGAGAATAGGCAGTTCCAGCGTCTAAAACATGACTTAAAACACAGTAATCATGTAAGAAAACAATCTCTATGCTTGAATAAGTTTTGCTGCTTTAAAAGATTCCTGTATAAACAGACATCAATAAATCCCTAAGTATATTATTGCCAGAGTTCCAGTCTTGGTCAAGAGTTTGGAGTGGTTAATATCTATGCAAAGAATGTATCTTCAAGATTAAGAGAAAATTATTTCTCTAAGTGAAAACTCTTAGCTTCCTAGGGAAGTGATTCCAACTAGACACTACCTAAAGCCAAGGATACTATTTACCCCTGCATGGATTCCTTCATGATTCAAACATGGAAAATCAGACAGCAAAAATGGATATCCATATCAAAGGGAGTGAACCGTTCATATTGACATCAGCAATTTAAAAACTAGTCTTTGCTCCCCCTAAAAAAGGGGAAAAAAAATTTGCAACTTTAAGTGTCAGTGAAGTATTTCCTGTATACACACCTGTTGAGGCAGGCAATGAACACGTCCACTAATGCATAAAGAAATATCTCATTTATCTGCAAAAACCTGACCCTAGCCGGTCACAAAAGGGCAAATATTGTAAGATTCCACTTATATGAGATGTTAAGGGCAGTCAAATTCAGAGACAAATGGCGGTTGCTAAAGGCTGGGCGAAAGGAGAAATGGGGAGTTTAATGTGTAAAGAGTTTCAGACTGTGAAGATGAAGAAGTCCTAGAGATGGATGGTGATGTTTGCACAGCAATGTGAATGTACTTAATGCCACTTAACTGTAAAGCCACTTAAAATGGCAAATTTCATGTTATACCTATTTTACAATCAAGAAAAAAAACAGTCTGACCCTAATCCTCAAGCTCTCTGCAATGTACACGCCGCACTGTTTTAAGCAGCATCAAAACCATCATCTCTATCTGAGATCCTGAGTCCAATCACAAACCTACGGCGTATCTTCATTTCTTTCGTGCTTTTGAAACGTTTAAAGGGTAACACTGAGACCTGTGAAACCCGCCCAAGGCTACTAACAGCAAGAGGCCACCACCAAGCATAAGAAGTTGGGGGCTGGGGGATTGAAGGAGCCTTGGCTATGCACTGCAAAGTGCTAGCCTGAGCTTGCAAGGGAGGGATACCTGAAAACTCCCCATCGATGGCGAAGAAGTCGGCCTCCTCTATGGCCTGGTACACTTTGTGAAGATTACTCTTAAAATCTGCGGAGAAACCGAAAAGAGGCTCAGAACCAGTGGCCTGAATTCCTGCTAAGGGGAGAGGGAAGGAGGGCCGAGGAGCTCCCGAGGCTGAGAGCCGGAAGGGGAAAAGTCCCGGAGGTGTGCACCGGGGCGAGGGGAATCAAGTCCTCGAGGGGTGCATGGGTCAGGGGGGACAAGCCCCGGGGGGTGCCCGGCCCGGAGAAGGACAAGGCCCCGGATGGTGCCGGGGTTGGAGGAGTAAGTACAAGGCTCCTAGGGTGCACGGTCCGCAGCCGGAAAAGACCCCAAGAGGCGCACCGGCTTAAGGAGGGAAAAGCCCTGAGGGGCTGCCTCAGCCCCAGGCCCAGCCAAACACGCCGGCCATGGTCTCGGCCTAGCAGGCCAGGGGCAGCCGGGTGTGGGGAGGCGGGGAGGTGTACGGCGGACACGCACTGCTCCTGATTATCTCCATTCTGCAGAGTGGCCGGAACCTTGGCCCCACCCGGGCCCGCGCCCGCCTCAGCGGTTCTACTCGCCGAATTCCGCGGCGACTGCGGCAGTAGCTGAGGCAGCCGCAGCGGTGACGCCGGCCGCGACTTCCGGAAACAGCGCGCGCCTGCTGCGCTTGCGTCAGCGCCTGCGCGGCGGCGGGGGCGGGGCCAAGGCTGGGCTCCTTTCCCTCCTTATAGGGACAGGGGAGGGGCGTGGCTATCGAAGTCCCCAAGGCGTGGCCTAATTTGTGCGGGCTTTCACTTCAGTAGAAAAAATGTGCATGTCTCGACATCCAGTCGACCAGGAAATACTGACTGGGTTTCTGTGATATGCTAGCCACTCTTACAGGGGTGGAGATACAGTGATGAACAGGAAGACGTGCTCCCTGCCCCATTGTAGCTTAAACTTGGGGTAAGGGGAAATTCAGGCAGGAGTGAAACTTGCCATTTGGTAACACATGAAAATCGCTATTAAGAAAAAGAGCGGGGCGATGTAATAGAGAATAATGGGATCCGGGTGCGGTGGCTCACGCCTGTAAGCCTAACACTTTGGGAACCCGAGGCGGGAGGATCCGTTGAACTGAAGAGTTCGAGACCAGCCTGGACAGCATAGTGAGACCTGTCTCTTAAAAAAATAAAATTAGGCCGGACCCGGTGGCTTATGCCTGTAATCCCAGCACTTTGGAAGGCCGAGGCGGGCGGATCACGAGATCAGGAGTTCGAGACCAGCCTGGCCAACATAGTGAAACCCTGTCTCTACTAAAAATATAAAAATTGGCTGGGCTTGGTGACTCATGCCTGTAATCCTAGCGATTTGGGAGGCAGAAGCGGGCGGATTACCTGAGGTCAGAAGTTCAAGAGCAGCCTGGCCAACATGGTGAAACCCTGTCTCTATTAAAAATACAAAAAATTAGCCGGGTGCAGTGGTGCGCGCCTGTAATCCCAGCTATTCGGGAAGCTGAGGCAGGAGAATCTCTTGAACCTGGGAGGCGGAGGTTGCTGTGAACCGAGATCACGCCACTGCACTCCAGCCTGGGTGACAGAACGAGACTTGTTTTCAAAAAAAAAATTAAATTAAATTAAAAGAATAATAGGGGTTGTTACTTAGGTGATCACGGAAAGCAAAGCTGAGACCCTTAGCTACTGCATTAGCCTCTGGGAATACTATGTCGAGTGCAACATATGAGGCCCGGCCCTAATGGAATTGTATGTTGGTTTGGGGTTGCTGTTCTCCAATGCCTAGCACTGGGCTGACACGTAGTAGACACTCAATAAGCATGGGTTGAATGAATACATTCAGGTTGGTCTTTCACAAAAGCCAACTATGAAAAGTTGGTTAGTGCCGGATGCGATGGCTCACGCCTGTGATCCTGGCACTTTGGGAGGCCGAGGCAGGCGGATTGCTTGAGGCCAGGAGCTCGAGACCAGCCTGGGCAACACGGTGAAACCCCATCTCTACTAAAATACAAAGAATTAGCCTGGCGTGGTGGCGCACCCCTGTAGTCCCAGCTACTCGGGAGGCTGAGGCAGGAGAACTGCTTGAACCCGGGAGGCGGAGGTTGCAGTGAGCCAAGATTGTGCCACTGCACTCCAACCTGGGCGACAGAGCGAGACTCCGTCTCCAAAACAAACAAACGAACAAAAGGAAAGTTGATTAGAAGACCTATTTTCAAAATCTATCTCAGCCACTTATTAGTTCTGGAATGCATTAAACCTTCCTAAACCTCAATTTCCTGGGATTGTATTGAGGCTCAGTGGTGCTAATGAATGTGAACTGGGAAGCAGCGTATTAATAAATCTGTATAAATAACTGTTTAATGGGGGCCTGGCGCCATGACTCACACCTGTAATCCCAGCGTTTTCGGGGGCTGAGGCAGGAGAATCGCCTGAACCCAGGAGTTCCAGACCAGCCTGGGGAAAAGAGCGAGACCCTGTCTCCATAAAAATAAAATGAAATTTTAAAATGAGCCAGGCGTGGTTGTGCACGCCCGTAGTCCCAACTATTCACGAGGCTGAGGTGGGATAATCGCTTGAACCCGGGAGGCGGAGGTTGCAGTGAGCCAAGATCGTGCCACTGTACGCCAGCCTGGCGGGTGAGAGTGAGACTCTGTCTCAAAAACAAACAACAACAACAAAACAAAACCAAATAATCAGCATAAGTTCTAGACGCTGTGACCTAGACGCTGGGAAGGGGCGAAACGTGGTGATAAGAAAACCATTTCAAGCTGTACGAGGTGGCTCACGCCTGTAATCGCAGCACTTTGTAAGGCTGAGGCAGGAGGATCCCTTGACGCCATATGTTCAAGATCAGCCTGGAAAACGCAGCGAGACCCCATCTCTACGAAAAAAAAAATATTTTAATAGAAATAAAAGTCATTTAATTCCGATTCTTAACACCGTAAATTGAACGTATAGTCCTGTGATTTTCTACATAAAATGTGAAGGCAAAAAATAACTGTAGAGAGTACGGTGCGGCCTTGTAATATTTTAATTTCTAGGCAAAGCTTGTATCCTCCGGATACAAGAACAGCCGCCCAGGAGGAGCGGAAACTGACACACACCCGTCACCCCTTGGGCTGTGACTGCCGAGCCCGGGTACTCGGTCTCTGGGTGAAGAGGAAGGGGCGGGACCGGCGGTATTACGCATGCGCCCACTTCCTCCGGCTGGGAGTGGCCGCTCTAGGCAGCGGGGAGGTCGCGGGGTTGAGGGGGGTTGTGAAAGGAGAGCGGCCTCTCCTCTATGGTCACGGGGCCGGGGCACGCTTCCCCCACTCTGTCTTGTTACTTCCGGTAGCGAAGCCTCTCCCTCTTCCTCTGCTCCCGCGGGGTCTGTGCTGAGAATAATGGCCCGGTTGGCCCGGGACGAGTGGAATGGTAAGCCGCGACACGGCTGGGGGGTGCTGAGGGGGCGACTCGGGCTTGATATCGGGGAGTGATGTGGAAGACGGAGCGGGAATCCCTTCTGCGGAGCCTCCCCAGCCGGGTCGTAGGAGGCGCGCGGGGCCTCTCCTCACGCAGGCCCGAGTCCTGAGCATCCCCACTCCTGGCCGCGGGGTTCGGACCCCAGCTTGGCCAACTGCGCTATCCCTTCCCGAGAGCCCCACGTCCGCACAGCCGGTCGCTGGGCCTCGCCTGCGTCCTTTCGGGGGTCAGGGTCAGAGCCACTCCCTCCTGGGGCTCCCTAGGGCGGGAAGGAGGAGGGGTCGCTTCCAAACACCTTGGAGGGGAACCACGGGGCGCCTGCCCGCCAGGAGCGCTTGCCACACCCTGCAACAGCCGGACCAGAATTGATGAGGCTTCTGATAGTCGCCACGCTGAGTTTACGGTCTAATTGTCGAGGCACGTTCCTGGCCTAAGGCGGAGCGATTGTGCCCATTCTTTAAAGTAGGGTGACCGAAGCGCAGAAGGGAGAAAGTGAAATCCCAAAGTCACACTGGGGCCAGGCAAGAACTCGGCTCTTCTGATTCTGCGACTTGCGGCTCGGAAATAACTTAGGCAAAAGAGAATTTTCTTTTTTTTCTTTTTAGAGACGGAGTCTTGCCCTGCCGCCCAGGCTGGAGTGCGGTGGAGCAATCTCGGCTCACTGCAACCTCCGCCTCCCAGGTTCAAGCGATTCTCTTGCCTCAGCCTTCTGAGTAGCTGGGATTACGGGCCCGCGTAACCACGCCCGGCTGATTTTTGTATTTTTAGTAGAGACGGGGTTTCACCATGTTGGTCAGACTGTTCTCGAACTCCTGGCCTCAAGTGACCCACTCGCCTCGGCCTCCCAAAGTGGGGAGATTACAGGCGTGAGCCACCGCGCCCGGCCGAGAATTGTCTTTTATTAAAAAAGCCGGCGGGAGGGGGCGACAGATGAGAGTCAGGTTGTGTCTAAACGGGGACCTTTGGAGGGGCAGGAGGCAGCATCCCAGCTTCCGCGGAAAACAGAGTGAGAGCCTAGACGCTGTTAAGCCCTCAACTGTCGCCATTGGGTCCTCCCCGCCGAAGCCCATTGGTCGGTCCTTTGCAAGGGGGGTGGTCTTGATGTCATGCTCCAAATCGCCAATAGGAAAGAGCTTTACTCTCTTCCCAGGACACACCCCCGAGCCGGCAGGGACTGCACGTGCTGATGGGGTTGTTTTGTTTGTTCTTGTCGCTGCTGTTTTCTCAACATCCAGCCTGGGTGTATCCTGACAGGTGTGCTCTGCATTTCCCTATATCCATAAACTTGATGGAGACATTGTATTTCTCCAGGGCAGTTCTTTTTGTTTGCTTTTTGGTTCCAGCGTTTGGCAGTGCCACTAAGTAGGTAGCCATCACTCAATAAATGCTGCTATTGATAATTCTGTTAATAATGCCGATCAGCCCCACACAGCAAACTTTGAGTACCTGTAGATAGTTTGTCATCTAAACCTCACAGCAGGGCGGGGCTCCGCAGCTCACGCCTGTAATCCCAGCAGTTTGGGAGGCAGAAGTGGGAGTATCCCTTGAGCCCAGGAGACCAGACCAACCTAGGCAACATAGGGAGACGCTGTCTCTTAAAAAAATTTTTTTAAAGTAAACCTCCCAACAGCCCTTCGAAGTTGACATGATTATCCTAGACGGATCAGTGGGAAATAGGAAGTTTAGGAAGAATAAATCGTGACGCGATTTGGAACCCAGATCAGTGTCACTCCTAAGACCATACTGTTTCAACTCTACCAGCCTAAGGAAATTATAATCCAGGAGATGAGAAAACGTACACAAATAAAAGTTATGCTAATGCACAGAGACAAGAAAGATTAATTTGGGTGTTGAGGAGTTAGTCATTAAAGACTTTCAAGTGACAGTTGATTTGGGTCTTTCCAGTTGGATACTTTTGACCCAGCGATGTTGTGAAGTTGTGTTACAGGTGAAGGGAACAATGTGAGGATAAGGAAAAATGTCCAAGGCCAGGCACGGTGGCTCACTCCTGTAATCCCTGCACTTTGGGATGCCAAGGCGGGCAGATTGCTTGAGCTCAGGTGTTCAAGATCAGCTTGGGATACATGGTGAAACCCTGTCTCTACTAAAAATACAAAAATTAGCTGGGCATGGTGGTGGACGCCTGTAGTTCCAGCTACTTGTGAGGCTGAGAAACAAGAATCGCAGGAACCCAGGAGGCAGATGTTGCAGTGAGCCGAGATTGTGCCACTGCACTCCAGCCTGGGCGACAGAGTGAGACTCAGTCTCAAAGACATAAAAGATTGAAAACAAACAAAAACCAATAGTTAAAGTGCGTGTAACTTGGTAACTACCCATAGTTTTTTATAGCTATCTGAGTTACTGACTTGGTAACTAACCATAGTTTTTGATAGCTGAGTTACTGAACATCTACAGAGTATAGTACAGGATAGGTCCTTGCATATATGCCACGAGAAATGAAAGAGGGCAGGCTCCAGCGAGAGCCAGGATAGCCTTCTCAGCCCGCCTTCGTCTTACCCTACACCACCTAGGGCAATAAATCACAGGGCTTTAAGGTCTAGGCAGCAAGTCAGCATCTAGAGGAGCTAGTCACCTTTGCTCCACTGGTTTCTGACCCTGTCCAGAAAAAAAATCTAGTTGGAGTTTGAAAACTCAATGTTTTATACAGTAAGTGACTGGAAATGCTTCTCTCTCTTTTTTTTTTTTTAAGATGGAGTCCCACACCCAGCTAATTTTAATATTTTTAGTAGATACGGGGTTTCACCATATTGGCCAGGCTGGTCTCGAACTCCTGACCTCTTGATCCACCCGCCTCGGCCTCCCAAAGTGGTGGGATTACAGGCATGAGCCACTGCCCCGGCCTAATGCTTCTCTTATGTTAATGGGAGAGCCGGCTTTTGTCTGTTCTGTTTGCGGTTCCTGAACCTTGCCTTGCTTACATTTGAGCACGTTTTAATTTTGTAGTCACTATAAATGGGTGTGCACTCTAGATATTTAATAATTTCTGTAGTATTCTGCTGGTAGTTATAGTGATGTCTCCAGGAATGGACCTGGAGTGTCAGAAATAGGGGTTTCCCCCATGAAGGGGTGGGTTGCCCCTCCACACCTGTGGGTGTTTCTCGTTAGGTGGAACGAGAGACTTGGAAAAGAAAAAGACACAAAGTATAGAGAAAGAAATAAGGAGGCCCAGGAGACCAGCGTTCAGCATATGGAGGATCCCGCCAGCCTCTGAGTTTCCTTAGTATTTATTGATCATTCTTGGGTGTTTCTCAGAGAGGGGGATGTGGCAGGGTCAGGATAATAGTGGAGAGAAGGTCAGCAGATAAACATGTGAACAAAGGTCTCTGCATCATAGACAAGGTAAAGAATTAAATGCTGTGCTTTAGATATGCATACACATAAACATCTCAATGCCTTACAGAGCGGTATTGTTGCCTGCATGTCCCACCTCCAGCCCTAAGGCGGTTTTCCCCTATCTCAGTAGATGGAACATACAATCGGGTTTTATACCAAGACATTCCATTGCCCAGGGACGGGCAGGAGACAGATGCCTTCCTCTTGGCTCAACTGCAAAGAGGCATGCCTTCCTCTTATGCTAATCCTCCTCAGCACAGACCCTTTACGGGTGTCGGGCTGGGGGACGGTCAGGTCTTTCCCTTCCCAAGAGGCCATATTTCAGACTATCACATGGGGAGAAACCTTAGACAATACCTGGCTTTCCTAGGCAGAGGTCCCTGCGGGCTTCCGCAGTGTTTGCGTCCCTGGGTACTTGAGATTAGGGAGTGGTGATGACTCTTAAGGAGTATGCTGCCTTCAAGCATCTGTTTAACAAAGCACATCTTGTACCGCCCGTAATCCATTTAACCCTGAGTTGACACAGCACGTGTTTCAGAGAGCACGGGGTTGGGGGTAAGGTTATAGATTAACAGCATCTCAAGGCAGAAGAATTTTTCTTAGTACAGAACAAAATGGAGTCTCCTATGTCTATCTCTTTCTATACAGACACAGTAACAATCTGATCTCTCTTTCTTTTCCCCCCACCCCCACCCATTCCTACCCCTATTTCTATTGTAAATGTCTCTGCATAGTCACCCTAACAGCTACCAGCTAGAGTTCATGTTCCAAAATGCTGTGTGGTCAAATGCTAGTTTGTTTTTCTCAGCTGTGCAGTAGCATCTCTATGATGTGGCCTAGATGATAAAGGAGTAAATCAGTCCTTTGAACTAATAACCGTTATTGATTACTTTATCAGGATAATGGCGTATTAGGAAGACAGGCTTTAAGTCAGACCATGATTTTTTTTTTTCTTTTGGTGTTTCCGCCTGGTTTCCAACCAGGGACCAGACCATGATTTAAAACATGGCTCTGCCCTTTACTAGTTAGAACTCCATTTTCTCATCTGTAAAATGAACATGGTAGTAATGCTTATTCCATATGATTGTTATGTCCTTAATATTATAAGGCCTCCGTAAATATTAATAATTGTCGCGGGGTGCAATGGCTCACGCCTGTAAATCCCAGCACTTTGAGAGGCCACGGCAGGCAGATCACCTGAGGTCAGGAGTTTGAGACCAGCCTGGCCAACATGGTGAAACCCCATCTCTACGAAAAATTTAGCCAGGCATGGTGGCGCCTGCTTGTAATCCCAGCTACTCGGGAGGCTGAGGCAGGAGAATCGCTTGAACACAGGAGGCAGAGGTTGAGGTGAGCCAAAATTGTGCCACTGCACTCCAGCCTGGGTGACAGAGCAAGACTCCATCTCAGAAAAAAAAAAAAAGTCATTTTTTTTTCCTGCAATGTATTTTATTTCCAATGCTGTATTTTCCCTGCTGCTAGAGAAGTTTAATTTCTCTCTTTGATTTTTTTTTTCAGTTTGTACCCTGGAAAAATAAGGTGATAAATACAGGCAATCATTGCGAAGTAAAGAAGTCATCTATTGTCAGTTAATATATAACGAGAGAATTTAGCCTAACCAGAGGCCCATGGAAGCCAAAATCTTTCTATTCTTACACTGAACCTTCTTGCTGAGAAACAATTGAGGTCAGCTGGGCTCATGCCATAATCCCAGCCCTTTGGGAAGCTGAGACCAGATGATTGCTTGAGCCCAGGAACTCGAGACCATCATGGACAACTTAACAAGACCCTGTCTATACAAAAAAAATTTTAATTAGCTGGGTGTGGTGGCACATGCCTATGGTCCCAGCTACTTGGGAGGCTGAGGTGGGAGGATCACTGGAGCCCGAAAGTTCAAGCCCACAGTGATCCATGATTGCACCACTGCCCTCCAGGCCTGGGCAACAGAGTGAGACCCTGTCTCTAAAAAAGAAGAAATGATTGAAATCATATTTTTCAGGCTGGACTTCCAATAAAGTAGCCCTTAAAAGGATCATTCTTAAAATATTAGCCATATACAATGGTCATAATAAATGTATGTTGAGTGAAGGGGTGCAACCATGATCATATACTGCTGAACCAAGTGGTTTAAAAATTACGATTTCTTTATTTTCCCTGTGATTCTGGATAAAGATTACAATTTCTAAAGAGTTAACAATCATTACATCACAAGATCTTTATAAGTAAGGGTATAAAAATTCTTAGCCTGGGTGCAGTGGCTCACGCCTGTAATCCCAACACTTTGGGAGGCCAAGATGGGTGGATCACGTGAGGTCAGGAGTTTGAAACCAGTCTGGCCAACGTGGCAAACCCCATCTCTATTAAAAATACAAAAATTAGCCAGGCATGGTGCTGGGCGCCTGTAATCCCAGCTACTCAGGAGGCTGAGGCATGAGAATTGCTTGAATCCAGGAGGCGGAGGTTGCAGTGAGCCGAGATTGCACCACTGCACTGTAGCTTGGGCAACAGAGTAAGACTTGTCTCAAAAAGAAAAAAAAAAAAAGAAAAATTCTTAAACTCAGAATTAATGATTTCTCTTTAATAAACGCAGTAAGAATGATTGTATTAATTGACTTTCCTAAGTGTTAATTGGACAGCTAAAGAAGCAAACAGGGTGCCACTGCCTCCTGGAGAATAGCCCTCTGGATAGATCCATAGATGATCATTCAAATTCACCAACTCAGAAAAACAAGTTCCTTTGTAGAGACCGGGTTTCACCATGTTGCCCAGGCTGGCAGGCTGGTAGGCTGGTCTCCAACTCCTGGAATCAAGCAGTCCACCCGCCTCAGCCTCCCAAAGTCCAGGGAAGAATAGCCACGTTCATCCCAGCACCCCAGAACTAAGAAATAAGTTCTTTTTTTTTTTTCAGACAGAGTCTCGCTGTGTCACCCAGGCTGGAGTGCAGTGGTGCAATCTTGTATCACTGCATCCTCCACGTCCTGGGTGCAAATGATTATCCTGCCTCAACCTCCTGAGTAGCTGGGATTACAGTCGTGCACCACCATGCCCGGCTAATTTTTGTATTTTTGGTAGAGATGGAGTTTCACCACGTTGACCAGGCTTGTCTCGAATTCCTAACCTCAGGTGATCCGCCCACCTCCATTTTGGTAGACAGAGCCTCCTAAAGTGCTAGGATTACAGGCGTGAGCCACCACGCCAGGCCAGAAACAAGTTCTTTAGTTACATGCATCATTGGGAGATTGTGTGTGTTCCCAGTCTTTCCTTTTCTTTTAGGGATTTAAAGATAATTATACTTTGTCAGTTAGGCATGTCTTCAGGAAAACATAGAGAAGGTCATGTTGATTATATATCTTGGAATTGTCCAGATCCTCAGAGATTATGATATTGGTTTCCTGTCAGTTGTGCCAACAATGATAAGTAACGACCTGACGTGAAATCAAGAGAGAGGAAAGCTCTGGTCAGGCACAGTGACTCAAACCTGTAACCCCAGCATTTTGGGAGGTCGCGGTAGGCAGATTGCTTGAGTTTAGGAGTTCGAGATCAGCCTGGGCAACATGGCAAAATCCCATCTCTGCAGAAAATTAGCCAGGTGTGGTGGCGCACACCTGTAGTCCAGGCTACATAGGAGGCTGAGGCAGGAGGATCACCTGAGCCTGGGGAGGTCGAGGCTACAGTGAGCCATGATCTCACCACTGCATTCCAGCCTGGGCAACAGAGTGAGACCTAGCTCCAAAAAAAAAAAAAAGAAGAAGAGAGAGAGAGAGGAAAGCTCGAAGCTGACAGAACTCCAAAAGCTAACTAGCCTAAAGCCAAGCTGCCTAGAAACAACCATATATACCCATTAGTACACTTGGAAGAAGGCATCACATTATGGGACAGGGGATGAAAGCTCGGGGGTCAGGCAGGTAACAGAACTGAAATGGACAGGTGGGAGAGGAGTGTAGCAAGCTGACGCTGGCACGGCTGCTGAGTTCCTCTGCTCGAGCTGATCTTGTCATGCGTGATGCGATTCCAGTATTGCCAGATCTCTGGGTTTTTGTTTTTGTTTTTTTTCAAGAGAAGCCAGGAATCTAGATTTTTATGTCATATCAGATTTTTTTTTGTAAATGCTGGCACCTCATTTAACTTAGAAAAGGGAGAAAAAACACCAGGTGAAGGAAAGCCTCCCTACAGGCCAGGTGTTGCCCTGGTAGGGCGGTGGCTACTGGTGGTGAGACTGTTCCAGGACACGGAAGATGGATGATGATGTTAATAATGATGCGTCACCGTGGTGAGGCTCACCTGCTTCCTTATAACCACTGCAAGAGGCAGAAGTGTGTCGCACATTAACACCCTCTTATCCCAGTAGATCAGCAGTAGCTCTTAACCGCCTCTGGGAGTTGGCCCCTTCTGAGAGCCTAATAAACCCTATAGACTGCCTTCTAGAAACATGGACGTACCATACACAAACGCAAGCGTGGCACAGAATTCAGACTTCCCGAGGCATCTCTCCAGATACCAGTTGTAGACCCAACTTTTTATTCAGAAACCTTAGCTCTTCAGAGTGACTCAGTGCCTATGGGAACTCCTGAGGTTTTGCTGTCCTCTTCAGTTCTAAGGTGTTCAGTCTATGGTTTTAAACTTGTTTGTTTGCTGTTTTGTAGATTTTTCCAAACCCAGTCATTCTTCCCATTCGTTTTTGAACTAAGTAATTATTGCTTCTCGCCCTTTTGGCTAAGATCAACTAAACTTGGTAAATAACAGTTATGATTTCCTAAACACAAGTGTATCCATATGAATGGAGCACCAGGGGTAGGAATAGAATGATTCTCCTCCCCGCAATCCTGCCCCTACCCCCTTGTCTTTGGAGCCTTCAAGATGGAGAAAACAGTGAAGAGAAGAGTAGCTGAGAGCTGCTTCTAACGCCTGCAGCCTGCTGCTGACAGCTAGCCATATGTGCAGAGAACAACTGTAAACATCCTTAGGAGGTGGAGGCCTTCTCAAAGAGGCCTTTAATTATTAATTAGTTAATAATTAATAACCAGCATTATTGCTGGTGCAGGAGGGTGTGAACCCAGGAGGCGGAGCTTGCAGTGAGTGGAGATCGCGCCCCTGCACTCCAGCCTGGGCGACAGAGTGAGACTCCATCTCAAAAAAAAAAAAAAAAAGTATACTATAGAGGCCGGACATGGTGGCTCACGCCTGTAATCCCAGCACTTTGGGAGGCTGACGCAGGCAGATTGCCCGAGGTCAGGAGTTCAAGACCAACCTGACCAACATGGTGAAACCCCCATCTCGACTAAAAATACAAAATTAGCAGATGTGGTGGTGCCTGCCTGTAATCCCAGCTACTTAGGAGGCTGAGGCAGGAGAATCGCTTGAACCCCAGGAGGTGGAGATTGCAGTGAGCTCAGGTTGTGCTATTGCACTCCAGCCTGGGCAAAAAGAGCAAAACTCTATCACTAAAATAAAATAAAAATCAAGTGAATTGTTACCATTTATGGTAGACTTACCATGTGCCAGGCTCTGTACTAGGCACTTGACTCGAATTCTCTTCTTTAATGCTGCAAAACTCCCACTATGGTTAAGTGCTGTCATTGTCCCTCATCTATATGGTGAGCAAGCTGAGCCTCACCGCTGGTAAATGGCAGAGGTGGGGTGAGAACCCAGGCAGCCCAGCCATGGGACCTGTGTTCCTAACCACTGTGCCTCCAGAGCATGAAGCGTGAGCCCTTCCCTGCATGGCCAGTGTGGGCGGCGGAGAGCAATTTTCAGTCTTTTCCTTCACAATAGCAAGATTGAGAAACTCACCAGAAATAGTATGAATAATCATTTCTATAGCGCGTATTTACACCATACAAATTTTGAGCCACTTTCCTTCACTGTCTCTAATCCTCACAAGAAATCTTGATGGTTTGTGTACTGTGACCACCATTTCACAGTTGAGGAAACTTGATCAGAGAGCTTGAGTAACTTCTGCAGAGTCACAGAGCTAGTGACTTGGGGGAGTTAAGAGTCCAACTCCAAGATCTGTGTCATACTACTTCTCAATTTAAAAAAATTTTTAAAAATGTCTCCTAAAACCCAGATGAAAACAAGAAGAGAATGGTCCTTTGTCATTTGCTTACCTTTTGTCATTTGCTTATTAGTAATATTAGCATTTCTGTGGCACCAAGCTGGCTGGATCCAGAGGGCATGAGATGCATTTTTTGGGTTGATTTGGAGGGAAAGGGTATATTGAGCCATGGCAGATTTGGCCTGGCACAGCTAGAAAATGAGGCTTCACTCACTTCTTGGAATTGCTCGCATTAGAGCCTCTGAAGTCAAATGTTTATAAAATAATGATTGCCTAATGAGAAGGCAGATTTGTGTGCACAACAAGTGTTATTTACAGGAAGCATATCTGTTGTTACCAACCCCAGACATTTTACTAGGCCAAGAAGCTGGTTTATTTAAAGTCATAGACCTGGAAAGGTCTTTGGGAATTTAATTGAGGCCAGGCATAGTAGCTCACACCTGTAATCCCAGCACTTTGATAGGCCAAGACTGGCAGATCACTCGAGTTCAGGAGTTCGAGACCAGCCTGGCCAACATGGTGAAAACCCACCTCTACTAAAAATACAAAAATTAAAGCCAGATGTGGTGGCTCATACCTGTAATCCCAGCACTTTGGGAGGCTGAAGAGGGTGGATCACCTGAGGTCAGGAGTTCAAGACCAGCCTGGCCAACATGGCGAAAACCCGTCTCTACTAAAAATACAAAAATTAGCTGGGCCCAATGGCACGCACCTGTAATCCCAGCTACTTGGGAGGCCAAGGCAGAATTGCTTGAACCTGGCAGGCAGAGGTTGACGTGAGCCAAGATCACACCACCGCACTCCAGCCTGGCTGATAGAGTGAGACTTCGTCTCAAAAAAAAAAAAAGGAAATTTAATTGAGAACACTGAGATCAGGGAAATTTCATTTTCTAAGGAAGTTAGTGAAGGAGAATGATCCAGAAATCTCTGCCCACATCCTTCGAGTCTATGGAACCTTCCACTACACATATTATTTTGCTTTACTACATTTGAAAAGTATAACAAATAGGCCAGAAAGAAATTGAATGCTGATTATGTGGTTTATGGTATGTGGATTTTAATAAATCAAATTTGTCACTTTAAAAAATTAGAGCTCCAGCCTGGGCAATGTGGCGAAACTGCATCTCTACTAAAAATACAAAAAATTACCCGGGCATAGTAGTGCACACCTGTAGTCCCAGCTACTCAGGAGGGTGAGGTGGAGGATCACCTACCTGAGCCTGGGAAGTTGAGGCGGCAGTGAGCTGTGATTGCGCCACTGGACTCCAGCCTTGTTGAGAATGAATTAATTAATTAATTAAAATTAGAGCTTTAGTATTACAACTCCTTTACAATTTGTCTAGAAGGTTTTCTGGTCTTTATCAGAAAGCCTCCCCCACCCCCACCAAAAAAAAAAAAAAATCAGGCTGGGCACAGTGGCTCATGCCTGTAATCTCAGCACTTTGGGAGGCCAAGGCAGGCAGATCACGAGGTCAGGAGATCGAGACCATCTTGGCTAACACGGTGAAACCCCGTCTCTGCTAAAAAAATATGAAAAATTAGCTGGGTATGGTGGGTTGCACCTGTAGTCCCAGCTACTGGGGAGGCTGAGGCAGGAGAATTGCTTGAACCTGGGAGGTGGAGGTTGCAGTGAGCTGAGATCACGCCACTGCACTCCATCCTGGGCCAGAGAGCAAGACTGTGTCTCAAAAAAAAAAAAAAAAAATTAGCGCTTCAATAGAATGTCAATACTTTTATATTAACTGCTCTTCAAACAACTACTATTTGCCTTATTTTTGTCTCTGTTTTTTTTTTCTAGATTAATGATGTTTTGCAGCAGTTTTCTACGTCTGAAATTTTTTATGTCTCTGGAACCCAGAATTTGCTAAGAGATGGAGGAACCTCAGAAAAGCTATGTGAACACAATGGACCTTGAGAGAGATGAACCTCTCAAAAGCACCGGCCCTCAGATTTCTGTTAGTGAATTTTCTTGCCACTGCTGCTACGACATCCTGGTTAACCCCACCACCTTGAACTGTGGGCACAGCTTCTGCCGTCACTGCCTTGCTTTATGGTGGGCATCTTCAAAGAAAACAGAATGTCCAGAATGCAGAGAAAAATGGGAAGGTTTCCCCAAAGTCAGTATTCTCCTCAGGTAATGTTCAGCCTATATTGGTAGCACAAACAGCCCATAAAATGTGGTTTCTCTCTTGCTTTTTTTTTTTTTTTTTTAACAGAGATGGCGTCTCGCTATGTTGCCCAGGCTGGTCTCAAACTCCTGACCTCAAGTGATCCTCCCACTTCAGCCTCCCAAAGTGCTGGGATTATAGGTGTGAGCCACCATGTCCAGCCAGTGGGCTTTCTCTTAACAGGAACAGCAGTGTTTGAAAGGTCGCACACTTGGAGCCCACCTCCTTGGGGGTGGATCTTCTGGAATATGAGTCAGGGAGCTCAAGGAACTGGAAATCCAGATTCTCTTCCTCATAGGTGACCATGACTTTTTAAATTATTTATTATGAATGAAGGAAAGAAAGAAAGTCTGGTTAGCAGACCGTTGCTGGTAATCCTGTCATATAAAGGCCAGACCAGTGGCTCACGCCTGTAATCCCAACACTTTCAGAGGCTGAGGTAGGAACATTGCTTGACACCAGGAATTTAGAAGCATCCTGGGCAACACGGTGAGTCCTTATCTCTATAGAAAGTTTTAAAAATTAGCCAGGTGTGGTGGTACATGCCTATAGTCCCAGCTATGCCAGTGGCTGAGGTGGGAGGATTGCTTGAGCCTGGGAGGTCGAGGCTGCAATGAGCTCACACCACTACACTCCAGCCTGGGCAACAGAGCAAGACCCTGTCTCAAAAAAAAAGAAAGAAAGAAAGAAAGAAAGCAAATGGTATAACTGTATAATTGTGAATAACTGGTTTGTTGCTGATTTTAATAATCTTTAGATAACCCCAGTTCCAGTTATCACATTAATAGAGTTTCTCATGTGTAGCATCACAGTGCCAAAGCCACCTTTCAGATAGCTTGTTATTTTCTGCTTCTTTGGCTCATAATGTACCTGTGAAGGCTCTGAGGCTTAAATCCTCTTCCCCTCTTCTATTGTCTAACAATGTGTGTGCCCTTCTTGATTTCAACAGAGTACTAGAAAGTTCCATGAACCCAACCTTTTCTTTTTCACAAAAGATGTGTTTACACTTTGCTCTTACCTGTCAGTCTTGATTTAGCTGAAGGTTAAATTTAATCTTAAATTAAAGGAGGGTTCTTTGTGTATAACTGAACATTTAAAAAGAGCCCTACAATTTAAGCTGACAGTTGGTCTTATTACTGAATTTTGCTTTTTTCCCTTCTTATAAACTGATTTTAATAACATAAGATACATATATATACACACACATACACACACATACATACATTCATTGTTTATATTCTTTGAGACAAAGTCTCACTCTGTCGCTCAGGCTGGAGTGCAGTGGTACGACCTTGGCTCACTGCAACCTCCACCTCCTAGGTTCAAGTGATTCTCCTGCCTCAGCCTCTGGAGTAGCTGGGATTACAGGAGCCTGCTACCACGCCCAGCTAATTTTTGGGTTTTTTTGTTTGTTTTTTGTTTTTTGAGACGGAGTTTCACTCTTGTTTCCTAGGCTGGAGTGCAATGGCGTGATCTCGACTTACCACAACCTCTCCCTCTCAGGTTCAAGCAGTTTTCTCCTGCCTCAGCTTCCCTAATAGCTGGGATTACAGGCAACTGCCACCACGCCCGGCTAATTTTGTATTTTTAGTAGAGACGGGGTTTCCCCATGTTGATGAGGCTAGTCTCAAACTCCTTACCTCAGATGATCCGCCCACCTTGGCCTCCCAAAGTGCTGGGATTATAGGCGTGAGCCACCGTGCCTGGTGAATGTTTGTATTTTCAGTAGAGACGGGGTTTCACAGTTTTGGCCAGGCTGGTCTCGAACTCCTGACCTTTAGTGATCCGCCCGTCTTGGCCTCCCAAAGTGCTGGGATTACAGGCGTGAGCCACTGTGCCTGGCCAAATGCCCAGCTAAAATTTTTTTTTTTTAAGATGGAGCTTCACCCTTGTTGCCCGGGCTGGAGTGCATTGGCAAAATCTCGGCTCACTGCAACCTCCGCCTCCCAGGTTCAAGTGATTCTCCTGCCTCAGCCTCCCAAGTAGCTGGGATTACAGGCATGTGCCACCATGCCTGGCTAATTTTGTATTTTTCGTAGAGACAGAGTTTCTCCATGTTGGTCAGGCTGGTCTCATACTCCCGACCTCAGGTGATCCGCCCGCCTCAGCCTCCCAAAGTGCTGGGATTACAGGCATGAGCCCCCGCGCCCAGCCTCTTTTTAAAATATTGGAAAATTACTGATAAAACTAAAGATCCTTTTGACCCCTTATTTTCCCATCTTAGAATCCTTTCCTTTTTCCTTAGAATAATTTCAGTTATGACTTAGTTGTGCTTTTGTTCAGATTTTTTTAAATACTTTTTTTTAACTTTTTAGTAGCGATCAGGTCTCACTATGTTGCCCAGGCTGGTCTCCAACTGCTGAGCTCAAGTGAACCTCCTGCCTCAGCATCCCACAGTGCTGAGATTACAGGCGTGAGCCACTACACCCAGCCTCAGATTTTTCAAAATACTCTTTTTTGAGACAGAGTCTCGCTCTGTTGCCCAGGCTGGAGTGCAATGGTGCGATCTCAGCTCACTGCAACCTCCTCCTCCCAGGTTCAAGCGATTCTCCTGCCTCAGCCTCCCAAGTAGCTGGGATTACAGGCGCCCACCACCACACCCGGTTGATTTTTGTATTTTTAGTAGAAACAGGGTTTTACCATGTTGGCCAGGCTGGTCTGGAACTCCTGACCTTAAGTGATCTGCCCACCTCGGCCTCCCAAAGTGCTGGGATTACAGGCGTGAGCCACCACGCCCGGCTTAAAAATACTTCTAAACATACATGTGCCAGGCTGGGTGCGGTGGCTCATGCCTGTAATCCCAGTACCTTGGGAGGACCGAGGCAGGCGGATCTCATGAGGCCAGGAATTCAAGACCAGCCTAGCCAACATGACCAAAAATACAAAAATTAGCCTGGTGTAATGGCGCATGCCCATAATCCCAGCTACTCAGGAGGCTGAGACATGAGAATCACTTGAAGGACACGGAGGTTGCGGTAAGCTGAGATCATGACATTACACTCCAGCCTGGGTGACAGAGCAAGACTCTTGTCTCAAAAAAAAAAAAAAACAAGTGCCAATAGAAAATGCAAGTATTTTCTCACATCATTGATGTGCTCTCTGCATGGTTCTGCAGTTTACTATTTTAAATCAATTATGTACGTCTTAAATTTCTCCACCTTGACACATTTAGTGATCCAGCAAATGCATTTAAAATTGTGATACTTCATTGTATGAATATACCATATTTCATTTAGCCTTTTACCTAGTAGTAAATGTATATCATCAGGTTGGTGCACAAGTAATTGCAGTTTTTACCATTGAAAGTAATGGTAGGCTGGGTGCAGTGGCTCATGCCTCTAATCTTAGCACTTTGGGAGGCCCCGGTGGGCAGATTGCCTGAGCTCAGGAGTTCAATACCAGCCTGGGCAACATAGTGAAACCCTATCTCTACTAAAAATACAAAAAAAAAGTTATCCGGGTATGGTGGTGTGCACCGGTGAGCCAAGATCACGCCATTGCACTCCAGCCTGGGCGACAGAGTAAGACTCCGTCTCAAAAAAACAAAAGGAGAAAGTAATGGTAAACAACCTAATAGATTATTTCAGATTTTTTGCTTTTACCCACAGGACTATAATACATTTCTTGTCAGTTCTCCTAGGGTAGCTATATATTATTAGATGTTGACTATCAGGGCTTTTTTGGCCTCTAAACATGATATTTAGTCAAACAACTGTCTTAATTTTTTTTTTCTATTCTCCATAGGGATGCCATTGAAAAGTTATTTCCTGATGCCATTAGACTGAGATTTGAAGACATTCAGCAGAATAATGACATAGTCCAAAGTCTTGCAGCCTTTCAGAAATATGGGAATGATCAGATTCCTTTAGCTCCTAACACAGGCCGAGCGAATCAGCAGATGGGAGGGGGATTCTTTTCCGGTGTGCTCACAGCTTTAACTGGAGTGGCAGTAAGTTGATCACTGTGTTCCTCTGTGCCCCCCCACACCTCACCCCCCGACCCCTGATTTCCACTGAAGTCAGTTCTGTTGAAATCACTGAAATAATTGATGATGTGACTCCATGTAATTTACTACGTACATTGAAATCTGCTGGGTTCTATGATTTCCTCAGGAATGTTGCTTACTCAGGTAGATCAGATCATAGTACCTAGTAAATGGAGAAAGGTGGTAGAACTGGAATTCAAGACCATGTCTGCCTTGGTAATACAATCTTTTTTTGTTTTGTTTTGTTTTTGAGACGGACTCTTGCTCTGTCGCCCAGGCTGGAGTGCAGTGGTGCGATCTAGGTAAAAACTTTCTTTTAGGGTGGTGAAAATGAACTAAAACCAGCTGTGGTGATGATGACACATATTTGTGAACACATTAAAAACCGTGGATTGTGTGCACTTCAAATGTGTGAATTTTATGTGGATTACATCTCTTGCTCTTTTTTTTTTTTTTTTTTTTTTTGAGATGAAGTCTTGCCCTGTTGCCTAGGCTAGAGTGCGGTGGCATGATCTCGGCTCACTGCCACCTCCACCTCCCGAGTTCAAGTGATTCTTCTGCCTCAGCTTCCCAAGTAGCTGGGATTACAGGCATGCGCCACTACAAGAGGCTAATTTTTGTGTGATTAGTAGAGATGGGGTTTCACCATGTTGGCCAGGCTGGTCTGGAACTCCTGACCTCAAGTGATCCACCCGCCTCAGACTCCTCAAGTGCTGGGATTATAGGCGTGAGCCACCACGCCTGGACCTCCTTGGTAATACAGTCTTAAGAACCCACCAGTTTACTAACTTCCAATGTGGAGACTATTTTCTTTTAAAGTTCTGTGCATAAAAAATCTAAATGTTTTTCCAGTAGAAAAGGCACAAGTCAGTTATGTTGAGCAAGTTGATGGAGTCAAGGCACCACCTGCTCCCAGGTGCCTGAGATAAGTCCTTTTCTCGCCTCTGTGCCCTCACTGCCACGCAATCAGCAGAGAGAGGCACCCGAGGAGAGCTGTGGTCCCCAGTTCTCTGTGGCCGTGGCGTTGCCCTGCTTTTGTTGCCCTGCTTCTGTGTACGGGCTCCGCATCATTCCCTGTGAGCTCAGCCTCTTCCTTTCCCCACCTCCCACCCGCATATTTAGAAACTGGCATCTCTGCCTCTCCATGGTTTAAAGTCCCTGTCACTTTTCCCCAGGTGGTCCTGCTCGTCTATCACTGGAGCAGCAGGGAATCTGAACACGACCTCCTGGTCCACAAGGCTGTGGCCAAATGGACGGCGGAAGAAGTTGTCCTCTGGCTGGAGCAGCTGGGCCCTTGGGCATCTCTTTACAGGGAAAGGTTTTTATCTGAACGAGTAAATGGAAGGTGAGGAGCAAAGTCTTCTGACACACCGTGGACATTTTAGAAAACAGCTTTCTTGAGATATAATCCAGGCCAGGCGCGGTGGCTCACACCTGGATCCCAGCACTTTGGGAGGCCGAGGCGGATCGATCATTTGAGGTCAGGAGTTCCAGACCAGCCTGACCAATATGATGAAACCCCATCTCTACTAAAAATACAAAAAAAAAAAATTGGCCAGGCTTGGTAGTGCACACCTTGTAATCCCATCTATTCGGGAGGCTGAGACAGGAGAATCACTTGAACCCAAGAGGTGGAGGTTACAATGAGCCAAGATCATGCCACTGCACTCCAGCCTAGGCAACAAGGCAAGACTCCATCTCAAAAAGAGAGAGAGAGAGATGTAATCTACATAAAATTCACACGTTTGAAGTGCACAATCCATGGTTTTTAATGTGTTCACAAATAGTGTGATTATCACCACAGCTGGTTTTAGAACATTTTCATCACCCTAAAAGAAAGCTTTTACCCTTCAGTCAATCCTCATTTCTCCCCAACCCCCAGCCCCTGGCAAACACCATTCTACTTTCTGTCTTTATGGATTTGTCTATTCTGGACGTTTGATATAAATGGATTCATACAATGCGTGGTATTTTGTGTCTGGCTTTTTCACTTAGCATAATCTTTTTCAAGGTTTACCCGTGACATAACATGTATCAGTACTTCATTCCGTTTTATGGCTGAGTAATAATTCTACTGTAAGAGTATACCGTATTTTGTTTATCCATTCATTGGTTGATGGACATTTGGGCTGATTCCATTTTTTGGCTATTATGAATAATGATGCTATGATCGTTCATGTGCAGATTCTTGCATGAACATGTATTTTCAATACTGTCTTGGAGTGGAATGACTGAGTCATATGGTAACTCTATTCAGACTCTATGTTTAACTGTCAAACTATTTTCCACAGCAGCTACACCGTTTAATGTCCATGACATTTAAATTTCTTTGTTGCTTCCGGATTATCAAATTGTGTAAGGAAAAATTCTCTCTAATCACAAGAATCAACACAGAAGACTTTTGTGACCAAATATGTGGGGTTCTCCTGCACACACCCAGCAGGAGACACCAGCTGGATGTCCTCTAATTCAGTTCCCACACTGTCTACCCAGAGATAGTGTGAGATCCCACAGGGTGAGGGCTCTGTCCCCAAGACTGCCCCTGACTAATTCTAGTCAGAAATCCAGGCTTCCAGAATTTCTGACCCACCAGCTTCAAGTTGGGGTTCCCATGATTCCCTCTTTGGGTTCAATTAATTTGCTGGAGCAGCTCACAGAACTCAAGGAAACACGTACTTTCACTGGTTTATTATAAAGGATATTGCAAAAGATACAGATAAAGAGACACTTAGGGCAAGGTATGGGGGAAGGGGCACAGAGCTTCCATGCTCTCCACGGGTGCACTCCCCTCCAGGAACCTCACATGCTCAGCTATCCAGAAGCTCACTGAATCCTGTCCCCCGGAGTATTGTGTTTTTGTTTTTGTTTTTTCAGACAGGGTCTCACTCTGTAGCCCAGGCTGGAGTGCAGTGGCACAACCTCAACTCAACTGCAATCTCTGTGTTTAGGGCTCAAGGAGTCCTACCTCAGCCTCCCAAGTAGCTGGGACTGCAGGCACATGCCATCAGGCCCAGCTAATTTTTGTATTTTTAATAGAGACAGGGTTTTGCCATGTCGCCCAGTCTGATCTTGAACTCCTAGACTCAAACAATCCACCCGCCTGAGCTTCCCAAAATGTTGTGATTATAGGCATGAGCCCCCGCACCCTCCTCATGGAAGATTCTTAAGACCCACAATCAGAAAGGTAGGAAAAGATTAGAGTGAAAGGAGAGCAGGAGGTCAGATGCCTGTACTGAGGCCTGACATGCCCAATTTTTTTTTTTTTTTTTTTTTTTTTAGATGGAGTCTCGCTCTGTCCTTCAGGCTGGAGTGTAGTGGTGTGATCCTGGCTCACTGCAACCTCCGCCTCCTGGGTTCAAGCGATTCTCCTGCCTCAGCCTCCCGAGTAGCTGGCACTGCAAGTGCCTGCCACCACGCCCGGCTAATTTTTGTATTTTTAGTAGAGATGGGGTTTTACCATGTTGACCAGGCTGGTGTTGAACTACTGACCTCAGGTGATCCACCGCCTTGGCCTCCCAAAGTGCTGGAATTATAGGCGTGAGCCACCGTGCTAGGCCTCCAACATTCTAACACAGATTGGAATAAGGGATACAGCAGCTATGAGCCGGGAACTATGGACGAAAGCCAATATGTAACACCACATTAATATATATTTTTATTTTTTTTTTTGAGATGGAGTCTTACTCTGTCTCCCAGGCTGGAGTGCAGTGGCAGCGATCTCAGCTCACTGCAACCTCCACCTCCCAGTTTTGGGTGATCCTCCTGCCTCAGCTTCCCGAGTAGCTAGGATTATAGGCGCCTGCCATCATGCGTGGCTAATTTTTGTATTTTTAGTAGAGATGGGGTTTCGCCATGTTGACCAGGCTGGTCTGAAACTCCTGACCTCTGGTGATCCACCCACCTCGGCCTCCCAAAGTGCTAGGATTACACGTGTGAGCCACCACACCTGGCAAATATATATTTTTATTTTTAAAAAAATAATAACTATGTGATATTGAAAGTGACATACTCTTGTAATCCTACTCTTCAGAAAACAATTTATCTTGCTAGACACCTTTCCAGATGTTTCAGTACTTACACAGATATAAATGTGTTTTTTTTAATTTAAACTGAAAATATGATTGTACTAAACAGACATGTGTTTGTATGTATACATGTATATATATATTTACATCTATATCCACCCCCTAAGGGTGTTACGTATAACATCACACAGTGATAAGAGCAGCCTCTCTCCCTGATTCATTTGTTTCAGACACCCACTTCACCCACTGCCTGGCTGCCTGACTGCCACCCCTCCTACTCCAGTGACTTTTTCTCTCCTCTCCACTCAGTTTTCAGCACTTGACTGACTCTGTTTTGAGGAAATGGCATGCTCCTACTTTAATTAGCTTTATATAGAAATTCACCTCCCGCAAAATTATGGTATAAAAATTTCTCTACCTAGTTAGTACAATGTATTTTTACATAGCTTTCTAGAGGACAAATTCCTGGAACTGGAATTGCTGGGCCAAAGATAGTAAATCTGTACAAATTTAATAAGCATCACCAAATTACCCATAAAAGGACGATCAATTTACACCACTCAACCAGTAGTTGCATATGCCTGTTAATAGCTCTCCGGCCAGCTTACAGTGATGTTTTTAAGGATGAATCACTGTGGAGGGGAATTTGTGTTTTCTTGTGTGTGTTTTTTTTAATTTAATTTTTATTTTTTTGAGACAGTTTCACTCTTGTTGCCCAGGCTGGAGTGCAGTGGCGTGATCTTGGCTCACTGCAACCTTCACCTCCTGGGTTCAAGCGATTCTCCTGCTTCAGCCTCCTGAGTAGCTGGGATTACAGGCACACGCCACCATGCCCGCCTAATTTGTATTTTTAGTAGAGACGAGGTTTCACCACGTTGGCCAGGCTGGTCTCAAACTCCTGACCTCAGATGATCTACCTGTGCCTCAGCCTCCCAAAGTGCTGGATTACAGGCATGAGCCACCGCCCCCAGCCAGAATTTGTGTTTTCTGATGAGGAAAGCAGATACGGGATCTCCAATTATTTTTATTAAATTAAATCCCTACCTTAAAACAACTACTCTTTTTTCTTCAAGAGACAGAGTCTCTTTCTGTCACCAAGGCTAGAGTGCAGTAGCAGTATCATAGCTCACTACAGCCTCAAAGTCCTGGGCTCAAGCAATCCTCTTGTCTCAGCCTCCCAAGTAATTAAAACGACAGGTGCATGCCACCATGCCTGGCTAATTTTTCTGGAGAGACAGGGTCTCACTGTGTTGCCCAGGCTGGTCTCAAACTCCTGGGCTCAAGTGATTCTTCTGCCTCAGCCTACCAAAGTACTGGGATTATAGGTGTGAGCCACTGTGCCCATCTAAGAACTTTTTTTTTTTTTTTTTTTTTTTGAGGCGGAGTCTTGCTCTGTCACCCAGGCTGGAGTGCAACAGTGTGATCTCGGCTCACTGCAAGCTCCGCCTTCCGGGTTCACGCCATTCTTCTGCCTCAGCCTCCCGAGTAGCTGGGACTATAGGCGCCTGCCACGACACCTGGCTAATTTTTTGTATTTTCAGTAGAGACGGGGTTTCACCGTGTTAGCCAGGATGGTCTTGATCTCCTGACCTCGTGATCTGCCCGCCTCGGCCTCCCAAAGTGCGAACTATTCTTAATGTTGTAATGTTTTATTGGATTTCCTTCTAATTTTTCCTATACATACACACAGTTTTAAAAATAGAGTAATATAAAAAAATAAATAAAAATAGAGTAATATGTGAGAGGTCAGAGCGTATAACTGAAAGATCAAAGGCTTAGGAACAAAACAGACCTAGGAGTGCCTTGGGAAAGTCACCTTATTTCTCTAAGTGAGTTTTCCTTTTTTTTTTTTTTTTTTTTTTTTTGAGATGGAGTCTCACTCTGTTGCCTGGGCTGAAGGCTGGAGGGCAGTGACGAGATCTTAGCTCACTGCAACCTCCGCCTCCCAGGTTCAGGCAATTCTCATGCCTCAGCCTCCCAAGTAGCTGGGATTACAGGTGCACGCTAATTTTTGTACTTTTAGTAGAGACGTGGTTTCACCATGTTGGCTGGGCTGGTGTTAAACACCTGATTTCAAGTGATCTGCCTGCCTCAGCCTCCCAAAGAGCTGGGATTATAGGCATGAGCCACTGCACCCAGCCAAAGCGAGTTTTCTGATCTACAAAAGCAGCATAATGCCACTACCCTGAATAATTGTTATATGGATCAGTGATGACTTATGAAAGTATTTATAGATTGTCACTGGTAAATAGTAAGCATTCAATTATTTGCTGCTCTTGATGTTGTTAAATGTGAAATGTCTCACCATACCTCAAGCCTACAATATTTATATTAGTAAGATGGAACTCTGAGTGTAGAGAGTTTGCTTCCAGTATATAATCGCAAAATAAATCTCCTCCTGCCCCTCTACAGGTTGCTTTTAACTTTGACAGAGGAAGAATTTTCCAAGACGCCCTATACCATAGAAAACAGCAGCCACAGGAGAGCCATCCTCATGGAGCTAGAACGTGTCAAAGCATTAGGCGTGAAGCCCCCCCAGAATCTCTGGGAATATAAGGTGAACACTTTAATTTTTTTTTTTTTTTTTTACTTTTTATTTTTATTTTTTGTTAATTTTTTTTAATTTCAGGGTTTTCTTTTTTATTTTTGACAGTTTATGTACTTATTTATTTATTTATTTTATTTTGAGACAGAGTCCTTCTCTGTCGCCCAGGCTGGAGTGCAATGGCGCAATCTCAGCTCAGTGCAACCTCTGCCTCCCAGGTTCAAGTGATTATCCTACCTCAGCCTCCAGAGTAGCTGGGATTACCCTACCCAGCTAATTTTTTCTTTCTTTTTTTTTTTTTTCTGGCTCACTGCAACCTCCACCTCCCAGGTTCAAGCGATTCTCCTACCCCAGCCTCACCAGCAGCTGGGATTACAGGCACACGCCACCACACCAGGCTAATGTTTATGTTTCTAGTAGAGATGGTTTCAGGATGTTGGCCAGGCTGATCTCAAACTCCTGACCTCAGGTGATCCACCTGCCTCCTGACCTCAGCCTCCCAAAGTGCTGGGATTACAGGCGTCAGCCACCGCGCCTGGCCTGTTTTACAAATAAATAAGGAAAGAGACACTTACATGTTTTGGGGACCTTGAATTGTTGGAATATCACTGGAGGACAATTTGTCAATAACATTTCAGTTTAAACCGCATCTGCTCTTTAAGCCAGCATTTCACTCCTTTGCACTTGGAATGGAGGCAGCACAGCACGGTGGTCAAGAGTGAGGCTCTGGGCTGGTCACCGTGGCTCACAACTGTAATCCCAGCACTTTGGGAGGCCGAGGCGGGGGGATGACCTGAGGTCAGCAGTTTGAGACCAGCCTGGCCAACGTGGTGAAACCCCGTCTCTACTAAAATCACAAAAATTAGCTGGGAGTGGTGGCACACTCCTGTAGGTCCATTTACTTGGAGGCAGGAGAAATGCTTGAACCTGGGAGGTTGAGGCTGCGGTAGCCGAGATCACACCGCTGCATGGCAGCCTAGGGGACAGAGCAAGACTCCGTCCCAAAAAAAAAAGCAAAGAACAGAAACAAAAAGAGTAACGCTGTGGGCTGGGCATGGTGGTTCACAACTATAATGCTAGTACTTTGGAAGGCTGAGGTGGGAGGATTGCTTAGCTCAGGAGTTCAAGACTAGCCTGGGTAACATGGCAAGACCCCATCTCTACAAAAAGTACAGACACAAAAAAAATTAGTTGAGTGTGGTGATGCCAGCCATTTGCGAGGCTGAGGCTGCGCTAAACCATGATCGAACCACTGCACTCCAGCCTGGGCAAGAGAGTTGAGACCCTGTTTCAGAAAAAAAAAAAAAGGCCCTGGCACTAGCCTGCCTGGGCCAGCTCCTCCAAGACACACCACCTGTTGGAACACCAGCAAGTACCTGCACCTCTCCTTGCCTGTTTCCTCCTGGGTAAATAACCTTAGAGGGTCATTGTGAGACTCCAATGTTTGATTAACGGAAAGTTGTTAAACAAGTTATTCACGGCAGCATTGTTGGTAATTGCAGGGAGTAGAAAACAACCTAAGTGCCCCTCATTAGGAACAAGTTGAATAAACAAGGCACACCCATGTAGGCAGCCACCGGAAAAGGAGACAAAGACTTTGTGTTAATAAGGAACAAAGTCCTGTAATCCATAAGGAACAAAGTCCTGTAATCCCAGCACTTTGGGAGGCCGAGGCAGGCTGATCACTTGAGGCCAGGAGTTCCAGACCAGCCTGACCAACATGGTGAAACCCCATCTCTACTAAAAACACAAAAATTAGCCAGGTGTGGTGGTGCATGCCTATAATCCCAGCTACTCAGGAGGCTACGGCAGGAGAATTGCTTGAACTAAGGAGGTGGAGGTTGCAGTGAGCTGAGATGGTGCCACTGCACTCCAGCCTGGGTGACAGAGTGAGACACTGTCTCAAATGAAGAAAGAAATAAAAAATGCTTCTGTAATATGTGCGTGTATTACTTTAATAACTAGTTTCAAATATTGTAAAGAATGTGCGTGGAGCTCCTGAAATAGAATGTTTGTTATTTTTTGTGTTATTTGGTTTTTGTTTTTGTTTTGTTTTGTTTTGTTTTTTGAGAGGGTGTCTCGCTCTGTCGCCCAGGCTGGAGTGCAGTGGCGCGATCTCAGCTCACTGCAAGCTCTGCCTACTGGGTTCACGCCATTCTCCTGCCTCAGCCTCCCAAGTAGCTGGGACTACAGGCGCCCACCACCGTGCCCGGCTAATTTTTTTATTTTTTGGTAGAGACGAGCTTTCACCATGTTAACCAGGGTAGTCTGGATCTCCTGACCTTGTGATCCGCCTGCCTCGGCCTCCCAAAGTGCTGGGATTACAGGTGTGAGCCACCGCGCCTGACCTGTTTTTGTTTTTTTGAGACAGAGTCTCACTGTTTCCCAGACTGGAGTGCAGTGGTGCGACCTTAGCTCACTACAACCTCTGCCTTCCAGGTTCAAGCAATTCTCATATCTCACCCTCCAGAGTAGCTAGGAATACATGCAGGTGCCACCATGCCCAGCTAATTTTGTATTTTTAGTAGAGGCGGAGTTTTGCCATATTGGCCAGGCTAGTCTTGAACTCCTGACCTCAGGTGATCTGCCCGCCTCAGCCTCCCCAAAGTGCTGGGATTACAGGCGTGAGCCACTGCGCCCAGCCAAGCTGCCATATTTTTCATAGGTAAATATTTCAGCATTAATCTCTTAAAAAAAAATTTTTTTTTGAAATGGAGTCTCACCATGTTGCCCAGGCTGGTCTCAAATTCCTGGTCAAGTAATCCTCCCACCTCAACCTCCCAAGTAGCTGGGGCTACAGGCACAGGCTACTGAAGCAGCTACATTGCCTGGGGAACTGGGGTTTGTCATCTTGCACCAGGAAAATTTAGGACACAGACACACAAGAGTTGAGCAGAGGTTTAATAGGCAAAAGTAAGAGAAAGGAAAACAGCTCTGTCTCTAGCAAGAGAGAGGGGACTTCCAAGAGGAAAAGACTGGCAGGCAGCAGATGTGCTGGATTTTTTAGTCAGTTTTGAGGAGGCGGTGTCTGATTTACATAGGGCTCACAGATTGGTTCGATCAGGTATGATGTTTCCACAGTGCACAGGAAGGGTGGTCACCCCACCCTAATCTTATTATGCAAAGGAACTTTCTGTCCCCTTGGCTGGTGCTATCTTGTCTGCTCCTTACTGTACTGTACATGTGGCTGACAAAGAGAAGGGAAGATGGAGCTTCTGTCTTGAACATGATTGACATAACTGCCAGCATCTGTGTCTGCAGTTCCATTTTACAGGCTGCTGTTTGTTAGAAAGGAAAATGATTTGAGGCTGCTTTTCATTAAAAGGAAAACCTCCATCCTGGCTAACACAGTGAAACCCCATCTCTACTAAAATACAAAAAAAAATTAGCTGGGCGTGGTGGTGGGCGCCTGTAGTCCCAGCTACTGGGGAGGCTGAGGCAGGAGAGTGGCGTGAACCCGGGAGACGGAGCTTGCAGTGAGCCAAGATTGTGCCACTGCACTCCAGCCTGGGTGGCAGACCGAGACTCCATCTGAAAAAAAAAAAAGGAAAACCTTAATGAGGGCTCCCTTACCCTCACTATCTGCCTAAGTAACTTCTTCTTCACTCCTGTATCACTACCATGTCCTGCTTGAAAAGTAAGGACTTTTCAAAAGACAAAATTACAATATCACCATTGTACACCCCTCCACCAATTAATAGTAATTATGATTTTTTTTTTTTTTCTGAGATGGAGTTTTGCTCTTGTCATCCAGGCTGGAGTGCAATGGCGCGATCTCAGCTCACTGCAAACTCCACCTCCCAGGTTCGAGCGATTCCCCTGCCTCAGCCTCCTGAGTAGCTGGGACTACAGGTGTGCGCCTCCATGCCAAGCTAATTTTTTGTATTTTTAGTAGGGACGGGGTTTCACCGTGTTGGCCAGGCTGATCTCAAACTGCTGACCTCAGGTGATCCACCCGCCTCAGCCTCCCAAAGTGCTGGGATTATAGGCGTGAGCCACCATGCCCAGCCTGTAGTATGCAATTTGGTTTTTTTTGTTTTTTTTTGTTTTTTGTTTTTTTTTGAAACAGAGTCTCGCTCTGCCTCCAGGATGGAGTGCAGTGGCATGATCTTGGCTCACTGCAACCTCCACCTCCCAGGTTCAAGCGATTCTCCTGCCTCAGCCTCCCAAGTAGCTGGGACTACAGGTGCCCACCACCACACCGGCTAATTTTTTTTGTATTTTTAGTCGAGACAGGGTTTCACCATGTTGGTCAGGCTGGTCTCGAACTCCTGACCTCAGGCAATCTGCCTGCATCAGCCTCCCAAAGTGCTGGGATTACAGGCGTGAGCCACCATGTCCGGCCTCTATAGTATACTTCTTTTTTTTTTGAGATGGAGTCTCACTCTGTCGCCCAGGCTGGAGTGCAGTGGCGCAATCTCCACTCACTGCAAGCTCCGCCTCCTGGGTTCACACCATTCTCCTGCCTCAGCCTCCCCAGTAGCTGGGACTACAGGCACCCGCCACCATGCCCGGCTAATTTTTTGTATTTTTAGTAGAGACGGGATTTCACCGTTTTAGCCAGGCTGGTCTCAATCTCCTGACCTCAGGTGATCTGCCTGCCTCAGCTTCCCAAAGTGCTGGGATTACAGGCTGAGCCACCACGCCCGGTCTCTATAGTATACATTTCTAAAGAGAAAGAATCTTTTTAAAAATGCAATCATCATCACACTTTTTAAAAATCTAACAGTAAGTTATTCATAGCATCAGCTAAATTGAATGTTTTAACAGTTTTTATTGAGGTAAAATTGATATACACCTACTTAAAGTGTACGATGTGATAAGTTTTCACATATGCACACCCATGAAAGCATCACACGATGAAGATGGGGAACATCTCCGTCACTCCCAGAAGTTTCCTCCTGCCCCTGTTAAGCCTTCCCTCCCAGCCCTCCCAATTCCAACAAGGATGCAGTGATCTCCACTGGACACTGGGGATTTAATTTGCATTTCTCATTTAATTCACATTCACATGCTTATTTGCCATCCTTATATCTTCTGTGGTAAACTGCTCATTTTATTTTGATGCTACTAAGAATCAAATAAATTGAATCTTTTTTCTTTTTGAGATGGAGTTTTGCCCTTGTTGCCCACGCTGGATTTCAATGGCAAGATCTTGGCTCACTGCAACCTCTGCCTCCCGGGTTCAAGTGATTGTCCTGTCTCAGCCTCCCGAGTAGCTGGGATTACAGGCACATGCCACCAAGCCTAGCTAATTTTTGTATTTTTAGTAGACAGGGTTTCATCATATTGGTCAGGCTGGTCTCGAACTCCTGACCTCAGGTGATCCTCCTGCCTTGGCCTCCCAAAGTGCTGGGATTACAGGTGTGAGCCACCGCACTCGGCCTTTTTTTTTTTTTTTTTAAAGAAACGAGGTCTTACGCCAGGCGTGGTGGCTCACACCTGTAATCCCAGCACTTTGGGAGACCGAGGCAGGTGGATCACCTGAGGTCAGGAGTTCGAGACCAGCCTGGCCAACATAGTGAAACCCAGTGTCTACTGAAAATACAAAAATTAGCCAGGCGTGGCATTACTCACTTGTAATCCCAGCTACTTGGGAGGCTGAGGCAGGAGAATTGCTTGAACCTGGGAGGTAGACGTTGCAGTGAGCCAAAAATGCACCATTGCACTCCAGCCTGGGCGACAGAGCAAGACTCTGTCTCAAAAAAATAAAAAAATTAAGAGACTGGGTCTTGCTTTGTTGCTCAGGCTGGTCTTGAACTCCTGGCCTCAAGCAATCCTCTTGCCTCCCAAAGTGTTAGGATTACAGGCGTGAGCCACCACGCTTACCCTGAATAATCTATTCAGTTACTTTTATAATAAGGAAGTAAACATTCACTGTAGTAAAACTTGATTTAAAAAACTGAAGAAAATGAAAATGGCTATGTGAATTCCATGTTAAGTATCTGCTGTAACTGTAGATTTCACTGGTTTCACTATTACACTCAGTGTAGTACTAAACATCTTGTATATAAAATCTGTATTTCAGATTATTTGCATTAAGTGGTGCCCACTTACAGACTGATTGAATTAAACAATTTTAAGACTCTTTGATACCTTTTTCAAAATAGCTTTTTAAAAAGGCTATATTCTGCAAGCAGGGTGCAAGAGTATGCTTTTCACCCCTCCCCCCAGCTAGAGCTAGAGATTGGATCTTTTTTTTTTTTTTTTTTTTTTTTTTTGAGCTGGAATCTCACTGTATTGCATAGGCTGGAGTGCAGTGGTATGATCTCGGCACACTGCAACCTCCACCTCCCAGGTTCAAGCGATTCTCCAGCCTCAGCCTCCTGAGTAGCTGGGACTACAGGGCATGAGCCACCATGCCCAGCTAATTTTTTTATTTGTAGTACAGACAGCATTTCACCATGTTGGCCAGGCTGGTCTCAAACTCCTAACCTCAAGTGATCCGTCCACCTCGGCCTTCCCAAGTGTTGGGATTTACAGGCGTGAGCCACCATGCTCCGCCAAGATCGAATCTTTATACAATGTAACCCCAAATGTGGATCACTTGGCCTCTTCTTGCCGTTCATTCATTCATGCATTGTGTGTACCATGCAAAAAGGCTGATGGCAACAAGCGAGAGATGGGAAGGAGCGTGGGTGGGTAGCTGGCCGCCATGGTTGTAATGTGGCCCTGTACTCTTCTCCTCTGCAGGCTGTGAACCCAGGCAGGTCCCTGTTCCTGCTATACGCCCTCAAGAGCTCCCCCAGGCTGAGTCTGCTCTACCTGTACCTGTTTGACTACACCGACACCTTCCTACCTTTCATCCACACCATCTGCCCTCTGCAAGAAGACAGCTCTGGGGAGGACATCGTCACCAAGCTTCTGGTAGGTCTGCACAGTGCCTGGAATAAAGTTATTCCACTGTCAAGTTATTTGCAGAGATTGCTACCCACCATGGGTGCCATGTTTCTTCAGTTTGACCCATGAACTCCTTCAGAATGTCTGGTAGGTCATTTGAGAGTAATATCCTTTGCTTTGCTTCTCTTGGGGCCAGTACTTCTGACCTGTTCATATCAAGTCACATGCATAGAGGAATCATCAAGTATCATCCACACCCATAAATAATAACACAGAATTTTGAAATCTCCAGAGATCCTTTTTTTCCCCCAAAGACCCTTGTAAACACTACAATCAAGTGCTGGCTAACTGGTTTCAGCCTTGAATATAGTCTGAAGCCTGCTAATCGGCTCCCTTGCACATTCCTCCCCTAATTACCCAGTCTCCACTTGCTGTTTACCTCACCAGACTGGCTGTGCAGAGACCCTGACCTTTAATTTTATTTATTGATTGATTGTTTGAGATTGGGTCTCATTCTTTCTCCCAGGCTGGAGTACAGTGGCACAATCACAGCTCACTGCAGCCTCGACCTCCTGGGCTCAAGCGATCTTCACACCTCAGCCTCCCAAGTAGCTGGGACTACAGGCGAGCACCACCACCCAGCTAATTGTTGCATTTTTTGCAGAGACAGGGTTTCACCATGTTGCCCAGCCTGGTCTTGAACTCCTGAATTCAAACCATCCTCCTGTAGCAGGAAGAGCTGCAGACAAAACCCCTCAGACACCGAGTTAAAGAAGGAAGGGATTTATTTGTCCGGGAGCGTCGGCAAGACTCCTGTCTCAAGAGCCGAGCTCCCCGAGTGAGCAATTCCTGTCCCTTTTAAGGGCTCACAACTCTAAGGGAGTCCACATGAGAGGGTCGTGATCAATGGAGCAAGCAGTGGGATACGTGACTGGGGGCTGCATGCGCCGGTAATCAGAACAGAAGAGAATACGACAGGGATTTTTACAGTGCTTTTCCATACAATGTCTGGAATCTATAGATAACATAACTGGTTAGGTCAGGGGTCGATCTTTAACTACCAGGCCCAGAGCGCAGCGCCGGGCTGTCTGCCTGTGGATTTCATTTCTGCCTTTTAGTTTTTACTTCTTTCTTTGGAGGCAGAAATTGGGCATAAGACAACATGAGGGGTGGTCTCCTCCCTTACTCCCACCTTGCCCTCCCAAAGTGTTGGGATTAGAGGCGTGAGCCACTGCACCTGGCACCCAGCCCTTCAATTTTAACGAGCTCCAACAGCCTCTGCCTGTTCATCAGGCTAATTTTTTTTTTTTTGAGACAGAGTCTCGCCCTGTCGCCCAGGCTGGAGTGCAGTGGCGCAATCTTGGCTCACTGCAACCTCCATCTCCCGGGTTCATGCCATTCTCCTGCCTCAGCCTCCTGAGTAGCTGGGACTACAGGCGCCCGCCACCACACCCGGCTAATTTTTTGTGTTTTTAGTAGAGATGGGGTTTCACTGTGTCAGCCAGGATGGTCTTGATCTCCTGACCTCGTAATCCGCCCTCCTCAGCCTCCCAAAGTGCTGGGATTACAGGCGTGAGCCACTGTACCTGGCCATCATCAGGCTAATTTTTTATCTGCTAATATGTGTAATTGAAAAGCTTCTCCTCCTGCCATCACAAAAAAAATTACCTTTTTTTGGAGGGAGGAGGGAGTGTTTGTAATTTTCCCAGAAACTACCATTATTCTACCATAGCCAATGTTGAATTTAGGAAATGGTTCAAGCTACCATTTGGGTAGCTTGATGGGAGAATAACTGGTTAATTTAAATTTATTTCAATGTATTCATAATTCATGCTTTTTTTTTTCTGAGCTTCCACAATTATATGACAAGCATTTCATTTCAACCTTTTTGCTAACATTTACTTAATTTGAGATTAATTACGGCCGGGTGCGGTGGTTCACTCCTATAATCCAAGCACTTTGGGAGGCAGAGGCGGGCAAATCACCTGAGGTCAGGAGTTTCAAGACCAGCCTGGCCAACATGGCAAAACCTCGTCTCTACTAAAAATACAAAAATTAGCCGGGCGTGGTGGTATACACCTTTAATCCCAGAAGCACTGTCTGTGTCTTGGATGGTAGCGAGACAAGATGGTGGATCCCCAGACTCAGGGCTTGTATACATAGGGAAGGGGCATACATGCTTCAGAAGGGATGTGCAGAACAATTGCTTAGGGTCGGGATTTATGGTAAGTACGAGAACATACTCAGGAGGCTGAGACAGGAGAATCACTTGAACCCAGGAGGTGGAGGCTGCAGTGAGCCGAGATGGCACCACTGCATTCCAGCCTGGGTAACAGATCAAGACTCCGTCTCAAAAAAAAAAAAAAAAAAAACAATTACAAGATGAGTTGATGGATGGAAATTTCATTTTAGATTGTTGGATGTGTGTGTGTGTGTGGTAATCAATGTAGAACTCACTGTGATCATCACAATTTTTTTTGAGACACAGTCTCCCTCTATCACCCAGGGTGAAGTGCAGTGGTGCGATCTCAACTCACTGCAACCTGCACATCCCGGGTTCAAGTGATTCTCTTGCCTCAGCCTCTAGAGTAGTTGGGATTACAGGCACACACCACCACGTCTGGCCAATTTTTGAATTTTTAGTAGAGATGGGGTTTCACCATGTTGGCCAGCCTGGTCTTGAACTCCTTACCTCAGGTGATCCGCCCACCTAGGCCTCCCAAAGTGGTGGGATTACAGGTGTGAGCCACCGTGCCTAGCCTGATCATCACAATATTTTGTGTAAAAGTCAGTCCTCATGACTTTTTGCGTCTGTGTGTTATTTTTTAAGGATCTTAAGGAGCCTACGTGGAAGCAGTGGAGAGAGTTCCTGGTCAAATACTCCTTCCTTCCATACCAGCTGATTGCTGAGTTTGCTTGGGACTGGTTGGAGGTCCATTACTGGACATCACGGTTTCTCATCATCAATGCTATGTTACTCTCAGTTCTGGAATTATTCTCCTTTTGGAGAATCTGGTCGAGAAGTGAACTGAAGTAAGTATGTTTTAATGGTTGTCACAACAGGGGATGGGAAAGAAATACCAAGTGAGAGAAAGATCCTCTTTTATTTCTCACACTTGAAATAAATCCTCCATCCACCCAGACCCTTCAGACTCTGCTTTGAGAAACCTAGCTTAAGCAGTGAATAGGACAATTACCTGTGTTTTGGGGGTGGGGGTTGTGGTGCTCATTGTTAAAAGTATTTTCCTATATGTCTTATCTCTATGCAATAATATACCATTTAATTTCAGGGGGAGGGGGGCAAAGGATTGTAATAATCAAGGAATAAGCAACTGAATAGAAAAGGGTCTGTTTTAAGGTAGGCAGGCCTGTGCAAACCTATCCCCTAAATCAGAGGAAGCTGAGGGGCTGAAGGAAGAAGCTGGCAAATTCAGTTTCTCAGAAAGAAACACTTAATAAGGCCTTGCCAACAGAAGCCCTGTCTGTGTCTTGGATGGTAGCGAGACAAGATGGTGGATCCCCAGACTCAGGGCTTGTATACATAGGGAAGGGGCATACATGCTTCAGAAGGGATGTGCAGAACAATTGCTTAGGGTCGGGATCTATGGTAAGTAAGAGAACATCAAGGCTGTTTCACCAAAGGGCAGGATTTACGTGATGTACGTGCTCTTACACAAGAAACATTAGATAAAACCAGAGATCTTAGAGGCTTCCCCCAAACCGGAGTTAGTGAGAAGTCAATATGGCAGATTAGCATCCAATATAGAGTTGCTTTGGCCTCCACAGGGTGCTTTATAGAAAATGCAGTAAGGTAGAGCATAAAGAGATCTCATGGGAAATTCTGTAGGCATGAGTTCTAATCCTGATCTGTAACCAACTAGGATAATAATAACTTAGGCTTCAAGCATGACTGGACCCTGAGACCCAAACGCTGTCACCAGTACTGACTCTTTCTCTGTCCCTCACAGCACTGTTCTTTCTTGTGTTTTCTGCCTCAGGCATCTCTCTTCATGTGGGGGCCCTTGTCTTCTCCACTCCAGACTTTGATCTGTGCAGCTTAACAAACCTCCAGAAAGAAAGCACTTCCTTCCCTGTGGCACTGGAAAAGGTCTCAGGGCTCACATGCCTTTGTTCTGATGGACCCAGGCTTGAGGCATGAGTTCACCCCACAACCAGAGGCTGGTTTCAGCCCTACCCAGACCACATGGAAAAGAACAAAGGAGAGAGAATCCCCAAAACTTAGAGGCTGTTGCCAGGTGCAGTGGTTCATGCCTGTAATCCTAGAACTTTGGGAGGCCAAGGCAGGTGGATCACCTGAGGTCAGGAGTTCGAGACCAGCCTGGCCAACATAGTGAAACCTCATCTCTACCAAAAATACAAAAATTAGCCAGGCGTGGCGGTGGGTGCCTGTAATCCCAGCTACTCGGGAGGCTGAGGCAGGAGGATCGCTTGAACTCAGAGAGGTGGAGGTTGCAGTGAGCTAAGATTGCACCATTGCACTCCACCCTGGGCGACAAAACGAGAGTCCATCTCAAAAAACCCCCAAAAACTTAGAAGCTATTTCCAGAAGAAAGGGACAGGCAGAAGTAACACTGCCACCCTTGCAGCCTTTTACCTTGACATTCTGACTCGCAGCCTTATGAATGGTTCTGAGAACCTAACAATCTCCCTCACCTTTCCAATGGTGACTCACTAGGTAAAAATAAAAAAAGAATCTCCCTCATTTCTTTCCATTTAGCAAACTCACTTATTTATATACAATATGCATATTTATGCCCCTACTGTACTCCTGGTTCTCTCCTGGGCATGGCAGATCTTTTGGTAAAGAAGACAGTCTATAGTGTGAGGCCCTACAGCCTAGCAAAGAAAATATGTACGTTAAAAAATAGATGGTCAGGCACCTTGGCTCATGCCTGTAATCCCAGCACTTTGGGAGGTGAGAGGATTGCTTGAGACCAGGAGTTCAAGTGCAGCCTGGGCAACGTGGCAAAACCTGTCTCTAAAAATACAAAAAATTAACTGGGCGTGGTGGTGCACACCTGTAGTCCCAGCTACTCGGGAGGTTGAGGTGGAGGATCACCTGAGCCGAGGAGTTTGAGACCAGCCTGGGTAACATAGCGAGACCTTGTCCCTACTTAAAATAATAATAATAATAATAATAATAATTAGCCAGATGTGGTGATGTGTGCCTGTGGTCCCAGCTACTCAGGAGGATCACTTGAGACCTGGAGGTCAAGGCTGCAGTTGAGCCACATTTGCACCACTGCACTCCCAGGCTGGACAAAGGAATGAGACCCTGTCTCAAAAGGAAAAAAAAATATGTAAATGTAACAAAGTGATGAAGCAGGTGAAGTTGAGGCTGTCACAGGGAGGCCTTGCCCAGTGTGGGGGCAAAGAAGCTCCCTGTAGGTCATGTCCTTGAGAGTTAAAAGATGGGTTGAGTAGGCAGAGGTCTCAGGCACCGGGGACAGAAGACAAGGACATTCAGCACGGGCAGCCATGCTCTTCCCAGCACCCAGAAAAGGCCCAGGGCCCGGACTCCTGGGTGTGGTCATGAGAAGCGCCTCCGATTCAGCCTCTTCTCTTCTTGTTTCAGGACCGTGCCTCAGAGGATGTGGAGCCATTTCTGGAAAGTATCAACGCAGGGGCTTTTTGTGGCCATGTTCTGGCCCCTCATCCCTCAGTTTGTTTGCAACTGTTTGTTTTACTGGGCCCTGTACTTTAACCCAATTATTAACATTGATCTTGTGGTCAAGGAACTCCGGCGGCTGGAAACCCAGGTGTTGTGACTGGCACTGCCCAGGCTGAGACTCTTCAAGTCCCGCTGACGTCTGAGCTTTGATGCTTAAGAGGGGTGAGGCAGGGAGCGGACTTCCTATTTTCTACCCTCAGTAAAACAAGGTGCTGCTTTGTATATCAAAAGCTCCAACCATGTCCTCTCCCCCTCAGCCTGTGGGTGGCACGAGCAAGGACTGACATCCGCACAGGGAGGATTGTCTGTTTGGCTGACACAGCAGCAGCCCTTCCCACCCAGCCACCTTCCTCACAGGGACTAGGAGGCTCAGTCCCCAACGGCTGGCAAGACTCAGGGTCCTCAGTGGACATGGTGTGGGTGACATCAGAAGGGTGCCACATCAGTCCCCTCCCCAACCTCAGTGACTGACAGAGGATCCGGATCTCAGAGCCTGAGACCAGGTTTATTGGGGCCTGGCCTGTCCTCTAAGTCAAGTTTAGGAAAACAAGGATAAGATTCTGTCATAGGCATAGAGAGTTGCACATAAAAAATACCGAAGAAAACCCAAAATTCAATCAACAATTCTGTCTTATTGAAGAGTTGCTAGGATTCAGAGTAAAACTCAAAGGATTCAGTTTGAGCCTAGAATGATGGTTAGACTTGTAGTCACTGGGCTTTTGTTTTGCTTTATGGAAATCATTGAAGGTCTGGATCCCTTTCTCTGAATGGAGAGATTGAGAGGGATGTCGGGCAGTTCCCATTAGATTTAGTGGCCTTCATGTTATTCAGAATTGTTTTGGTGATACCTCACCCCTGTAATCCCAGCACTTTGGGTGGGTGAGGCAGGCGGATCACTTGAAGCCAGGACTTCAAGACCAGCTTGGCCAACATGGTGAAACCTCATCTCTACTAAAAATACAAAAATTAGCCAAGTGTGATGGCACATACCTGTAATCCCAGCTACTTGGAATTGGAAATCGCCTGAACCCAGGAGGCGGAGGTTGCAGGGAGGGAGACTGCACCACTGCACTTCAGCCTGGGTGACAGAGGGAGACTCTGTCTTAAAAAAAAAAAAAAAATCATCTGTAAAATAAATTCCGGGATAGTCGTTTTGTTCAAGGAAATGTTTTGTAAATTGAGCTCACACTATATAATCTTTATTGTCCTATCCTGATGTATAATACAGCAGGTATAATTACACCAAGCGCTATAGTTATAAATATGGCATGAAGTGAACTATGGCCTTTTATTTCCTTCCAGTGTGAACACAGCAGGTGTGAGATGTCATCTTGGAAGACAGGCCTTGCAGAAATAGGCCTACATCCAAAATATTATCTTGTGACTCCATGAACCATTCATTAACCCTTTGTATCTTTGAGTGAAAATTTTACTCAAAAGTTGCATCTGGAAGTTCGAAGAAATTACTTGAAATAAAAATAAAGATTTCTATATAGATAAAACCTATATGTAGAGAAAAAGCAATTGTCTAGAAAACACAAAACTTCTGCATTGCCGGATAGAATCTTCTAGCCATGGGCCGAGCGTGGTGGTTCGCGCCTGTAATCCCGGCACTTTGGGAGGCCAAGGTGGATGGATCACTTGAGGTCAGGAGTTCAAGACCAGCCTGACGAACATGGTGAAACCCCGTCTCTACTGAAAATACAAAAATTAGCCAGGCACGGTGGTGCGCACCTGTAGTCCCAGCTACTTGGGAGGCTGAGGCAGGAGAATCACTTGAACCCAGGAGGCAGAAGTTGCATTGAGCCAAGATCATGCCACTGCACTCCATCTGGGTGACTGAGCAAGATTCCGTCTCAAAAAAAAAAAAGTCATCTAGTCAGTCTAGTCATGCTTAAATCCCCCAGCCTGACGCAGATACTGAGCCGAGGAGCCACCCTAAGGGAAAATGGGTTTTTTCCTGCTCGTGTTTGCACATCAAGCCCCAGGGTTGCTTGACTTTACCTATTTAATGCTTGTGACCTCCCATGGACACTCACATGGCAGTGTTTGCATATCCCTGGTCTCATGCCACCCAGGGGTTGCCAGTATCCTTTACAGGTGAATAGATGGAGGATGGCTGGCAAAACACCAAGTTGGCGCTGGCTGGCTTTGGCAGAGCTGGGCCTGGGCCATCCACCTCCACCCCATGGCCTCTCACATTGTCGCCACCTGCTCCCACACCCTGCTTCAAAGATGAGTAATACCCAGATTTGCTCAGGGACTGGGGCAAAGCCATGGCGTAGAGCAAACAGGCTGGGCAGGACCTTACTCCTTATCACCAGCAGGAGGGACGGGCACACTCAGATCAGGGGCCACAGGCTGCCTCTACCTCTTCTTACCAATCATAGCAGGATGGGTACATCTAAAGGGGGTGTCTTAAAATAGTCCAGGCTGGATGCAGTGGCTCATGCCTGTAATCCTAGCACTTTGGGAGGCCGAGGTGGGTGGATTATCTGAGGTCAGGAGTTCAAGACCACCCTGACCAACATGGTGAAACCCCATCTCTACTAAAAGTACAAAAAATTGGCAGGGCACAGTGGCTCACACCTGTAATCCCAGCATTTTGGGAGGCCAAGGCAGGGTGGATCACAAGGTCAGGAGTTCGAGACCAGCCTGGCCAACATGGTGAAACCCCATCTCTAATAAAAATACAAAAATTAGCCAGGTGTGGTGGCGTGTGCCTGTAATCCCAGCTACTTGGGAGGCTGAGGAAGGAGAATTGCTTGAACCCAGGAGGTGGAGGTTGCAGTGAGCCGATATCACACCATTGCACTCCAGCTCTGGGCGACAGGGCAGGACTCCATCTCAGGGGGAAAAAATACAAAAAATTAGCTGGGTGTGGTGGCAGTACCTGTAATCCCAACTACTCGGAAGGCTGAGGCAGGAGAATCGCTTGAACGCGGGAGGCAAAGGTTGCAGTGAGCCGAGATTGCCCCACTGCACTCCAGCCTGGGCGACACAGTGAGACTCTGTCTCCGAAAAATGCAAAATAAAAATAAAATACTCAGACCCGGCTGGGTGTGGTGGCTCGCACCTGTAATCCTAACACTTTGGGAGGCTGAAGTGGGCAGATCACTTGAGCCCAGGAGTTCGAGACCAACCTAGACAACATGTGGAAACCTCATCTCTACTAAAAATAAAAAAACTAGCCAGATGTGAGTGTACGCACCTGTAGTCCTAGCTACCTGGGAGGCTGAAGTGAGATTTGCCTGAGCCCAGGAGGTCGAGGCTGCAATGAGCTGAGGTTGCACCACTGCACTCCAGCCTAGGTGATAGCGGGAGACCCTGTCTCAAAAAATATTCAGATCCTTTGATCCAAAAATGCCATTTCTGCAAATCTGGGCTAAGGAATAGGTTATGGGGAAGGGAGTGGTGAAGATTTATTTACAAGCATCCTCATCAAGCAACTAATGGAAACAGAAAATAGCTCCAATATCCAAAAACTGTCAATCTATAAAATGGTATCTAATACAGATATTTATTTATTTATTTATTTGCGTCAAGGTCCTGTTCTGTTGCCCAGACTGGAGTACAGTGATGTAATCATAGCTCACTGCAACTTTGAACTCCTAGGCACAAGTTATCTTCCCTCTTCGGCCTCCCGAGTAGCTGGGACAACAGGTGCATGCCACCATGCCTTACTAATTTTTTTTGTTTTATACAGATAGAGTCTTGCTCTGTTGCCCAGGCTGGTCTTGAACTCATGTCCTCATGTAGTCCTCCCTCCTTAGCCTCCCAAAGTATTGAGATTATAGGCATGAGCCACCTCATCCAACCCTAACACAGACATTTTAAATGAAGTTTCCAAAGATTTTTTATGACATGGAGAAAAGTTTATAAACATCATACAGTATAATCTGAACTACCCTTTTTTTTTTTTTTTTTTTTTTTTTTTTGAGATAGAGTCTTGTTCTGTCGCCCAGGCTGGAGTGCAGTGGCACAATCTCTGCTCACTGCAACCTCCACCTCCTGGGTTCAAGTGATTGTCCTGCCTCAGCCTCCTGAGTAGCTGGGATTACAGGCGCGTGCCACCACGCCTGGCTAATTTTTGTATTTTTAGTAGAGACGGGGTTTCACCATGTTGGTCAGGCTGGTCTCGAACTCCTGACCTTGTGATTCACGTGCCTTGGCCTCGCAAAGTGCTAGGATTACAAGCGTGAGCCACAGCACCCGGCCTTGAACTACATTTTTAAAACTATAGATCCTAACAGATTATTCTGAATTGTGGGAATTGGAGTGATTTTTCTTTCTGCTCTATATTTCTCTGCACTTTCATTTTTTTAAGAAGCAACAAGTATGTACCACTTTTGTAATCATTGTGCTGGGCTTACAGAAATGAGCCAACGCTGCAGGACAGCAAATACATTTTAAGGTGTAGTGGGATAAGGGAATACTCTTTCTTAAGCTAACAGCTACTGGACTTGAACTTCACCGGGTGGGTGTTGTATGGCCATCTTGTTGATTGCTGCAGCCTAGAACATAGAACATGGCCAGGCACACGGTAGGTGTTCGTTCACATTTGACTACCAGCCATCCAAGCAGGTTAGAAGACAGGTTATCTTTTCATAAAGATGGAACCTCAAAAATGGAACCGACCCCAACACAGTGATAAACACAGTCATAGTTTTATAAAATAGGTGCAGGACTTTTGGCCTTTAACTGCAAACCACATGGGCTCCAGTCCTGAGTTCTGGGATTGGGAGGGAAAGCAAACACAAGGTTGTGGCTTTATCACTTGGCTTCGGTTCCCTTCTGCAAATAACTGAATGCTGTTGTTCATTACTGAGAGGACGCTTTATTTCCTTGTGCAAAAGAGCATTTCAAGTCAAGGTAGTCAGTCACACTTGGGCGAGTCCGGCTCACATAGGAACTGGGGGTAGAAGAGGTACTTTAAGTTGTACTCAGTTTGGGCTAAGCAGTTAGCAATCTCCTGGTCACACTTGCACAACAGTTCTTGGCATTTGTTCTCTGCCGGTCCTGGAAGAAGTGGGGAAACTGAGATTAGAGCAGGGACCTGGAGAGACTCAAGGGAAACCAGTAAAGCAAGAGGCAGGACGGGTCATAAATTACATTTCTGAGACACTTGACAGCCCACCACGTGATCTCCATCTGCAGGGCTCCCCAGGAAGCAGGTGATGTCAGCCCCATTTTACAGAAAAGGAAATTGAAAGTTTCAAATGGAGAGTCCAAAGTCTGCCATACTGCTCTTCTGCATCAATATTACACGATTTCTTTTTTCTTTTCTTTTTTTTTTTTTTTTTTTCTGAGATGGGGGCTTGCTCTGTCGCCCAGGCTGGAGTGCAGTGGTATGATCTCAGCTCACTGCAGCCTCCGCCTCCCGGGTTCAAGTGATTCTCCTGCCTCAGCATCCCAAGTAGCTGGGACTAAAGGCACAGGCCACCACACCGAGCTAATTTTTTTTGTATTTTTAGTGGAGACAGGGTTTCGTCGTGTTGGCCAGGATGGTCTCGAACTCCTGACCTCAGGTGATCCACCTACCTCGGCCTCCGAAAGTGCTGGGATTACAGGCGTGAGCCACCATGCCTGGCCTGATATTACACGACTTCATTTGGGGATTCCTTTATTTAAAAATAATAATAGTAATTATTTATTTTTTGAGATAAGGTCTGTCTCTGTCACCCAGGCTGGAGTGTAGTGGCAAGGTTGTGGCTCACTGCAGCCTCCGCCTCCTGGACTCAAGCCATTCTCCCACCTCAGCCTCCCATGTGGCTGGGACTACAGGCCCACCACCATGCCCAGCTAATTTTTGTATTTTTAGTAGAGATGGGGTTTTGCCATATTGCCAGGCTGGTCTTGAACTCCTGAGCTCAAGTGATCCACCTGCCTCAGCCTCCCAAAGTACTGGGATTACAGGCACGAGCCACCACTCTCAGCCCATAATAATATTTTTTTTAAAGAAACATACTTCTCCTCAATATACTAGGCATAGAAGGAACATACCTCAAAATAATAAAAGTGATAGATGACAAACCCATAGCCCACATCATACTGAATGGGGATGAGTTGAAAGCATTCATTCCCCCAAGAGCTGGAACAAGACAAGGATGCCCACTCTCACCACTTCTATTCAGCAAAGTATTGGAAGTCCTAGCCAGAGCAGTCAGGAAAGAGAAAGAAATAAAGGGCATCCAAATGGGAAAAGAGGAAATCAAACTACCTCTGCCAATGATACAATCATATACCTAGAAAATCCTAGAGACTCCTCCAAAAGACTCCTAGATTTGACCAATGAATTCAATAAAGTCTCAGGTTACAAACCAGTAGCACTGCTATACATCAATAAGGACTAAGCTGAGAATGAAATCAAGAACTCAGTCCCTTTTATAATAGCTGGAAAAAAAAAAAGGAAAATAGCTACCCCAAACCTAGTAATATACTTGAGCAGGAAGGTGAAAGATCTCTACAAACAGAACTACAAAACACTGCCGAAAGAAATCATAGATGACACAAACAAATGGAAATACATCCCATGCTCATGGATTGGAAGAATCAATGTAATGAAAATGACCATACTACCCAAAGCAATCTACAGATTCAATGCAATTCCTATCAAAATACCAACATCATTTTTCACATAATTAGAAGAAACAATCCTAAAATTTACATGGAACTAAAAAAGAGCCAAATAGGCTGGGCACAGTGGCTCACGCCTGTAATCCTAGCACTTTGCAAGGCCGAGGTGGGTGGAACACCTGAGGTCAGTTCGAGACCAGCCTGGCCAACATGGTAAAACCCCATTTCTACTAAAAATACAAAAATTAGCCAGGCATGATGGTGTGTGCCTATAAGCCCAGCTGATCGGGAGGCTAAGGCAGGAGAATCACTTAAACCTGGGGGGCAGAGGTTGCAGTGAGCTGAGATCATGCCCCCTGCACTCCAGCCTGGGTGACAGAGAGACTCCATCTAAAAAAAAAAAGAAAAGAAGAAAAAATCTGTAGGCATCACTACCCAGCTTCAAATTATGCTACAAGGCTATAGTAACCAAAACAGCATGGTACTAATATAAAAGTAGATACATAGACCAACAGAACAGAATAGAAAACCCAGAAATAAAGCTAAACACGTACAACTAACTGATCTTCAACAAAGCACTCAAGGCCAGGCGTAGTGGCTCATGCCTGTAATCCCAGCACTTTGGGAGGCCAAGGCAAGCGGATCACCTGAGGTTCAGTGTTTGAGACCAGCCTGACCAACATGGAGAAACCTCGTCTCTACTAAAAATACAAAATTAGCTGGGCGTAGTGGTACATGCCTGTAATCCCAGCTACTTGGTAAGCTGAGGCAGAAGGATCGCTTGAACCCGGGAGGAGGAGGTTGCAGTGAGCTGAGATTGCACCATTGCACTCCAGCCTGGGCAACAAGAGTGAAACTCCATCTCAAAAAAAAAAAAAAAACACTCAAAAACATAAATTGGGGAAATGACACCCTATTCAATAAATAGTACTGGGAAAACTGAAGAGCTGCATGTAGAAGAATGAAACTGGATCCCTATCTCTCACCATCTACAAAACTCACCATATACATCAACTCAAGATGGATTAAAGACTTAAATCTAAGACCTGAAACCATAAGAATTCTAGAAGAAAACCTTGGAAAAACTCCCCTGGACATTGACCTAGGCAAGGAATTTATGACTAAGACCCCAAAAGCAAATGCAACAAAACAAAAATAAATAAATAGGACTTAATTAAACTAAAAAGCTTCTGCATAGCAAAAGAAGTAATCATCAGAGTAAACAGACAACCCACAGAATGGGAGAAAATATTTGCAAACTACATATCTGACAAAGGACTAATATCCTGAATCTACAAAAAACTCAAATCAGCAAGAAGAAAAGAAAAAACCTCATCAAAAAGTGGGCACATGGCCAGGCACGATGGCTCACATCTGTAATCCCAGCACTTTGGGAGGCCAAGGTGGGCAGATCATGAGGTCAGGAGTTCGAGACCAGCCTAGCCAACATGGTGAAACCCCGTCTCTACTAAAAATACAAAAATTAGCCTAGTGTGGTGGCTCATGCCTGTAATCCCAGCTACTTGGGAGGCTGAGGCAGGAGAATCATTTGAACCCGGGAGGCAGAGGTTGCAGGGAGCTGAGGTTATGTCACTGCGCTCCAGCCTAGGTGACAGAGCAAGACTCAAAAAAAAAAAAAAAAAAAAGTGGGCACATGACATGAATAGACATTTCTCAAAATATATATAAATGACCAGCAAATGAAAAAATGTTTAACATAACTCGTCATCGGGGAACTGCAAATTAAAACCACAATGAGATACTACCTTACCCCAGCCAGAATGGCCATTATTGAAAAGTCAAAATAGACATTGACCTGAATGTGATGAAAAAAGAATGCTTTTAGACTGCTGGTGCTAAGATCAGTTAGCACAACCTCCATGGAAAACAGTATGGAGATTTCTCAAAGAACGAAAAGTAAATCTACTATTCTTTCTAGCCATCCCACTACTAGGTATCTACCCAAAGGAAAATAAATCATTATATCAAAAAGACGTGCGCGCATTTGTTTATCACAGCACAGTCACAATTGCAAAGATATAGAACCAACCTAAGTGCCCATCAACCAATGAGCAGATAAAGAAAATGTGGTGGCTGGGTGCAGTGGCTCACGCCTATAATGCCAGCACTTTGGTAGGCCGAGGTGGGCGGATCACGAGGTCAGGAGTTCAAGACCAGCCTCACCAATATGGTGAAACCCCATCTCTACTAAAAATACAAAAATTAGCCAGGCGTGGTGGCGCATGCCTGTAGTCCCAGCTACTTGGGAGGCTACGGCAGGAGAATCGCTTGAACCCAGGAGGTGGAGGTTGCAGGGGGCCAAGATCACGCCACTGCACTCCAACCTGGGTGACAGAACAAGACTCCTTCTCAAAAAAGAAGGAAAAGAAAATGTGGTTACATATACACCATGGAATACTACTTAGCCATAAAAAAGAACAAAATGTTTTCTGCAGCAACTTGGATGAAGCTGGATGAAGCAACTTGGATGAATTGATGTTGGTATTTTGATAGGGATTGCAAGGAAGTTACGTCACTTATTCTAACTGATGAAACTTAAGAATGGAAAACCAAATACTGTATGTTCTCACTTATAAGTGAGAGCTAAGCTATGGGGGGTACACAAAGGCATACAGAGTGGTATAACGGACACATTGGAGACTGAGGTGGGGAGGGATAAAAAGCTATGTATTGGGTACAATGTAGACTACTTGGGTGATGGGTGCACTAAAAGCTCAGATTTCACCACTATACAATTCATCCATGTAACCAAAAACCACTTGTACCCCTAAGGCTACTGAAATAAATAATAAGTAAAAATTTTCAAAAGAATATTTCTGGAATGTTTTAATTTTTCATAACAAACATGTATTGGGTTTGAATCAGAAAAAGTATGCAAATGAATGGTTGAATGAATGGTGGGATAGATGGATCCCTCATCATGCACTCCTGCTTCTTGTTACCAGGGCAAAATTCTCACAACACAAAATGTACCATTTCAAAGTGTACAAGTCAGTGACATTTAGTACATTCACAATGCTGGGCATCTATCTAGTTCTAAAACTTTTCATTTTTTTTTGAGACGGAGTTTCACTCTGTTGCCAGGCTGGAGTGCAGTGGCACGATCTCAGCTCACTGCAACCTCCGCCTCCTGGGTTCAAGCGATTCTCCTGCCTCAGCCTCCCGAGTAGCTGGGACTACAGGCGCACACCACCACGCCTAGTTAATTTTTGTGTTTTTAGTAGAGACCGGGTTTTACCATGTTGGCCAGGATGCTCTCAATCTCTTGACCTCGTGATCTGCCCGCCTTAGCCTCCTAAATTACAGGCGTGAGCCATTGCGCCCGGAGTTCTAAAACATTTTTATCACCCCAGAAGAAACCCCATTCCCCTCAAGCAGGCACTCCCCATGGATGGATGGATGGATGGATGGATGATGGATGATGGACAATGGATGGCTGGATAGATGGATGGTGGGTGGATGGATGGAAGATGGGTGGATGGATGATGGATGGATGGAAATTGGATGGATGGGTGATGGATGGATAGATGGATGGATGGATGGATGGATGGATGGATGGATGGATGGATAGATGGAAGAATGAATGGATGGATGATGGATGGATGGATAGATGGATGATAGGTGAATGGATAATGGATGAATAGATGGCGAGACAGATGAATGGATAAACATAATATGTGCGAAAATTAGTCATAGAACCAGCCAGTGCAGGAACAAGCCTTCCTGCCTGTAAGCTTTCCATGGGCTGCTGCACAACAGAAACCCTCAGAGAAATATGATGTAGTGGGGAGGGGACTCTTGAGGAAGGAGCCACTGTAGCTTCCTGGCTATAGCCCCAGGGTGGCATACAGGGCTGGCTGAAGGCCGGCTGTCCAAGGACAGAAGAGTGGTCAGCTACAGGGCGACGGGGACAAATACCCCAGCCAGCTCCTCTTCCCCTCACACCCTCACCCATCCACTGGCAACTCCTGCAGTTCCATCCAGCCAGATTTGTCCAGAAGCCAGCCCCTTCCACCATCTTCACTGCCACCCCCTGCCCAAGCCACCTCTCTCCAAGACCACTGCAACAGCCTGATAGCCACATCCAGCTTCCACCCTTTCCCTCTCCTGGGTTTGTACCATATGGCAACCAGAGTAGTTTGGTTAAAATACATATCAAGGCCGAGTGTGGTGGCTCACGCCTGTAATCCCAACATTTTGGGAGGCCGAGGTAGGTGGGTCACCCGAGGTCAGAAATTTTGAGACCAGCCTGGCCAACATGGTGAAACTCCATCTCTACTAAAAGTACATAAATTAGCAGGGCATGGTGGCACATACCTGTGATTCCAGCTACTCAGGAGGCTGAGGTGCGAGGATCGCTTGAGCCCAAAAGGCAGAGGTTGAAGTGAGCCGAGATCACACCACTGCACTCCAGCCTGGGTGACAGAGCAAGACTGTCTCAAAAAAAAAAAATGCAAATCAGGTCATGTCCCTCCCCTGCTCAAAACCCTCCTTGGCTCCCCATCTCTCTCAGAGAAGAGCCTCCAATGCCCTAGGAATCTAGCCCCTATCACTCTCCGACATCATCCCCTACTTCTGTCACTCTGGGGGACTCTGCTCCAGCCTCACCGAACTCCTTGTGATCCTCAGACCACCCAGACACTTGTGCGTACCCCAGGGCCCTTGCACTGGCTGTTGCATCACCTCCACGTGGCTGTCTCCTCTGTTCCTCAGGTCTCTGCTTCATTGGTGTCTCCGGGAGACTTTCTCTCACCCCAACCACTCTCAGTAACAGAGAAATCCTCACCATGCACTCCTGCTTTTTGTTATTGGGGCAAAATTCTCACAACCTAAAATTTACCATATTAAAATGTACAGTCAGTAGCATTTAGTACCTTCACAATGCTGGGCACCTATCTAGTACTAAAACACTGTTATCACCCCAGGCTGAGCATGGTGGCTTAGGGCTGTAATCTCAACACTTTGGGAGGCTGAGTCAGAAGGATTGCTTGAGGTCAGGAGTTCAAGACCAACCTAGGCAGCATAGCAAGACACCATCTCTACAAAAAATACAGGCCGGGCGTGGTGCTCGTGCCTGTAATCTCGGCACTTTGGGAGGCCGAGGCGGGCAGTTCACAAGGTCAGGAGTTCAAGAACAGCCTGGCCAACATAGAGAAAACCCATCTCTACTAAAAATACAAAAATTAGCCAGGTGTGGTGGCACATGCCTGTAATCCCAGCTACTAGGGAGGCTGAGGCAGGAGAATCACTTGAACTCGGGAGACGGAGGTTGCAGTGAGCCGAGATCATGCCATTGCACTCCAGCCTGGGCAACAAGAGCAAGACTCCACCTCAAAAAAAAAAAAAAATAATAATAATAATAATAATACAAAAATTAGCTCAGCATGGTGGCACGTGCCTGTAGTCCCAGCTACTTGAGAGGCTGAGGCAGGAGAATCCCTTAATCTCAGGATTTTGAGGCTGCAGTGAGTTGTGATCATGCCACTGCACCCAGCCTGGGTGACAGATCGAGATGGTCACCACAGAAGAAACCCAACTCTCTTTAAGCATTCGCTCCCCGTTCCCACTCTTCTGCATTCCCAGCAACCACTAGTCTACTTTCTATTTCTGTGGATTTGCCTATTCTGGACAATTCATATAAATGAAGTCATATGATATACGTGACCTCTTTTTTGTATTCCTAACATAGCAACAGAAAGCCTATATACATGACCTCTTATGTCTGGCTCTGTTCACTCGATGCTGTATTTCTTCTTCCTTTCTTTTTGCTTTTCTTTTTTTTTTTTTTTGAAACAGAGTCTCACTCAGTCGCCCAGGCTGGAGGGCAGTGGCATGATCTCCACTCATTGCAACCTCTCTGTCTTCCAGGTTCAAGCAATTCTCCTGCCTCAACCTCCCGAATAGCTGGGATTACAGGCACCTGCCACCACGACCGGCTAATTTCATATTTCTAGTAGAGACGGGGTTTCACCATGTTGGCGAGACTGATCTCGAACTCCTGACCTCAAGTGATTCACCAGCCTAAGCCTCTCAAAGTGCTGGGATTACAGGCGTGAGACACTGTGCCCGGCCTTTTTTGTTGAGGCAGGGTCTCACTCTGTCACCCAGGCTGGAATGCAGTGGCATGATCACGGCTCACTGCAGCCTGGACCTCCTGAGCTCAAGTGATCCTCCCACCTCAGCCTCCCGAGTAGCTGGAACTACAGGCATGCGCTACTATGCCAGGGTCTCGCTATGTTGCCCAGGCTGGTCTCAAATTTCTGGGCTCAAGTGATACTTCTGTCTTGGCCTCCCAAAGTGTTGGGATTACAGGTGGGAGCCATCGTACTCAGCCCATCATATTTTCAAAGTTCATCCATGTTGTAGCAGGTATAGTAATTCACCTGCTTTATCTCTCAACACAATAGTTACAAAGCACTTGGCGCACACACTACTTCCCTGTCTCCTCCTTTTTAACAATACCTCGTGGCTCTGCCTTGCCCAAAACCTAGCATGGAGCCCGGCAGAGTAGACTCACAGTAATATTTGTTGACAGACCAGAGAAAAGCCTTAGAAAAGCCATTCATCCTCATGCCTGTAATCCCAGCACTTTGGGAGGCTGAGGTGGGCAGATCCCTTGAGGTCAGGAGTTCAAGACCAGCCTGGCCAACATGATGAAACCCCGTCTCTACTAAAAATACAAAAAAAAATTAGCTGGGTATGGTGGTGCGCCTGTAGTCCCAGCTACTTGGGAGGCTGAGGCAGGAGAATGGCTTGAACCGGGGAGGTGGAGGTTGCAGTGAGCTGAGATAGCACCACTGCACTCCAGCCTGGGCAACAGAGTGAGACTCTATCTCAAAGAAAAGAAAAGAGAAAAGAAAAGAAAAGGGGGAGGGGGGAGAGAGAGAGAGGAGGGGAGAGGAGGGAAAAGAAAAGCAAAGCCATATACAATCTCCAATGCTCACACAACCCCAGCAACTCTGGTCTGTTATTCCCATTTTACAGATGAGGAAAGTGAGGCTTACAGGAATTCGGTAACTCATCCAAGGTCACAGAACTGGGAAGGTGTGGACCAGGATTCCAGCCCAGGGTCTCCTGACCCAACAACGCCTCTGCTTGTCCTCTTACTTTTCTCCTTGAGCAACAAAGATTCCGCCAACAGCAAGACCTGGCCCCACTGCTCCATGATCTCAGGAACCCGATGGCATCACATTTTGAAGAAGAATAAAAATTTGAAAGGAAGAATAGCTCCCGAGGCTTAAGTTTAAAATTAAGGCCTGCTAGTAAATATTATTATAGGTTTAAATTTTTTTTAATATATTTAAGTCAGGCCCATAAATGGAAAATGGGCCAAACCTGTAATTAAATAAACAACTATGTTCAGAATATCTCCAAACAGAATAAGATAATATTTTTAGTCCAAAATGCATAATAGATATTTTAGTTCCTTTCATTTGGTTCAGAGAAGACAGTTCTGTAAACAGGCACAGACTCTACCAACAGACACACCAATATTTTATAAATATCATTTTCACCTGGGTAGGAGCAAGCAGAATAGGCAAGTTGAAGGGAGAAAGGAAAGATTTTCAACAGATTTCCCACTGAAGCCTCATTTCACCTCCTCATCACCCACACCAGAAGGGGGCAGTTTTGGGAATAAGTCACTTACTCTCCCTGAGCCTCAGTTTCCCCTTTATTTTTGTCTTTTGTAGAGATGGGGTCTCTCTATGCTGCCAGGGTGGTCTTGAACTCCTGGGCTCAAGCTATCCTCCTGCCTTGGCCTCTCAAAGTGCTGGGATTATAGGTATGAGCTACCATGCCCAGCCAGTTTCCCCAACTCTAAATGAGAGGGTTGGATGAGATGATAGATACCTGGGGCATGTTCAGGCCTAAAAATTGATTATATCATCATATTAATTCAGCTTTGCTCTTATGCCAAGTTCTAATCCGTAGTAAGAATATATAGCTGAAGATCTAAAAACATACTTCAAGTAGGCCGGGCGCGGTGGCTCGTGCCTGTAATCCCAAAACTTTGGGAGGCCGAGGCGGATGGATCAGGAGTTCAAGACGAGCCTAGCCAACATGGTGAAACACTGTCTCTACTAAAAATACAAAAAAATTAGCTGGGCATGGTGGTGTGCACCTCTAGTCCCAGCTACTCAGAAGACTGAGGCATGAGAATCACTTGAACCTGGGAGGCAGTGAGTTGCAGTGAGTTGAGATCACTCCACTGTACTCCTGCCTGGGCTACAGAGTAAGACTCTGTCTCAAAAAATAAATAAAAATAAAAACATACTTCTAATAACGCTTACAATAGCCTCTTTGCCACCAGAGCAGACCAAGTCAGCAGAACCTGGAGTTTTAATCAAGAGTTGGAACAGATCTTTGATTCTCTCCAGGAGTTAGCAGGGGTCAGAGAGAAGTTCAGATAAAGATAGGAGGAGGAGATAGAAGAAAAATTCCCATCCAATCTGTTTCTCAGCTGGGCATGGTGGCTCATACCTGTAATCCCAGCACTTTGGGAGGCCGAGGTGGGCAGATCACCTGAGGTTAGGAGTTTGAGACCAGCCAGGCCAACATGGTGAAACCCCATCTCTACTAAAAATACAAAAATCAACTGGGTGTGGTGGCAGGGGCCTGTAATCCCAGCTACCTGGGAGGCTGAGGCAAGATAATCACTTCAACCCAGGAGGCAGAGTTTGCAGTGGGCAGAGATCGTGCCACTGCACTTCAGCCTGGGCGACAGAGCAAGACTCCATCTCAAAACAAAAACAAAATCTGTTTCTCATCTTACAAATCTTTTCTCATCTTCACAACACCTATCTTACAGGTAAGGAAGCTGGGGTTAAGAGAAGTCAAATTATTAGCTCAAAGTGATGAAATCCTCCTCCATCTAGAGCCAAGTGATTTTCTTTTTCTTTCTTTTTTTGTTTTTTTTTTTTTTGAGATGGAGTCTTGCTCTGTTGCCCAGGCTGAAGTGCAGTGGTGCAATCTCTGCTCACTGCAATCTCCACCTCCCAGGTTCAAGCAATTCTCCTGCCTCAGCCTCCTGAGTAGCTGGGACTACAGGAGCATGCTGCCACACCCGCCTAATTTTTTTTTGTATCTTAGTAGAGATGGGGTTTCACCGTGCTGCCCTGGCTGGTCTCGAACTCCTGAGTTCAGGCAATCCATCCGCCTCAGCCTCCCAAAGTGCTAGGATTACAGGTGTGAGCCACCACTCCTGGCGGTGATTTTCAGCAAAGGTAGCAGGATGATTCAATGGGGAAGAGTCTCTTCAACCAAGAGGGCTGAGATAACTGGATAACAACATGCAAAAGAATAAAGTTCAACCCCTTACCTCACTCCGTAGACAAAAATTAACTCAAAATGGATCAATGACCTAAATATTAGAGTTAAATATGATAAACCTATTAGAAGAAAACTTAACGGTAAATATTTATAACTTTGGATTTGGCAGTGGATTCTAAGGACACCAAAAACACGAGCAACAAAAGACAACAGATTAATTGAACTTCATCAAACTTAAACAGTTTTGTGCAAAGACACTATCAAGGAAGTGAAAAGACAACTTACATAATGGGAGAAAATATTTGCAAATCACATATCGGGTAAGAGTCAGTATCCACAGTATATAAAGAACTCTTAACTGGGCATGGTGATTCATGCCTGCAATCCCAGCACTTTCAGAGGCAGACAGGCAGAAGGATTGCTTGAAGCCAAGATTTTGAGACCAGCCTGGGCAACTTATCTCTACAAAAAGTTTAAAAATGGCGGGGCGTGGTGGCTCGCGCCTGTAATCCCAGCACTTTGGGAGGCCAAGGCAGATGGATCATGAGGTCAGGAGTTCGAGACAGCCTGGCCAACATGGTGAAACCCCGTCTCTACTAAAAAATATATAAAAATTAGCCGGGCGTGGTGGTGCATGCCTGAGACAGGAGAATAGCTTGAGTTCAGGAGGCGGAGGCTGAAGTGAGCCGAGATCACGCCATTGCACTCCAGCCTGGACAAAAAGAGTGAGACTCCATCTCAAAAAAAAAAAAAAAAAAAAAAAAGGCTAAAAATTAGCTGGGCACTTGGCCAGGCACAGTGGCTCATGCCTGTAATCCCAGCACTTTGGAGGCCAATGTGGGTGGATTGCTTGAGGTCAGGAATTTGAGACCAGCCTGACCAACAGGGTGAAACCCAGTCTCTACTAAAAATACAAAAATTAGCTGGGCGTGGTGGCGGGCACCTGAAATCCCAGCTACTCAGGAGGCTGAGGCAGGAGAATCGCTAAAACCTGGGAGGCAGAGGTTGTAGTGAGCCACGATCGTGCCACTGCACTCCAGCCTGGGCGACAAAGTGAGACTTTGTCTCAAAAAAATTAGCCCAGCATCGTGCCACACACCTATAGTCTCAGCTACTCAGGAGGCTGAGCCAAGAGGATAGTTTGAGCCCAGGAGTTTGAGGCTGCAGTGAGCCATGATCATGCCACTGTACTCCAAGCTGGGTGACAGAGCAAGACCCTGTCTCAACAAAAGAAGTAAAACAGGATTACCGTATGACCCAGCAATTCCACTCCTAGGTATATACTCCAAAATATTGAAACCAGGTACTCAAATAAGTATTTGTTCATGAATGTTCATAGCAGCACTATTCACATAAGCCAAAAGGTGGAAACAACCCAAATGCCCATCATTGAATGAATGGATAAACGAAATGTGATCTATCCATGCAGTGGATATTATTCAGCCATAAAATGAATGACGTACTGACACATGCTATTAATACAACATGAACAGGATGGGTGTGGTGGCTCACGCCTGTAATCACAGCACTTTGGGAGGCTGAGGCAGGCAGATCACTTGAGGTCAGGAGTTCAAGACCAGCCTGGCCAACATGGTAAAACTCCATCTCTGCTAAAAATACCAAAATTACCCAGGCATGGTGGTGCACGTTTGTAATCCCAGCTACTCAGGAAGCTGAGGCAGGAGAATCGCTTGAACCCGGGAGGCGGAGGTTGCAGTAAGCCGAGATGGCACCACTGCACTCCAGCCTGGGTGACAGGTGAGATTTCGTGTCAAAAAAAAAAAAAAAAGAAAGAAAATGAGCAAATCTCAAAAACATTATACTAAGTGAAGAAGCCAGGAACATAGTGTATGATTCTATTTATATGAAATATCTAGACAGGGTAAATCCAGAGATAGAAAACTGGTAACCTGGTAAGTTTACCAGGTGTTGGTGGTAGGGAGGAATGGGAACGGATTGCTTAAGGGGAAAGGGATTTTTCGAGGCAGAGTGATGAAAAAGTTTAGGTGGTGGTTGGATGACATTGTGAATATACTAAGTATCACTGAATTATACACTTTAACATAGTTAATTTTGTGTTATGTCTATTTTCTTTTTGTTGTTGTTGTTGTTTTTGAGACAGAGTCCCACGCTGTCGCCCAGGCTGGAGTGCAATGGTGCAGTCTCGGCTCACTGCAACCTCCACCTCCTGGATTCAAGCAATTCTCCTGCCTCAGCCTTCTTAGTAGCTGGAATTAAAAGCACCCACCTGTATTTTAGTAGAGACGTGGTTTCACCATGTTGGCCAGGCTGGTCTGGAACTCCTGACCTCGTGATCCGCCCACCTCAGCCTCCCAAAGTGTTGGGATTACTGGTGTGAGCCACCACGCCCAGCCTCTTTTTTTCTTTACTCTTTTTTTTTTTTTTTTTTTTTGAGACAGGCTCTCACTCTGTTGCCCAGGCTGAAGTGCAGTGGTGCAATCTTGGCTCACTACAGCCTCAGCCTCCCTGGGCTTAGGTGATCCTCCTTCCTCAGCCTCCCAAGTAGCTGAGACTGCAGGTGCACACCACCACACCGTGCTAGTTTTCATATTATTTGTAGAGATAGGGTTTCACCATGTTGCCCAGGCTGGTCTTGAATTCCTAGGCTCAAGCCATCTGCCCGTCTTGAGATTACAGGAGTGAGCCACAGCGCCGAGCCTGTTATGTCTATTTTCAAGTAACAGAAAATAGAAAAAAAGGGATGGAACTAGTGGTCTGGATCATGACTAGCTCTTCAGATAACTTTGAGTCTCGCTGCCGAAACTCAAGCCTTATCTGCATTCTCCCTGTACCATTACTCACTTCCTAGTTGTTTTCATTGTTTTAGCTTTCTTATTTATTTGAAGGGAAACTATAAATGGAAAATGCCATACATCAGAATGGAATCTATTTCTTTTTGTTTTTGTTTGAGATAGAGTTTCACTCTGTTGCCCAGGCTGGAGTACGATCTCGGCTCACTGCAACCTGTGCCTCCTGGATTCAAGTGATTCTCCTGCGTCAGACTCTCGAGTAGCTGGGATTACAAGCATGCACCAACATACCAGGGTAATTTTGTATTTTTAGTAGAGACAGGGTTTCACCATTGAGGCTGCTCTCAAACTCCTGGCCTCAAGTGATCCACCTGCCTTGGCCTCCCAAAGTGCTGGAACTATAGGCGTGAGCCACAGCACCCGGCCCAAAATGGAATCTTAAAAATAAATACCACGGCCAGATGCAGTGGCTCACACCTGTAATTCCAGCACTTTGAGAGGCTGAGGCGGGTGGATCACTTGAGGTCAGGAGTACAAGACCAGCCTGACCAACATGGCAAAACCTCATCTCTACTAAAAATACAAAAATATTAGCCAGGTGTAGTGGCAGGCACCTGTAATCTCAGCTACTCAGGAGGCTGAGGCAGGAGAATCACTTGAACCCAAGAGGTGGAGGTTGCAGTAAGCCAAGAACATGCCATTGCACTCCAGCCTGGGCAACAGGAGTAAAACTCTGTCTCAAAAAAAAACAAAAAAAAATCAAAAAACAAACAAACAAAAAAACCCACACTCCAAAAACAAACAAACAAACAATAAATAAATAATATAAAAATAAAATAAATACTACAGTCCTTATGTTATTGCTTTGTTTCAAAATCTTGTAGGATTGCCTGAGGGACCTGAGATTTTTAATTGCAGGGTTTTTTTTATATATCTTTAGAAGTGGTTGGTTAGGTAAAATTTTTTTTTTTTTTTTTTGAGACTGGGTTTTGCCCTGTTACACAGGCTGGAGTGCTGTGACTCGATCACAGCTCACTGCAGCCTCAACCTCCTGGGCTTCAAGCGATCCTCCCACCTCAGCCTCCCAAGTAGCTGGGATCACAGATGTGTGCCACCACGCCTGGCCAATGTTAAAAAAATCCTTTAACTTTTTTGTAGAGATGCACTCCTGGCCTCAAGCGATCCTCCTTCTGGTCCCCACCCCCAGCCTCTTTCTGATAAACATTTACACTGTTTATTATCTGATGCCATTTCTATCTTCTTCCTTGTCGTCCAGACATCAAATAATTAGGTTTCTTCATGGTTTTCTTTTTCAAGTCCTCATTGTTAAAGATCACTCACATTAGGGCCAGACACCATGCCTCACGCCTGTAATCTCAGCACTTTGGGAGGCCGAGGCGGGCAGAGCACTTGAGGTGGGGAGTTTGAGACCAGCCTGGCCAACTTGGTGAAACCCCACCTCTACTGAAAAAATACAAAAATTAGCTGGGCGTGATGGTGCATGCCTGTAGTCCCAGCCACTTGGGAGGCTGAGGCACGAGAATCGCTTGAACCCAGGAGGCAGAGGTTGTAGTGAGCCAAGATCACATCAGCACACTCTAGCCTGGGTGACAGAGCGAGACTCTGACTCAAAAAATAAATAAAATAAATATCACTTACATTAGATATACCCAAGGGGTGGTCTATAGAGACTTGGAAGCAGTGGTTATTGCAACAGGGGCACGGAAGTCATCTGGCTATGCCAGGATGCCCAGGGGATACTCGGGGTGGGTGGCATGGTGCTGCTGGGGACTCACCGCACAGGACGCTCTGATTGACGCACTGCCAGGAGTAGCGCTCTGTCTTGGGGCTGCAGCCGGCCTCCTCAGCTCGAGTGTAACAACAGTCGTGGCCATGGCAGCACCTGCGGATGTCACATGGGCAGGACAGCAGGTGGGTGAAGCTCTCTCCTGGCCCTCCTCTCTTGCCAGGACTATGGGTGACTGAAGACCCCCAGGGAGGCACAGCATCCTCTTATCTAAGATTTTTTTTTTTTTAAGAGACAGGGTCTTTCTCTGTCGCCCAGGCTGGACTGCAGTGGCACAATCATAGCTCACTGCAGCCTTGAACTCCTGGGCTCAAGCGATCCTCCCACTTCAGTGTCCCAAGTAGCTGAGACTACAGGCACACGCCAGCATGCCCGGCTGGTTTTTTAATTTGTATTTCCTTTGAGACAGCGTATCTCTCTGTTGCTCAGGCTGGAGTGCAATGGCTCAATCAGCTCACTTTAGCCTTGAACTCCCAGGCTCAAGTGATACTGCCACCTCAACCTCTCAAGTCTGCTACTACAGGAAGACAAACTCCTTTTTTAAATTTTTTGTGGATATGGGGTCTCACTATGTTGCCTAGGCTGGTCTCGAGCTCCCAGGCTCAAGCAGTCCTCCTACCTCAGCCTCCACAAATGCTGGGATTACAGGTGGGAGCTACTGTACACCTGGCCTTATCTAAGCTGTTTCCCTGAAAATCCCCGTCTTGGGTAATGATTCCATTGGCCCCACCATGCCCTGTCCTGCCTTCCTGGCTGTGCCCAAGCTTGGTCCCTGCCTGCCTGCCTGCCTCCCTCTCTGGGTCTCGAGCTCCTGTGACACATGACTCCTCTCTCTTCCTGGAGTGATCCAAGCCCTGCCACTTCCTGACTTTGCCCACACTGTACCCTCTGCCTGGGGCAACTTCATGTCTGCCCATTGACCCTTAGGCCTCAGCCCAGGCACAAGCCCCTGCCTCTGGAGGTCATCCAGGCCTCACCAGGCTACACCCTCTCATAAAATCGGATTCCCTCCCTTCAGGGTAGGTTTATAATGAAACCCTCCTTAGAGGCCAGGTGCGGTGACACCCATCTGTAATCCCAGCACTTTGGGAGGCTAAGGTGGGAGGATCACTTGAGATCAGGGGGTCGAGACCAGCCTGGGCAACATAAGAAAACTCTTGTCTCTCTTGTCTCTATAACAAATTTAAAAATTAGCTCACCAGGCCAGGCTCAGTGGCTCATGCCTGTAATCCCACTCAGGCTGGAGTGCAATGGCACGATCTTGGCTCACTGCAACCTCCACCTCCTGGGTTCAGGTGATTCTCCTGCCTCAGCCTCCCGAGTAGCTGGGATTACAGGCATGCGCCACCATGCCTGGCTAATTTTGTAGTTTTAGTAGAGACAGGGTTTCGCCGTGTTGGCCAGGCTGGTCTGGAACTCCTGACCTCGTGATCCACCTGCCTTGGCCTCCCAAAATACTGGGATTACAGGCGTGAGCCACCGCACCTGGACACGTTACTGAATATTTCTGTGCCTTGGTTTCTTCATCTGTGAAATGGGATTGTTGTGAGAACGCAAAGGGATTCCCAGGGCAGTTCCTAGTGCATAGTCTGGCTTCCTTTGTGTGTGTGTGTGTGTGTGTGTGTGTGTGTGTGTGTGTGTGTGTGTGTGTGTGTTTAATATAGAGACAGGGTCTCACTATGTTGCCTAGGCTGGTTTCAAACTCCTGGTCTCCAGTGATATTACTGCTTCGACCCAAAGTGGTGGGATTACAGGTGTGAATCACCACACCTGGTCACTTTATATTTTTATTATTTTTTTCTTTTGAGACAGGGTCTCGCACTGTCACCCAGGTTGGAATGCAGTGGTGCAATCTCAACTCACTGCAAACTCCACCTCCTGGGTTGAAGCAATTCTCCTGCCTCGGTCTCCTGAGTAGCTGGGATTACAGACGCCTGCCACCACACACAGCTAATTTTTGCATTTTTAGTACAGATGGGGTTTCACCATATTGGCCAGGCTGGTCTTGAACTCCTGACCTCAAGTGATCTGCCCACCTCGGCCTTCCAAAGTGCTGGGATTACAGGAGTGAGCCACAGCTCCTAGCCAAGTTTTTAAGGCAACGTCATCAGCTCAAGGCCAGGGTAAGGGGCAGCTGGTACCAAGATCTGGCTTCACTGGCCATGTTATCCAAGAGGCCTCTGCCTGCCTGCAAAGTAGTACTGCACACTGGGATCTCCCTGGACCAAACCCCAGCTTCAGTTTTGGGTACTTCCTCATAAGCCTTGACTACCCCAGAGTGTGAGGGATTTTGTGGCCTGGTCCCAGGCATGCACTCACCAGTCAATGGCATCGCGGGGCTGGCCATGGCCTCCCAAGCCACAAAAGCAACCATATTTCATATAGGCGATGGGGGTTCGGGGACCAACACAACCCACAGTTCCTGCCAGTTCCAGGATCCCACGCCGGTGCACACGTAATATCCTGGAGGCTGGGGGGTAAACAAAGGTGACAGGCTGCAGGTCAGGGCTTCCCAGACCCCTGGGAAGGGCATGAGCCTGAGAAGAGCCCAGGTGTTACAGCCTGGCTGTCTGGGTTTGAATCCTACTTCCTGGCTGTGTGACCTTGGACAAATTCTTAACCTCTCTGGGCCTTGGTTTCCTCATCTGTGAAATGGGGGATAAACTGACTTCAACTCATATGAATGAAATGAGATAATGAGTATAAAGCCCCTGGTGCATGAAAAGGCTATTATAATCCGGCTGGGCTCAGTGGCTCACACCTGTAATCCCAACATTTTGGGAGGCCCAGGCGGGCAGATCACCTGAGGTCAGCAGTTCAAGATCAGCCTGGCCAACATGGTGAAACCCCATCTGTAGTAAAAATACAAAAATTAGCCGAGCATAGTGGTTCATGCCTGTAATCCCAGCTACTAGGGAGGCTGAGGAAGGAGAGTCACTTGAACCTGAGAGATGAAGGTTGCAGTGAGCCAAGATTTTGCCACTGCATTCCAACCTGGGTGACAGAGCAAGAGTCTCAAAAAAAGAAAAAAAAAAGGCTAACTATTATAATCAAGGTCCTCAAGGTAGCCAAGAAGGGAAAAAAGAGTCGTGCATGAAACGTTTGTCCAGTTCCCTGTGTTGGGAACTGGGCATCACGGACGCGCCTACAGGTGTCTGTCACCAAGGTGGGCTCCTCTGTGGCAGCTCCCGGGCCCTGGCACTGCCCTGTGCTCATGACTTCCCCTCCAGACTCAGACTCAGGGCCCTTGGTATCTCCTCTTATTTTCACTGCCAGACAGGAAGGCCCCTTGGCCTGAGCCCAGCCATTTTTCTAGATCCTGGCACAGCTTGGACATGTAATGGTGCCCAATGCATGTGACTGGAACCCCTGCATTGGACATGTAGGAAACGAGGCCAGCCGGGAAAGGTAACCCCACATTCCCACAGCCAGCAGGAACCCGAGCAGAGGCTTCAACCCAGGCTTCTGACTTGCAAACCAGTGCTCCTTCCTCCTTACACAGTGACAACAGGGGAAGGTGGCCTTCGGGGTTGCCAGAGCCGAGTAGTACCAGCAATAGAGTGGAAACTCACACACAGGCTTGCCTGCTTCCTGGGTTAGGGTTAGGGTTTATACAGCTCTGGGAGGTTGACGCATTGTGTTTGATCATCTTTTTTTTTTTTTTTTGAGACACAGTCTCATTCTTGTTGCCCAGGCTGGAGCACAGTGGTTTAATCTTGCTCACAGCAACCTCTGCCTCCCAGGTTCAAGCAATTCTCCTGCCTTAGCCTCCCGAGTAGCTGGGATCACAGGCGTGCGACACCACACCCAGCTAATTTTTGTATTTTTAGTAGAAAGGGGTTTCACCATCTTGGCCAGGCTGGTCTCGAACTCCTGACCTCATATGATCCACCTGGTTTGGCCTCCCAAAGTGCTGGGATTATAGGCATGAGCCACTGCGCTCATCCTGATCATCTTGTCTCTCTTTTTTTTTTTTTTAGAGACAGTGTCTCACTTTGTCACCCACACTGGAGTGCAGTGGCACAATCAGTTCACTGCAGCCTCCAAATCCTGGGCTCAAGCAATCCTCCTGCCTCAGTCTCCAGACATACGGGCATGCACCACCATGCCCAGCTAATTTTTAAATTTTTAGTAGATATGGGGTCTCACTATGTTGCCCAGGCTGTTCACAAACTCCTGGCCTCAAGTGATTCTCCTGCCTTGGCCTCCGAAGGCGCTGGGATTCCAGGCATGAGCCACCATGCCCAGTCTCATTTCTGTTTTATCTAGAACAGTTTTCATCACACTGACTTTTTTGAGAAGTCCAGGCCAGATTGAAATTCCATTTTGTCTTTTTATCAGTGGAAAAAGTAGCATATTTATGTTGGAGGACAAAGATGAATCAAAGAGGAAGAAAATGTAAAACGCATTTGGGGCCGGGCGCGGTGGCTCACGCCTGTAATCCCAGCACTTTGGGAGTCCGAGGCGGGCAGATCACCTGAAGTGAGCAGTTCCAGACCAGCCTGACCAACATGGAGAAAGCTGTTTCTACGAAAAATACATAATTAGCTGGGCATGGTGGTGCACGCCTGTAATCCCAGCTACTTGGGAGGCTGAGGCAGGAGAATCGCTTGAACCCGGGAGGTGGAGGTTGCAGTGAGCCGAGCTCGTACCACTGCACTCCAGCCTGGGCAACAGTGAGACTCTGTCTCAAAAAAAAAAAAAAAAAAGAGCTGAGCTCTGATATAAGCTGCCCTGGCACACAGTGAGCTTCCAGAAATGGTCCCTTGACCTCTAAATGCACCAAGACCCAGGGAACACGCCCTGTCTGAGCACCCTGACAATGTCCCAGTCCCAACACCGTACCCTGAAGCTGTCCCCAAAGGTTCCCCTGCCACCGTCCCTGACCACTCTCTGGTATCTCAGAGCCCTAGCAACAGCCTTATAGAGGGAGGGTTCTAGGCGTGGGGCAGGCATGAGCACTGTGCTTATAACCAAGCAAAACACTCCCTCTGTGCCAACATAGGTGTGGCAGGTCACGCTGGGGTCTGTTTGCCCTGTCTGCCCGCTGCAGCCTCCTCGGGGGAGGGCCAGGGCTGTCTGTCCATCCTGTGACCCCAGGGTCTATGCGCACATATGTGTGTCTGTGCTGCTCTGTGTGTGTGTGTGTGTGTGTGTGTGTGTGTGTGTGTGTGTACACGGTGCATCTGAATTGTCCTGAGTGCTGTCTCGGGTATCCTTGAGCTGTGTGTGCGTGTGTCCCCCTAGCGGTATGTCAGTATTTTTCCCTGTGGGAGCCGCACACCTGAGGGCCAGGTGAGTCTGGGGCTGGTCCTGTGCCTGCGCATCTGTGTGCTGGCGGTGTCTGCATAGTACTCTGCGGGTACATGTATCTGTGCACCCCAGAAATGGGCAGTCACCCACGGGACCTCTCTACAGTGACCCCAAAGGATGGATAGTGAGATAGGGACAGTATGTTCTATTTTTTGTTTTTTTGTTTGTTTGTTTTGTTTTGTTTTGTTTTGTTTTTGGTCACCGGGGTTTGTTGTACAGGGGCACAATATATTCTTCTCCCACCCCCAAGCCGGCCCTTTCTGCCCCTGCTCCTCCCACCCTCTGGTGTCTCACATCTCAGGGACAGGTGGAATGAAGGGTAAGTTCGCGGACCCCAGATCAGGACAACCGGGAGGCTTCCGGGCTGCCGGAGAGGGTCACAGCCGGTTAGGGGAGGGAGCCAGGAGAGGACTCTGCGCCCCTGGGGAAGGACTGGGCTAGTTCTGGGTCCCTGGGAGGAGTGAGTGGGGGGCCCTGCAGAAGGCTGGGGCGCATCGTGTGGGTGAGCATTAGAAGAGCGAGCTGGGGGCTCTAGGGCAACTAGGAACTTGGAGAGGGATGGGAGGCAGGGCTGCTGGGTCCCTAGGAAGGGCTGGAGGAATACCGGAACGCCTGAGTTCCGGGAAAGCCCCTTCCTCACTCACCCTCGCCGGACCCGGGGCCAGGTAGAAGCAGCAGCAGCAGCAGCGACGGCAGTAGCAGGAGCAGCATGATTGGCAGGCACACAGGTAGCGGCCCCATCGGAGGGTGGCAGAGGTGGGACGGTGCTGCAGGGCCACCGGAGGCACCAAGCCCGGCGGACACACACCCCGGCTGTCACGCCCCGGCTCCGCCCCCGACCTCACCTTCCCTCGCGGCCCAAGCAGAGCCAGCTAGGGGCGGGCACCTGGGGCGGCGCAAAGGCGTCCTGATCTCTGTATCTTGGTCACTGAAGGGGCTCCAGAGGCCGCGGGGCGCTGGGGACAGGACCGGGAGTCAGGCCCAGGGAAGTCTCCTCGGAATAAGGGAGGAAAAGGCGCTCTTTTGATGTTATTACTCCCCCAGCCCCTCCCCCGCTCACCTGGGCGCCCAAAGGGAACAGAAGACTTGGAGGAGGGGTAGTCCTGAATTTGCTTTAACATTTTATTTTATTTGGCCGGGCGCGGTGACTCACGCCTGTAATCCCAGCACTTTGGAAGGCCGAGGCTGGCGGATCACCTGAGGTCAGGAGTTCAAAACCAGCCTGGCCAACATGGTGAGGCTGTCTCTACTAAAAACACAAAAATTAGCCGGGCGTGGTGGTGTGGACCTATAATCCCAGCTACTTGGGAGGCTGAGGCACAGGAATCGCTTGAACACGGAAGGCAGAGGTTGCAGTGAGCCAAGATCACACCACTGCACTCCAGCCTGGGTGAGAGCCAGACTCTGTCTCTTTCTCGCTCTCTCTGTCTCTCTCTCTGTCAGTCTGGAGAGAGTTGATTGTCCCTGGTCAGTCTCTCTAGTCGAGAGAGAGAGAGACACTGAGGCTGGGCACAGGGCTCACGCCTGTAATCCCAGCACTTTGGGACACCGAGGCGGGTGGATCACCTGAGGTCAGGAGTTGGAGACCAACCTGGCCAACATGATGAAACCCCGTCTCTACTAAAAATACAAAAAATTCCCCGGGTATGGTGTTGAGCGCCTATAATCCCAACTACTCAGGAGCCCGAGGCAGGAGAATCGCTTGAACCCGGGAGGCAGACGTTGCAGTGAGCGAAGATCGCACCACTGCACTCCAGCCTGGGCAACAAGAGCAAAACTCCATCACACACAAACATACACACACACACACACACAAAATTAACCAGGCATGGTGGCACGTGCCTGTAGTCTCAGCGGCTCGGGAGGCTGATGTACAAGAATCGCTTGAATCTGGGAGGCGAAGGTTGCAGTGAACCAAGATTGCACCACTGCACTCCAGCCTGGGTGCCAGAGTAAGACACTATCACAAGGCCGGGCACGGTGACTGATGCCTGTAATCCCAGCGCTTTGGGAGGCCGAGGTAGGCGGATCACCTGAGGTCAGGAGTTCGAGACCAGCCTGGCCAACATGGTGAAACCCTGTCTCCACTAAAAATACAAAAAAATTAGCCGGGCATGGTGGTGGGCGCCTGTAATCCCAGCTACTCTGGAGGCTGAGTCAGGAGAATTACTTGAACCCAGGAGGCGGAGGTTGCAGTGAGCCAAGATCGCGCTATTCCACTCCAACCTGAGCAACAAGACCGAGACTATGTCTCAAAAAAAAAAAAAAAAATGACTCTGTCTCAAAAAAAAAAACTAGAAGTCTTGATCTGTGATCTTGGGAAAAGCTGTTCACATCAAGGATGCCATCTTTTTCTGGCGAAAAACTTCCCTCTTGTGAGATTATGAACCCAAAGTTCAAGGTCCTGAAGTTTTGCTGTATTGTGGATGGCAAGGACATTCTTTCTCTGATGTTCTCAGAAGATCCAATCTTTGGTTCTAGATTGTGAAGGAATTGATTGTCCCCAGTCAGTGAGCCATAAAAAGCTTTCAGTACCTGGTGAAAATACACTGTACCATAATGATCTACTGTTGTAATATCAGCCCTCTTGCATGGGAAAGCAACCAGAAAACATGCATTGAAAATGATAATTGACAACTGAAATGTTCAAATGGCCCATGAGGTAGCCAAATGCACCTGAAGCTTTGATTGTCTTCCCAGGAACATGAATTTGACAAACGAAACATTGGTTATGAACTATTTTAGCAATTTATAATTCAGCACACCAATACATATTTAATTTAGATCATTTTATCTTTTCCATGATGAGTCATGGAATGCAGAGTCTTTTATTTTTCATTTTTAGACAGAGTTTCATTCTTGTTGCCCAGGTTGGAGTGCAATGGCGCTATCTCGGCTCACCGCAACCTCCGCCTCCTGGGTTCAAGCGACTCTTCTGCCTCAGCCTCCTGAGTAGCTGGGATTACAGGCATGAGCCACCACGCCCGGATAATTTTTTGTATTTTTAGTAGAGATGGGGTTTCTCCATGTTGGTGAGGCTGATATTGAACTCCCGACCTCAGGTGATTTGCCCACCTCGGCCTCCCAAAGTGCTGGGATTACAGGTGTGAGCTACCACGCCCAACTGCAGAACCTTTAATAACAAACACTTTAAGGAGTCAGGAAGGACAAGGTGACCATCTTGATTCTCCATGAGTCCATGGTTAACATCGGACTTGCGTGCTCTGAATATCAGTTGTTTCTCCAGTTTACGTGCATAGCACTGATACCTAATGGGTTATCATAGGTAATTTGACTTAGACCTTGGAGTTCATTCAAATTGTATACCTAGGCTGGGCGAGCCCACAAAAAATTAGCTGGGCATGGTGGCAGAAGCCTGTAATCCCAGCTACTTGGGAGGAGATGGGAGAATCCCTTGAACCCAGGAGAAGGAGGTTTCAGTGAGGGGAGATTGCTCCACTGCACTCCAGCCTGGGCGACAGAGTGAGACCCTGTTTCAAAAACAACAAAAAAGGGGTGGTGGCTCATGCCTGTAATCCCAGCACTTTGGGATGCCAAGGCGGGTGGATCACCTGAGGTTGGGAGTTCAAGACCAGCCTGACCAACATGGTGAAACCCCGTCTCTACTAAAAATTCAAAAAAATTAGCCAGGCATAGTGGTGGGCACCTGTAATCCCAGCTACTCAGAAGGCTGAGGTACGAGAATCACTTGAACCTGGGAGGCAGAGGTTGCAGTGAGCCAAAATCACGCCATTGCACTCCAGCCTGGGTGACAGATTGAGACTCCGTCTCAAAAAAGCAAAAAGCAAAAAACAAAAACAAACAACAACAACAAAAACCAAACTGTTTATCTAAACAATTTTGGTATCGGCTGTTTTAACATGAAAATTTAGCAAAGTGTTTTTTTGGTATTCAATTAATTTTTTGTTCTGCTTGGGTTAGCAGCTTTCTTTCTTTCTCTCTCTCTTTCTTCCCTTCCTTCCTCCCTTCCTCCCTTCCTTCTTTCTTTCTTTCTTTCTTTCTGTCACCCAGGCTGAAGTGCAATGGCACGATCATGGCTCACTGCAATCTCCGCCTCCCGAGTTCAACCGGTTCTCCTGCCTCAGGCTCCCAAGTAGCTGGGATTAGAGATGCCCACCACCATTCCCAGCTAATTTTGTATTTTTTTAGTAGAGACAGGATTATACCATGTTGGTCAATTACAATTCCCCTGTCTTCATGAATCGGCTCTGTCTAGGCAGTGGGCAAGGTGAACCCCTTGAGCAGTTACAGTAGTGCCAACATGTCAAGTTTCTAGGCTCTCTCTCCCTGATCGGCCCTGGTGACCCTGTTGGACTGTATGCCAACAAACACATTGTCATGAATTAAGAATATTCACAAATAGTTTACAAATTTTGGAGAAATTAGGCAGAGACAGAAATATGACTCAAATTCTATTTATGAAAGTATACTCGCTGGACGGTGTGGCTCAAGCCTGTACTCCCAGCACTTTGGGAGGCCGAGGCAGATGGATCACCTGAGGTCAGGAGTTTGAGACCAGCTTGGCCAACATGATGAAACCCCATCTCCACTAAAAATACAAAAAGTTAGCCAGGTGTGGTAGTGGGTGCCTGTAGTCACAGCTATTCCAGAGGCTGAGGCAGGAGAATCACTTGAACCTCTGAGGTGGAGGTTGCAGTGAGCTGATATCGTACCATTGCACTCCAGCCTGGGCGACAGTGTGAGACTCTGTCTCAAAAAATAAATATAAAAAATAAAAAGCTGCTATGCTCCATTAATTCCTGCAGGCCCAACGAAGGCAGCCTAGGAATTCTAGATCAATGGAATGAATACAACTTGCTAGAAATACATAGGAAACAAAATGACTATTCACAGAACCAAATAAAAGCCTTCCACTAGAAACTAAAAATAATAATAATAATAATGGTTATATATATATGCATACACAAGCAAAGCCAGAAGAGAATAAATAGCAAATGAATGAAAATTAGAAGCAAAAACAAGTAACTAGGAAACCATCTCTACATTTTTTTTACTCAATCTACCCTGAATGCTACAGCATTATCCAGGACCCCAGAAAACACACATAATACTTTATTCCTGATAAACAATTCAATGTCCTTAAGTCCACCAATATCACCATACATTCTGTGCAATCAAGAAATTTACTCAGCTGGGTGCAGTGGCTCACACCTGTAATTCCAGCACTTCGGGAGGCCAAGGCGGGTGGATCACCTGAGGTCAGGAGTTTGAAAACAGCCTGGCCAACATGACAAAACCCCATCTGTACTAAAAATACAAAAATTAGCCCAGTGCGGAGGCACACGCCCATAATCCCAGCTACTCGGGTGGCTGAGGCAAGAGAATTGCTTGAGCCTGAGAGGCAGAGGTTGCAGTGAGCCCAGACTGCACAAGTACACTCCAGCCTCGGTGACAGAGGGAGACTCCATCTCAAAGAAAAAAAAAAGATTGTAGACCTAAAGTTAACATTGGCATGTACTTGATTATAGGAGGCCAGCAAATAATTTATTTATGAATGATCTACGGGGCGCAGCCCTTCCCAGATGCCTGAGGCCTTTTCTTGCTGAATGGACATCTATCTGGCTGTTACATGATCTTAGGAACAGCTATTCATTTGGAAAAGGGTGTCACAATGACTTTCTCTTTTGCATAAGAAGATGGGGGGCTGGGATCCTGAGATTTTAAAATTTCCTTTACAGCATACCCATATGTGCTCAAAAGTGAAAAGAGATGACAATTGGCCAGGCGTGATGGCTCACACCTGTAATCCCAGCACTTTGGGAGGACGAAGTGGACAGATCAGAAGGTCAAGAGATCAAAACAATCCTAATCAAAATGGTGAAACCCTGTCTCTACTAAAAATAAAAAAATTAGCTGGGCATGGTGGCATGTGCCTGTAGTCTCAGCTATTCGGGAGGCTGAGGCAGGAGAATTGCTTGAACCCGGGAGGCGGAGGTTGCAGTGAGCCGAGTTCGCACCACTGTATTCCAGCCTGGCAACAGAGGGAGACTCCATCTCAAAAAAAAAAGAAAAGAAACGAGATGACAATTGTAGTGCAAAATATCTGTTCCCTTTTGGTCCCCAGTGCCACTGCTACCCCATTCATCACCAATTTTTGTTGATGTCTCTTCCTGACTACTTTTTTTTTTTTTTTTTTTGGAGATAGAGTCTCACTCTGATGTCCAGCCTGGAGTGCAGTGGTGTGATCTCAGCTCATTGCAACCTCTGCCTCCAGGTTCCAGTGATTCTCCTGCCTCAGCCTCCCAAGTAGCTAGGACTATAGGCATGTGCTACCACGCCCAGCTAGTTTTTGTATTTTTAGTAGAGATAGGATTTTAACATGTTGGCCAGGCTCGTCTTGAACTCCTGACCTCAGGTGATCCACCTGCCTTGGCCTCCCAAAGTGCTGAGATTACAGGTGTGAGCCACCATGCCTGGCCTTTTTTTTTTTTTTTTTTTTTTTTTGAGATGGGGTTGAGCCTGTTGCCCAGGCTAAGCTTGAATTTATTTTTATTTTTATTTTATTTATTTATTCATTTATTTTATTTATTATTATTTTTTTATTTTTTGAGATGGAGTTTTGCTCTTGTCGCCCAGGCTGCAGTGCAGTGGCACGATCTTGGCTCACTGCAACCTCTGCCTCCCAGGTTGGGAGTAGCTGGGACTACAGCTGCCCGCCACTATGCCCAGCTACTTTTTGTATGTTTAGTAGAGCTGCGATTTCACCACGTTGGCCAGGCTGGTCTCAAACTCCTGACCTTAGGTGATCTGCCCACCTCGGCCTCCCAAAGTGCTAGGATTACAGTTGTGTGCCACTACACCCGGCCTGGGCTTGAATTTCTGACCTCAAGCAATCCTCCCTCCTCAGGCTCCTGAGTTGCTGATATTACAGGTGCATATCACCTTGCCCAGCACTAGAAACATGATTTTGTCACAACCCCAGACCCCTCTCATTCCCTTTCATAGGAAGGCACTGGGCACCAGAGAAGCTTGAGCCAAGAACCAGGGGAACCAAGATTTAAACTCATTTCTGTTGGGTGCCAAACCTCTCTCTGCCTCCTTCTATTGGAGACGGCTGGGCACGGTGGCTCACACCTGAGATCCCAGCACTTTAGGAGGCCTAGGTAGGTGGATCACCTGAGGTCAGGAATTTGAGACCAGCCTGGCCAGTATGGTGAAACCCTGTCTCTAGTAAAAATGCAAAAAATTAGCTGGGTGTGGTGGTGGGTGCCTGTAATCCCAGCTACACAGGAGGCTGAGGCAGGAGAATCGCTTGAACCCAGGAGGCAGAGGTTTCAGTGAGCCGAGATCATGCCATTGCACTCCAGCCTGGGAAACAAGAGTGAAACTCCATCTCAAAAAAATTAAAAAAAAAAAAAAGAAAAGAAAATCCGAGGCTTTGGTCCCTTTGCCTGCGACACTCTGGAGTAATTCTGTCCCTGCCTGAACGTGATCTCCTCAAGGCAAAGTCTGCGTCTCCTTCCTCTTGTGTGCTCAGCCCTGGCCTATCTGTCCCACACTAGGTGCTCAGTGAAGGTGTGCTCATGTGGAGTATGGGTTTCAGGCATACCAAGACTTGGAGTTGCAGAGGCTGTGAGTGACAAGCCTTGGAGTGCTATGCCCACTGGGAAATGGGTCTATCTCGGGGTTGGGCCAATAAGCTGGGCTCCCTCCGACGCCAGTGCTCATAGCTCCCCTACCCTGGGTGGACCCCTGCAGATGGTCAAGTATGTTGGCTCCATATGTGCCTTGAGTAGCTGGGTGCAGTAGCAGGGCATGGTGGCTCAGGCCTGTAATCTCAGCACTTTGGGAGGCTGAGGCAGGTGCATCCCTTGAGGTCAGGAGTTTGAGACCAGCCTGGCCAACATGGCAAAACCCCGTCTCTACTAAAAACAGAAAAATTAGCTGGGCATGATGGTGCACGCCTGTAATCCCAGCTACCCTGGAAGCTGAGGCAGGAGAATCACTTGAACCCGGGAGTCAAATGTTGCGGTGAACCCAAGATTGCGCCACTGCACACCAGTGTGGGGCATAGGGGGAGACTCTGTCTCAAAAATAAATAAATAAATAAATAAATAAAACAGATGGAGAGGCTGGGTGTGTGTGGTGGCTCATACCTGTAATCTCTGCACTTTGGGAGGCTTAGGTGGGAGGATCAGTGGGGCCCAGGAGTTTGAGACCAGCCTGGGCAACATCTCTACCATCTCTACCAAACACACACACACAAATTAAAAAACTAGTTGGGTGTGGCGATGCATACCTACTTGGGAGGCTGAGACGGGAGGATTTCTTGAGCCCAGGAATTTGAGGCTGCAGTCAACAGTGACCACGCCACTGCACTCCAGCCTGGAAGGTAAAGTCAGACACTTTCTCAAACAATAAAAATAAATAAATAAATAAATAAATAAATAAATAAAGCCGGAGGATAATGGTGAGACATGGAGAGAAGGCATGCTAGGCAGAGAGACCTCCGTAGGCAAAGTCGAAGAGACATGAAAGAGCCAGTGTGCAAGAGTAAATTCCTAGAACTCTGGGAGATGGGAGCAGAGGGAGCTGGTACAGGTCTCCACCTGGTGTACAATCTTGGCATAAATCTCCTACCATGAAAATAAATGACATTTTCTTCTTCCGGCTTTTGTAAGTTGGAAGAAAGCAGTTTTTCTGAGGAGTCTCACTCTGTCTCCCAGGCTGAAGTGCAGTAGCGCAGTCTCGGCTCACTGCAACCTCCTTCCCCCTGGTTCAAGCGATTCTCTTGCCTCAGCCTCGCGAGTAGCTGGGACTGCAGGCATGTGCCACCATGCCCGGCTAATTTTTGTTTTTGTTTTTTCGGAGATGGAGTCTCGCTCTGTCACCCAGGCTGGAGCGCAGTGGTGTGATCTCAGCTCACTGCAAGCTCCACCTCCCGGGTTCACGCCATTCTCCTGCCTCAGCCTCCCAAGTAGCTGGGACTACAGGCACCTGCCACCGCGCCTGGCTAATTTTTTGTATTTTTAGTACAGACGGGGTTTCACTGTGTTAGCCAGGATGATCTCCATCTCCTGACCTCGTGATCTGCCCGCCTCAGCCTCCCAAAGTGCTGGGATTACAGGCGTGAGCCACAGTACCCAGCCGCAGCATGCACCTTTTTAAGGACAGTTCCTTTCTGGATCCTTCCTAAGGTTCTGATTTCTAATCCTTCCTAACCCAGTTCACTGCCCCCCCCGCCCCAACACCACCCTCGGTCCACCCATTCTGACTCACTTTCTCCTTTCCTGATGCCCACAATTTCCAACAATCAGTCTTGGCCTCAGATTCCCGCCCTTCAGGTTCCAGTGTTCCTTGGGTCCTCTCTCTCCCCTGATCCTCTCTGATTAGGGGTGGGGTGTGTGAGTTGCAATTAAACCCAGCCTTTATTGGAGTCCTAGGGCTGGATTCTGCATTGTGCTCTGTTGTGTCATTGCACCTTCTCGTTTCCGCTCTTTCTGCCCAGCTTCTTCCTCTTCATACTCTAAGCCCCGCCAGCGCATGCTGACCCCACCGGTGGAGCGCCGCTCCTTCCCACCTGCCGCTTCTCCATCTCCATCTCTCCATCTTCTGCTCCTAGCCTTTCCTGGCACGGGGGCCCTAGCTCTGAGCTCTTGCATTTTTCTGGGGCACCGTCCTGCTCCTTCTCGTAACCCCGGGCAGTGGCCCTGGGCTCCTCGTCCGGCTGCTGCGGGCCTGGGCTGCCCGGGTCAGCGTAGCCAGGCCGACAGACAGCGCAGTTCACACCCCGGGGCGGCGGAGGCAGGTGCAGTGCGAGCGGCGACCCCTGTAGGCTGGTGTGGGCGCTGCCTGGAGGCTGCTGCGGTGCCGCCTGTAGGCTGGTGAGGGCGCCGCATGGAGGTTGCCGTGACGCTCGTTGGCGCCCAGCGCCCCGCCCAGGGCTTCCTGGCTGCAGTGGCTGCTGCCCCATCCCAGGGCCGCGGGGCCCGGGTTCCACTTGGCGGCGTCTTCTCTCGAGTCGCCTTCGCTGCTCCGAGAAGTCGGCGGCGCAGCAGTTGACGCTCAGCTCGCCGCAGGTCGCCATATTCCCCGCGGAGGCCGGCTGGGCTCTCGCCTCAGGCCGCCCACCCTGCTCCGGCCGCCGCGGCCTCTCCGTTCCCGCAGCCAGAGGTGGGGAGAGAGCGACCTCCAGGCACTGGGCACCCGCCGCTTCCCCAGCAGCCGGCGGGGCGATGGAGAAAGACGCCAGGAAGCGGAAGGTCCCCGCCGGCCCGAGGGTCGCCCGGGGCTGCGCCCCATGGTTCCTGCCCACGGAGCAGCTGCCGGGACCCTCCCTGCCAAGTTGCTCCCGGAAAAGCTCTCAGGTTCTCAGGCCTGCAGGGAGTGACAGTTTCCCCCTGACTGGAACGTAAGGCTGCAAACTCGAAGCCAGGCATTTTCTGCGTATTCTTAAATAGGATGTTTCAGTCAAAGCCTTGATAATATAACCAATCATTCTGATTACAGCCTGCTTATAAGGAGAACATGTGTACATCAAAGTAAGAATATTTATGAATAGTTTCCAAACTTTGGAAGGATCAAGTAGGAAGGAAAAACAAACGCTTCCACCCACCTTTGTTCACAAAAGTGTGCTTTACCAAATCGGTGTAAATTCTAGATAACTTCTGAGAAAAAATTTTCTTCAATCTAGAAAACAAAACAAGGGCCCGGCGCGGCGGCTCACGCCTGCAATCCCAGCACTTTGGGAGGCCCAGGCGGGGGGGTGATCACCTGAAATCAGCAGTTGGAGACCAGCCTGGCCAACATGGTGAAACCCGGTCTCCACTACAAATACAAAAACTAGCTGGGCGTGGTGGCGGGCGCCGGTAATCCCAGCTACTCGGGGGGCTGAGGCAGGAGAATGGCTTGAACTCAGGAGGCGGAGGTTGCACTGAGCAGAAATCCCGCCACTGCACTCCAGCCTGGGTGACAGAGTGAGACTCCGTCTCAAAAAAAAAAAAAAAGAATGAATCAAGAATCAACAAACAACAATGTTTTAAATACGAATTATAAAAACATTATCTTAATAGATTTTTTTGTTTTGCTTGATCTTGCTTAGCAGTTTTTTGAACCATTGTTTCCTTATTAGAAGCCACTAGAAATTGGTTTTTAGTTCATTGGTTTTTATTTTTTTTATTTCTGAGACAGAGTCTCAGTCTGTCGCCCAGGCTGGAGTGCAGTGGCACAATTTTGGTTCACTGCAACCTCTGCCTCCCAGGTTCAAGCGATTCTCATGCCTCAGCCTCCCGAGTAGCTGGGATTACAGACATGCACCACCATGCCTGGCTAATTTTTGTATTTTTAGTAAGATGGGCTGGCCAGGCTGGTCTGGAACTCCTAACCGCAAGTGATCCGCCTGCCTTGGCCTCCCAAAGTGCTGAGATTACAGGCGTGAGCCACTGCGCCTGGCCCATTGATTTTTAAAAAAATATTTAGTTTTAATGTATTGAGGGGGTATAAGTGCGAGTTTCTCACATGCCTATAGTGGTGAAGCCTGGGTAGTTCATTGATCTGGGTTATCAGAAAACCATGTTCAAGAGGATTTGTTAGAGTTTTCTCCATGCAAAGCAAATTTGGGGGCCGGGCGCGGTGGCTCCACGGCTGTAATCCCAGCGCTTTGGGAGGCTGAGGCGGGCGGATCACGAGGTCAGGAGTTGAAGACCAGCCGGGCCAATATGGTAAAACCCCGTCTGTACCACCACCAGTTAGCTGGGCGTGGTGGCGGGCGACTGTAGTCCCAGCTACTTGGGAGGCTGAGGCAGGAGAATCGCTTGAACCCAGGAGGCAGAGGTTGCAGAGAGCCAAGATGGCACCACTGTACTCCAGCTTAGGCGACAGAGCCAGACTGTGTCTCAAAAACAGGAAAGAAAACAAAAGAAAATTTGGACTACTGCCAATTACAAATATTTTTAGAGAAGAATTCAAAACTAACTGTGGATGATGAAAACAATAGTTATGATAAAAGTCTGATGAAACTTCCCAGTTCACAAGGAAATTTAATTACTTTTTTTTTTTTTTTTTTTGAGACGGAGTCTCACTGTGTCACCCAGGCTGGAGTGCAGTGACGTGATCTCCGCTCACTGCATGCTCCACCTCCTAGGGTCATGCCATTCTCCTGCCTCAGCCTCTCAGCCTCCCAAGTAGCTGGGACTACAGGTACCCGCCACCATGCCCGGCTAATTTTTTTTTTGTGTGTTTTTAGTAGAGACGAGGTTTCACCGTGTTAGCCAGGATGGTCTCGATTTCCTGACCTCGTGATCCACCCGCCTCGGCCTCCCAGAGTGCTGGGATTACAGGTGTGAGCCACTGTGCCCAGCCAATTACTTATCTTATGTGCAGCATTTTAAGACAGTGATCAGAATCATGACTGACAGCATTACATCAGGACCACCAGTGTTTTATAAATTTCATATCATCTTCAGAAATAATTAATAACTTTTTTTTTTTTTTTTAGATAGATTCCAGCTCTGTCGCCCAGGCTGGAGTGCAGTGGTGCAATCTCGGCTCACTGCAACCTCCGCCTCCTGGGTTCAAGCAATTCTCCTATCTCAGCCTCCCGAGTTGCTGAGATGACAGGCCTGTGCTACCAAGCCTGGCTAATTTTTGTATTTTTCATGGAGACAGTATTTTCGTGTAATTTTCACCCTATTGGTCAGGCTGGTCTTGAACTCCTGACCTCAGGTGATCCACCTGCCTTGGTCTCCCAAAGTGCTGGGATTATAGGCATGAGTGATGGTGCCCAGCCATTCATAACATGTTTATGCAAATATAACTTTAGCAAATATTTAGCATATATTTAGCATAATATTGCTAAAGCTAAACTTTAGCAAATATTTAGCATAACAATCAAAATTACAAATCATAACATATTAAATTTGTATAAATGTATGTAATTTTTGGAACACGTATATCAACAACATACCCATAAATATAACTGAGATGAGATCTAATGTCACCTCACTTGACAGTGCCCTCCCATGCAGTATCACCACATTTGACAATGCCCGCCCATATAATCTACCAAATAAATCGAATCACTTAATACCTCTACAAGATGAGAGATGCATTCTTTAGACTCCCGAAGGGATGCAGCTGAAAAATCCCAAAGTTAATTTTAAGCCAAAAAGACCTGATTTAGGATTTTGACACTGGAGAAACCCATCAAAGATGTCAAGTTTGTAAACACTTGATCAAAACAGAATCACAGGTCACTATTAAAAAGGGTATTCATTTAACCAGAGACTTCCAAAGCAATACAGAAACTTACATGGATATAAAAACCTTAACCCTTTTAAAGGTCAGATTTGCTAAGTGATCAAAAGGGGTACTTGAATTGAATCGACACAGGAAGAGTGTGTACAGGGTTACGAGTGTAGGCAAATGGTTACTTTGGTCATATCTCCATTTGCCACCTGATTACACATGAGAATGGCATCTTTACTCACCAGAAAGCCAGTATTATGGGAGGTGTAGGAGGCATTCTTGGACTTGAGACAAGAACATTGTTGTGTAGAAATTTCATTGACTGTGTTAAAATTATTCTCCATGGGCTGGAGAACACATAATGTGGTGTTTAGAATGAGACGGGCATTGATTGGATGCAAGGTCTCCACACTTACTAGCTGTGTGACATTGGACAAAGTGCTTCATCATTCTGAGACTCAGTTTTTAAAGGAAAAACAACTAACTACCTTGCAAGCTTGCTAGCAGGTTTAAGTGTAATAATGTGTGGGAATGACTGCACCGTGACTAACACGTAGTGACAGCTTAATTAATGTTAACCCTTATCATTATCATATAAGAATGTGAATTACATAAGGGAGGAATCCTGTCAGTTCGTTCTCTGCTGTGTCCCCAAGACCATGAATCATGGCTGGCACGTAGTAGGCATTTAATAATATTTGTTCAACAAGTATTTGGCAGTCTTGGAGGGCAGAAAAGGAGGTGGGGAAGATGTTTAAATAACATTTTTTAAAAAGTCACATTGTCCTACAATACCAATTTTTCTTGCATATTTAGGAAATTGAGGGTTTTTTCCTAAAACACGCGGACATATGGGAAATAGGATGCAACATTTGCACTAATGTTTCCGACACAGTTAGAGGTTTCCAAGAGATTTTGCGCTGGGGAGGCTGCTTGCTACAAGCTCCCAAAGCTCTGGGAGGACATAGTATTCATTCCTCCCTCAGCAGAAGCGGTGAGGCAAGAAGCTCTGGGGAGCATCCAGCCTTGGACTTTTAGCATAGTGTGTCAGGTCTTCATAGTTTGGGCCCAGGGCACAGAGAAGTCACAGCTCTCCGGCATCCTGTGACCTTTACCCTCTTTGCCAAGGGAAAATGTGGCCCTCCAAAGCAAGAAACTTGAGGTCATGGGTCACCCCAGCCCTGGCATCTGCCCAGAGCCCGAGAAGGAAGGAACAATGATCCTCCAGCTACCTCACAGGGCTGGCACAGGTGGCCACTGCCCTGGCATCACCCAGCTGTGTTCGGCAGCCTGAACCCCATCTGTGGGGATGTGAGGAGGAAAATACAAAAGTCATTAGGTGAACACTGAGAAGGCAGATGCAGCAGAAGCCTCCAGGCCAGAACTACCCAGTCTTGGACCTATGGTGGAGATAGAGCATAGCTGGCGATCATGTGTACTTACACTCTAAGGTCACCTGGTTGCCCTATGGCCTCATCTGTGGCTCTGAAAATGAAGATTTGGAAGGAGATCATCACAGCTAATGTTAACAAGCCCCTCCTGTGTGCCAAATCATTCACCCCTCACCACAACCAAATGAGCTAAGGATTCTCGTTATATATAGTTTATGGAGAGGGAAGTGCAGACATAAAGAGGTGAATTATCTTACCCAGATCACACAGCTGATAAGTGGTGGAGGCAGAATAGAATCTAAACAGTGTGGCTCCGGAGCCCACATGCATTGATTCGACAAGTGTTTATTGAGCACCTGCCGCGGACAAGGCCTTGTGTGATTAAATAGGGTTATAATTAGTAATATAAAAATGAGAAATCACTAATGCTTTTTAGACTTAACATTTTCTTTCTTTGTAGGTTTCAGGCACAGAACTGTATATCCAATAATAGTGAAATGGATCCCACTAATTATGACCGAAATGATGATACATTTAAATGACTTGGATGTTTTATAGGTATGATCTCGTGAAACCTTGAGAGAAACTGAATGACGAATGAAACTATTGTTCCTGTTTCACACAGAAGAAAACTGAGGTTAAAAGGGGTAAAGTAATTTTGCATGGCATGAAGTAGAAATTCAAAGTACAGGAATTTGAACTTGGTTCTGTCCTTTTCTGAAGCCCTTGACCACTATAGACTCAAACATCACCTTGTTTTTCCACTCATTCAACACTTTTTTTTTTAATTGTCTAATAGGTTGGCACTCATCATGAGCCCCTGTTCTCATTCTGCAAATGGTGAAGCTCTCTATTGTCCTGACCCCACGGTTCCTGTCCCATGACCAGGGCCAGCTCACCAAGGAGCTGCAGCAGCACGTAAAGTCAGTGACATGCCCATGCGAGTACCTGAGGAAGGTGAGTGAGTGCAGACAGATGGGGCCTGGTGCCCTTGAGCAGTTCCCGGGTCTCAGCTGCCACACATCTCATAGCGGGTGATGCTGGGGGAAGCTTACGCAGTCTCAGTACTGGCTTCTTCCTCTTTTTCTTTCCATACAAGTGGCTTAGGGATGGGGTAGAGTAGTTGACTTATTTGGATGAAAACCACTATCTTCTGTCAGAAACTCAAAAGGAATCATTGCTGGCATGGTAACCTAAAGAAAAACAACCAGACAAGTGCCCAACGACACTTTAAAAGGTTATTTATTATCTTGCCAAGTTTAGGCTGGGCATGGTGACTCATGCCTGTAATCCCAGCATTTTGGGAGGCTGAGGCTGGTGGATCACCAGAGGCCAGGACTTCGAGACCAGCCTGACCAATATGGCAAAACCTCGTCCCTATTAAAAATACAAAAATTAGCCGGGCATGGTGGTGTCAGCCTGTAGTCCCAGCTACTCAGGAGGCTGAGACAGGAGAATTGCTGAGATTCAGGAGGTGGAGGTTTTAGTGGGCCGAGATCACGCCATTGCACTCCAGACTGGGCGACAGAGCGAGACTCTGTCAAAAAAAAAAAAAAATTATCCTGCAAAATTTGAAAAGGAAATTCAAATCAACAGCTTCTAAACTACTTTTTAACATGACTCATAATAAGAAATACATTCTACAGTACATATATATGTTCTATAATTTTGAATAAAAGAATTAACCACATCATATTTATTTTACAACATGTAATACATATTTTTTATTCTCCTTCATTTGTTTTGAATGCTCTGTGCAGTCTACAAAAAGTCCAGTAGTAATAATTAAATTATTCATTAAGTTGAACATTATCTTGTCTTTTAAAATGATAATCTCAAAAATGATCTTTTATTTTTGAGATTTATATAGATACACACACACACACAGACAGACACACACACACACACATATATATATATATATATATTTTTTTTTTTTTTTTGAGACAGAGTTTCACTCTGTCCCCCAGGCTGGAGTGCAATGGCACAATCTTGGCTCACTGCAACCTCCGTCTCCCGGGTTCAAGCAATTCCTCTGCCTCAGCCTCTGAGTAGCTGGGACTACAGGTGTGCACCACCATGCCCAGCTAATTTTTGTATTCTTAGCAGAGATGGGGTTTCACCATATTGGCCAGGCTCGTGTCAACCCCTAACCTCGTGATCCGCCTGCCTCAGCCTCCCAAAGTGCTGGGATTACAGGCGTGAGCCACCATGCCCAGCCAAATCTAGGGCTGGAACATGGCTGCAGCATATAAAAAGAATTGAATTCCATACTTTTGTTAACCCTGTTTTTTGTTTGTTTGTAGTTGTTGCTGTTTTTGAGACAGAGTCTCGCTCTGTCACCTAGGCTGGAGTGCAGTGGTGCAATCTCGGCTCACTGCAGACTCTGCCTCCCGGGTTCAAACTATTCTCCTGCCTCAGCCTTCCAAGTAGGTGGGACTACAGGCGCCCACCACCACACCCAGCTAATTTTTGTATTTTATTAGAGACAGGGTTTCACCATATTGGCCAGGCTGGTCTGGAACTCCTGACCTTGTGATCCGCCCGCCTCAGCCTCCCAAAGTGCTGGGATTACAGGCGTGAGCCACCACCCCCAGCCCCTGTTTTGCTTGTTTCTTAGGGTTGTTTTTCTATTTATGGTAAAGGCATTGGCTTTCCATTTGTAGCATCAATAGAATATTTCCTGTTTACAATAACCTTATGTCATAGTAAATGGTAAAGGGATTTAAAGCAGTGGTTTTCAGCTGCCAGAGGCCTGAGTGAGTTTGGGCACACTCTGTGTGATCGGGCAGAAGGCCTGTGGGAAGTTTAGCTGAGGACAGGGCCAGGAAAGGTGATGGACAGTGGGGGTCTGTCCTGGTCACCAGGCCCCTGGGTCCTGCCCACCTGCTTGGAGCTCCCCACCCATCACACATGATGCGGCCAAGCCCTCTGGCTATTGTGGGCAAATACCTTAGGAGAGAAGCTGATGAACTTTGTTTCTTGAAATGCACAGATTCCTTGGACGTCCCTGAGAGCTCAGTCATGAAAGTCAGCTTGGTTTTCTCCCCCTCATTTGGGTTCAGAATTTAAAGTCCACACACACGGGCAGTAAGATGATATAGATAAGGACATCATCACTCGGTTTTGGATGTTAAAATGTCTAGGTGGGTTAGGGGTGATTTGAGATCACACAACGTTGTGCCACAAAGAGGAATTCCCCGGCCAGAGGGAGACATTTTATTGCCATGTTATGATCTCATCATTGAGTTGAAAGGCAATCTTGTTTCATTTTGGATTCTTTCTTATGTTTATGTCTTATAAGGGCACTTTGAATTTCCAAGCAAATAATAATTTTGAATTAGCTTTTAATCATTGACTTCTAGCACAGTTTTATGATCAGAAACATGCTGTGTGATTTGATTGCTCTCAAATATATTGAGATTTGCTGGAACAAAATAAGTCAGGTTAATTTTTGTAAATGTACCATGCATGCTTAAAATGAATGTATGTACATTTGTTCCTGAGATACAGGTTGATGGACGGATGGCTACATGGATGTGATGGAGATGGTTTACTATCGGGACCTTCCGCATCCTGCTGATGTTTTGTTGCTTAGGATATGAATGGCTGAGCGGAGGCTGTAAAACCTGGCACTCTGCTTGGGTATGAGGTTCTTCCTGCCATCCTGCCATCATTTGTTTTTTATGTTTTGTCGCCAAAAGTGACCTTGAGGAACCCTGGGAGCTCAGGAAGGAAGGAGCGCCCAGAAGCAGGGACAGGGAGCTGGTTGGGGAGGACCAGAAGTCAGGTTTGTGAAGGTTCCAGAGAGGACCTGGCCTTGGGAGGAGCGTGGGGGACTGAGATGGGGGAGGGGTCATTGGGATGATGCGGGCGCTACTTGGAATGTCCATTGTGAGGCACCACCGGGGTCATCAGGGATTGGTGGAGAGAGAGTCTAAAGCCCCAGGGTTGCTAAGGGAGGGCCCAGACCGAAGAAGGTTTGGTGGAAAGCAGAACCTTTGTCTCCCTCTAATTGCTCCTAAGCCTCACGCTCCCTTGCCCTGCCTGTCCTGTTGCTTCCCTGATCTTCTCCGTGACCTGTAGCTAAACCTTCCACCAGCGCTTGAGAACTTAATTTGAACCGGATCCTTTCCCAGACCCCTTTCTTCTTCTCCTCCTCCTCCTCCCCAACAGCCCCCTTCTCCTCCTTTCCCTTCCCTTACTTCCCCCCTTCCCCTCCCCTTCCCCTCCCCCTCCCCTCCCCCTCCCCAACTCAGATCCGGCCCCGGTCCCCGTCCCCTTCCCTCCCCCCTGCCCTAAGCCACCTCCACCTCTGTCCTGGCCGCCTCAGGGAGCCCTGAAAGGACCAGGACATGCGGGTGCGGTGGCTACTCTTTTGGCTCCTCTTTTGGCTCCTGCTGGGATTTATCAGCCATCAGTCCACCTGTGTGAGTAGATGGGTGCTGTGGCTGCTCTTTTGGCTCCTGCTGGGATTTATCAGCCATCAGTCCACCTGTGTGAGTAGACGCTGGACCCGCGGGGTTTCTTCCTTTTTACTGGGCTGTGTCACGCGGCATGAAATTACACAGCTCAGGCCTGTAATCCCAGCACTTTAGGGGGCCGAGGTGGGCAGATCACTTGAGTCCAGGAGTTGAAGACTAGCCAGGGCATCATAGCGAAACCCCATCTCTACAAAAAATTCCAAAAAAGATTAGTCGGGCCTGGTGGTGCGTACCTGTTATCCCAGTTACTGGAGAGGCTGAGGTGGGAGGATCGCTTGGGCCCAGGAGCTGGACGTTGCAGTGAGCCGAGATGGCCCCGCTGCACTCTTGTCTCCAACAGACAAAACGGACCAAAACAAAGTGAAATGTCATTTGATTTGTGTCATCTGGTTTGATGACTTTTTTTTGTTTGTTTGTTTTTTAGACAGAGTCTCACTCTGTCGCCCAGGCTGGAGTGCAGTGGCAAGATCTCGGCTCACTGCAACCTCCGCTTCCGGGGTTCAAGCAATTGTCCTGCCTCAGCCTCCTGAGTAGCTCAGATTACAACGCCTGGCTAATTTTTGTATTTTTAGTAGACACTGGGTTTCACCATGTTCGCCAGGATAGTCTCCATCTCTTGACCTCGTGATCCGCCTGCCTCGGCCTCCCAGTGCTGGGATTACAGGCGTGAGCCACCGCGCCTGGCCAAAATATATAACCTCAAGTGTAAGTTTACTAACTTTGGAAAGTACATACACCAGCATAAACCAACCCCCGTTCAAGATCTACATTATTTTATTTATTTATTTATTTATTTATTTGAGACAGTTTCTCCCTTGTTGCTGAGGCTGGAGTGCAATGGGGCAATATCAGCTCACCGCAACCTCTGCTTCCCAGGTTCGAGCGATTCTCCTGCCTCAGCCTCCCGAGTGGCTGGGATTACAGACATGTGCCACCACTCCCAGCTAATTTTGTATTTTTAGTAGAGATAGGGTTTCTCCATGTTGGTCAGGCTGGTTTTGAACTCCCGACCTCAGGTGATCCGCCCGCCTCGGCCTCCCAAAGTGTTGGGATTACAGGCGTGAACCACCGTGCCCAGCCAAGATCTACACTATTATGTCACCCCAGAAAGTGAACTCTCACTCTTCCCAGCCAGTCTCTTTCTTATCATAGGTTAGCTTGCTTATTCTGGAATTTCGCGTATACAGATGCATGCCATGCCATAGGTACTCTTTTGTGTCTGCTTTGTTCTGCTCAACACCATGTTTCTGAAATCATTACCATTGTTGTATGGTTCTCTAACTCCATCATTTCCATTTCAGACTCAGCATATGCTGAGTTCAACCTGTTGAAGGGCTATCTCTGTTTAATTCACCATCTTGAAAGAAACACTTAAAATTGAGATGTTTTCAAGAATATATAGTTAAATCCTGAGGAATTGATGTAGAAATGTTATCACAAGCTGTCTGAACTTACTCAGGGGAAGTCTTCGTCTTCACTCACATAAGAGTCTAATGGAATTAATATCAACAATCTTAGAGAAATCCCACACTATTCATGCCATTTTCATGATCTCCACCTTGGTAATTTTTTTTTTTTTTTTCAGACAGAGTCTCACTCTGTCACCCAGGCTGAAGTGCAGTGGTGCGATCTCGGCTCACTGCAACCTCTGCCTCACGGGTTCAAGTGATTCTTCTGCCTCAGCCTCCCAAGTAGCTGGAACTATAGGCGCGTGCCACCATGCCCTGCTAATTTTTTGTATTTTTAGTAGAGATGGGTTTCACCGTGTTAGCTAGGATGGTCTCAATCTCCTGATCTCACGGTCCACCCACCTTGGCTTCCCAAAGTGCTGGGATTGCAGGCGTAAGCCACCACGCCCGGCCCACCTTGTTAATTTTTAAGCACTAAAATTCGATACTTATTTGTGAATGAAGTAATCTCTTCATTGTATTTTTTTTTTTTTACTTATACTGAGCTTTAAATGACAAAGATTCATGTAATCCAAGAGAGAAGTATTATTTAGAGGGATTCTTTTACCATGTGATATGTAATAAATGCATCCAATGTTATACATCAATTTAAAAAACAAATAATTAAAGAAAAGATAACTACTGGCCAAGTGCAGTGGCTCACACCTGTATTCCCAGCACTTTGGGAGGCCGAGGCAGGTGGATCATGAGGTCAGGAGTTGGAGACCAGCCTGGCCAAGATGGTGAAACCCTGTTTCTACTAAAAAGACAAAAATTAGCCGAGCGTGGTGGCAGGCGCCTGTAATCCCAGTTACTCAGTAGCTGAGGCAGGAGAATCGCTTGAACCCGGGAGGCGGAGGTTGCAGTGAGCTGAGATCATGCCACTGCAATCTAGCCTGGGCGACAGAGCAAGACTTTGTCTCAAAACAAAAAGAAAAGAAAAGATAATTACTTTATACTTAGCTTGTCTTACCCATGAGTGACGGGCTGCATGTGGCCCAGGACAGTTTTGAATGCAGTTCAACACAAATTTGTAAACTTTCTTAAAACATTAGGAGATTTTGGCCAGGTACAGTGGCTCATGCCTGTAATCCCAGCACTTTGGGAGGCTGAGGCGGGCAGATTACCTGAGGTCAGGAGTTCGAGACCACCCTGGCCAACATGGCAAAACCCCATCTCCACAAAAAATACAAAAATTTGCTGAGTGCACTGTCAGGCACCTGTACTCCCAGCTACTCAGGAGGCTGAGGCAGGAGAATCACTTGAACCTGAGAGGCAGAGGTTGCAGTGAGCCGAGAGCACACCACTGCACTCCAGCCTGGGTGACAGAGTGAGACCCCATCTCAAAAACAAACAACAAACAAAAACAAAAAAAATGGCCGGGCACGGTGGCTCACACCTGTAATCCCAGCACTTTGGGAGGCCGAGGCAGGCAGATCTCCTGTCAGGAGTTCAAGGCCAGACTGGCCAACATGGTGAAACCTCATCTCTACTAAAAATACAAAAATTAGTCGGGCATGGTGGCAGAGACCGGTAATCTCAGCTGCTCGGGAGGCTGAGGCAGGAGAATGGCTTGAGCCCAGGAGCTGGAGGTTGCAGTGAGCCAAGATTGCACCACTGCACTCCAGCCTGGGCGACTGAGTGGAGCGGAACTCTGTCTCAAAAAAAAAAAAGAAAAAAAGTTTTTTTTTTTAGATCATCAGCTATTGTTAGTGTATGTTATGTGTGGCTCAAGACAACTTTGCTTCTTTTAATATAGGCAGGGAAGTCAAAAGATTGGATATCCCTGCTTTATACCAAGAATGACAACACCCCACATTTGCAATGCCTAAAAACACTACCAGCCATCTGAAAAACATGAGACTTCTCTAACTTCTGTTCTTTTTTGTAGCAGTGGAATCCCATGGTGATATCTGAGGGATGTGGTTACCTTTTGGAGGAGGTTGACGGTTTCTAAGGATGATTCTTTCTGAGTGAAATATTGTCAGTGTCATTGACCTTTTCATTATTTCAACTATTATTATTCCAGGTTATCAATACTCTGGCTGACCATCGTCATCGTGGGACTGACTTTGGTGGAAGTCCTTGGTTACTTATCATTACTGTGTTTCTGAGAAGTTATAAATTTGCCATCTCCCTCTGCACAAGTTACCTTTGTGTGAGTATACTAACTTTCTGTAGAGGTATACTTGTAATCACAAATAAGAGTAAATTATATGAAACAATTCACGTTTCTGGACTTCATTGTGAATATGTGGTTTTACCCAAAAAATCAGGGAAATGATTTATTAGCATAAGAATTATGAAAATATCTGCCATTTACATTATGAAAATTAAATAGGTCGGTGTTTAATAGAATGTCAACAGAGCTTTTGGTCAAAAATAAGTTTTTTTAACCTTTGTGCTATTTGTCACAAATGGAGTATGAGGTTTCGTCACTTAAATGGGAAAGTCTTTCTAAACTCTTCTGCTTTATAGTTCTATCGTATGGGTGGAAGGAAAGCTTCCAATCTCCTCTCTGAAGATTCACTGCAGAAATGAGCTGACAACAGACAGCTTAACAGGAAAAGAAAAACATAGAACAGACATAAACATGGGAACCAGCTGAAAAATGAGACTGCTAGAAGGGCTGGATGGTTGATGCTTAAAGAGCACCCTCTTCTGAGGGGAGAGGGAGATAGATGGAGATGTAGGCCATTTAGAGGGGCAGCAAATGATTTTTAGGGGAAATGAAAGAGCCCAAGGAACAAACAGTTGGCCTGAGACAAAGTTCCTCGGAGGTCATAGGGACGAGGTGACAAACTGCCGGAAGGTGAAGGGCAGAACTGCACTGCGTCTCATGATGCAGAGAAAGCCCCAGAGAATCTCTTAGAACTGCCCTCCAAGAGAATCAATGAAAAGTGTGTCTGGGCAGGGTAATTTTGAATGACATCATTCAAAGTGCATGTTCCCACTTGCAACTGGAGAGAGATCAGTATGTCAAAAGTCTGTACTTGGTAAGAATTTGGCTGCTAAGTTGTGCCATAATTTGTCTTTTGAGCCTTTTATCCTTTGGGTAAGTTGAGCTCTACATTTTGTCTTGCCATTCATGACAGTAAAAATGTGGTTGTCTGGGGGCTGAACCTCCTTCTGAACAATGATCCAAGATAAAAGTACTAATACCACAATGCTTTTTGATATTCAAGGGAAGAGGAAGTATGTTTCAGTTTTACCGCCTAGATAATTACACGTCATTTGGCACTGCCTTTCAAGATATGTAGAAAACAGAAAATATATGAGTTATGAAGATATCTAGGCACATTTAACATTCTCTATGCCACTTAGTCCTGAACAGAGAATTTTCGGTATAAATTGGAGGAAGCTTTTTTTTTTTCTTTTCTCACCCCCAAGACGAGTCTCCCTCTGTTGCCCAGGCTGGAGTATAATGGTGTGATCTCGGCTCACTGCAACCTCCACCTCCTGGCTTCAAGTGATTCCCCTGCCTCAGCCTCTCAAGTAGCTGGGATTACAGGTGCCCACCACCATGCCCAGCTAATTTGTGTATTTTTAGTAGAGTCGGGGTTTTACCATGTTGGCCAGGCTAGTCTCAAAACCCGACCTCAAATGATCCACCCGCCTCAGCCTCCCAAAGTGCTGGGATTACAAGCGTGAGCCACCACGTGAGCCAGGGGAAGTTTTTAAATTTACCACTTTTTAACAATTCCATTAGGAAAGTTCAGTTGAGCTATTGGACTTGGACAACTTTGCACCTCTCATCTTTGTCCTTGTCATCTAGTCATCTATACCATTACCTCCTAAGCAGGGACATCATGGGTGCCATGAAGCATTCATGTGTGATGGCATTTCTTTGCTTCTCATTTCTTCATGTGTTTGACATTTCTCCTAGCTCCAAACTGGGCCAGCTACCTTTCCTATGAAATCTAGCAGTAGCTGTGGGATAGACGTGGTTTCTCTTTTCATCTTTTTAGATTACCCATTGCTTCTCTCGAAATCCTAGTACATGATTTTTTTTTCATCCTATGTGCAGAAATCAGGAAAAAACAAATTCTACAAAGAATTTGAAAGATATTATTTCAGGCCAGGTGTGGTGGCTCATGCCTGTAATCCCAGCACTTTGGGAGGCTGAGGCAGGTGGATCACTTGAGGTCAGGAGTTCAAGACCAGATGGGCCAACATAGTGAAACCCCATCTCTACTAAAAAGACAAAAATTAGCCAGGCATGGTAGCAGGCACCTGTAATCCCAGCTACTTGGGAGGCCGAGGCACAAGAATCGCTTGAATCTGGGAGGTGGAGGTTGCCGTGAGCCAAGGTAGCGCCACTGCACTTCAGCATGGTTGAGTGACACTCCGTCTCAAGAAAAAAGTCATTTCAATGACTACCTCAGGAGATTCATAGGTATCTGACCCACATCTGAGATGGGATTTGCATTGCATTTTAGCTATGATGAGAACAAATATTTAATATCTTAGAAGATTAAAAGCATACTGTGATAATATGGAAATCTTGGCGGGAATTCAGTCATTAGTGAGAATGTTTTGCGTTAAGTTCAAACCAGCCTCAACGAAGCTGATGTGAGGGAAGGGAAAGTGAACTCTGAGTAGAGCAGGGACAGAAGAAAGATGCTCCAGTGCAGATCAGGAAGGAGCAGGGGGTGAAATGTTACAAATTCTAGAACTCAGAGAGCTGAAGGTAATTAATTACTTCCTTTTCAAGTTGTGAAACATGTTAACCTGTGGTAAAATACTTACAAGATGATAATTACCATCTAACCGTGTTGAAGTGTACAGTTCAGTTGTGTGAAGTATATTCATGTCATTTTTTTTTTTTTTTTTTTTTTTGAGACGGAGTCTCACTCTGTCACCAGGCTGGAGTGCAGTGGTGGGATCTTGGCTCACTGCACCCTCTGCCTCCTGGGTTCAAGCAGTTCTCCTGCCTCAGCCTCCCGAGTAGCTGGGACTACAGGCGTGCGCCACCATGCTCAGCTAATTTTTGTATTTTTAGTAGAGACGGGGTTTCACCATGTTGCCCAGGATGGTCTCCATCTCTTGACCTTGTGATTCACCCGCCTCGGCCTCCCAAAGTGCTGGGATTACAGGCGTGAGCTACCGCACCTGGCCTATTTTTTTTTTTTTTTTTTTGAGACAGAGTTTCAATTTTGTTGCCCAGGTTGGAGTGCAATGGCACAATCTCAGCTCACCACAATCTTTTCCTGCTGGGTTCAAGTGATTCTCCTGCCCCAGCCTCCTGACTAGCTGGGATTACAGGCATGCACCACCATGCCTGGCTAATTTTGTATTTTTAGCAGAGACAGCGTTTCTCCATGTTGGTGAGGCTGGTCTCAAACTCCCGACCTCAGGTGATCCGCCTGCCTCGGCCTCCCAAAGTGCTGGGATTACAGGAGTGAGCCACCGTGCCAGCCTCATGTCATTCTTTGTGTGTGTGTGTGTGTGTGTGTGTGTGTGTGTGTGTGTGTGTGTGTGTGTGACAGAGTCTCATTCTGTCGCTCAGGCTGGAGTGCAGTGGTGTGATCTCGGCTCACTGCAAACTCTGCCTCCCAGCTTCAAATGGTTCTCTGCCTCAGCCTCCCGAGTAGCTCGGATTACAGGCGCCCACTGCCATGCCCGGCTAATTTTTGTATTTTTAGTAGAGACGGGGTTTCACCATCTTGGCCAGGCTGGTCTTGAACTCCTGACCCCGTGATCCACCCTGCCTCGGCCTCCCAAAGTACTGGGATTATACGCATGAGCCACCGTGCCCAGCCGTCATTCTTATATTATTATTTCCTAGGTGTCTTTCCTGAAGACTATCTTCCCGTCTCAAAATGGACATGATGGATCCACGGATGTACAGCAGAGAGCCAGGAGGTCCAACCGCCGTAGACAGGAAGGTATGGCTCTGTTGGAGTCCCCATAGTGTGGAAATGAGTTTGCCCTGGAAAGGGAAAGAACAGCTTCTTGCCCTCAGGTTTCTCACCTTCTCCTCTCCTCACTCTCACCAAGGGCTGAGGTCCGTTTGTATGCACACAAAGAAAAGAGTTTCTTCCTTTCCAGGAATTAAAATTGTCCTGGAAGACATCTTTACTTTATGGAGACAGGTGGAAACCAAAGTTCGAGCTAAAATCTGTAAGATGAAGGTGACAACAAAAGTCAACCGTCATGACAAAATCAATGGAAAGAGGAAGACCGCCAAAGAACAGTAAGATGTGCCTTGACACAAATACTGTTGTATGAACCATGTGCCAATCAAAGTAGACAACTGTAAAGTCCTTGAGAATATTTTCTACAATATTTGTGGCAAATTCAGTGGGTTCAAAATTGAGTTTGTCCTTTCTGCTTCATTAGTTTAAGCTGTATAATTCCTTTCCCTTCCTACATTCTTGTTTGTCATTTTTTCAGGGGAAGAGGAGTTGCTAGTACTGGCATTGGTTTTCCTTTCTCTCTCTTTTTTTTTTTTTTTTTTTTCCTGAGATGGGGCTTTGCTCTTGTTGCCCAGGCTGTAGTGCAATGGCACAATCTCAGCTCACTGCCTTTTGGGTTCAAGCAATTCTCCTGCCTCAGCCTCCCAAGTAGCTGGGATTACAGGTGCCCACCACCACGCCCAGCTAATTTTTGTATTTTTACTAGAGATGGGGTTTCACCATGTTGTCCAGGCTGGTCTCGAACTTCTGACCTCAGGTAATCCACCCGCCTCAGCCTCCCAAAGTGCTGGGATTAGAGGCGTGAGCCACCACACCCAGCCTTTTTTTTTTTTTTTTAAATTTTGAGATAGAGTCTCGCTCTGTCGCCCAGGCTGGAGTGCTGTGGTGCAATCTTGGCTCACTGCAACCTCTGCCTCCCAGTTTGAAGCAATTCTGCCTCAGCTTCCCGAGTAGCTTGGATTACAGGAGTGTGCCACCACATTTGGCCAATTTTTTTTTTTTTTTTTTTTTTTTTTTGAGACAGAGTCTCACTCTGTCACCCAGGCTAGAGTGCAGTGGCAAGATCTTGGCTCACTGCAACTTCCGCCTCCCAGGTTCAAACGATTCTTATCCCTCAGCCTCTTGAGTAGCTGGGACTACAGGCATATGCCACCATGCCCGGATAATTTTTGTGTTTTTAGTAGAGGCGGGGTTTCACCATATTGGCCAAGCTGGTCTAGAACTCCTGACATCATGATCCGCACACCTCGGCCTCCCAATGTGCTGGGATTACAGGCGTGAGCCACCGTGCCCAGCCCAATTTTTGTATTTTTAGTAGAGACGGGTTCACCATGTTGGCCAGGCTAGTCTTGAACTCCTGACCTCAGGTGATCTGCCTACCTCAGCCTCCCGGTGTGAGCCACCGCACCCAGCCTGGATTGTTGAATTCAATGCTCGGGTCACCTCCAGATTCATTTTCACAGTCTTTCATGTTTTGGTCATATTACATTGTATTTTGCTGCCATATGACTGATCTTTTTTTGTTAAATGTGAGATACTTGTTAAAAAATATTTAGCAATGAATTGAGGCCTAGTAGCATGTTATCTTGCTGCAGAAGAGATGGGAGTCTACTTCTGGGGGATGGTCAGGGGTCCTCCATACAGGCTGCAATTGAGGTCGTCAGTGCAGGCTCAGTCCCTACAAAGGCCAGGGTATTTCCTGTCCACCTCTATTCTGATGCATGACTCTTCTGGGTCTCAACCAGAGCCAGTGGACTTCAGTATGGGTCGCTTTCATTGGCAGACCCTCAATCCACTTGTTTTCCATCTAACCCCACACATGTGTGCAAAAGCTGCTGTGCTTCTTTGCATCTCAGTAGTTCCTTCTGGAATTCAGCAATGAAACTCAGGGAAATGGGTTCCAAATGCGAGGCTGACTTTCGTCCTGGGTTTCCTTCTTCTCCATCTTCACCTCATGTCTGTTTACTGCCATGTGAGCAATTTGATGTATTCAGTCATGGGTTTTATATTCTGTTTGGTGTCCCCCATTGTTCTCATCGGAGATCAGAAGCTTCAGATGCACTTATGTCAACTCAAGAGTAGAATGCTTCCTTAGCTTCCCTCCAGAGTCAGGTTTTGTGTTTCTAGTTCCCAAGTGCACAGCAGGAGTAGTGCTGTCCTCACTGGCTTCTCATTTGCATTAAACTGTGAGCTTCTTTAGCGTGGGGACAGGACCCTGCTCCCATTGCATTGTCAGCACCTCACCACACACACCTTGTTTGAGGCCACTCCAGACAGCATGTGCTGAAGGATGCCCTGTGGTCAGAAACAAGTTCATTAACTTTCTCTTTGAAGTGTTTTCGTCTCTGTTTCCTAGCATTCTGGGAATTTTACACATCCTTCCTATAAAACCAAGTATCAGGTGAGATCCTTAGGATCAGGACCATGAATCAAGTGGTGTGAGGGCAACACAGCAAACTTACCCTTTTGAGGCCGTTTCCTTTTTCTGCCCTCAATCTCTGTGAACTGAACCTTGTTAAAGTCAGTCAACACCAGGGTGGATGGTTTGCAGTTGTCACCTATTTTCAGGACATAACACCCTGACTTAGGAGCCATTCCGATCATTTCTAATTCAATAGATGCGCCCAGCATTCAGATTGCCTTTTCAGGATCTTTAAAGTCGATGACAAGAGTTCCAGTCCTGAATCATGGCAAAGTGCAGTAGTGAACTGCGGGGTTAATGACACCATATTCTGGAAGGATCTCTCTATGGCTGATGGTCTCAGTTCCGGCATCAGCCTCTGACTGAGAATCAGGTCTCACACAGGAGGAGTCAGATGAGGAGCAATCCTCTGCCTCCGATGGAGTTAGTTGTGATGAATTGGTGAGGTCTGGTTTTTCACACTGAACTAAAATGAGCTTTCGCTGTGTCAAGCACAAGACTGACCCCAGAGACACACATAGTGCACCTCATAGAAGCTTTTAATAGTCTTTATATTTACTAAAGAATAGGACTAACTATGGAACTATGAAGATGAGCTGGAAATGACAGGTGACTTGCCAGCAGGCCAGAGTGTGATTTTTTTTTTGTCCCTCAATGGGAGGTGTCCATTCTCCCTTTGCTTGTGAGAATCAGTTGGTTCATTTGTGGGAAGGTTGCAGGGGGGATCTTTGAATCAGCCTTCAGATGCCAGAAGGGCAGAGGGAATCCCACACGGGCTGGTGGATCATGTGTGTGCATTTCTCTCCCTTCTAGTCTGAGGAAACTAAGCATGAAAGAACGTGAGCACGGAGAAAAGGAGAGGCAGGTGTCAGAGGCAGAGGAAAACGGGAAATTGGATATGAAAGAAATACACACCTACATGTGAGTTCAGAAACTGAACCCCACCCTCTTGGGAAACGCCCATTGGAGTGTTGTTTTTAACCTTTGTACAATGTTTAGACCCAGTAAATGCAGAAATAGAAACAAATGGTCAGAAGACATATCGTGAGAGAGAGAGAGAGTTCACAAAACAGAAAACAAAGTACCTTAATATTTACCAGTGACCAAAAGATGTGAAGTAGCAAAACGGCTCCTGACCCCATTGCCAGCTAGACTGTGTGGAAACTCGGTTCATACCAGCCATTCTAGGGGTGGGGTGAGTTGTTGTCATCCTTAGGAAAGTGTGTTGTTGTAGGATCAACCACATCCTTCAAAAGGACTATGCCTGTTTATAAGCCCAGCTGTTTCTGCCCTGTGAAACACGGTAAAGATATTAATACAAAGAGAATACAGCTTTATGATAAAAGATGCTCAATGAAGGATGAATTAGGGATATACTGAGAATGGGGAAGGAAGCTATCATCTCAGAAGTCAGCAGGCAGTAAGCAAGAGGAGGAATCAATACAGCAACAGTTTGGATCAGACTGTACAGTTTTTTTTGTTTTTGTTTTTGTTTTTGTTTTTCTGAGATGGAGTCTCGCTGTGTCACCCAGGCTGGAGTGCAATGACGTGATCTTGGCTCATTGCAACCTCTGCCTCCCAGGTTCAAGTGATTCCCCTGCCTCAGCCTCCTGAGTAGCTGGGATTACAGGTGCCTGCCACCACCCCCGCCTAATTTTTTGTATTTTTAGTAGAGATGGGGTTTCACCGTATTAGCCAGGATGGTCTCAATCTCCTGACCTCGTGATCCATCCGCCTCGCCCTCCCAGAGTGCTGGGATTACAGGCGTCAGCCACCGTGACCGGCTCAGACTGTACTCTTACAGCCATCTGAAATACGTTTTCTAGGTAGAGATAGATTGTGTAAGGGTACAGTTGTGAGGATAACAGAAACATGGCAGATTATTTAAAATCATCCTGAAAGTGGTGCTTTATCTGATGAAAGTGATTGTAATCCATAGGGAAATGTTTCAACGTGCGCAAGCGTTGCGGCGGCGGGCAGAGGACTACTACAGATGCAAAGTAAGGAGCTTCCTCCCCGCAGTTGCAGGATAGTTCAGTGCTGATGCAGATGATGCCACGGCCCTTAGACTCTCTCAACATTCAATTTCTCATGTGTTGGCTTTTTCAGATCACCCCTTCTGCAAGAAAGCCTCTTTGCAACCGGGTAAGTTTGCTTGTTTTCCTTGCTTTTGGACATAGTCTGCCAGGTCAGGACATGGATACATTTTTCTCCCTACGGCTCTGTGCTCAAGCCCTGCAGAGGGAGATGGCAGAGAGGAAGGCTGCCTACAAGCATCACAGTCCCATCCCTGTTGGTAACCGTGTTGCGCAAAAACACCTTCATCCCCACCCAGTGGGGCCCCCATCTAATATTCTAAGTGTCAGAGGTTCCGTATTTGTAATAGCAAATGGGCCCTGACTGTAAATTAGTGAAGAGTGAATGTAACTTATTACCCACAGGGACAATTCCAAATGAAGGCCTTAAATGATGCTCAGCTAAGCTGGTTCTTGTGTGGCCTCTGTACCTTCAAAAGCTGCCGAGTCCTATGATTACACGCGATGGGACTTGTACACTTGAAGTGAAACACAGTTTTAAAACTTGCTTTGTTTAGAATTCCCACCTCATTTTTCCATGGACAAAAGTATTCTTTAGGTCCTAGTGCACTTACAATTTGGTATTACCTGGGAGTGAAAAGAAATATTACAGCCATGCCTAACTGACTTCTTGAGGTAAGATTGTTCTGTCAGAAAACCCTCTCCCAGTTCCCCTGCAGCTCTTCAGGAATCCACATCTCTCCAGAGCTCTTTGTTCTCATGGGTGGCACCTCCAGAGTGAAGAAGATCCTTTGTCAAGAAGGGAAACAGAGGGGAAATGAGAGGGTCCTGCAGGCAGAGCTGGAATCAACTTCCACTCTGCCTCTTGCAAGCTGTGTGACCCTGGGCACAATTTCTCCTTCCTCTGGAAACCTCTGTTTTCTTAGATTTGGAGCAGGGTGGTCACACTGACCTTGCAGAGTTCTGAGAATCAGAGACAGAACATAAAAGGCCTGGAAAACATTCTCCAAAAAGAAGCTGCAACATGTGTGGACAATGGGCTTTTCATGCCTCTCTTACTGTCTCTTACTGTCTATTGACCTGGTGCAAGAAACATGCTCTGGTGATGGCTGTGAGGGAGGAATGAGGATAGACATAGACACTCCTGTGTCTCAAACATGCTTCTTTATTACTCTGTTATGACTCTGTCTTCCCTGGGGCAGGACCCCAGCCTGCCTACATTTGCAGACAGACACAGTGGCATGTGGAGACAACAGTGTGTCCCAATGACTTTTCTTTACCCCCCAGCTGTCGGCAGTACTCAGTGGAAGGGTGATATTATGACACTGACACTGCTATTTTGAAACCTGGAGAATGGAAAGGTGCAAAAATCTATCACCAGCAACAGAAGGTGCAGACTGTGTTGGTGGCGGTAATTTTGTCCATCAAATGAATATGTGTGAAAACATTCCCTCCTTTGGCCCTACAGGTCAGAATGGCGGCAGCGGAGCATCGTCATTCTTCAGGATTGCCCTACTGGCCCTACCTCACAGCTGAAACTTTAAAAAACAGGATGGGCCACCAGCCACCTCCTCCAACTCAACAACATTCTATAATTGATAACTCCCTGAGCCTCAAGACACCTCCCGAGTGTCTGCTCACTCCCCTTCCACCCTCAGCTCTACCCTCAGCGGATGATAATCTCAAGACACCTGCGGAGTGTCTGCTCTATCCCCTTCCACCCTCAGCGGATGATAATCTCAAGACACCTCCCGAGTGTCTGCTCACTCCCCTTCCACCCTCAGCTCCACCCTCAGTGGATGATAATCTCAAGACACCTCCCAAGTGTGTCTGCTCACTCCCCTTCCACCCTCAGCGGATGATAATCTCAAGAAACTAAGGAAGAATAAATAAATAATATAAAAATAAAATGAATACTGCAGTCCTTATGTTATTGCTTTGTTTCAATATCTGGTATGATTGCCTGAGGGACCTGAGGTTTTTAATCATAGGGGTTTTTTTAATCTTTAGAAGTGGTTGGTTATGTAAAATATTATTATTTGTTTTTTTTTTGAGACTGGAGTTTGCTCTGTCACCCAGGCTGGAGTGCAGTGGCTCGATCACAGCTCACTGCAGCCTCAACCTCCTGGGCTTCAAGCAATCCTCCTGCCCCAGCCTCCCAAGTAGCTGGGATCACAGATGTGTGCCACCACGCCTGGCCAATGTTAAAAAATCCTTTAACTTTTTTGTAGAGATGCACTCCTGGACTCAAGCAATCCTCCTACTTGTCCCGACCACCAGCCTCTTTCTGATAAACATTTACACTGTTTATTATCTGATGCCATTTCTATCTTCTTCCTTGTCATCCAGACATCAAAGAATTAGGTTTCTTCAGGGTTTTCTTTTTCAAGTGCTCAGTGTTAAAGATCACTCACATTAGGGCCAGACACCACGGCTCATGCCTGTAATCCCAGCACTTTGGGAGGCCGAGGCGGGCAGAGCACTTGAGGTGGGGAGTTTGAGACCAGCCCGGCCAACTTGGTGAAACCCCACCTCTACTGAAAAAATACAAAAATTAGCTGGGCGTGATGGTGCATGCCTGTAGTCCCAGCCACTTGGGAGGCTGAGGCATGAGAATCGCTTGAACCCAGGAGGCAGAGGTTGTAGTGAGCTGAGATCACATCAGCACACTCTAGCCTGGGTGACAGAGCGAGACTGACTCAAAAAATAAATAAAATAAATATCACTTACATTAGATACACCCAAGGGGTGGTCTATAGAGACTTGGAAGCAGTGGTTATTGCAACAGGGGCACGGAAGTCATCTGGCTATGCCAGGATGCCCAGGGGATACTCGGGGTGGGTGGCATGGTGCTGCTGGGGACTCACCGCACAGGACGCTCTGATTGACGCACTGCCAGGAGTAGCGCTCTGTCTTGGGGCTGCAGCCGGCCTCCTCAGCTCGAGTGTAACAACAGTCGTGGCCATGGCAGCACCTGCGGATGTCACATGGGCAGGACAGCAGGTGGGTGAAGCTCTCTCCTGGCCCTCCTCTCTTGCCAGGACTATGGGTGACTGAAGACCCCCAGGGAGGCACAGCATCCTCTTATCTAAGATTTTTTTTTTTTTAAGAGACAGGGTCTTTCTCTGTCGCCCAGGCTGGACTGCAGTGGCACAATCATAGCTCACGGCAGCCTTGAACTCCTGGGCTCAAGTGATCCTCCCACTTCAGTGTCCCAAGTAGCTGAGACTACAGGCACACGCCAGCATGCCCGGCTGGTTTTTTAATTTGTATTTCCTTTGAGACAGCGTATCTCTCTGTTGCTCAGGCTGGAGTGCAATGGCTCAATCAGCTCACTTTAGCCTTGAACTCCCAGGCTCAAGTGATACTGCCACCTCAACCTCTCAAGTCTGCTACTACAGGAAGACAAACTCCTTTTTTAAATTTTTTGTGGATATGGGGTCTCACTATGTTGCCTAGGCTGGTCTCGAGCTCCCAGGCTCAAGCAGTCCTCCTACCTCAGCCTCCACAAATGCTGGGATTACAGGTGGGAGCTACTGTACACCTGGCCTTATCTAAGCTGTTTCCCTGAAAATCCCCGTCTTGGGTAATGATTCCATTGGCCCCACCATGCCCTGTCCTGCCTTCCTGGCTGTGCCCAAGCTTGGTCCCTGCCTGCCTGCCTGCCTCCCTCTCTGGGTCTCGAGCTCCTGTGACACATGACTCCTCTCTCTTCCTGGAGTGATCCAAGCCCTGCCACTTCCTGACTTTGCCCACACTGTACCCTCTGCCTGGGGCAACTTCATGTCTGCCCATTGACCCTTAGGCCTCAGCCCAGGCACAAGCCCCTGCCTCTGGAGGTCATCCAGGCCTCACCAGGCTACACCCTCTCATAAAATCGGATTCCCTCCCTTCAGGGTAGGTTTATAATGAAACCCTCCTTAGAGGCCAGGTGCGGTGACACCCATCTGTAATCCCAGCACTTTGGGAGGCTAAGGTGGGAGGATCACTTGAGATCAGGGGGTCGAGACCAGCCTGGGCAACATAAGAAAACTCTTGTCTCTCTTGTCTCTATAACAAATTTAAAAATTAGCTCACCAGGCCAGGCTCAGTGGCTCATGCCTGTAATCCCACTCAGGCTGGAGTGCAATGGCACGATCTTGGCTCACTGCAACCTCCACCTCCTGGGTTCAGGTGATTCTCCTGCCTCAGCCTCCCGAGTAGCTGGGATTACAGGCATGCGCCACCATGCCTGGCTAATTTTGTAGTTTTAGTAGAGACAGGGTTTCGCCGTGTTGGCCAGGCTGGTCTGGAACTCCTGACCTCGTGATCCACCTGCCTTGGCCTCCCAAAATACTGGGATTACAGGCGTGAGCCACCGCACCTGGACACGTTACTGAATATTTCTGTGCCTTGGTTTCTTCATCTGTGAAATGGGATTGTTGTGAGAACGCAAAGGGATTCCCAGGGCAGTTCCTAGTGCATAGTCTGGCTTCCTTTGTGTGTGTGTGTGTGTGTGTGTGTGTGTGTGTGTGTGTGTGTGTGTGTGTGTGTTTAATATAGAGACAGGGTCTCACTATGTTGCCTAGGCTGGTTTCAAACTCCTGGTCTCCAGTGATATTACTGCTTCGACCCAAAGTGGTGGGATTACAGGTGTGAATCACCACACCTGGTCACTTTATATTTTTATTATTTTTTTCTTTTGAGACAGGGTCTCGCACTGTCACCCAGGTTGGAATGCAGTGGTGCAATCTCAACTCACTGCAAACTCCACCTCCTGGGTTGAAGCAATTCTCCTGCCTCGGTCTCCTGAGTAGCTGGGATTACAGACGCCTGCCACCACACACAGCTAATTTTTGCATTTTTAGTACAGATGGGGTTTCACCATATTGGCCAGGCTGGTCTTGAACTCCTGACCTCAAGTGATCTGCCCACCTCGGCCTTCCAAAGTGCTGGGATTACAGGAGTGAGCCACAGCTCCTAGCCAAGTTTTTAAGGCAACGTCATCAGCTCAAGGCCAGGGTAAGGGGCAGCTGGTACCAAGATCTGGCTTCACTGGCCATGTTATCCAAGAGGCCTCTGCCTGCCTGCAAAGTAGTACTGCACACTGGGATCTCCCTGGACCAAACCCCAGCTTCAGTTTTGGGTACTTCCTCATAAGCCTTGACTACCCCAGAGTGTGAGGGATTTTGTGGCCTGGTCCCAGGCATGCACTCACCAGTCAATGGCATCGCGGGGCTGGCCATGGCCTCCCAAGCCACAAAAGCAACCATATTTCATATAGGCGATGGGGGTTCGGGGACCAACACAACCCACAGTTCCTGCCAGTTCCAGGATCCCACGCCGGTGCACACGTAATATCCTGGAGGCTGGGGGGTAAACAAAGGTGACAGGCTGCAGGTCAGGGCTTCCCAGACCCCTGGGAAGGGCATGAGCCTGAGAAGAGCCCAGGTGTTACAGCCTGGCTGTCTGGGTTTGAATCCTACTTCCTGGCTGTGTGACCTTGGACAAATTCTTAACCTCTCTGGGCCTTGGTTTCCTCATCTGTGAAATGGGGGATAAACTGACTTCAACTCATATGAATGAAATGAGATAATGAGTATAAAGCCCCTGGTGCATGAAAAGGCTATTATAATCCGGCTGGGCTCAGTGGCTCACACCTGTAATCCCAACATTTTGGGAGGCCCAGGCGGGCAGATCACCTGAGGTCAGCAGTTCAAGATCAGCCTGGCCAACATGGTGAAACCCCATCTGTAGTAAAAATACAAAAATTAGCCGAGCATAGTGGTTCATGCCTGTAATCCCAGCTACTAGGGAGGCTGAGGAAGGAGAGTCACTTGAACCTGAGAGATGAAGGTTGCAGTGAGCCAAGATTTTGCCACTGCATTCCAACCTGGGTGACAGAGCAAGAGTCTCAAAAAAAGAAAAAAAAAAGGCTAACTATTATAATCAAGGTCCTCAAGGTAGCCAAGAAGGGAAAAAAGAGTCGTGCATGAAACGTTTGTCCAGTTCCCTGTGTTGGGAACTGGGCATCACGGACGCGCCTACAGGTGTCTGTCACCAAGGTGGGCTCCTCTGTGGCAGCTCCCGGGCCCTGGCACTGCCCTGTGCTCATGACTTCCCCTCCAGACTCAGACTCAGGGCCCTTGGTATCTCCTCTTATTTTCACTGCCAGACAGGAAGGCCCCTTGGCCTGAGCCCAGCCATTTTTCTAGATCCTGGCACAGCTTGGACATGTAATGGTGCCCAATGCATGTGACTGGAACCCCTGCATTGGACATGTAGGAAACGAGGCCAGCCGGGAAAGGTAACCCCACATTCCCACAGCCAGCAGGAACCCGAGCAGAGGCTTCAACCCAGGCTTCTGACTTGCAAACCAGTGCTCCTTCCTCCTTACACAGTGACAACAGGGGAAGGTGGCCTTCGGGGTTGCCAGAGCCGAGTAGTACCAGCAATAGAGTGGAAACTCACACACAGGCTTGCCTGCTTCCTGGGTTAGGGTTAGGGTTTATACAGCTCTGGGAGGTTGACGCATTGTGTTTGATCATCTTTTTTTTTTTTTTTTGAGACACAGTCTCATTCTTGTTGCCCAGGCTGGAGCACAGTGGTTTAATCTTGCTCACAGCAACCTCTGCCTCCCAGGTTCAAGCAATTCTCCTGCCTTAGCCTCCCGAGTAGCTGGGATCACAGGCGTGCGACACCACACCCAGCTAATTTTTGTATTTTTAGTAGAAAGGGGTTTCACCATCTTGGCCAGGCTGGTCTCGAACTCCTGACCTCATATGATCCACCTGGTTTGGCCTCCCAAAGTGCTGGGATTATAGGCATGAGCCACTGCGCTCATCCTGATCATCTTGTCTCTCTTTTTTTTTTTTTTAGAGACAGTGTCTCACTTTGTCACCCACACTGGAGTGCAGTGGCACAATCAGTTCACTGCAGCCTCCAAATCCTGGGCTCAAGCAATCCTCCTGCCTCAGTCTCCAGACATACGGGCATGCACCACCATGCCCAGCTAATTTTTAAATTTTTAGTAGATATGGGGTCTCACTATGTTGCCCAGGCTGTTCACAAACTCCTGGCCTCAAGTGATTCTCCTGCCTTGGCCTCCGAAGGCGCTGGGATTCCAGGCATGAGCCACCATGCCCAGTCTCATTTCTGTTTTATCTAGAACAGTTTTCATCACACTGACTTTTTTGAGAAGTCCAGGCCAGATTGAAATTCCATTTTGTCTTTTTATCAGTGGAAAAAGTAGCATATTTATGTTGGAGGACAAAGATGAATCAAAGAGGAAGAAAATGTAAAACGCATTTGGGGCCGGGCGCGGTGGCTCACGCCTGTAATCCCAGCACTTTGGGAGTCCGAGGCGGGCAGATCACCTGAAGTGAGCAGTTCCAGACCAGCCTGACCAACATGGAGAAAGCTGTTTCTACGAAAAATACATAATTAGCTGGGCATGGTGGTGCACGCCTGTAATCCCAGCTACTTGGGAGGCTGAGGCAGGAGAATCGCTTGAACCCGGGAGGTGGAGGTTGCAGTGAGCCGAGCTCGTACCACTGCACTCCAGCCTGGGCAACAGTGAGACTCTGTCTCAAAAAAAAAAAAAAAAAAGAGCTGAGCTCTGATATAAGCTGCCCTGGCACACAGTGAGCTTCCAGAAATGGTCCCTTGACCTCTAAATGCACCAAGACCCAGGGAACACGCCCTGTCTGAGCACCCTGACAATGTCCCAGTCCCAACACCGTACCCTGAAGCTGTCCCCAAAGGTTCCCCTGCCACCGTCCCTGACCACTCTCTGGTATCTCAGAGCCCTAGCAACAGCCTTATAGAGGGAGGGTTCTAGGCGTGGGGCAGGCATGAGCACTGTGCTTATAACCAAGCAAAACACTCCCTCTGTGCCAACATAGGTGTGGCAGGTCACGCTGGGGTCTGTTTGCCCTGTCTGCCCGCTGCAGCCTCCTCGGGGGAGGGCCAGGGCTGTCTGTCCATCCTGTGACCCCAGGGTCTATGCGCACATATGTGTGTCTGTGCTGCTCTGTGTGTGTGTGTGTGTGTGTGTGTGTGTGTGTGTGTGTGTGTGTGTACACGGTGCATCTGAATTGTCCTGAGTGCTGTCTCGGGTATCCTTGAGCTGTGTGTGCGTGTGTCCCCCTAGCGGTATGTCAGTATTTTTCCCTGTGGGAGCCGCACACCTGAGGGCCAGGTGAGTCTGGGGCTGGTCCTGTGCCTGCGCATCTGTGTGCTGGCGGTGTCTGCATAGTACTCTGCGGGTACATGTATCTGTGCACCCCAGAAATGGGCAGTCACCCACGGGACCTCTCTACAGTGACCCCAAAGGATGGATAGTGAGATAGGGACAGTATGTTCTATTTTTTGTTTTTTTGTTTGTTTGTTTTGTTTTGTTTTGTTTTTGGTCACCGGGGTTTGTTGTACAGGGGCACAATATATTCTTCTCCCACCCCCAAGCCGGCCCTTTCTGCCCCTGCTCCTCCCACCCTCTGGTGTCTCACATCTCAGGGACAGGTGGAATGAAGGGTAAGTTCGCGGACCCCAGATCAGGACAACCGGGAGGCTTCCGGGCTGCCGGAGAGGGTCACAGCCGGTTAGGGGAGGGAGCCAGGAGAGGACTCTGCGCCCCTGGGGAAGGACTGGGCTAGTTCTGGGTCCCTGGGAGGAGTGAGTGGGGGGCCCTGCAGAAGGCTGGGGCGCATCGTGTGGGTGAGCATTAGAAGAGCGAGCTGGGGGCTCTAGGGCAACTAGGAACTTGGAGAGGGATGGGAGGCAGGGCTGCTGGGTCCCTAGGAAGGGCTGGAGGAATACCGGAACGCCTGAGTTCCGGGAAAGCCCCTTCCTCACTCACCCTCGCCGGACCCGGGGCCAGGTAGAAGCAGCAGCAGCAGCAGCGACGGCAGTAGCAGGAGCAGCATGATTGGCAGGCACACAGGTAGCGGCCCCATCGGAGGGTGGCAGAGGTGGGACGGTGCTGCAGGGCCACCGGAGGCACCAAGCCCGGCGGACACACACCCCGGCTGTCACGCCCCGGCTCCGCCCCCGACCTCACCTTCCCTCGCGGCCCAAGCAGAGCCAGCTAGGGGCGGGCACCTGGGGCGGCGCAAAGGCGTCCTGATCTCTGTATCTTGGTCACTGAAGGGGCTCCAGAGGCCGCGGGGCGCTGGGGACAGGACCGGGAGTCAGGCCCAGGGAAGTCTCCTCGGAATAAGGGAGGAAAAGGCGCTCTTTTGATGTTATTACTCCCCCAGCCCCTCCCCCGCTCACCTGGGCGCCCAAAGGGAACAGAAGACTTGGAGGAGGGGTAGTCCTGAATTTGCTTTAACATTTTATTTTATTTGGCCGGGCGCGGTGACTCACGCCTGTAATCCCAGCACTTTGGAAGGCCGAGGCTGGCGGATCACCTGAGGTCAGGAGTTCAAAACCAGCCTGGCCAACATGGTGAGGCTGTCTCTACTAAAAACACAAAAATTAGCCGGGCGTGGTGGTGTGGACCTATAATCCCAGCTACTTGGGAGGCTGAGGCACAGGAATCGCTTGAACACGGAAGGCAGAGGTTGCAGTGAGCCAAGATCACACCACTGCACTCCAGCCTGGGTGAGAGCCAGACTCTGTCTCTTTCTCGCTCTCTCTGTCTCTCTCTCTGTCAGTCTGGAGAGAGTTGATTGTCCCTGGTCAGTCTCTCTAGTCGAGAGAGAGAGAGACACTGAGGCTGGGCACAGGGCTCACGCCTGTAATCCCAGCACTTTGGGACACCGAGGCGGGTGGATCACCTGAGGTCAGGAGTTGGAGACCAACCTGGCCAACATGATGAAACCCCGTCTCTACTAAAAATACAAAAAATTCCCCGGGTATGGTGTTGAGCGCCTATAATCCCAACTACTCAGGAGCCCGAGGCAGGAGAATCGCTTGAACCCGGGAGGCAGACGTTGCAGTGAGCGAAGATCGCACCACTGCACTCCAGCCTGGGCAACAAGAGCAAAACTCCATCACACACAAACATACACACACACACACACACAAAATTAACCAGGCATGGTGGCACGTGCCTGTAGTCTCAGCGGCTCGGGAGGCTGATGTACAAGAATCGCTTGAATCTGGGAGGCGAAGGTTGCAGTGAACCAAGATTGCACCACTGCACTCCAGCCTGGGTGCCAGAGTAAGACACTATCACAAGGCCGGGCACGGTGACTGATGCCTGTAATCCCAGCGCTTTGGGAGGCCGAGGTAGGCGGATCACCTGAGGTCAGGAGTTCGAGACCAGCCTGGCCAACATGGTGAAACCCTGTCTCCACTAAAAATACAAAAAAATTAGCCGGGCATGGTGGTGGGCGCCTGTAATCCCAGCTACTCTGGAGGCTGAGTCAGGAGAATTACTTGAACCCAGGAGGCGGAGGTTGCAGTGAGCCAAGATCGCGCTATTCCACTCCAACCTGAGCAACAAGACCGAGACTATGTCTCAAAAAAAAAAAAAAAAATGACTCTGTCTCAAAAAAAAAAACTAGAAGTCTTGATCTGTGATCTTGGGAAAAGCTGTTCACATCAAGGATGCCATCTTTTTCTGGCGAAAAACTTCCCTCTTGTGAGATTATGAACCCAAAGTTCAAGGTCCTGAAGTTTTGCTGTATTGTGGATGGCAAGGACATTCTTTCTCTGATGTTCTCAGAAGATCCAATCTTTGGTTCTAGATTGTGAAGGAATTGATTGTCCCCAGTCAGTGAGCCATAAAAAGCTTTCAGTACCTGGTGAAAATACACTGTACCATAATGATCTACTGTTGTAATATCAGCCCTCTTGCATGGGAAAGCAACCAGAAAACATGCATTGAAAATGATAATTGACAACTGAAATGTTCAAATGGCCCATGAGGTAGCCAAATGCACCTGAAGCTTTGATTGTCTTCCCAGGAACATGAATTTGACAAACGAAACATTGGTTATGAACTATTTTAGCAATTTATAATTCAGCACACCAATACATATTTAATTTAGATCATTTTATCTTTTCCATGATGAGTCATGGAATGCAGAGTCTTTTATTTTTCATTTTTAGACAGAGTTTCATTCTTGTTGCCCAGGTTGGAGTGCAATGGCGCTATCTCGGCTCACCGCAACCTCCGCCTCCTGGGTTCAAGCGACTCTTCTGCCTCAGCCTCCTGAGTAGCTGGGATTACAGGCATGAGCCACCACGCCCGGATAATTTTTTGTATTTTTAGTAGAGATGGGGTTTCTCCATGTTGGTGAGGCTGATATTGAACTCCCGACCTCAGGTGATTTGCCCACCTCGGCCTCCCAAAGTGCTGGGATTACAGGTGTGAGCTACCACGCCCAACTGCAGAACCTTTAATAACAAACACTTTAAGGAGTCAGGAAGGACAAGGTGACCATCTTGATTCTCCATGAGTCCATGGTTAACATCGGACTTGCGTGCTCTGAATATCAGTTGTTTCTCCAGTTTACGTGCATAGCACTGATACCTAATGGGTTATCATAGGTAATTTGACTTAGACCTTGGAGTTCATTCAAATTGTATACCTAGGCTGGGCGAGCCCACAAAAAATTAGCTGGGCATGGTGGCAGAAGCCTGTAATCCCAGCTACTTGGGAGGAGATGGGAGAATCCCTTGAACCCAGGAGAAGGAGGTTTCAGTGAGGGGAGATTGCTCCACTGCACTCCAGCCTGGGCGACAGAGTGAGACCCTGTTTCAAAAACAACAAAAAAGGGGTGGTGGCTCATGCCTGTAATCCCAGCACTTTGGGATGCCAAGGCGGGTGGATCACCTGAGGTTGGGAGTTCAAGACCAGCCTGACCAACATGGTGAAACCCCGTCTCTACTAAAAATTCAAAAAAATTAGCCAGGCATAGTGGTGGGCACCTGTAATCCCAGCTACTCAGAAGGCTGAGGTACGAGAATCACTTGAACCTGGGAGGCAGAGGTTGCAGTGAGCCAAAATCACGCCATTGCACTCCAGCCTGGGTGACAGATTGAGACTCCGTCTCAAAAAAGCAAAAAGCAAAAAACAAAAACAAACAACAACAACAAAAACCAAACTGTTTATCTAAACAATTTTGGTATCGGCTGTTTTAACATGAAAATTTAGCAAAGTGTTTTTTTGGTATTCAATTAATTTTTTGTTCTGCTTGGGTTAGCAGCTTTCTTTCTTTCTCTCTCTCTTTCTTCCCTTCCTTCCTCCCTTCCTCCCTTCCTTCTTTCTTTCTTTCTTTCTTTCTGTCACCCAGGCTGAAGTGCAATGGCACGATCATGGCTCACTGCAATCTCCGCCTCCCGAGTTCAACCGGTTCTCCTGCCTCAGGCTCCCAAGTAGCTGGGATTAGAGATGCCCACCACCATTCCCAGCTAATTTTGTATTTTTTTAGTAGAGACAGGATTATACCATGTTGGTCAATTACAATTCCCCTGTCTTCATGAATCGGCTCTGTCTAGGCAGTGGGCAAGGTGAACCCCTTGAGCAGTTACAGTAGTGCCAACATGTCAAGTTTCTAGGCTCTCTCTCCCTGATCGGCCCTGGTGACCCTGTTGGACTGTATGCCAACAAACACATTGTCATGAATTAAGAATATTCACAAATAGTTTACAAATTTTGGAGAAATTAGGCAGAGACAGAAATATGACTCAAATTCTATTTATGAAAGTATACTCGCTGGACGGTGTGGCTCAAGCCTGTACTCCCAGCACTTTGGGAGGCCGAGGCAGATGGATCACCTGAGGTCAGGAGTTTGAGACCAGCTTGGCCAACATGATGAAACCCCATCTCCACTAAAAATACAAAAAGTTAGCCAGGTGTGGTAGTGGGTGCCTGTAGTCACAGCTATTCCAGAGGCTGAGGCAGGAGAATCACTTGAACCTCTGAGGTGGAGGTTGCAGTGAGCTGATATCGTACCATTGCACTCCAGCCTGGGCGACAGTGTGAGACTCTGTCTCAAAAAATAAATATAAAAAATAAAAAGCTGCTATGCTCCATTAATTCCTGCAGGCCCAACGAAGGCAGCCTAGGAATTCTAGATCAATGGAATGAATACAACTTGCTAGAAATACATAGGAAACAAAATGACTATTCACAGAACCAAATAAAAGCCTTCCACTAGAAACTAAAAATAATAATAATAATAATGGTTATATATATATGCATACACAAGCAAAGCCAGAAGAGAATAAATAGCAAATGAATGAAAATTAGAAGCAAAAACAAGTAACTAGGAAACCATCTCTACATTTTTTTTACTCAATCTACCCTGAATGCTACAGCATTATCCAGGACCCCAGAAAACACACATAATACTTTATTCCTGATAAACAATTCAATGTCCTTAAGTCCACCAATATCACCATACATTCTGTGCAATCAAGAAATTTACTCAGCTGGGTGCAGTGGCTCACACCTGTAATTCCAGCACTTCGGGAGGCCAAGGCGGGTGGATCACCTGAGGTCAGGAGTTTGAAAACAGCCTGGCCAACATGACAAAACCCCATCTGTACTAAAAATACAAAAATTAGCCCAGTGCGGAGGCACACGCCCATAATCCCAGCTACTCGGGTGGCTGAGGCAAGAGAATTGCTTGAGCCTGAGAGGCAGAGGTTGCAGTGAGCCCAGACTGCACAAGTACACTCCAGCCTCGGTGACAGAGGGAGACTCCATCTCAAAGAAAAAAAAAAGATTGTAGACCTAAAGTTAACATTGGCATGTACTTGATTATAGGAGGCCAGCAAATAATTTATTTATGAATGATCTACGGGGCGCAGCCCTTCCCAGATGCCTGAGGCCTTTTCTTGCTGAATGGACATCTATCTGGCTGTTACATGATCTTAGGAACAGCTATTCATTTGGAAAAGGGTGTCACAATGACTTTCTCTTTTGCATAAGAAGATGGGGGGCTGGGATCCTGAGATTTTAAAATTTCCTTTACAGCATACCCATATGTGCTCAAAAGTGAAAAGAGATGACAATTGGCCAGGCGTGATGGCTCACACCTGTAATCCCAGCACTTTGGGAGGACGAAGTGGACAGATCAGAAGGTCAAGAGATCAAAACAATCCTAATCAAAATGGTGAAACCCTGTCTCTACTAAAAATAAAAAAATTAGCTGGGCATGGTGGCATGTGCCTGTAGTCTCAGCTATTCGGGAGGCTGAGGCAGGAGAATTGCTTGAACCCGGGAGGCGGAGGTTGCAGTGAGCCGAGTTCGCACCACTGTATTCCAGCCTGGCAACAGAGGGAGACTCCATCTCAAAAAAAAAAGAAAAGAAACGAGATGACAATTGTAGTGCAAAATATCTGTTCCCTTTTGGTCCCCAGTGCCACTGCTACCCCATTCATCACCAATTTTTGTTGATGTCTCTTCCTGACTACTTTTTTTTTTTTTTTTTTTGGAGATAGAGTCTCACTCTGATGTCCAGCCTGGAGTGCAGTGGTGTGATCTCAGCTCATTGCAACCTCTGCCTCCAGGTTCCAGTGATTCTCCTGCCTCAGCCTCCCAAGTAGCTAGGACTATAGGCATGTGCTACCACGCCCAGCTAGTTTTTGTATTTTTAGTAGAGATAGGATTTTAACATGTTGGCCAGGCTCGTCTTGAACTCCTGACCTCAGGTGATCCACCTGCCTTGGCCTCCCAAAGTGCTGAGATTACAGGTGTGAGCCACCATGCCTGGCCTTTTTTTTTTTTTTTTTTTTTTTTTGAGATGGGGTTGAGCCTGTTGCCCAGGCTAAGCTTGAATTTATTTTTATTTTTATTTTATTTATTTATTCATTTATTTTATTTATTATTATTTTTTTATTTTTTGAGATGGAGTTTTGCTCTTGTCGCCCAGGCTGCAGTGCAGTGGCACGATCTTGGCTCACTGCAACCTCTGCCTCCCAGGTTGGGAGTAGCTGGGACTACAGCTGCCCGCCACTATGCCCAGCTACTTTTTGTATGTTTAGTAGAGCTGCGATTTCACCACGTTGGCCAGGCTGGTCTCAAACTCCTGACCTTAGGTGATCTGCCCACCTCGGCCTCCCAAAGTGCTAGGATTACAGTTGTGTGCCACTACACCCGGCCTGGGCTTGAATTTCTGACCTCAAGCAATCCTCCCTCCTCAGGCTCCTGAGTTGCTGATATTACAGGTGCATATCACCTTGCCCAGCACTAGAAACATGATTTTGTCACAACCCCAGACCCCTCTCATTCCCTTTCATAGGAAGGCACTGGGCACCAGAGAAGCTTGAGCCAAGAACCAGGGGAACCAAGATTTAAACTCATTTCTGTTGGGTGCCAAACCTCTCTCTGCCTCCTTCTATTGGAGACGGCTGGGCACGGTGGCTCACACCTGAGATCCCAGCACTTTAGGAGGCCTAGGTAGGTGGATCACCTGAGGTCAGGAATTTGAGACCAGCCTGGCCAGTATGGTGAAACCCTGTCTCTAGTAAAAATGCAAAAAATTAGCTGGGTGTGGTGGTGGGTGCCTGTAATCCCAGCTACACAGGAGGCTGAGGCAGGAGAATCGCTTGAACCCAGGAGGCAGAGGTTTCAGTGAGCCGAGATCATGCCATTGCACTCCAGCCTGGGAAACAAGAGTGAAACTCCATCTCAAAAAAATTAAAAAAAAAAAAAAGAAAAGAAAATCCGAGGCTTTGGTCCCTTTGCCTGCGACACTCTGGAGTAATTCTGTCCCTGCCTGAACGTGATCTCCTCAAGGCAAAGTCTGCGTCTCCTTCCTCTTGTGTGCTCAGCCCTGGCCTATCTGTCCCACACTAGGTGCTCAGTGAAGGTGTGCTCATGTGGAGTATGGGTTTCAGGCATACCAAGACTTGGAGTTGCAGAGGCTGTGAGTGACAAGCCTTGGAGTGCTATGCCCACTGGGAAATGGGTCTATCTCGGGGTTGGGCCAATAAGCTGGGCTCCCTCCGACGCCAGTGCTCATAGCTCCCCTACCCTGGGTGGACCCCTGCAGATGGTCAAGTATGTTGGCTCCATATGTGCCTTGAGTAGCTGGGTGCAGTAGCAGGGCATGGTGGCTCAGGCCTGTAATCTCAGCACTTTGGGAGGCTGAGGCAGGTGCATCCCTTGAGGTCAGGAGTTTGAGACCAGCCTGGCCAACATGGCAAAACCCCGTCTCTACTAAAAACAGAAAAATTAGCTGGGCATGATGGTGCACGCCTGTAATCCCAGCTACCCTGGAAGCTGAGGCAGGAGAATCACTTGAACCCGGGAGTCAAATGTTGCGGTGAACCCAAGATTGCGCCACTGCACACCAGTGTGGGGCATAGGGGGAGACTCTGTCTCAAAAATAAATAAATAAATAAATAAATAAAACAGATGGAGAGGCTGGGTGTGTGTGGTGGCTCATACCTGTAATCTCTGCACTTTGGGAGGCTTAGGTGGGAGGATCAGTGGGGCCCAGGAGTTTGAGACCAGCCTGGGCAACATCTCTACCATCTCTACCAAACACACACACACAAATTAAAAAACTAGTTGGGTGTGGCGATGCATACCTACTTGGGAGGCTGAGACGGGAGGATTTCTTGAGCCCAGGAATTTGAGGCTGCAGTCAACAGTGACCACGCCACTGCACTCCAGCCTGGAAGGTAAAGTCAGACACTTTCTCAAACAATAAAAATAAATAAATAAATAAATAAATAAATAAATAAATAAAGCCGGAGGATAATGGTGAGACATGGAGAGAAGGCATGCTAGGCAGAGAGACCTCCGTAGGCAAAGTCGAAGAGACATGAAAGAGCCAGTGTGCAAGAGTAAATTCCTAGAACTCTGGGAGATGGGAGCAGAGGGAGCTGGTACAGGTCTCCACCTGGTGTACAATCTTGGCATAAATCTCCTACCATGAAAATAAATGACATTTTCTTCTTCCGGCTTTTGTAAGTTGGAAGAAAGCAGTTTTTCTGAGGAGTCTCACTCTGTCTCCCAGGCTGAAGTGCAGTAGCGCAGTCTCGGCTCACTGCAACCTCCTTCCCCCTGGTTCAAGCGATTCTCTTGCCTCAGCCTCGCGAGTAGCTGGGACTGCAGGCATGTGCCACCATGCCCGGCTAATTTTTGTTTTTGTTTTTTCGGAGATGGAGTCTCGCTCTGTCACCCAGGCTGGAGCGCAGTGGTGTGATCTCAGCTCACTGCAAGCTCCACCTCCCGGGTTCACGCCATTCTCCTGCCTCAGCCTCCCAAGTAGCTGGGACTACAGGCACCTGCCACCGCGCCTGGCTAATTTTTTGTATTTTTAGTACAGACGGGGTTTCACTGTGTTAGCCAGGATGATCTCCATCTCCTGACCTCGTGATCTGCCCGCCTCAGCCTCCCAAAGTGCTGGGATTACAGGCGTGAGCCACAGTACCCAGCCGCAGCATGCACCTTTTTAAGGACAGTTCCTTTCTGGATCCTTCCTAAGGTTCTGATTTCTAATCCTTCCTAACCCAGTTCACTGCCCCCCCCGCCCCAACACCACCCTCGGTCCACCCATTCTGACTCACTTTCTCCTTTCCTGATGCCCACAATTTCCAACAATCAGTCTTGGCCTCAGATTCCCGCCCTTCAGGTTCCAGTGTTCCTTGGGTCCTCTCTCTCCCCTGATCCTCTCTGATTAGGGGTGGGGTGTGTGAGTTGCAATTAAACCCAGCCTTTATTGGAGTCCTAGGGCTGGATTCTGCATTGTGCTCTGTTGTGTCATTGCACCTTCTCGTTTCCGCTCTTTCTGCCCAGCTTCTTCCTCTTCATACTCTAAGCCCCGCCAGCGCATGCTGACCCCACCGGTGGAGCGCCGCTCCTTCCCACCTGCCGCTTCTCCATCTCCATCTCTCCATCTTCTGCTCCTAGCCTTTCCTGGCACGGGGGCCCTAGCTCTGAGCTCTTGCATTTTTCTGGGGCACCGTCCTGCTCCTTCTCGTAACCCCGGGCAGTGGCCCTGGGCTCCTCGTCCGGCTGCTGCGGGCCTGGGCTGCCCGGGTCAGCGTAGCCAGGCCGACAGACAGCGCAGTTCACACCCCGGGGCGGCGGAGGCAGGTGCAGTGCGAGCGGCGACCCCTGTAGGCTGGTGTGGGCGCTGCCTGGAGGCTGCTGCGGTGCCGCCTGTAGGCTGGTGAGGGCGCCGCATGGAGGTTGCCGTGACGCTCGTTGGCGCCCAGCGCCCCGCCCAGGGCTTCCTGGCTGCAGTGGCTGCTGCCCCATCCCAGGGCCGCGGGGCCCGGGTTCCACTTGGCGGCGTCTTCTCTCGAGTCGCCTTCGCTGCTCCGAGAAGTCGGCGGCGCAGCAGTTGACGCTCAGCTCGCCGCAGGTCGCCATATTCCCCGCGGAGGCCGGCTGGGCTCTCGCCTCAGGCCGCCCACCCTGCTCCGGCCGCCGCGGCCTCTCCGTTCCCGCAGCCAGAGGTGGGGAGAGAGCGACCTCCAGGCACTGGGCACCCGCCGCTTCCCCAGCAGCCGGCGGGGCGATGGAGAAAGACGCCAGGAAGCGGAAGGTCCCCGCCGGCCCGAGGGTCGCCCGGGGCTGCGCCCCATGGTTCCTGCCCACGGAGCAGCTGCCGGGACCCTCCCTGCCAAGTTGCTCCCGGAAAAGCTCTCAGGTTCTCAGGCCTGCAGGGAGTGACAGTTTCCCCCTGACTGGAACGTAAGGCTGCAAACTCGAAGCCAGGCATTTTCTGCGTATTCTTAAATAGGATGTTTCAGTCAAAGCCTTGATAATATAACCAATCATTCTGATTACAGCCTGCTTATAAGGAGAACATGTGTACATCAAAGTAAGAATATTTATGAATAGTTTCCAAACTTTGGAAGGATCAAGTAGGAAGGAAAAACAAACGCTTCCACCCACCTTTGTTCACAAAAGTGTGCTTTACCAAATCGGTGTAAATTCTAGATAACTTCTGAGAAAAAATTTTCTTCAATCTAGAAAACAAAACAAGGGCCCGGCGCGGCGGCTCACGCCTGCAATCCCAGCACTTTGGGAGGCCCAGGCGGGGGGGTGATCACCTGAAATCAGCAGTTGGAGACCAGCCTGGCCAACATGGTGAAACCCGGTCTCCACTACAAATACAAAAACTAGCTGGGCGTGGTGGCGGGCGCCGGTAATCCCAGCTACTCGGGGGGCTGAGGCAGGAGAATGGCTTGAACTCAGGAGGCGGAGGTTGCACTGAGCAGAAATCCCGCCACTGCACTCCAGCCTGGGTGACAGAGTGAGACTCCGTCTCAAAAAAAAAAAAAAAGAATGAATCAAGAATCAACAAACAACAATGTTTTAAATACGAATTATAAAAACATTATCTTAATAGATTTTTTTGTTTTGCTTGATCTTGCTTAGCAGTTTTTTGAACCATTGTTTCCTTATTAGAAGCCACTAGAAATTGGTTTTTAGTTCATTGGTTTTTATTTTTTTTATTTCTGAGACAGAGTCTCAGTCTGTCGCCCAGGCTGGAGTGCAGTGGCACAATTTTGGTTCACTGCAACCTCTGCCTCCCAGGTTCAAGCGATTCTCATGCCTCAGCCTCCCGAGTAGCTGGGATTACAGACATGCACCACCATGCCTGGCTAATTTTTGTATTTTTAGTAAGATGGGCTGGCCAGGCTGGTCTGGAACTCCTAACCGCAAGTGATCCGCCTGCCTTGGCCTCCCAAAGTGCTGAGATTACAGGCGTGAGCCACTGCGCCTGGCCCATTGATTTTTAAAAAAATATTTAGTTTTAATGTATTGAGGGGGTATAAGTGCGAGTTTCTCACATGCCTATAGTGGTGAAGCCTGGGTAGTTCATTGATCTGGGTTATCAGAAAACCATGTTCAAGAGGATTTGTTAGAGTTTTCTCCATGCAAAGCAAATTTGGGGGCCGGGCGCGGTGGCTCCACGGCTGTAATCCCAGCGCTTTGGGAGGCTGAGGCGGGCGGATCACGAGGTCAGGAGTTGAAGACCAGCCGGGCCAATATGGTAAAACCCCGTCTGTACCACCACCAGTTAGCTGGGCGTGGTGGCGGGCGACTGTAGTCCCAGCTACTTGGGAGGCTGAGGCAGGAGAATCGCTTGAACCCAGGAGGCAGAGGTTGCAGAGAGCCAAGATGGCACCACTGTACTCCAGCTTAGGCGACAGAGCCAGACTGTGTCTCAAAAACAGGAAAGAAAACAAAAGAAAATTTGGACTACTGCCAATTACAAATATTTTTAGAGAAGAATTCAAAACTAACTGTGGATGATGAAAACAATAGTTATGATAAAAGTCTGATGAAACTTCCCAGTTCACAAGGAAATTTAATTACTTTTTTTTTTTTTTTTTTTGAGACGGAGTCTCACTGTGTCACCCAGGCTGGAGTGCAGTGACGTGATCTCCGCTCACTGCATGCTCCACCTCCTAGGGTCATGCCATTCTCCTGCCTCAGCCTCTCAGCCTCCCAAGTAGCTGGGACTACAGGTACCCGCCACCATGCCCGGCTAATTTTTTTTTTGTGTGTTTTTAGTAGAGACGAGGTTTCACCGTGTTAGCCAGGATGGTCTCGATTTCCTGACCTCGTGATCCACCCGCCTCGGCCTCCCAGAGTGCTGGGATTACAGGTGTGAGCCACTGTGCCCAGCCAATTACTTATCTTATGTGCAGCATTTTAAGACAGTGATCAGAATCATGACTGACAGCATTACATCAGGACCACCAGTGTTTTATAAATTTCATATCATCTTCAGAAATAATTAATAACTTTTTTTTTTTTTTTTAGATAGATTCCAGCTCTGTCGCCCAGGCTGGAGTGCAGTGGTGCAATCTCGGCTCACTGCAACCTCCGCCTCCTGGGTTCAAGCAATTCTCCTATCTCAGCCTCCCGAGTTGCTGAGATGACAGGCCTGTGCTACCAAGCCTGGCTAATTTTTGTATTTTTCATGGAGACAGTATTTTCGTGTAATTTTCACCCTATTGGTCAGGCTGGTCTTGAACTCCTGACCTCAGGTGATCCACCTGCCTTGGTCTCCCAAAGTGCTGGGATTATAGGCATGAGTGATGGTGCCCAGCCATTCATAACATGTTTATGCAAATATAACTTTAGCAAATATTTAGCATATATTTAGCATAATATTGCTAAAGCTAAACTTTAGCAAATATTTAGCATAACAATCAAAATTACAAATCATAACATATTAAATTTGTATAAATGTATGTAATTTTTGGAACACGTATATCAACAACATACCCATAAATATAACTGAGATGAGATCTAATGTCACCTCACTTGACAGTGCCCTCCCATGCAGTATCACCACATTTGACAATGCCCGCCCATATAATCTACCAAATAAATCGAATCACTTAATACCTCTACAAGATGAGAGATGCATTCTTTAGACTCCCGAAGGGATGCAGCTGAAAAATCCCAAAGTTAATTTTAAGCCAAAAAGACCTGATTTAGGATTTTGACACTGGAGAAACCCATCAAAGATGTCAAGTTTGTAAACACTTGATCAAAACAGAATCACAGGTCACTATTAAAAAGGGTATTCATTTAACCAGAGACTTCCAAAGCAATACAGAAACTTACATGGATATAAAAACCTTAACCCTTTTAAAGGTCAGATTTGCTAAGTGATCAAAAGGGGTACTTGAATTGAATCGACACAGGAAGAGTGTGTACAGGGTTACGAGTGTAGGCAAATGGTTACTTTGGTCATATCTCCATTTGCCACCTGATTACACATGAGAATGGCATCTTTACTCACCAGAAAGCCAGTATTATGGGAGGTGTAGGAGGCATTCTTGGACTTGAGACAAGAACATTGTTGTGTAGAAATTTCATTGACTGTGTTAAAATTATTCTCCATGGGCTGGAGAACACATAATGTGGTGTTTAGAATGAGACGGGCATTGATTGGATGCAAGGTCTCCACACTTACTAGCTGTGTGACATTGGACAAAGTGCTTCATCATTCTGAGACTCAGTTTTTAAAGGAAAAACAACTAACTACCTTGCAAGCTTGCTAGCAGGTTTAAGTGTAATAATGTGTGGGAATGACTGCACCGTGACTAACACGTAGTGACAGCTTAATTAATGTTAACCCTTATCATTATCATATAAGAATGTGAATTACATAAGGGAGGAATCCTGTCAGTTCGTTCTCTGCTGTGTCCCCAAGACCATGAATCATGGCTGGCACGTAGTAGGCATTTAATAATATTTGTTCAACAAGTATTTGGCAGTCTTGGAGGGCAGAAAAGGAGGTGGGGAAGATGTTTAAATAACATTTTTTAAAAAGTCACATTGTCCTACAATACCAATTTTTCTTGCATATTTAGGAAATTGAGGGTTTTTTCCTAAAACACGCGGACATATGGGAAATAGGATGCAACATTTGCACTAATGTTTCCGACACAGTTAGAGGTTTCCAAGAGATTTTGCGCTGGGGAGGCTGCTTGCTACAAGCTCCCAAAGCTCTGGGAGGACATAGTATTCATTCCTCCCTCAGCAGAAGCGGTGAGGCAAGAAGCTCTGGGGAGCATCCAGCCTTGGACTTTTAGCATAGTGTGTCAGGTCTTCATAGTTTGGGCCCAGGGCACAGAGAAGTCACAGCTCTCCGGCATCCTGTGACCTTTACCCTCTTTGCCAAGGGAAAATGTGGCCCTCCAAAGCAAGAAACTTGAGGTCATGGGTCACCCCAGCCCTGGCATCTGCCCAGAGCCCGAGAAGGAAGGAACAATGATCCTCCAGCTACCTCACAGGGCTGGCACAGGTGGCCACTGCCCTGGCATCACCCAGCTGTGTTCGGCAGCCTGAACCCCATCTGTGGGGATGTGAGGAGGAAAATACAAAAGTCATTAGGTGAACACTGAGAAGGCAGATGCAGCAGAAGCCTCCAGGCCAGAACTACCCAGTCTTGGACCTATGGTGGAGATAGAGCATAGCTGGCGATCATGTGTACTTACACTCTAAGGTCACCTGGTTGCCCTATGGCCTCATCTGTGGCTCTGAAAATGAAGATTTGGAAGGAGATCATCACAGCTAATGTTAACAAGCCCCTCCTGTGTGCCAAATCATTCACCCCTCACCACAACCAAATGAGCTAAGGATTCTCGTTATATATAGTTTATGGAGAGGGAAGTGCAGACATAAAGAGGTGAATTATCTTACCCAGATCACACAGCTGATAAGTGGTGGAGGCAGAATAGAATCTAAACAGTGTGGCTCCGGAGCCCACATGCATTGATTCGACAAGTGTTTATTGAGCACCTGCCGCGGACAAGGCCTTGTGTGATTAAATAGGGTTATAATTAGTAATATAAAAATGAGAAATCACTAATGCTTTTTAGACTTAACATTTTCTTTCTTTGTAGGTTTCAGGCACAGAACTGTATATCCAATAATAGTGAAATGGATCCCACTAATTATGACCGAAATGATGATACATTTAAATGACTTGGATGTTTTATAGGTATGATCTCGTGAAACCTTGAGAGAAACTGAATGACGAATGAAACTATTGTTCCTGTTTCACACAGAAGAAAACTGAGGTTAAAAGGGGTAAAGTAATTTTGCATGGCATGAAGTAGAAATTCAAAGTACAGGAATTTGAACTTGGTTCTGTCCTTTTCTGAAGCCCTTGACCACTATAGACTCAAACATCACCTTGTTTTTCCACTCATTCAACACTTTTTTTTTTAATTGTCTAATAGGTTGGCACTCATCATGAGCCCCTGTTCTCATTCTGCAAATGGTGAAGCTCTCTATTGTCCTGACCCCACGGTTCCTGTCCCATGACCAGGGCCAGCTCACCAAGGAGCTGCAGCAGCACGTAAAGTCAGTGACATGCCCATGCGAGTACCTGAGGAAGGTGAGTGAGTGCAGACAGATGGGGCCTGGTGCCCTTGAGCAGTTCCCGGGTCTCAGCTGCCACACATCTCATAGCGGGTGATGCTGGGGGAAGCTTACGCAGTCTCAGTACTGGCTTCTTCCTCTTTTTCTTTCCATACAAGTGGCTTAGGGATGGGGTAGAGTAGTTGACTTATTTGGATGAAAACCACTATCTTCTGTCAGAAACTCAAAAGGAATCATTGCTGGCATGGTAACCTAAAGAAAAACAACCAGACAAGTGCCCAACGACACTTTAAAAGGTTATTTATTATCTTGCCAAGTTTAGGCTGGGCATGGTGACTCATGCCTGTAATCCCAGCATTTTGGGAGGCTGAGGCTGGTGGATCACCAGAGGCCAGGACTTCGAGACCAGCCTGACCAATATGGCAAAACCTCGTCCCTATTAAAAATACAAAAATTAGCCGGGCATGGTGGTGTCAGCCTGTAGTCCCAGCTACTCAGGAGGCTGAGACAGGAGAATTGCTGAGATTCAGGAGGTGGAGGTTTTAGTGGGCCGAGATCACGCCATTGCACTCCAGACTGGGCGACAGAGCGAGACTCTGTCAAAAAAAAAAAAAAATTATCCTGCAAAATTTGAAAAGGAAATTCAAATCAACAGCTTCTAAACTACTTTTTAACATGACTCATAATAAGAAATACATTCTACAGTACATATATATGTTCTATAATTTTGAATAAAAGAATTAACCACATCATATTTATTTTACAACATGTAATACATATTTTTTATTCTCCTTCATTTGTTTTGAATGCTCTGTGCAGTCTACAAAAAGTCCAGTAGTAATAATTAAATTATTCATTAAGTTGAACATTATCTTGTCTTTTAAAATGATAATCTCAAAAATGATCTTTTATTTTTGAGATTTATATAGATACACACACACACACAGACAGACACACACACACACACATATATATATATATATATATTTTTTTTTTTTTTTTTTGAGACAGAGTTTCACTCTGTCCCCCAGGCTGGAGTGCAATGGCACAATCTTGGCTCACTGCAACCTCCGTCTCCCGGGTTCAAGCAATTCCTCTGCCTCAGCCTCTGAGTAGCTGGGACTACAGGTGTGCACCACCATGCCCAGCTAATTTTTGTATTCTTAGCAGAGATGGGGTTTCACCATATTGGCCAGGCTCGTGTCAACCCCTAACCTCGTGATCCGCCTGCCTCAGCCTCCCAAAGTGCTGGGATTACAGGCGTGAGCCACCATGCCCAGCCAAATCTAGGGCTGGAACATGGCTGCAGCATATAAAAAGAATTGAATTCCATACTTTTGTTAACCCTGTTTTTTGTTTGTTTGTAGTTGTTGCTGTTTTTGAGACAGAGTCTCGCTCTGTCACCTAGGCTGGAGTGCAGTGGTGCAATCTCGGCTCACTGCAGACTCTGCCTCCCGGGTTCAAACTATTCTCCTGCCTCAGCCTTCCAAGTAGGTGGGACTACAGGCGCCCACCACCACACCCAGCTAATTTTTGTATTTTATTAGAGACAGGGTTTCACCATATTGGCCAGGCTGGTCTGGAACTCCTGACCTTGTGATCCGCCCGCCTCAGCCTCCCAAAGTGCTGGGATTACAGGCGTGAGCCACCACCCCCAGCCCCTGTTTTGCTTGTTTCTTAGGGTTGTTTTTCTATTTATGGTAAAGGCATTGGCTTTCCATTTGTAGCATCAATAGAATATTTCCTGTTTACAATAACCTTATGTCATAGTAAATGGTAAAGGGATTTAAAGCAGTGGTTTTCAGCTGCCAGAGGCCTGAGTGAGTTTGGGCACACTCTGTGTGATCGGGCAGAAGGCCTGTGGGAAGTTTAGCTGAGGACAGGGCCAGGAAAGGTGATGGACAGTGGGGGTCTGTCCTGGTCACCAGGCCCCTGGGTCCTGCCCACCTGCTTGGAGCTCCCCACCCATCACACATGATGCGGCCAAGCCCTCTGGCTATTGTGGGCAAATACCTTAGGAGAGAAGCTGATGAACTTTGTTTCTTGAAATGCACAGATTCCTTGGACGTCCCTGAGAGCTCAGTCATGAAAGTCAGCTTGGTTTTCTCCCCCTCATTTGGGTTCAGAATTTAAAGTCCACACACACGGGCAGTAAGATGATATAGATAAGGACATCATCACTCGGTTTTGGATGTTAAAATGTCTAGGTGGGTTAGGGGTGATTTGAGATCACACAACGTTGTGCCACAAAGAGGAATTCCCCGGCCAGAGGGAGACATTTTATTGCCATGTTATGATCTCATCATTGAGTTGAAAGGCAATCTTGTTTCATTTTGGATTCTTTCTTATGTTTATGTCTTATAAGGGCACTTTGAATTTCCAAGCAAATAATAATTTTGAATTAGCTTTTAATCATTGACTTCTAGCACAGTTTTATGATCAGAAACATGCTGTGTGATTTGATTGCTCTCAAATATATTGAGATTTGCTGGAACAAAATAAGTCAGGTTAATTTTTGTAAATGTACCATGCATGCTTAAAATGAATGTATGTACATTTGTTCCTGAGATACAGGTTGATGGACGGATGGCTACATGGATGTGATGGAGATGGTTTACTATCGGGACCTTCCGCATCCTGCTGATGTTTTGTTGCTTAGGATATGAATGGCTGAGCGGAGGCTGTAAAACCTGGCACTCTGCTTGGGTATGAGGTTCTTCCTGCCATCCTGCCATCATTTGTTTTTTATGTTTTGTCGCCAAAAGTGACCTTGAGGAACCCTGGGAGCTCAGGAAGGAAGGAGCGCCCAGAAGCAGGGACAGGGAGCTGGTTGGGGAGGACCAGAAGTCAGGTTTGTGAAGGTTCCAGAGAGGACCTGGCCTTGGGAGGAGCGTGGGGGACTGAGATGGGGGAGGGGTCATTGGGATGATGCGGGCGCTACTTGGAATGTCCATTGTGAGGCACCACCGGGGTCATCAGGGATTGGTGGAGAGAGAGTCTAAAGCCCCAGGGTTGCTAAGGGAGGGCCCAGACCGAAGAAGGTTTGGTGGAAAGCAGAACCTTTGTCTCCCTCTAATTGCTCCTAAGCCTCACGCTCCCTTGCCCTGCCTGTCCTGTTGCTTCCCTGATCTTCTCCGTGACCTGTAGCTAAACCTTCCACCAGCGCTTGAGAACTTAATTTGAACCGGATCCTTTCCCAGACCCCTTTCTTCTTCTCCTCCTCCTCCTCCCCAACAGCCCCCTTCTCCTCCTTTCCCTTCCCTTACTTCCCCCCTTCCCCTCCCCTTCCCCTCCCCCTCCCCTCCCCCTCCCCAACTCAGATCCGGCCCCGGTCCCCGTCCCCTTCCCTCCCCCCTGCCCTAAGCCACCTCCACCTCTGTCCTGGCCGCCTCAGGGAGCCCTGAAAGGACCAGGACATGCGGGTGCGGTGGCTACTCTTTTGGCTCCTCTTTTGGCTCCTGCTGGGATTTATCAGCCATCAGTCCACCTGTGTGAGTAGATGGGTGCTGTGGCTGCTCTTTTGGCTCCTGCTGGGATTTATCAGCCATCAGTCCACCTGTGTGAGTAGACGCTGGACCCGCGGGGTTTGTTCCTTTTTACTGGGCTGTGTCACGCGGCATGAAATTACACAGCTCAGGCCTGTAATCCCAGCACTTTAGGGGGCCGAGGTGGGCAGATCACTTGAGTCCAGGAGTTGAAGACTAGCCAGGGCATCATAGCGAAACCCCATCTCTACAAAAAATTCCAAAAAAGATTAGTCGGGCCTGGTGGTGCGTACCTGTTATCCCAGTTACTGGAGAGGCTGAGGTGGGAGGATCGCTTGGGCCCAGGAGCTGGACGTTGCAGTGAGCCGAGATGGCCCCGCTGCACTCTTGTCTCCAACAGACAAAACGGACCAAAACAAAGTGAAATGTCATTTGATTTGTGTCATCTGGTTTGATGACTTTTTTTTGTTTGTTTGTTTTTTAGACAGAGTCTCACTCTGTCGCCCAGGCTGGAGTGCAGTGGCAAGATCTCGGCTCACTGCAACCTCCGCTTCCGGGGTTCAAGCAATTGTCCTGCCTCAGCCTCCTGAGTAGCTCAGATTACAACGCCTGGCTAATTTTTGTATTTTTAGTAGACACTGGGTTTCACCATGTTCGCCAGGATAGTCTCCATCTCTTGACCTCGTGATCCGCCTGCCTCGGCCTCCCAGTGCTGGAATTACAGGCGTGAGCCACCGCGCCTGGCCAAAATATATAACCTCAAGTGTAAGTTTACTAACTTTGGAAAGTACATACACCAGCATAAACCAACCCCCGTTCAAGATCTACATTATTTTATTTATTTATTTATTTATTTATTTGAGACAGTTTCTCCCTTGTTGCTGAGGCTGGAGTGCAATGGGGCAATATCAGCTCACCGCAACCTCTGCTTCCCAGGTTCGAGCGATTCTCCTGCCTCAGCCTCCCGAGTGGCTGGGATTACAGACATGTGCCACCACTCCCAGCTAATTTTGTATTTTTAGTAGAGATAGGGTTTCTCCATGTTGGTCAGGCTGGTTTTGAACTCCCGACCTCAGGTGATCCGCCCGCCTCGGCCTCCCAAAGTGTTGGGATTACAGGCGTGAACCACCGTGCCCAGCCAAGATCTACACTATTATGTCACCCCAGAAAGTGAACTCTCACTCTTCCCAGCCAGTCTCTTTCTTATCATAGGTTAGCTTGCTTATTCTGGAATTTCGCGTATACAGATGCATGCCATGCCATAGGTACTCTTTTGTGTCTGCTTTGTTCTGCTCAACACCATGTTTCTGAAATCATTACCATTGTTGTATGGTTCTCTAACTCCATCATTTCCATTTCAGACTCAGCATATGCTGAGTTCAACCTGTTGAAGGGCTATCTCTGTTTAATTCACCATCTTGAAAGAAACACTTAAAATTGAGATGTTTTCAAGAATATATAGTTAAATCCTGAGGAATTGATGTAGAAATGTTATCACAAGCTGTCTGAACTTACTCAGGGGAAGTCTTCGTCTTCACTCACATAAGAGTCTAATGGAATTAATATCAACAATCTTAGAGAAATCCCACACTATTCATGCCATTTTCATGATCTCCACCTTGGTAATTTTTTTTTTTTTTTTCAGACAGAGTCTCACTCTGTCACCCAGGCTGAAGTGCAGTGGTGCGATCTCGGCTCACTGCAACCTCTGCCTCACGGGTTCAAGTGATTCTTCTGCCTCAGCCTCCCAAGTAGCTGGAACTATAGGCGCGTGCCACCATGCCCTGCTAATTTTTTGTATTTTTAGTAGAGATGGGTTTCACCGTGTTAGCTAGGATGGTCTCAATCTCCTGATCTCACGGTCCACCCACCTTGGCTTCCCAAAGTGCTGGGATTGCAGGCGTAAGCCACCACGCCCGGCCCACCTTGTTAATTTTTAAGCACTAAAATTCGATACTTATTTGTGAATGAAGTAATCTCTTCATTGTATTTTTTTTTTTTTACTTATACTGAGCTTTAAATGACAAAGATTCATGTAATCCAAGAGAGAAGTATTATTTAGAGGGATTCTTTTACCATGTGATATGTAATAAATGCATCCAATGTTATACATCAATTTAAAAAACAAATAATTAAAGAAAAGATAACTACTGGCCAAGTGCAGTGGCTCACACCTGTATTCCCAGCACTTTGGGAGGCCGAGGCAGGTGGATCATGAGGTCAGGAGTTGGAGACCAGCCTGGCCAAGATGGTGAAACCCTGTTTCTACTAAAAAGACAAAAATTAGCCGAGCGTGGTGGCAGGCGCCTGTAATCCCAGTTACTCAGTAGCTGAGGCAGGAGAATCGCTTGAACCCGGGAGGCGGAGGTTGCAGTGAGCTGAGATCATGCCACTGCAATCTAGCCTGGGCGACAGAGCAAGACTTTGTCTCAAAACAAAAAGAAAAGAAAAGATAATTACTTTATACTTAGCTTGTCTTACCCATGAGTGACGGGCTGCATGTGGCCCAGGACAGTTTTGAATGCAGTTCAACACAAATTTGTAAACTTTCTTAAAACATTAGGAGATTTTGGCCAGGTACAGTGGCTCATGCCTGTAATCCCAGCACTTTGGGAGGCTGAGGCGGGCAGATTACCTGAGGTCAGGAGTTCGAGACCACCCTGGCCAACATGGCAAAACCCCATCTCCACAAAAAATACAAAAATTTGCTGAGTGCACTGTCAGGCACCTGTACTCCCAGCTACTCAGGAGGCTGAGGCAGGAGAATCACTTGAACCTGAGAGGCAGAGGTTGCAGTGAGCCGAGAGCACACCACTGCACTCCAGCCTGGGTGACAGAGTGAGACCCCATCTCAAAAACAAACAACAAACAAAAACAAAAAAAATGGCCGGGCACGGTGGCTCACACCTGTAATCCCAGCACTTTGGGAGGCCGAGGCAGGCAGATCTCCTGTCAGGAGTTCAAGGCCAGACTGGCCAACATGGTGAAACCTCATCTCTACTAAAAATACAAAAATTAGTCGGGCATGGTGGCAGAGACCGGTAATCTCAGCTGCTCGGGAGGCTGAGGCAGGAGAATGGCTTGAGCCCAGGAGCTGGAGGTTGCAGTGAGCCAAGATTGCACCACTGCACTCCAGCCTGGGCGACTGAGTGGAGCGGAACTCTGTCTCAAAAAAAAAAAAGAAAAAAAGTTTTTTTTTTTAGATCATCAGCTATTGTTAGTGTATGTTATGTGTGGCTCAAGACAACTTTGCTTCTTTTAATATAGGCAGGGAAGTCAAAAGATTGGATATCCCTGCTTTATACCAAGAATGACAACACCCCACATTTGCAATGCCTAAAAACACTACCAGCCATCTGAAAAACATGAGACTTCTCTAACTTCTGTTCTTTTTTGTAGCAGTGGAATCCCATGGTGATATCTGAGGGATGTGGTTACCTTTTGGAGGAGGTTGACGGTTTCTAAGGATGATTCTTTCTGAGTGAAATATTGTCAGTGTCATTGACCTTTTCATTATTTCAACTATTATTATTCCAGGTTATCAATACTCTGGCTGACCATCGTCATCGTGGGACTGACTTTGGTGGAAGTCCTTGGTTACTTATCATTACTGTGTTTCTGAGAAGTTATAAATTTGCCATCTCCCTCTGCACAAGTTACCTTTGTGTGAGTATACTAACTTTCTGTAGAGGTATACTTGTAATCACAAATAAGAGTAAATTATATGAAACAATTCACGTTTCTGGACTTCATTGTGAATATGTGGTTTTACCCAAAAAATCAGGGAAATGATTTATTAGCATAAGAATTATGAAAATATCTGCCATTTACATTATGAAAATTAAATAGGTCGGTGTTTAATAGAATGTCAACAGAGCTTTTGGTCAAAAATAAGTTTTTTTAACCTTTGTGCTATTTGTCACAAATGGAGTATGAGGTTTCGTCACTTAAATGGGAAAGTCTTTCTAAACTCTTCTGCTTTATAGTTCTATCGTATGGGTGGAAGGAAAGCTTCCAATCTCCTCTCTGAAGATTCACTGCAGAAATGAGCTGACAACAGACAGCTTAACAGGAAAAGAAAAACATAGAACAGACATAAACATGGGAACCAGCTGAAAAATGAGACTGCTAGAAGGGCTGGATGGTTGATGCTTAAAGAGCACCCTCTTCTGAGGGGAGAGGGAGATAGATGGAGATGTAGGCCATTTAGAGGGGCAGCAAATGATTTTTAGGGGAAATGAAAGAGCCCAAGGAACAAACAGTTGGCCTGAGACAAAGTTCCTCGGAGGTCATAGGGACGAGGTGACAAACTGCCGGAAGGTGAAGGGCAGAACTGCACTGCGTCTCATGATGCAGAGAAAGCCCCAGAGAATCTCTTAGAACTGCCCTCCAAGAGAATCAATGAAAAGTGTGTCTGGGCAGGGTAATTTTGAATGACATCATTCAAAGTGCATGTTCCCACTTGCAACTGGAGAGAGATCAGTATGTCAAAAGTCTGTACTTGGTAAGAATTTGGCTGCTAAGTTGTGCCATAATTTGTCTTTTGAGCCTTTTATCCTTTGGGTAAGTTGAGCTCTACATTTTGTCTTGCCATTCATGACAGTAAAAATGTGGTTGTCTGGGGGCTGAACCTCCTTCTGAACAATGATCCAAGATAAAAGTACTAATACCACAATGCTTTTTGATATTCAAGGGAAGAGGAAGTATGTTTCAGTTTTACCGCCTAGATAATTACACGTCATTTGGCACTGCCTTTCAAGATATGTAGAAAACAGAAAATATATGAGTTATGAAGATATCTAGGCACATTTAACATTCTCTATGCCACTTAGTCCTGAACAGAGAATTTTCGGTATAAATTGGAGGAAGCTTTTTTTTTTTCTTTTCTCACCCCCAAGACGAGTCTCCCTCTGTTGCCCAGGCTGGAGTATAATGGTGTGATCTCGGCTCACTGCAACCTCCACCTCCTGGCTTCAAGTGATTCCCCTGCCTCAGCCTCTCAAGTAGCTGGGATTACAGGTGCCCACCACCATGCCCAGCTAATTTGTGTATTTTTAGTAGAGTCGGGGTTTTACCATGTTGGCCAGGCTAGTCTCAAAACCCGACCTCAAATGATCCACCCGCCTCAGCCTCCCAAAGTGCTGGGATTACAAGCGTGAGCCACCACGTGAGCCAGGGGAAGTTTTTAAATTTACCACTTTTTAACAATTCCATTAGGAAAGTTCAGTTGAGCTATTGGACTTGGACAACTTTGCACCTCTCATCTTTGTCCTTGTCATCTAGTCATCTATACCATTACCTCCTAAGCAGGGACATCATGGGTGCCATGAAGCATTCATGTGTGATGGCATTTCTTTGCTTCTCATTTCTTCATGTGTTTGACATTTCTCCTAGCTCCAAACTGGGCCAGCTACCTTTCCTATGAAATCTAGCAGTAGCTGTGGGATAGACGTGGTTTCTCTTTTCATCTTTTTAGATTACCCATTGCTTCTCTCGAAATCCTAGTACATGATTTTTTTTTCATCCTATGTGCAGAAATCAGGAAAAAACAAATTCTACAAAGAATTTGAAAGATATTATTTCAGGCCAGGTGTGGTGGCTCATGCCTGTAATCCCAGCACTTTGGGAGGCTGAGGCAGGTGGATCACTTGAGGTCAGGAGTTCAAGACCAGATGGGCCAACATAGTGAAACCCCATCTCTACTAAAAAGACAAAAATTAGCCAGGCATGGTAGCAGGCACCTGTAATCCCAGCTACTTGGGAGGCCGAGGCACAAGAATCGCTTGAATCTGGGAGGTGGAGGTTGCCGTGAGCCAAGGTAGCGCCACTGCACTTCAGCATGGTTGAGTGACACTCCGTCTCAAGAAAAAAGTCATTTCAATGACTACCTCAGGAGATTCATAGGTATCTGACCCACATCTGAGATGGGATTTGCATTGCATTTTAGCTATGATGAGAACAAATATTTAATATCTTAGAAGATTAAAAGCATACTGTGATAATATGGAAATCTTGGCGGGAATTCAGTCATTAGTGAGAATGTTTTGCGTTAAGTTCAAACCAGCCTCAACGAAGCTGATGTGAGGGAAGGGAAAGTGAACTCTGAGTAGAGCAGGGACAGAAGAAAGATGCTCCAGTGCAGATCAGGAAGGAGCAGGGGGTGAAATGTTACAAATTCTAGAACTCAGAGAGCTGAAGGTAATTAATTACTTCCTTTTCAAGTTGTGAAACATGTTAACCTGTGGTAAAATACTTACAAGATGATAATTACCATCTAACCGTGTTGAAGTGTACAGTTCAGTTGTGTGAAGTATATTCATGTCATTTTTTTTTTTTTTTTTTTTTGAGACGGAGTCTCACTCTGTCACCAGGCTGGAGTGCAGTGGTGGGATCTTGGCTCACTGCACCCTCTGCCTCCTGGGTTCAAGCAGTTCTCCTGCCTCAGCCTCCCGAGTAGCTGGGACTACAGGCGTGCGCCACCATGCTCAGCTAATTTTTGTATTTTTAGTAGAGACGGGGTTTCACCATGTTGCCCAGGATGGTCTCCATCTCTTGACCTTGTGATTCACCCGCCTCGGCCTCCCAAAGTGCTGGGATTACAGGCGTGAGCTACCGCACCTGGCCTATTTTTTTTTTTTTTTTTTTGAGACAGAGTTTCAATTTTGTTGCCCAGGTTGGAGTGCAATGGCACAATCTCAGCTCACCACAATCTTTTCCTGCTGGGTTCAAGTGATTCTCCTGCCCCAGCCTCCCGACTAGCTGGGATTACAGGCATGCACCACCATGCCTGGCTAATTTTGTATTTTTAGCAGAGACAGCGTTTCTCCATGTTGGTGAGGCTGGTCTCAAACTCCCGACCTCAGGTGATCCGCCTGCCTCGGCCTCCCAAAGTGCTGGGATTACAGGAGTGAGCCACCGTGCCAGCCTCATGTCATTCTTTGTGTGTGTGTGTGTGTGTGTGTGTGTGTGTGTGTGTGTGTGTGTGTGTGACAGAGTCTCATTCTGTCGCTCAGGCTGGAGTGCAGTGGTGTGATCTCGGCTCACTGCAAACTCTGCCTCCCAGCTTCAAATGGTTCTCTGCCTCAGCCTCCCGAGTAGCTCGGATTACAGGCGCCCACTGCCATGCCCGGCTAATTTTTGTATTTTTAGTAGAGACGGGGTTTCACCATCTTGGCCAGGCTGGTCTTGAACTCCTGACCCCGTGATCCACCCTGCCTCGGCCTCCCAAAGTACTGGGATTATACGCATGAGCCACCGTGCCCAGCCGTCATTCTTATATTATTATTTCCTAGGTGTCTTTCCTGAAGACTATCTTCCCGTCTCAAAATGGACATGATGGATCCACGGATGTACAGCAGAGAGCCAGGAGGTCCAACCGCCGTAGACAGGAAGGTATGGCTCTGTTGGAGTCCCCATAGTGTGGAAATGAGTTTGCCCTGGAAAGGGAAAGAACAGCTTCTTGCCCTCAGGTTTCTCACCTTCTCCTCTCCTCACTCTCACCAAGGGCTGAGGTCCGTTTGTATGCACACAAAGAAAAGAGTTTCTTCCTTTCCAGGAATTAAAATTGTCCTGGAAGACATCTTTACTTTATGGAGACAGGTGGAAACCAAAGTTCGAGCTAAAATCTGTAAGATGAAGGTGACAACAAAAGTCAACCGTCATGACAAAATCAATGGAAAGAGGAAGACCGCCAAAGAACAGTAAGATGTGCCTTGACACAAATACTGTTGTATGAACCATGTGCCAATCAAAGTAGACAACTGTAAAGTCCTTGAGAATATTTTCTACAATATTTGTGGCAAATTCAGTGGGTTCAAAATTGAGTTTGTCCTTTCTGCTTCATTAGTTTAAGCTGTATAATTCCTTTCCCTTCCTACATTCTTGTTTGTCATTTTTTCAGGGGAAGAGGAGTTGCTAGTACTGGCATTGGTTTTCCTTTCTCTCTCTTTTTTTTTTTTTTTTTTTTCCTGAGATGGGGCTTTGCTCTTGTTGCCCAGGCTGTAGTGCAATGGCACAATCTCAGCTCACTGCCTTTTGGGTTCAAGCAATTCTCCTGCCTCAGCCTCCCAAGTAGCTGGGATTACAGGTGCCCACCACCACGCCCAGCTAATTTTTGTATTTTTACTAGAGATGGGGTTTCACCATGTTGTCCAGGCTGGTCTCGAACTTCTGACCTCAGGTAATCCACCCGCCTCAGCCTCCCAAAGTGCTGGGATTAGAGGCGTGAGCCACCACACCCAGCCTTTTTTTTTTTTTTTTAAATTTTGAGATAGAGTCTCGCTCTGTCGCCCAGGCTGGAGTGCTGTGGTGCAATCTTGGCTCACTGCAACCTCTGCCTCCCAGTTTGAAGCAATTCTGCCTCAGCTTCCCGAGTAGCTTGGATTACAGGAGTGTGCCACCACATTTGGCCAATTTTTTTTTTTTTTTTTTTTTTTTTTTGAGACAGAGTCTCACTCTGTCACCCAGGCTAGAGTGCAGTGGCAAGATCTTGGCTCACTGCAACTTCCGCCTCCCAGGTTCAAACGATTCTTATCCCTCAGCCTCTTGAGTAGCTGGGACTACAGGCATATGCCACCATGCCCGGATAATTTTTGTGTTTTTAGTAGAGGCGGGGTTTCACCATATTGGCCAAGCTGGTCTAGAACTCCTGACATCATGATCCGCACACCTCGGCCTCCCAATGTGCTGGGATTACAGGCGTGAGCCACCGTGCCCAGCCCAATTTTTGTATTTTTAGTAGAGACGGGTTCACCATGTTGGCCAGGCTAGTCTTGAACTCCTGACCTCAGGTGATCTGCCTACCTCAGCCTCCCGGTGTGAGCCACCGCACCCAGCCTGGATTGTTGAATTCAATGCTCGGGTCACCTCCAGATTCATTTTCACAGTCTTTCATGTTTTGGTCATATTACATTGTATTTTGCTGCCATATGACTGATCTTTTTTTGTTAAATGTGAGATACTTGTTAAAAAATATTTAGCAATGAATTGAGGCCTAGTAGCATGTTATCTTGCTGCAGAAGAGATGGGAGTCTACTTCTGGGGGATGGTCAGGGGTCCTCCATACAGGCTGCAATTGAGGTCGTCAGTGCAGGCTCAGTCCCTACAAAGGCCAGGGTATTTCCTGTCCACCTCTATTCTGATGCATGACTCTTCTGGGTCTCAACCAGAGCCAGTGGACTTCAGTATGGGTCGCTTTCATTGGCAGACCCTCAATCCACTTGTTTTCCATCTAACCCCACACATGTGTGCAAAAGCTGCTGTGCTTCTTTGCATCTCAGTAGTTCCTTCTGGAATTCAGCAATGAAACTCAGGGAAATGGGTTCCAAATGCGAGGCTGACTTTCGTCCTGGGTTTCCTTCTTCTCCATCTTCACCTCATGTCTGTTTACTGCCATGTGAGCAATTTGATGTATTCAGTCATGGGTTTTATATTCTGTTTGGTGTCCCCCATTGTTCTCATCGGAGATCAGAAGCTTCAGATGCACTTATGTCAACTCAAGAGTAGAATGCTTCCTTAGCTTCCCTCCAGAGTCAGGTTTTGTGTTTCTAGTTCCCAAGTGCACAGCAGGAGTAGTGCTGTCCTCACTGGCTTCTCATTTGCATTAAACTGTGAGCTTCTTTAGCGTGGGGACAGGACCCTGCTCCCATTGCATTGTCAGCACCTCACCACACACACCTTGTTTGAGGCCACTCCAGACAGCATGTGCTGAAGGATGCCCTGTGGTCAGAAACAAGTTCATTAACTTTCTCTTTGAAGTGTTTTCATCCCTGTTTCCTAGCATTCTGGGAATTTTACACATCCTTCCTATAAAACCAAGTATCAGGTGAGATCCTTAGGATCAGGACCATGAATCAAGTGGTGTGAGGGCAACACAGCAAACTTACCCTTTTGAGGCCGTTTCCTTTTTCTGCCCTCAATCTCTGTGAACTGAACCTTGTTAAAGTCAGTCAACACCAGGGTGGATGGTTTGCAGTTGTCACCTATTTTCAGGACATAACACCCTGACTTAGGAGCCATTCCGATCATTTCTAATTCAATAGATGCGCCCAGCATTCAGATTGCCTTTTCAGGATCTTTAAAGTCGATGACAAGAGTTCCAGTCCTGAATCATGGCAAAGTGCAGTAGTGAACTGCGGGGTTAATGACACCATATTCTGGAAGGATCTCTCTATGGCTGATGGTCTCAGTTCCGGCATCAGCCTCTGACTGAGAATCAGGTCTCACACAGGAGGAGTCAGATGAGGAGCAATCCTCTGCCTCCGATGGAGTTAGTTGTGATGAATTGGTGAGGTCTGGTTTTTCACACTGAACTAAAATGAGCTTTCGCTGTGTCAAGCACAAGACTGACCCCAGAGACACACATAGTGCACCTCATAGAAGCTTTTAATAGTCTTTATATTTACTAAAGAATAGGACTAACTATGGAACTATGAAGATGAGCTGGAAATGACAGGTGACTTGCCAGCAGGCCAGAGTGTGATTTTTTTTTTGTCCCTCAATGGGAGGTGTCCATTCTCCCTTTGCTTGTGAGAATCAGTTGGTTCATTTGTGGGAAGGTTGCAGGGGGGATCTTTGAATCAGCCTTCAGATGCCAGAAGGGCAGAGGGAATCCCACACGGGCTGGTGGATCATGTGTGTGCATTTCTCTCCCTTCTAGTCTGAGGAAACTAAGCATGAAAGAACGTGAGCACGGAGAAAAGGAGAGGCAGGTGTCAGAGGCAGAGGAAAACGGGAAATTGGATATGAAAGAAATACACACCTACATGTGAGTTCAGAAACTGAACCCCACCCTCTTGGGAAACGCCCATTGGAGTGTTGTTTTTAACCTTTGTACAATGTTTAGACCCAGTAAATGCAGAAATAGAAACAAATGGTCAGAAGACATATCGTGAGAGAGAGAGAGAGTTCACAAAACAGAAAACAAAGTACCTTAATATTTACCAGTGACCAAAAGATGTGAAGTAGCAAAACGGCTCCTGACCCCATTGCCAGCTAGACTGTGTGGAAACTCGGTTCATACCAGCCATTCTAGGGGTGGGGTGAGTTGTTGTCATCCTTAGGAAAGTGTGTTGTTGTAGGATCAACCACATCCTTCAAAAGGACTATGCCTGTTTATAAGCCCAGCTGTTTCTGCCCTGTGAAACACGGTAAAGATATTAATACAAAGAGAATACAGCTTTATGATAAAAGATGCTCAATGAAGGATGAATTAGGGATATACTGAGAATGGGGAAGGAAGCTATCATCTCAGAAGTCAGCAGGCAGTAAGCAAGAGGAGGAATCAATACAGCAACAGTTTGGATCAGACTGTACAGTTTTTTTTGTTTTTGTTTTTGTTTTTGTTTTTCTGAGATGGAGTCTCGCTGTGTCACCCAGGCTGGAGTGCAATGACGTGATCTTGGCTCATTGCAACCTCTGCCTCCCAGGTTCAAGTGATTCCCCTGCCTCAGCCTCCTGAGTAGCTGGGATTACAGGTGCCTGCCACCACCCCCGCCTAATTTTTTGTATTTTTAGTAGAGACGGGGTTTCACCGTATTAGCCAGGATGGTCTCAATCTCCTGACCTCGTGATCCATCCGCCTCGCCCTCCCAGAGTGCTGGGATTACAGGCGTCAGCCACCGTGACCGGCTCAGACTGTACTCTTACAGCCATCTGAAATACGTTTTCTAGGTAGAGATAGATTGTGTAAGGGTACAGTTGTGAGGATAACAGAAACATGGCAGATTATTTAAAATCATCCTGAAAGTGGTGCTTTATCTGATGAAAGTGATTGTAATCCATAGGGAAATGTTTCAACGTGCGCAAGCGTTGCGGCGGCGGGCAGAGGACTACTACAGATGCAAAGTAAGGAGCTTCCTCCCCGCAGTTGCAGGATAGTTCAGTGCTGATGCAGATGATGCCACGGCCCTTAGACTCTCTCAACATTCAATTTCTCATGTGTTGGCTTTTTCAGATCACCCCTTCTGCAAGAAAGCCTCTTTGCAACCGGGTAAGTTTGCTTGTTTTCCTTGCTTTTGGACATAGTCTGCCAGGTCAGGACATGGATACATTTTTCTCCCTACGGCTCTGTGCTCAAGCCCTGCAGAGGGAGATGGCAGAGAGGAAGGCTGCCTACAAGCATCACAGTCCCATCCCTGTTGGTAACCGTGTTGCGCAAAAACACCTTCATCCCCACCCAGTGGGGCCCCCATCTAATATTCTAAGTGTCAGAGGTTCCGTATTTGTAATAGCAAATGGGCCCTGACTGTAAATTAGTGAAGAGTGAATGTAACTTATTACCCACAGGGACAATTCCAAATGAAGGCCTTAAATGATGCTCAGCTAAGCTGGTTCTTGTGTGGCCTCTGTACCTTCAAAAGCTGCCGAGTCCTATGATTACACGCGATGGGACTTGTACACTTGAAGTGAAACACAGTTTTAAAACTTGCTTTGTTTAGAATTCCCACCTCATTTTTCCATGGACAAAAGTATTCTTTAGGTCCTAGTGCACTTACAATTTGGTATTACCTGGGAGTGAAAAGAAATATTACAGCCATGCCTAACTGACTTCTTGAGGTAAGATTGTTCTGTCAGAAAACCCTCTCCCAGTTCCCCTGCAGCTCTTCAGGAATCCACATCTCTCCAGAGCTCTTTGTTCTCATGGGTGGCACCTCCAGAGTGAAGAAGATCCTTTGTCAAGAAGGGAAACAGAGGGGAAATGAGAGGGTCCTGCAGGCAGAGCTGGAATCAACTTCCACTCTGCCTCTTGCAAGCTGTGTGACCCTGGGCACAATTTCTCCTTCCTCTGGAAACCTCTGTTTTCTTAGATTTGGAGCAGGGTGGTCACACTGACCTTGCAGAGTTCTGAGAATCAGAGACAGAACATAAAAGGCCTGGAAAACATTCTCCAAAAAGAAGCTGCAACATGTGTGGACAATGGGCTTTTCATGCCTCTCTTACTGTCTCTTACTGTCTATTGACCTGGTGCAAGAAACATGCTCTGGTGATGGCTGTGAGGGAGGAATGAGGATAGACATAGACACTCCTGTGTCTCAAACATGCTTCTTTATTACTCTGTTATGACTCTGTCTTCCCTGGGGCAGGACCCCAGCCTGCCTACATTTGCAGACAGACACAGTGGCATGTGGAGACAACAGTGTGTCCCAATGACTTTTCTTTACCCCCCAGCTGTCGGCAGTACTCAGTGGAAGGGTGATATTATGACACTGACACTGCTATTTTGAAACCTGGAGGATGGAAAGGTGCAAAAATCTATCACCAGCAACAGAAGGTGCAGACTGTGTTGGTGGCGGTAATTTTGTCCATCAAATGAATATGTGTGAAAACATTCCCTCCTTTGGCCCTACAGGTCAGAATGGCGGCAGCGGAGCATCGTCATTCTTCAGGATTGCCCTACTGGCCCTACCTCACAGCTGAAACTTTAAAAAACAGGATGGGCCACCAGCCACCTCCTCCAACTCAACAACATTCTATAATTGATAACTCCCTGAGCCTCAAGACACCTCCCGAGTGTCTGCTCACTCCCCTTCCACCCTCAGCTCTACCCTCAGCGGATGATAATCTCAAGACACCTGCGGAGTGTCTGCTCTATCCCCTTCCACCCTCAGCGGATGATAATCTCAAGACACCTCCCGAGTGTCTGCTCACTCCCCTTCCACCCTCAGCTCCACCCTCAGCGGATGATAATCTCAAGACACCTCCCAAGTGTGTCTGCTCACTCCCCTTCCACCCTCAGCGGATGATAATCTCAAGAAACTAAGGAAGAATAAATAAATAATATAAAAATAAAATGAATACTGCAGTCCTTATGTTATTGCTTTGTTTCAATATCTGGTATGATTGCCTGAGGGACCTGAGGTTTTTAATCATAGGGGTTTTTTTAATCTTTAGAAGTGGTTGGTTATGTAAAATATTATTATTTGTTTTTTTTTTGAGACTGGAGTTTGCTCTGTCACCCAGGCTGGAGTGCAGTGGCTCGATCACAGCTCACTGCAGCCTCAACCTCCTGGGCTTCAAGCAATCCTCCTGCCCCAGCCTCCCAAGTAGCTGGGATCACAGATGTGTGCCACCACGCCTGGCCAATGTTAAAAAATCCTTTAACTTTTTTGTAGAGATGCACTCCTGGACTCAAGCAATCCTCCTACTTGTCCCGACCACCAGCCTCTTTCTGATAAACATTTACACTGTTTATTATCTGATGCCATTTCTATCTTCTTCCTTGTCATCCAGACATCAAAGAATTAGGTTTCTTCAGGGTTTTCTTTTTCAAGTGCTCAGTGTTAAAGATCACTCACATTAGGGCCAGACACCACGGCTCATGCCTGTAATCCCAGCACTTTGGGAGGCCGAGGCGGGCAGAGCACTTGAGGTGGGGAGTTTGAGACCAGCCCGGCCAACTTGGTGAAACCCCACCTCTACTGAAAAAATACAAAAATTAGCTGGGCGTGATGGTGCATGCCTGTAGTCCCAGCCACTTGGGAGGCTGAGGCATGAGAATCGCTTGAACCCAGGAGGCAGAGGTTGTAGTGAGCCGAGATCACATCAGCACACTCTAGCCTGGGTGACAGAGCGAGACTGACTCAAAAAATAAATAAAATAAATATCACTTACATTAGATATACCCAAGGGGTGGTCTATAGAGACTTGGAAGCAGTGGTTATTGCAACAGGGGCACGGAAGTCATCTGGCTATGCCAGGGTGCCCAGGGGATACTCGGGGTGGGTGGCATGGTGCTGCTGGGGACTCACCGCACAGGACGCTCTGATTGACGCACTGCCAGGAGTAGCGCTCTGTCTTGGGGCTGCAGCCGGCCTCCTCAGCTCGAGTGTAACAACAGTCGTGGCCATGGCAGCACCTGCGGATGTCACATGGGCAGGACAGCAGGTGGGTGAAGCTCTCTCCTGGCCCTCCTCTCTTGCCAGGACTATGGGTGACTGAAGACCCCCAGGGAGGCACAGCATCCTCTTATCTAAGATTTTTTTTTTTTTTTTTTTAAGAGACAGGGTCTTTCTCTGTCGCCCAGGCTGGACTGCAGAGGCACAATCATAGCTCACGGCAGCCTTGAACTCCTGGGCTCAAGCGATCCTCCCACTTCAGTGTCCCAAGTAGCTGAGACTACAGGCACACGCCAGCATGCCCGGCTGGTTTTTTAATTTGTATTTCCTTTGAGACAGCGTATCTCTCTGTTGCTCAGGCTGGAGTGCAATGGCTCAATCAGCTCACTTTAGCCTTGAACTCCCGGGCTCAAGTGATACTGCCACCTCAACCTCCCAAGTCTGCTACTACAGGAACACAGACTCCTTTTTTAAATTTTTTATGGATATGGGGTCTCACTATGTTGCCTAGGCTGGTCTCGAACTCCCAGGCTCAAGCAGTCCTCCTACCTCAGCCTCCACAAATGCTGGGATTACAGGTGGGAGCTACTGTACGCCTGGCCTTATCTAAGCTGTTTCCCTGAAAATCCCCGTCTTGGGTAATGATTCCATTGGCCCCACCATGCCCTCTGCCTTCCTGGCTGTGCCCAAGCTTGGTCCCTGCCTGCCTGCCTGCCTCCCTCTCTGGGTCTTGAGCTCCTGTGACACATGACTCCTCTCTCTTCCTGGAGTGATCCAAGCCCTGCCACTTCCTGACTTTGCCCACACTGTACCCTCTGCCTGGGGCAACTTCATGTCTGCCCATTGTCCCTTAGGCCTCAGCCCAGGCACAAGCCCCTGCCTCCGGAGGTCATCCAGGCCTCACCAGGCTACACCCTCTCGTAAAATTGGATTCCCTCCCTTCAGGGCAGGTTTATAATGAAATCCTCCTCAGAGGCCAGGTGCGGTGACACCCATCTGTAATCCCAGCACTTTGGGAGGCTGAGGTGGGAGGATCACTTGAGGCCAGGGGGTCGAGACCAGCCTGGGCAACATAAGAGAGACTCTTGTCTCTATAACAAATTTAAAAATTAGCTCACCAGGCCAGGCTCAGTGGCTCATGCCTGTAATCCCAACACTTTGAGAGGCCGAGGCAGGTGGATCACGAGGTCAGGAGTTCGAGAGCAGCCTGACCAACATGGCGAAACCCTGTCTCTACTAAAAATACAAGATTAGCCAGGCATGGTGGCACGCACCTGTAATCCCAGCTACTCGGGAGGCTGAGGTAGGAGAATTGCTTGAACCCAGGAGGTGGAGGTTGCGGTGAGCCAGGATCACGCCATTGCAGTCCAGCCTGAGCAACAGAGCAAGACTCTGTCTCGAGACAATAAAAACACACAAAAAATTAACTCGCCATGATGGCACATGCCTATAGTCCTAGCTACTTGGGAGGCTGAGGTGGGAGGATTCCCTTCAGCCCAGGAGTTTGAGGCTGCAGTGAGCCACTATGATTGTGCCACTGCACTCTAACCTGGGCAAAAGCGAGACCCCAGGCTAGAGTGCATGATTTTGGGTCACTGCAACCTCCACCTCCCAGGTTCAAGTGATTCCCCTGCCTCAGCCTCTTGAGTACCTGGGACTACAGGCATGTGCCACCACGCCTGGGTAATTTTTGTATTTTTAGTAGAGACAGGGTTTAGTAGAGACCATGGTGAAACCCCGTCTCTATTAAACAAATCTCTACTAACCCCATCTCTACAAAAAACAGCTGGGCGTGGTAGTGCACACCTGTAATTCTAGCTACTTGGGAGGCTGAGGCACGAGAATCATTTGCATCTTGGAGGCAGAATTTGCAGTGAGCTGACATCGCACCACTGCGCTCCAGCCGGGATGACAGAGCAAGACCCTGTCTCAAAAAAAAGAAAAAGGAACAAACAACAGCAACGACAACAAAAAAACCTCTGTGTCAATCACAGCCTACAAGCTAGGGGAGAGGCGGCCGAATTCTGCCCTCTGCTAACTAACTATAGCTTTGTGGAAATGGGTGAGTGGCGTGCCCTTGTGAGCCTCAGGGCCCCATCTGTAAAATGGGCATAACTGTCATGCCCGTCTTTAAGAACAGCCTTGGGGGTAAATGAGTGGAAGTCATGGAAAGATCTCAGCCCACAACCTTCCACAGAACAGACGCTTCTCACACAGTAAGTAGCAGGAGTGCAGAGGCTGCAGGCATGAATCCAGCCAGACTGCCTGGGTTCAAGTCCCAGCTCCCACGTCTTGGTAACTATGTGGCCTCAGACAAGTTACTTAATATTTCTTTTTTTTTTTTTTCAGACGGAGTTTTGCTCTGTCACCCAGGTTGGAGTGCAGTGGTGTGATCTCGGCTCATTGCAACCTCTGCCTCCCGGGTTCAAGCAATTCTCCTGCCTCAGCTTCCTGAGTAGCTGGAATTACAGGCACCTGCCACCACACACAGCTAATTTTTGTATTTTTAGTAGAGACGGGGTTTCACCATGTTGGCCAGGATGGTCTCGAACTCCTGACCTCGTGATCTGCCTGCCTCAGCCTCCCAAAGTACTGGGATTACAGGCGTGAGCCACCGCACCTGGACACGTTACTGAATATTTCTGTGCCTAGGTTTCTTCATGTGAAATGGGATTGTTGTGAGAACACAAAGGGATTCCCAGGGCAGTTCCTAGTGCATAGTCTGGCTGCCTTTGTATGTGTGTGTGTGTGTGTGTGTGCGTGTGTGTGTGTGTTTAATATAGAGACAGGGTCTCACTCTGTTGCCTAGGCTCGTTTCAAACTCCTGGGCTCCAGTGATCCTCCTGCCTCGACCCAAAGTGGTGGGATTACAGGCATGAGTCAACACACCTGGTCACTTTATATTATTTTTTTTTTTCTTTTGAGACAGGGTTTGGCACTGTTGTCCAGGTTGGAATACAGCGGTGCAATCTCAACTCACTGCAAACTCTGCCTCCCGGGTTCAAGCAATTCTCCTGCCTCAGTCTCCCGAGTAGCTGAGATTACAGATGCCTGCCACCACACACAGCTAATTTTTGCATTTTTAGTAGAGATGGGGTTTCACCATATTGGCCAGGCTGGTCTTGAACTCCTGACCTCAAGTGATCTGCCCGCCTCGGCCTCCCAAAGTGCTGGGATTACAGGAGTGAGCCAGCGCTCCTGGCCAATTTTTTAAGGCAACGTTTTCAGCCCATGGCCAGGGTAAGGCACAGCTAGTACCAAGATCTGGCTTCACTGGCCATGTTATCCAAGAGGCCTCTGCCTGCCTGCAAAGTAGTACTGCACACTGGGATCTCCCTGGACCAAACCCCAGCTTCAGTTTTGGGTACTTCCTCATAAGCCTTGACTACCCCAGAGTGTGAGGGATTTTGTGGCCTGGTCCCAGGCATGCACTCACCAGTCAATGGCATCGCGGGGCTGGCCATGGCCTCCCAAGCCACAAAAGCAACCATATTTCACATAGGCGATGGGAGTTCAGGGACCAACACAACCCACAATTCCTGCCAGTTCCAGGATCCCACGCCGGTGCACACGTAATATCCTGGAGGCTGGGGGGTAAACAAAGGTGACAGGCTGCAGGTCAGGGCTTCCCAGACCCCTGGGAAGGGCATGAGCCTGAGAAGAGCCTAGGTGTTACAGCCTGGCTGTCTGGGTTTGAATCCTACTTCCTGGCTGTGTGACCTTGGACAAATTCCTAACCTCTCTGGGCCTTGGTTTCCTCATCTGTGAAATGGGGGATAAGCTGACTTCAACTCATATGAATGAAATGAGATAATGAGTATAAAGCCCCTGGTGCATGAAAAGGCTATTATAATCCGGCTGGGCTCAGTGGCTTACACCTGTAATCCCAAGATTTTGGGAGGCCCAGGCGGGCAGATCACCTGAGGTCAGCAGTTCAAGATCAGCCTGGCCAACATGGTGAAACCCCATCTATAGTAAAAATACAAAAATTAGCCGAGCATAGTGGTGCACGCCTGTAATCCCAGCTACTAGGGAGGCTGAGGAAGGAGAGTCACTTGAACCTGAGAGGCGAAGATTGCAGTGAGCCAAGATTTTGCCACTGCATTCCAACCTGGGCGACAGAGCAAGAGTCTCAAAAAAAGAAAAAAAAAAAAGGCTAACTATTATAATCAAGGTCCTCAAGGTAGCCAAGGAGGGAAAAGAGTCGTGCATGAAACCTTTGTCCAGTTCCCTGTGTTGGGCACTCGGCATCATATGAGCCTACAGGTGTCTGTCACCAAGGTGGGCTCCTCTGTGGCAGCTCCCAGGCCCTGGCACTGCCCTGTGCTCATGACTTTTCCTCCAGACTCAGGCTCAGGGCCCTTGGTATCTCCTCTTATTTTCACTGCCAGACAGGAAGGCCCCTTGGCCTGAGCCCAGCCATTTTTCTAGATCCTGGCACAGCTTGGACATGTAATGGTGCCCAATGCATGTGACTGGAACCCCTGCATTGGACATGTAGGAAACGAGGCCAGCCGGGAAAGGTAACCCCACATTCCCACAGCCAGCAGGAACTCAAGCAGAGGCTTCAACCCAGGCTTCTGACTTGCAAACCAGTGCTCCTTCCTCCTTACACAGTAACAACAGGGGAAGGTGGCCTTCCGGGTTGCCAGAGCCGAGTGGTACCAGCAATAGAGTGGAAACTCACACACAGGCTTGCCTGCTTCCTGGTTTAGGTTTAGGGTTTATACGGCTCCGGGAGGTTGATGCATTGTGTTTGATCATCCCTTTTTTTTTTTTTTTTTTTTTTGAGACAGTGTCTCATTCCTGTTGCCCAGGCTGGAGCACAGTGGTGTCATCTTGCTCACAGCAACTTCTGCCTCCCAGGTTCAAGCAATTGTCCAGCCTCAGTCTCCCGAGTAGCTGGGATCACAGGCGTGCCCCACCACACCCAGCTGATTTTTGTATTTCTAGTAGAAACGGGGTTTCACCATCTAGGCTGGGCCGGTCTCAAACTCCTGACCTCATGTGATCCACCTGCTTTGGCCTCCCAAAGTGCTGGGATTATAGGCGTGAGCCACTGCGCTCATCCTGATCATCTTGTCTCTCTTTTTTTAAATAGAGACAGGGTCTCACTCTGTCACCCACACTGGAGTGCAGTGGCACAATCATAGCTCACTGCAGCCTCCAAATCCTGGGCTCAAGTGATCCTCCTGCCTCAGCCTCCAGACATACGGGCACGCACCACCATGCCCAGCTAATTTTTAAATTTTTAGTAGATCTGCGGTCTCACTATGTTGCCCAGGCTGGTCACAAACTCCTGGCCTCAAGTGATTCTCCTTCCTTGGCCTCCCAAGGCACTGGGATTCCAGGCATGAGCCACCATGCGCAGTCTCATTTCTGTTTTATCTAGAACATGTTTTCATCACACTGACTTTTTTGAGAAGTCCAGGCCAATTTTAAATTTCATTTTGTCTTTTTATCAGTGGAAAAGTAGCATATTTATGTTGCACGACAAAGATGAATCAAATAGGAAGAAAATGTAAAACACATTTGGGGCCGGGCACAGTGGCTCATGCCTGTAATCCCAGCACTTTGGGAGGCCAAGGCGGGCGGATCACCTGAAGTCAGGAGTTCCAGACCAGCCTGACCAACACGGAGAAACCCTGTTTCTACTAAAAATATAAAATTAGCCACGCATGGTGGCGCATGCCTGTAATCCCAGCTACTTGGGAGGGTGAGGCAGGAGAATCGCTTGAACCCGGGAGGCAGAGGTTGCAGTGAGCCGAGCTCGTGCTATCACACTCCAGCCTGGGCAATAAGAGTGAAACTCTGTCTCAAAAAAAAAAAAAAAAAAAACACACGAAAATAAAACGGCATTTAGAGTTGAAAGCTTCACCTTCCTCTCTGGATGGTGAGTCCTCACTCTCCCAGCAGCCCACGCCTCTGCCTCAAACCTCCATGGCTCCCATGAGTCTGGATAAAGCTAAGGAGTCTCACTGCACCCCAAGTCCTGGGGGTAGTCAGCCCCTCTCACCCCTCCCTCATCCTCTCACACAAGAGTCATTTACTGTCCCTCCAGTTATGCCCGGTCACGCAGACACTCTGCTGCTCAAATGCCCTCACCCCATCCTCAGCCTGCTCCCAGGCCACCTCCCTCCAGAATCCACCTCGCCTGCTAGGTGGCCATAGGGACCCTCGCCATACTGTCTGCTTGTGGCAGTGCCCTCCGGCCTGGGGGGTCTTCCAGAGCAGATCTCTGGCCAAGCGCAGTGGCTCATGCCTGTAATCTCAGCACTTTCAGAGGCCAAGGCAGGTGGATCACCTGAGGTCAGGAGTTCGAGACCAGCCTTGCTAACATGGTGAAACCCCGTCTCTACTAAAAATACAAAAATTAGCCGGGTGTGGTGGTGGTGCATGCCTGTAGTCCCAGCTACTCAGGAGGCTGAGGCAGGAGAATCTCTTGGACCCGGGAGGTGGAGGTTGCAGTGAGCCGAAATGGTGCCACTGCACTCCAGCCTGGGCAACAGTGAGACTCTGTCTTAAAAAAAAAAAAAGAAAGAAAAAGAGCGGAGCTCTGATATAAGCTGCCCTGGCACACAGTGAGCTTCCAGAAATGGTCCCTTGACCTCTAAATCCACCAAGACCCAGGGAACATGCCCTCTCTGAGCACTCTGACAATGATTTGCATTTCTCTAATGACCAGTGATGATGAGCTTTTCTTCACATGTTTGTTGGCCACATAAATGTCTTCTTTTGAGAAGTGTCTGTTCATATCCTCCGGCCACTTTTGGATGGGGTTGTTTTTTTCTTGTAAATATGTTTAAGTTCCTTGTGGATTCTGGATATTAGCCCGATGGATAGATTGCAAAACTTTTCTCCCATTCTGTAAGTTGCCTGTTCACTCTGATGATAGTTTGTTTTGCTGTGCAGAAGCTCTTTAGTTTAATTAGATCCCATTTGTCAATTTTGGCTTTTGTTGCCATTGCTTTTGGTGTTTCAGTCATGAAGCCTTTGCCCATGCCTATGTCCTGAATGGTATTGCCTAGGTTTTCTTCTTGGGTTTTTATGGTTTTAGGTCTAACATTTAAGACTTTAATCAATCTTGAGTTAATTTTTGTATCAGGTGTAAGGAAGGGGCCCAGTTTCAGTTTTCTGCATATGGCTAGCCAGTTTTCCCAACACCATTTTAAATAGGGAATCCTTTCCCATTCTTGTTTTTTATTACAACTTTTTACCTAAACATTCAATAGTTTTCACTAACTTTTTGGCAATGAGGCAGCTGAGTCTAAGTAGGTTAAATCACTTATCTGAGGTCACACGGCAGGACAGTGCTTGTTCTGCAAAGTTAAGTGTGTTTCTTTTTGTGGACCATGAGAACATCTCCAACTGCCCTTTTTGACTTGGCCACCAGGGAACTCAGCGCCATGTTCTCAAATCCAGTTTAGTAACTGGCCTTCTGGCCTGTATATCTTTATTCTACCTTCCATCCTGCTCTGTTCTGCTTTTACCTCTTATTCTAGATTATCTTTCTTTAGTCCTAATTTTAAATTTATATCTATAATCTTGTTATATATATTTCTTGGCATCTACTGTAAGTGGGTAGTGAACGAATAAACAAAATGTGATGAATTTTAGAGGACTAAGAAGGGCCTAAGTCACACCAAGATTCATGCTGGATAATTTGTCATCGACCCAGACTGTGATTCTGCACTCGCCAGTAACCAGTTTTTTGTTTTTTTTTTTTTTTTTTGCTTTTTGCCAACCATACATTTTGCTTTCATGGTATGGAAGTGGTTTAAGCTTATGGCTTCCAGCCTGCAGTGGCTATGAGGGGTCAGTCTCTCATCAGGAGGGGTTGGCAGACTCTGTTCTCAGATAGGCAGCAAGGATGGAGGTGGGGCAGGAGCAATTTCACTACCTGCGTGGCGTCTGGGTCTTGCTTAGAGAAATAATTCCAGGCTCTGCTGCTTTCGACTCTGTCTCTCATGGTTCCACTGATTCCTGCAGAGATCTAGAGAGAAAATTTCCAGCGAGGAGTTTCTGGCTCGTTTGATTTTGAACACGTTTTGAGTATTCCACCCCTTACCCCCCTGCCCCCACTCACTACTCTGTAGTTTTTTTTTTTTTTAAGAAAACAGTTTGAAAGCAAAAATAAATAAATAATTCAAAACAGAGGGGCCATTTTTATTTACTTTGGTTGTTTCAGGATAGGGAAGGGAGCTTACACTTTTTTTGAACTCTTATTCTATGCTAGCCGATGTGCTGCATTCTTAGCTTAAAAGCCTGCTTCTCTTTGATTTCAGAATAACTTGGAAATAAATGATCAGACCCTGCATGCTCTGATCCTGGCTGTCTGCTCTAACTAAATCTCCTCTTCCTTGCTTCCTCCAGCGAGTTGTTCTCCCTTCACCTCCCAGCACAAGCTTTGCACGTGTTGCCGTCTGTCCTACAAAGGTCTGTCCCTTCCCAGTCTCCGTGTGACTCCCTCCTTCACACCCATGGTTCTCCACTGAAATGTCCTTTGAGCGCGTCTCAGATGCCTCAGTCTAAAGTAGATGATTCCGGGCTGGGTGCAGTGGCTCACGCCTGTAATCCCAGCACTTTGGGAGGCTGAGGCAGGCAGATCACCTGACATCAGGAGTTCAAGTCCAGCCTGGCCAACATAGTAAAACCCCGTGTCTACTAAAAATACAAAAATAAGCCAGGCATGTTGGCGGGTGCCTGTAATCCCAGCTACTTGGGAGGCTGAGGCAGGAGAATCGCTTGAACCTGGGAGGCGGAGGTTGCAGTGAGCTGAGATCACGCCACTGCACTCCAGCCTGGGTGACAGAGCAAAACTCTGTCTCAAAATAAATAAATAAATAAATAAATAAATAAATAAATAAATAAAGTAGATGATTCACAGAAACCTCTGTTCTTTTAGAGCACTCTTCAACACTTTTTATGCTTTTTATGTTTGATTTCTAATAAATATGTTTCTTTCACTATACCATAAGTATATTCCTTCTTCTAAGTTTCATTAAGGTAGAATCACGTATGTCTTATTTCCTGTTATATCCCTAAGTACCTAGCATGTAGTAGGCATTCAATAAAAATTGATTGAATGATTGAACACTCAATCCCATGATTTGAGTGTTTTTTTTGTTTTTGTTTGTTTGTTTGTTTTGAGACAAAGTCTTGCTCTATCACCCAGGCTGGAGTGCAGTGGTACTATCTTGGCTCACTGCAATCTCTGCATCCTGGGTTCAAGTGATTTTCTTGCCTCAGCCTCTCAAGAAGCTGAGACTAACTACAGGCATGTGCCACCATGCCCAGTAATTTGTTTTGCGTGTGTGTGTATTTTTAGCAGAGATGGGGTTTCACTGTGTTGGCCATGCTGGTCTTAAACTCCTGACCTCAGGCCATCCACCCTCCTTGGCCTCTGAAAGTGTTGGGATTACAGGTGTGAGCCACCACGCCTGGCCTTTTGTAATTATTCTAACAGCTACTACTTATTAGGTGCTGACTATATGCCAGGCACTGTGCCAATTGATTTATTTATTTTCAGGGATTGGGTCTTGTTCTGTCACCATGGCTGGAGTTCAGTGGCACAATCATAGCTCGCTGAAGCTTCAAACTCCTGGGGTCAAGCAGTCCCCCTGCTTCAGCTTCCCAAGTAGCTGGGATTACAGAGATATACCATTACACTCAGCTAATTTTAAAAAATGGCTGATTTTTTTTTCAGAGATGGAAAAAAAAACAAAAAACAAAAAACAGCTACTACTTATTAGGTGCTGACTGTATGCCAGGCACTGTGCTGATTTTTTTTTAATGTTTTTTATTTTTTTAGAGTTGGGGTCTAGTTCTGTCACCATGGCTGGAGTTCAGTGGCATGATCATAGCTCACTACAGCTTTGAACTCCTGGGCTTAAGCAATCTTCCTGTCTCAGCTTCCCAAGTAGCTGGGATTACAGGCATGGGCTATCACACCCAGCTAATTAAAAAGACATTTTATTGTATAGATAGGGGTCTGGCTATGTTGCCCAGGTTAGTCTCAAACTCCTGGCTTCAAGCGATTCTCCTGCCTCCACCTCCCAATGTGCTGGTGTTACAGGTGTGAGCCATGGCACCTGGCCCTGTGTTGATGTTTTACATACAGCATCTCATTTAATCCCCACCAGGATCCTGTGGGGATGGATTGGATTATCCCCCACTCCTTGGAAGAGCTTAAGGATACCCAACCAGTTGGTGATTGAGCTGGGATTTGAACTCAGGCATTCTAATGGCAAAGCTGTGCCCCTTCCACTCTACCATCGTGTTCCTCTCCAGGGGAGGTGTCCCTGCAGTGCTGTGACTTTGTCGTCGAACATGTGCTGAGGTACGTGAATCCTCTGGAGAAGAAGGGCAAAGGAACAGGCTTTCCAGGCAGGAAGCCCCTGCAGGCGAGGGAGGAAGGCTGCAAGGGACATGGTAGGAGGTATCTTGCTCCCCATAGCTGGGCTGGGAGGATGAGATGGCTGAGAGCCAGGAGCCGGGCTGGGGTTAGGCTCATATCAGCCTGCAGAGGGCTTTGGGGAACCCAGGCTTTGGGGCCAGACAAACATAGCTTCTCACCCACCTGATCATTTCCTCTCTGTTGTATCCTATGTTTCTGGGTCTCAGTTTCCTTATCTATGAAATGGGGATACCATGACCTGTTCTGCCTGCTTCATAGAGTGCTAAGGAGCAGATGACATAACGTGTGCAAAAGCAGCTGTTCTTATTTCTATCACTTATTTTCATTATCGCTATTCTCAAGCAGGCAGACTGTAATTTTTTACCTCTTTCTTTTTTTTCACCCTTGAGTTGTTTGGAAGTTATTTTTAAAAGTCTTTGAAGTGTCCTTTTCCGTATTTGGCAAAAGCAAAATGGAAATTGATAGCATTGTCACCGTCGGCATCCCCTCACTCTGGCCGCCTGGCTGGGGGACAGCTCTGGGAAAATGTGGAGATGTCTGTTGTGGGCGGCTGGTTTGTTATTGCGTGAATTTTTCTGGTGAGACCTGACCAGCTCCCTTTTAAGGCAATTTCTCGTGTTCTTGTTCCTCCTCTTTTCTTTTCCTGCCAATGTCAGGTCCTTTGTGCCATCTCCAGGCTCAGAAATCCGTACAGCCAGAGTCGGTCCCCAGTTTGGCCACTTCCAGCTGAAAAGCTTTCCCATGCCTTCCCTTTAACTTAGAATAGCATCCAAATCCTTCATTGTGACCAAGGCCCTGTGCAGTCTGCTCCTGTCACTCTCCTCTCCATTACTCAGCTCCAAAAGTGTCACCTCCCTTGACTCCTCCAATGCCCCGCATGGTTTCCAGCCCCAGGGTCTTTGTGGGGTCTTTGCCAGGAATCCTGTTCCCCATTTTTTTGTTATGGGTAGCTCTTTCTCATCTTTGACATCTCTGCTCCAGAGTCAACTTCACACATGGCTCTTCCCTAACCCACACTAAAAAATAAGCCTCCTTAAAGAAAAAAAGAGGCTGGACGTGGTGGCTCATGCCTGTAATTCCAGTGCTTTGGGAGACTGAGGTAGGAGGATCACTTGAGACCGGGAGTTTGAGATCAGCCTGGGCAACACATTGAGACCCCATCTCTACAAAAAAAAAAAAAAAAAAAAAAAAAATAGCGAGGCGTGGTGCTGTATACCCATAGTTCTAGCTACTCTGGTGGCTGAGGCAAGAGGATTGCTTGAGCCCAGGAGTTCGAGGCTGCAGTGAGCCGTGATTGCACCACTGAACACCAGACGCAGTGTCATGTACTTGTAGTCCCGGCTGCTTGGGAGGCTGAGGTGGGACCATCTCTTAAGCCTGGGAGTTTGAGGCTGCAGTGAGCCCTGATCATCCCTGTGAATAGCCATTGCACTGCAGCCTGAGTTACACAGATACGTCTCTTAAAAAATAAATGAAAAGAAAAGCCTTTTAAATTCAGTGTCTTCGCATAGTTAGTCCAACCTTAAGGAGTGTTACCAGATACAAACAGGATGCCCAGTTACATTTTTTTTTTTTTTTTTTTTTTGAGACAGAGTCTCACTCTATCCCCCAGGCTGGAGTGCAGTGGCATGATCTTGGCTCACTGCAACCTCTGCCTCCCAGGTTCAAGTGATTCTGATGCCTCAGCCTCCCGAGTAGCTGGAATTACAGACGTGCACCACCAGGCCTGGCTAATGTTTGTATTTTTAGTAGAGATGGGTTTTTGCCCTGTTGGCCAGGTTGGTCTCGAACTCCTGATCTCAGGTGATCTGCCCACCTTGGCCTCCCAAAGTCCTGGGGTGACAGGCGTGAGCCACCATGCCTGGCAAAACTTTGTAGCCCAGTTTGTTCTATTTTTTTTTTTTTTTTTTTTGAGACAGAGTCTCACTCTGTCGCCCAGGCTGGAGTGCAGTGGCATGATCTTGGCTCACTGCAACTTCTGCCTCCCGGGTTCAAGTGATTTCCCTGCCTCAGCCTTCCAAGTAGCTGGGAATATAAGTGCGTGCCACTGCACCCAAATTTGAAGCTTAGATAAACATTGAATAATTTTCCAGTATTACATCAGATACATAACTTGTATTTAAAAAATCATTCCTTATTTCACTGGATTTAAAATGGAATTGGGTGTCGTATATTTTTACTTGTTAAGTCTGGCAACCCTACCCTCTAGAGAGAGGTGTTGAATGAATGAGTGTGAAGTCCTTAGCTTAGGGCCTGGCACTCAGTAGGTGCTAAGTAAATGTCACCTGTCAGCATCTTCCTCCTCCTCTTCCTCCTCCTCTAGTTGCTTCTCAGAGCTAAGGTCTCCCTGCTCCTTTTTTCCTCTATGGAAATGGATGAGAAAAGGTTTTCTAACAAGGGGCCATCACCTGGATTTTTAGAATAGCATAAAATATTCTCTGCTGCAGCTTCGGAATCCGACTGTGCTGGTGTTTGGCAGGAAAATGCAGTGAGTTATCACAGAGCGTTCCCTCCAGCACTGGGTCATGCAAATATTTATTGTGAGCGTTAAATAATAAATGGAGCAGCCTGCCCAATGGTAAATCTGTCATGTTTGGTTTCAGCCAGGAGTTGTGATGGCCCTGGAATCGCTGCCCGTTTCACCGCATCCACCTGCCCTCTAGAGGAGCAAGGCAAACAGCCGAGTTCTCTGGGGTGGCATCAGTGGGCTGGTGTGGAAGCCAGAGGGGCAGTGAGGGGAGTCAGCCAGGCATGGAAACTGGCAGGTAAGGCAGCCCTGTGGCCCAGGAACCCAAGCCGCAGCCACGCCGAGCAGGCCTGGACCTTTGAGTCCCTCTGCCACCACAGTTCTCAGGGGACACGGTCTCATTGTCCACATCTGGATTTATCTTTCCGTATTTCCCTCATTGCTCTTGTCAGCTTCACTCTGGCTGACTGGCTGGAGCTGGCAAGCTTCTGAAAGTGGAGTCAACCTTCCGACCCTTTTTCTAGGCTGAGTGGTGGGTGGAGGAATGAGACCGTGTGTTGGACTCAAACTCGATGCAATAACGTTTCCCAGCCCCTGTGGTGTGCTGGGGCTCCTAGCACACATCCTCTTGTTTAACCTCAGCATTGCAACCTGAAACACAGACACGTGGGTTCTTGAGCCAGATGCCTCTGAGTTGGAATCCTATCTCTGCACTTAACAAGCGGTATGACCTTGAGTGAGCCACAGTTTTTCAGAGCCCCTGTTTCCTGATCTGTAAGGTGGGGGAGATGGTGGCACTCACCTTATGGGGCTGTTATGTATTAGTCCATTGAGGTGTCTTAGCCTGTTTTGCGTTGCCATAAAGGAATACTTGAGGGTGGGTAATTTATAAGAAAAGAGGTTTGTTTAGCTCACGGTTCTGCAGACTGTACAAGAAGCATGATGCCAGCATCTGCTTCTGGTGAGACCTCAGGAAGCTTTTCTTCACTGTGGAGGGTGAAAGGGGAGCAGGTGTGTCACATGGTGAGAAGAGGGGTGAGAGAGAGACAGGAAGGGTGCCAAACACTTTTTTAACAATCAGACCTCGCCGTGAACTAAAAGAGTGAGAACTCACTCATTACTCAGGGAGGGCACCAAGCTATTCATGAGGGATCTGCTCCCACCACCCAAATACCTCTCGCCAAGCCCCGCCTCCAACATTGGGGATCACATTTCAACATGAGGTTTGGAGGGGACACACATCCAAACTATCTTATGAGGTAGTAGGATAATGTAGGTGAAGACTTGCACAGTGCCCGGGACCTGGGGACAAATGCTAGCTCTAATGGTTAATAATGGTCCAGAGAAGAAAATAACTGCTCAGATGCACAGACATGACTGCACTAGTCAACCATGCAGGTATGAGTCCCCATCCTAGAGTATGGGGTGCATAGAGCTCTAGCCCACCATTATTGAGTTGTAGAACTAAGGCTCCAATCTGGGGCTTTATGGATCCCTAAATCATGCCCTTTCACCTTCCCCATATCTGCTTTATTCCTCATAGGGTGGCAGGGAGGGTGGAGCTCATGCCTGGCCTTAATCATCATGGCCTAAGTTTGGTAGTGTCCAAACAGTGGTGAGGGGTGAAGTTGTAGGGTTGCCAGGTAGGTTGTGTTTGGCTTCAAATCACTGAGAACCCAACTGGAAGTGGTGTAGATGCTAATGGAAGTTATTGTTTCTCTGCAGGGGGCCATGTGGTTAATTGATTCAGTGGCTCCATTGTGGAATGGTGGGCCTTGTTTCCTTCCACTTTTCCACTATTCCATTCTTAGCAGCTGGCTCTTGCCCTCAGCCACACCCCATCATGGTCTCAAGATAATATGGACAAGAGAGAAGAGAGCCTTCTTCCACTTGTTCCCCGCTTGTTTTTGAGACAGGGTCTCGCTCTGTCACCCAGACTGGAGTGTAGTGGTGCAATCATAGCTCGCTGCAGCCTTGAACTTCTAGGCTCAAGTGATCCTCCTTCAGTTTCCTGAGTAGCTGGGACTATAGGTGCATGCTACCATACCCAGCTAACTTTAGAGTTTTTTCTAGAGATGAGGTCTCCCTCTGTTGCCCAGGCTGGTCTCGAACTCTGGGCCTCAAGTGATCCTCTTGCCTCAACCTCCCAAAGCACTAGGGTTACAGATGTGAGCCACCACGCCCAGCCCATCTGTCCCTTTTTATGATCATTTTCTCATTTTCTCAGAAGCTGCCAGCTGACTTCTCCTTCATCTCATTGGTCAGAAATGTATCACGTGCCCTTTTCTAAGCCAGTTGCTGGCAAGGGAATGGAATTCCCAAGGTTGCCTTAGACCAGTGCTTCTTAAAGTGAGATCCCCAGGCCAGCAGCATCTGCCATGTCTAGGCAATTTTAAGAACTGCAAATTCTCAGACCCCAGTTCAGACCTACTAAATCAGAAACTCTGGGGTGGGATCTATGTTTTTATTTATTTATTTACTAGAATCGGGGTCTCTGTTGCCCAGGCAGGAGTACAGTGACACTATCATAGCGCATTGCAGCCTCCAACTCCTGGGCTTGAGCGATCCTCCTGCCTCAGCCTCCCATGTAGCCAGGACTACAGGTGTGCACCCCCACACCCAGCTATTTTTTTTATTTTTTGTAGAGACAGGGTCTTGCTATGTTGTCCAGTCTGGTCTCAAACTCTTGGCTTAAACAATGCTCTGGTCTCAAACTCTCGGCCTCCCAAAGTGTTAGAATTACAGGCGTGAGCCACTGCGCCCGGCCCATAGTCTATGTTTAAACGTGCCCTCCGGGGGTTTCTGATGGACACTGAGTTTGAGAACCTCTGGCTTCCTAAGATCTTTTCCTCTGAAGAGCCAGAGAATAAATATTTCAGGCTTGTGGCCACACAGTTTCTGTAGCAACCACTCTGTTCTGCTGTTGCAGTGTGAAAGCAGCTATAGATGATAATAAATAAGTGAATGGGTTTATTTATGGAGACTGAGATTTGAATTTCATCTAATTTTTATGTGTTAGGAGATATTATTACACTTTTGATCTTTTCTAACTACTTAAAAATGTAAAAGCCATTTCCAGCTCCTGAGCCGTACAAAAGCAGGTGGTGGGCCGGGTTTAGGCAATGGCTTGCCAGCCCTCCATCAGACTGCTCAAGATTCATCCCCTGAAACTGGGGAGAGCCTAATAGTCTTAAAACACAGAGAGCCCCAGATTCTTTAGAAAATTGGAATTTGGGCTGGGTGTGGTGGCTCACATCTGTAATCCCAGCACTTTGGGAGGCTGAGGTGGGAGGATGGCTTGAGCCCAGGAATTTGAGGCCAGCCTGGGCAACATAATGAGACCCCATCTTTACAAAAAATAAAAATAATAGTCGGACGTGGTGGCATGTACCTGTAGTCCCAGCTACTCAGGAGGCTGAGGCAGGAGGATCTCTTGAGCCCAGGAGTTTGAGGCTGCAGTGAGCTATGATCACGCCACTGATTGCAGCCTGGGTGACAGAGCAAGACACTGTCTCTGTCTAAAAAAAAAAAAAATGAAATTGGGCCAGGCGCGGTGGCTCATGTCTCTAATCCCAGCACTTTGGGAGGCCAAAGTGGGTGGATCACCTGAAGTCAGGAGTTCAAGACCAGCCTGGCCAACATGGCAAAACCCCATCTCTACTAAAAATACAAAAATTAGCCGGACGTGCTGGTGGGTGCCTATAATCCCAGCTGCTCGGGAGGCTGAGGCAGGAGAATGGCTTGAACCTGGGAGGCAGAGGTTGCAGTGAGCCGAGATCGTGCCACTGCACTCCAGCCTGGGCAACAGAGCGAGACTCTGTCTCAAAAATAATTTTTTAAAAAAAGGAATTTGATGTATAAGGAAGAAGGGTCAAATTGCTGCTGTTTGTTCACCTGCAGCACTTACCATGATAGGCCTGTGTCCAGGTCAGCTAAGAGTCAACTTCCTTAATGTCTCGCTTTTAAAGTCTCGATTTAGTTTTATTCCTTGGGTAGATTTTTTTCCCATAAGTTATTGGGGTACAAGTGGTATTTGGTTACATGAGTAAGTTCTTTAGTGGTGATTTGTGAGATATTGGTGCACCCATCATCTGAACACTATACGCTGCCCCATATTTGTAGCCTTTTGTCCCTCGACCCCCTTCCACTCTTTCCCCCAAGTCCCCAAAGTCCATTGTATCATTCTTATGACTTAGGCAGATTGTTCATCTTCCCACTGAAAGGCAGTCTTCATTGTCCTGAAAAGCCTGGTTATAAGCTGTTCTCTTACCCGAAACACCAGCTCAAATTCCCAGGTGGCATCAGAGCATAGGAAGGTAACAGGACTGGTTTCAAGCTTCCTGCACGTGATTTGTGACTCTTTAAGAACAAAAATTCTAAATGCCATTTGTAGATGGAGCAACAGAATATCAAAAAGGTTAGAGGTGTGATGTCTAGAGCTACCTCTTAGCTTCCCAATTCTGTAATTTTATGCTACTTCCCTGGGTAACACACTCCCTGGAAGGCCAGCAATCCTACGGCCTGGCCAAGGGCCTCCCTCTTTCCTTAGTAAAAGTTAATAATAATAATACTGATAAAGGGCCGTGCGTGGTGGCTTACACCTGTAATTCCAGCACTTTGGGAGGCCGAGGCGGGAAGATCACCTGAGGTCAGGAGTTCGAGACCAGCCTGGCCAACATGGAGAAACCCCATCTCTACTAAAAATGCAAAAATTAGCTGGGCGTGGTGGCACATGCCTGTACTCCCAGCTACTCAAGAGGCTGAGGCAGGAGAATTGCTTGAACCTGGGAGGTGGAGGTTGCAGTGAGCCAAGATTGCACCACTGCACTCCAGCCTGGGTGACAGAGCAAGACCCTGTTTCAAAAAAAAAAAAAGCAAAAAGGGCTGGGCGTGGTGGCTCATGCCTGTAATCCCAGCACTTTGGGAGGCCGAGGCGGGCGGATCACAAGGTCAGGAGTTTGAGACCAGCCTGGCCAATATGGTGAAACCCTGTCTCTACTAAAAATACAAAAATTAGCCGGGCGTGGTGGCAGGCGCCTGTACTCCCAGCTACTTGGGAGGCTGAGGCAGGAGAATTGCTTGAACCTGGGAGGTGGAGGTTGCAGTGAGCCGAGAGTGCACCACTGTACTCCAGCCTGGGTGACAGAGCGAGACTCCGTCAAAAAAAAAAAAAAAAAATACTGATAATGACAGTGCTAACAGCAATAATAGATAGCTAACAAGTGTGGAGTGCTTATCCATCTTCTAGTCCCCACCTTCCTTTAGCCCAGGAGTTCGAGGCTGCAGTGAGCTATGATTGTGGCACTGTACTCTAGCCTGGGCAACAGAGCAAGGTCCTGTCTCTAAAAAAATAAAAGCATAAAAATAAAATAACCAAACTTTTTATTAACCTTCTACCCCCAGAGGGCCCCCTCCCTCAAATAGCTCATTAACTAGACCTGGTTTGCATGCCCACCCCCTCTAGGGACTGAGCCCAACTTCTGAGATAGGGACCCTTGAAAGAACTGGGGTTCTGTTAGCAAGAAGAATTAAGACAAGAGGATGACTTTTGGTGTTGACAGTGTCTGCCCCTGTTTTTTGTTTGTTTGTTTGTTTGTTTGTTTTTTTGAGATGGTGTCTCGCTCTGTCACCCAGGCTGGAGTGCAGTGGCGTGATCTCAGCTCACTGCAACCTCTGCCTCCTGAGTTCAAGCGATTCTCCTGCCTCAGCCTCCCGGGTAGCTGGGATTACAGGCGTGTGGCACCACACCTGGCTGATTTTTGTATTTTTAGTAGAGACGGGATTTCACCATGTTGGCCAGGCTGGTCTCGAACTCCTGACCTCAGGTGATCCACCCGCCTTGGCCTCCTAAAGTGCTGGGATTACACGTGTGAGCCACCGTGCCCAGCCTGCCACAGTTCTTTACACATTTGATCTTTAGCTCACCCAACAACCTTGTAAAAATATGATTGCTACCCATAATTTTCAAATAATCTACGTATGCGTAAGAGAGAGAAGTGATTCCCCAAAGATCACGCAGCTAATAAAGTGGAAGGGAGAACCCAGGCCCACCTGGCTCCGAAGCTCACACTCTTTCCACTAAGCTGCCTGCTTCTTTCATTGGAATGGAGGTTCTCAATCGTGAATGGTAGGAGTGGGGTGGGGTGAATTTTGACCCTCGGGTGAAATTTGAAAATGCTTGGAGACATTTTTGGTTGTCATAATTGGGAGAAAGGGTGTGATATTGGAATCTAGTGGATAGAGGCCATGGATGCTGCTAAAGTTTTTATAGTGGGCCGGGCGTGGTGGCTCATGCCCATAATCCCAATATTTTGGGAGGCCGAGGTGGGTGGATCACCTGAGGTCAGGAGTTCGAGACCACCCTGGCCAACACGGTGAAACCGCGTTTCTACTAAAAATACAAAAATTAGCCAGGCGTGGTGGTTGGTGCCTGTAATCTCAGCTACTCGGGAGGCTGAGGCAGGAAAATCACTTGAACCCGGGAGACAGAGGTTGCAGTGAGCTGAGATAGCGCCACCGCACTCCAGCCTGGGCGACAGAGCGAGACTCTGTCTCAAAAAAAAAAAAAATTATAGTACATAGGACAGCCCCACAACAAAGAATTATTCAGCCCACAATGGTGCCAAAGTTGAGAAACCCTATATACTAAAACAAGCTCTTTGAGGGCAGGGATCATACTACCTTGACTACCTTGTTCAATTCTCAATCCTTTATACCCTGCCTGTCCTGGCACATTGTAAGTGCTCAGTAAGTAATGACTGAGCAACTGAGCAGATGTGCTACACCAGATTCCAGAGTCAAATAATCATAGACTTGGAGAAGTGCAGGGTTATGGGGGCTGCAGTATAACACTCTACCTCACAGTGGGTGCATCCAAGCCACCAGCTTCCCCTGGTTCCAGAAGGCCTGTTAGAGACATGTCTTGCATTTGCACTTGGTCCAGCACAGCCCATGCCTCCCACTTGTGAAAAGAGGCTGACTGATGGGTGGTGATCAGGGTTGGCTGCCTTTTCATTTTTGAGATCATGGGAACAGAGGGACCGGATGAAGAAACACTTCTCTGAATCTACCCATTTCTAAATGGATGAATCACCAAGGAGGAAACTCAAAGATTAATTTCTCACTGCCCTTCTTCCCTTGCTCTGCTCTTTGTAGACAGTTACTGGTGCTCCAGGGCAAAAGATAATGAAAGTTCTTCCTTGCATCAAACTATTTTCTTCAGGAGATAGAGCCAGCATTAGCCAAAGAGACGGTCTGGGCTCTGGGAGCTTGGCTTGGAGGCCCAGGACATTCAAACAGTCCTTCCCGGAGAACAGGCTGGACCTGCAGTGATGAATAATTATTTTGCAATTGACAGTTCAATACCCACCAGATTCTTCATTGTATGTTTCTGTATCGTGTCAAGTTATGAGAAAACGCAATATTCTTTAACAGCTAGGCAAGAACAATGGTTTTTGCTCATTTGTTTGTTTGTTTCCACCCCCCAGAGGTCAGTTTTTGCAGTAAGAAGAGTCTCATTCTTTTTTTATTTTATTTTATTTGTATTTTGAGACAGTCTCTCTCTGTCATCCAGGCTGGCTGGACTGCAGCGGCTGCAACCTCCATCTCTCAGGTTCAAGGGATTGTCCTGCCTCAAACTTCTGAGTAGCTGGGACTACAGGCATGCCTACGCCCTGCTAATTTATTGTATTTTTAGTAGAGACAAGGTTTCAACATGTTGTCCAGGCTGGTCTTGAGCTCCTGACCTCAAGTGATCCACCCGCCTCACCCTCCCAAAGTGCTGGGATTACTGCCATGGGCCACTGTGCTCGTGACTCTTCAAGAAGAGTCTTGAATTTACTCTGAATGTGTCCTTGGTTGGCACAACCACGAGCAGAATATGCATCCTATCTATCCTCACAAACACTGGGTTTATTATCCCCAATTTGCCTTTGAGGAAATGGAGGCTCAGAGAGGTTAAATAACTTGCTCAAGTTCACGTGGGCAATGAGTGGTGGAGTGGAGATTTGAACTCAGGACTGTCTGTGACCCTCCCAGCCCTGCAGTCTCCAAGTCTCCAGTACTATCTGGCTCTAAAATCCGTACTATTCCCTCTGCTATGTTTTTGTGGCGACTTGAACTCTTCCTTCAAAGTCTTGGCTGCTGCTATGAACTGAACGTGTACCTTGTGAAGTTGTATTTTTTCCATATTGTAATTCCATCCTTCAAAAGTAAGTCTTGTTACTGCAAGACTGTGTTTCACCCGTCCTGGGGTAGGAGTGGCTAACAGGTTGGCTTGGGTCCCACAGTGAAATCTGTTCTGAGCCAGACCCTCCCGAGGGGACAGGGGACGAGCAGGAGGGATTGTAGCTGAAGTAGACATCTCCTGGTTCCCAGAAATGTGGAAGAACCTTGTGCAAAAACAGCTTCCTGCAGAGCCGCAAGATGGGATCCAGGTTATTGGTATTTGAGCACTGTGTTTAGGGGCTATGAGAGAAAACTAACATGAACCGGCTGAAGGAAAAAAGTGGAGGATTACATGAAAATGAATTCAGGGAGCTTGCAGGTGTACTGAAGGGAAGTGTGAGCTCTAAAAGCTGGAAAAGGTCTAAACGTGTAGATTACAAAAATATCTGCAGCTTAGCATGGCAATGACGGATAAAGCGTCAGATATGTGTTTGTCATCCAGTTGTCTATGGCTGTGCAACAAACCACCCAACATGTAGTAGCTTAAAACATGACAGTCATTTATTTTGCTCACACATCCACAATTTGGGCAGGATGTTGAGGGGACAGTTCGTTCCTGCTCCACATGGCATCAGCTGGAGCTCACCAGGGGGCTGCAGAATTCATTTCTGAGATGGCTCCTCTAGCGGTTGCTAAGTTGGCGCTTTCTGGTTGGCTGGGAGCTCAGCTAGGCTGTGGTCCAGGGGACTTGGTTCCTTTGTTTGGGCCTCTCCTCTCTTCAGCTACTTGGGCTTCCTCATCGTATGGTGGCTGGGCTCTAAGACAAGGAGAACCCAGTGGAAGCTCTGTCACATTTTATGATGTAGCCTTGGATGTCGCATAACGTTTCTTCTATATTCTATTGGTCAAGCAATCGCACAGTCTGGATTCAACGGTAGATGACATAGGTTCTACCTTTTGATGAATCAAAAAATTCTGGGATCATGGTTTGAAACTACCAAAAAGTAGCGGCTGTATTGTTTGTTATTATTACAAAGTAGGCCGTGTGCAGTGGCTCACACCTGTAATTCTAGCACTTTGGGAGGCCAGCCTGGGCAACATAATGAGACCCGGTCTCTAAAAAAAAAAAAAAAAAAAAAAAAAAAGGAGAGAGATTAGCCAAGTGTGGTGGTGTGTGCCTGTAGTCCCAGCTACTTGGGAGGCTGAGGTGGGAGGATCACTTAAGCCCGGGAGATCGAGGTGGCAGTGAACTATGATCACACTAGGCTGGGAGACAGAGTGAGACCTTATCTCAAAAAAAAGTTAATGATAATTACTACAAAGCAAGGCCAATAGTACAAAAACAGTGATCTTTCACAGTCTATGATATAGCAGGACAGTGCTAGATGTTCCCCATCTGCTATGCCATTTATTCCTCCCCAAAACCTGGGAAGCTCAGGGAGGCATCTAAACTGCCTAAACAGGGCCGTGAAGCTAGGAAGTGCTAAAGCCAGGATTTAAACCCAGAAGTCAAATGCTAAAGACTCTGCTAGACTGACTACCTGATTCTAGAGGCTGGGGTGTGTGCTAGGTATCTGAACGATTGGAGAGAAGCAGACAGAAATGTGTGAATGTGAGTGTGCAAATTTGCACAAGGCCAGTAGCACCTAAGGGGGCCCATGTGGGAGATGGGAGGGTCCCTGCCATCTGCTTCCTTCTCCTCATCCATTTCACCCTGGTCTTCTCAGCCCTCCCCTCTCCTCCATGCCCCTCCTTGGTCTCTTCCCATGGACCCTGTGAGAGCCCCTCTCCAGCTGTTTATGGGAGATGTTGAAGGAGAAGCAAGGGCTCCTCACGACCCTGTCTCTGCCTCTTTCCTGTGCTCTGGGACATCTGAACTGTCACATAGTCAGCTGGCAGGGAAGCCCAATTTTCCTTTGGCTCTCCAAAGGGCCTGATTCATGGGTTAGGCTGAGATCAGATAGAGCCCTTGGGTCAGGTGGGTGGGATTCTGGCTCCCAGGGCTGCTGGCAGGTGCCATCTGGTTGTTCTGGAGGGAGTTGAGGGGAATGATTCCCACCTGGACAGTGTCTGAGGGGTGAGCTGGTGAAGCACTGGGCGGGTGGGGAGCTGGCAGGGACGGGGCAGATACAGAGAGTGCCAGGAGGTGTGGACAGCTGCTCGCAGGGCTCTTGGTGACTTTGCCAGGAAACTGTGTCTAGACAGCCTCTGTCTGATCTCTCTTCTCATCCCACATCATCTCCCCGGTTCCTCCCTGGCCTGAGGCCGTCCTGCCAGGTTGGTGCAGGGATATGTTGAACAAAGTTCAGATGTGCTGTGTGCACAGTACCAGGCTCAGCATAGTCTGAGAATGAAAAGCAGCTTCTGAAACTCAGCCCTGCCTCAGGGGCAGGGAGCTGCTGGTCTTGCCAGGAGGCTTAATGCCTGGATCAAATATGAGGGGGCTGGCTGGGCATGATGGCTCACACTCGTGATCCCAGCACTTTGGGAGGCTGAGGTGGTGGGAGGATTGCTTGGGGTCAGGAGTTCGAGATCAGCCTGGGCAACATGGTGAGACTCTGTCTCTACAAAAAAACTAAAATAAAAAAATAGTCGGATGTGGTAGTGCACATCTGTGGTCCTAGCTACTGGGGAGGCTGAGATAGGAGGATCACTTGAGCCCAGGAGTTCAAAGCTGCAGTGAGCTGTGATTGTACCATTGCACTCCAGCCTGAATGACAGAGGCAGACCTTGCCTCCAAAAAAAAAAAAAAAAAAAAAAGACAAATATTTGGGGGCTTCCCCAGATAGACGTCTGGTGCTATGGTCTGAATGTCATTGTTCCCCTTGAATTCATATGTTGGAACTTAATACCCAATGTGATAGTAGTAAGAGGGGCCCCTTAGGAAGTGACTAATTCATGAGGAATCCACCTTCATGAATGGGATTAGTGCCCCCTTTTATAAAAGGGGCTTGAGCAAGCGCCTTTGCCTCTTTTGCCATATAAGGACACGGCAACAAGGTACCACCTATGATGCAGAGTGAGCCCTCCTCACCAGGCACTGAATCTGCAGGTGCCTTGATCTGGGACATCCCAGCCTCCAGAACTGTGAGCAACGCACTTCTGTCATTTATAAATTACCCAGTCTAAGGTATTTTGTGATAATAGCCCCAAAATATGACACCCAGAGAGTGTGGGCCCTCTAGAGGTCATTTCTTCCAGGCCCCTGCCAGATGCTGAGCTCAGCCTGCAACCCCAGGCTGTTGAAAATCCGAGGAGGCTGAGGTCAGGGAGGGAGGCAGGAGGCCAGCAGGCCATCAGGGAAGGGACGCCAGTGGGCTCTTGAGGAATGAGGAAGGGGCATTAAAGGGCCCAGGTAGAGGCCTGGAGTGGTGGTGGTGGCCGTGGGGGTGTGAGAAGCTGGTTTGGGTGAAGATGCAGGGAGACAAACAGAGACCCATTGGGCACGGACAGGTGCTCACATGTTTCCTTGCACCTGGCATGCTTCCCCTGGTGAACACTGCCAATGTCCACCCACCTGTTCTTCACCCAGGTGGGCCTCGGGTCTGCAGGGACACAGCAAAGGAATGAAAGCCAGGGGCAGGGGTTTAAATCCTGGCTCTGTCTCTTTTCCTCCGTGTGACCTGGGGCAAGGAAATGGTCTTTATAGCTCATGCGGTCTTTATGCAGTTGTCTTAGGTGATGGGGGATGAGAAAGTGCCTTGTAATCAATAAAGACAGATTTATTACGATAATACAAATTTATTGATTTGTAATCAGTAAAGGCAGATTAACCATACCATTTTTTTTTTTAAATAGGGTCTTGCTGTGTCTCCCAGGCTGGAGTGTAGTGTCATGATCGTAGCTCACTGCAGCCTCGAACTCCTGGCTCAAACTATCCTTCCACCTCAGTCTCCCGAGTAGCTGGAACTACAGGCGCACACCATCATGCTCAGCTAATTTTTATTTTTATAGAGATGGGGATCTCACTATGTTGCCCAGGCTGGTCTTGAACTCCTGGCCTCCAGCAATCCTCCCATCCCAGCCTCGCAAAGTGCTGGGTTTACAGGCGTGAGCCACTGCACCCAGACAGGATCAACCATATCTTTTGAGCATCTGTTCTGTGCCTGGCACCAGGACCAATTGCTGTGGGTCAACAGAACAGTTTCAGGTGGGTGGTGGATGGAATGGCTGGTGGGCTCAGAGCTAGAGCTTAGGCCCCTCAGCTACTCCTCTGGGCAGGAGTGAGCAGTGCTCACCCTACCCCAGGCTTAGGCCACTTGCGATGTGGGGTTCCTCTTCGGGCACATCTACTGACCCTGGAACTATTGAAGCTATTTTGTGAGTGCTGTGCCCTCTCTGCTGAGACACAATCCCTGTCTGCCACACCCCCAACACATCATTTGCCCCTGGAGTTTAACTGTACTTTGGTGAAGAGTGGCAGAGGCCAGAGGGACCCCAGGGGTGGACATGTGATTAGCTTGATGGGCAACCCCAGGACAGAGAACAGGGATGGGGAAGGAGATGCTTCCCACTGAAGACCCCATGCACTCTGCAGCTTACAATGCTCCTAAAACCCCAATGCTGGTTTATAAACTCTCTTGTCCAATTGCTGGGGGTCAACTGGGAGCCTTGGTGTGTCCCACCCCTCCCCCAGGCTGTCCCGTTGTTAGGCGAGAATGAGGCTTATTTCTGCTCATCCACCAAGTTTGTCTGTTTCCAACTGTCCATTTTTTTTCCATCCATCTATCTGCCCGTCCATCCATCTTTCCATCACCTCCTGTCCTTAGGCTTAGGGGATTTCCTCTTGGGAGGGGAACTCTTTTTGCAGAAAAGGACGCTGAGCCCCAAAAGCTGAGTATTTCCCAGCATAAATGTCTGAGCCCTGTTCCCTGGGCAGGTCCTGTATTGGGGATTCAGAGTTGAATTGGAGTTGTCTCAGCCTGTGAAGGAAAGAGACCTATCAACAGGGGGTGACAAGGAGAGTTTGTAGCCAGGTGTGGTGGTGCACACCTGTAGTTCTAGCTAATTGGGAAGCTGAGCAGGGAGGATTGCTTGAGCCCAGGAGTTTGAGACCAGCCTGGGCAACATAGTGAGATGGCCCCATTTCTACAAACATTGTGAAAACTAGCCACGCATGGTGACACATGCCTGTAGTTCGAGCTAATCGGTAGTCTGAGGCAGGAGGATCTTTGGAGCCTAGGGTTTCGAGGCTGCAGTGAGCTAGGATTGTGCCACTGCCTTACAGCCTGGGAGACAGAGTTGCAAGACTCCCAGTTGCGATCATTTAAAAACTGGGAGACTGACATAGCATCTGGCTTTTAGCTTCTCTTAATTTATTAGAAGCTCTGACAGCATTGGGCCCATGTTCCCACGTGGAGACAGTTGGTGGATACAAGATAGGCAGCTACCCCCGTCTTTCAATGAGGCATGCACTCCAATTCACCACAGACCCCACCATTCCCTACTGCTTCTCATTCCTCCCTTTCTTCACTTATGTTATCTGCCTGGACTCTCTGCAAGGATTTTCATTTGTGGTTCCTGTTTCAGGAACAGGCCATGGTGTGGCCTTTCCTGACCTTGTCAAGCCTCAGGTTCCCAGAGGGGACCAAAATAGATACTGCACATTGTAGAGGGATCAGCTGAGGTAATATAGGTGAAAGCTCTCAGGAAGCCTAAAGCTCTCTGCAATCACAAAGCTACACAAATAGAAATTATTATCATCATTATTTATAACCATTGAAAGGACAGGAGACAAAGAAGTCAGTCCCCACCGTACCCCTCCCAACCCCAAGCCCACAAGGGTATTTGTGCCATTATGATGGCATTGATCATTGACATTGACAGTTATTATTAAACGATGTCAACTTCCAAATGCAAAATGTTTACCAGATGAACTCAAATGGGCTGGCAGAAATAATGTCCAGGTGCCGTCTACCTTCAACTCCTCTTCTCATGAATTTCTGTGGCATTTCTCCAGGGCCCAGAGTCAATAAGGGAGAGAGAAATGACTCCTCTGGTTTACTGAAGGTGTGACTTGTGATTCCAGCCAATGTCCTGTTGGTTCCCATTGTCTCCCCTGCCACTACCCATGTGGAGTCTTAGATCTTGGAGACTGTACTATGTGGGCCAACTCTCTCCTCAAGACACATTTATTAAAAGGTGGGTGAAGTATCTTCTCCTTTGCCTGTGTCTTTTGCCCAAAGGGAAGTTGATTGACGACAATGCTCCTTTTTCAAGCTCTGATTGCCGGCGGAGGTTGGATAAAGCATCTTGCTGTGATCTCTAAGTGGGCTGTGCCTTGAAAACATGATTTTTGTGTCTAATCATGTGTGTCTGTGGCTCCCTTGCCACTCCTGATTGCCGTGTCACTGTGACTTTATTTAACATACTTTCAGGACCCACTGTATCTGTCCCGCCTCTCTCTGGATCTTCCCAACTCTGTGGTTGCCTCCCTGCTATATTCATGGCCCCTAGGGGATGCCACGTGTGTTCGGTTCTTCATGCTGTTCCTCTGTCTAAAATGTTCTCTTCTGTGGCAGCTTCCTGCAAACATCTTCTTCTCTTTCCAGACTTTCTTTGATGATTAAGAAGCTTGCACGACCTAAGTCTTATAATTCTGAAAATCATCTCCTAGTTTCCAGGACCCCAGATGCACCAGCATGGCTTAGGGAAAGGAAAATGACCTTTGGAGAGAGAATCTTTGGAGGGATTTGAGCCTCGGCATTGCCACTTACTAGCTACACCATTTGGGACATGTTACAAGCCCCCCTGAACCTCAGTTTCCTCATCTGTGAAATGGGCATAATGATAGGCCCTAAATCTTGTGGTGAGGCTTACATGTGCCAATGGATATAAAGTATACATCATCACAATGCCTGGCACATAATGAAAGATTAATAGGGGCAATTAATATAGTGTTTGTGATAGACCCAAAGATAGACTGACCCGAGGCCGACCCTGGACACCTTTTCAACTGAAATCCCACCACCTTATGTTTTGACTTCTAGGTTTCCTTTCCCTAAAAGAGAAGTTTGGAGAAGGATCTAGAATTGTTGGTTAATCAAGGGCTTGCTACCTTCTAATCACTTCATGTCGATATTAGGATAAAGAGCAAACATCCTTCATGGGGTTTACAAGGCCCTCCATGGCCAGGACCGTGTTTATGTCCCCAGCCTCATAGTCCACTTCTCCTCTCTCCCTGGGTGGTGACACATTGCACAGCACCCTTGCACATGCTCTTTTGCCCACTTAATGCCTGCTCATTCTTCAAAGCCCAGGCACTTCCTCTGGAAGCCTTCCGCAACCCCCTGTGTTCCTTCTCGACAGAGTGTGACCGCCCATTGGGTCCACCTTGCCCGCTGCCTAGACAGAGCTGATTTATCAAGACAGGGGGATTGGAATACAGAGAGAGTAATTCATGCAGAGGGGCACTGTGGGAGACTGGAGTTTGATTATCACTCAAATCAGTCTCCACAAGCATTTGGGGAGCAGAGTTTTTAAGAACAGCTTGGTAGGGGTGGTTAGTTGAAGCCAGTGAGCCAGGAGTGCAGATTGGTCAGGGAAGAAATCATAGGGAGTCGAAGCTGTCCTCTTGCGCTGAGTCAGTTCCTGGGTTGGGGCCACAAGATCAGATGAGCCAGTTGATCGATCTGGGTGGTGCCACCTGACCCGTCACGTGCAGGGTCTGCAAATTATCTCAAGCACTGATCTTAGGAACAGTTTAGGGAGGGTCAGAATCTTGTAACCTCCAGCCGCCTGACTCCTAAACCATAGTTTCTAATCTTGTGGCTCATTTTAGTCCTAACAAAGGCAATCTAGTCCCCAGGCAAGAAGGAGGTCTGCTTTGGGAAAGGGCTGTTATCATCTTTGCTTTAAACTACAAACTATGAACCATGAACTCAGTTTCTCCCAAAGTTAGGTCAGCCTACACCCAAGAATGAATAAGGACAGCTTGGAGGTTAGAAGCAAGATGGAATTGATCAAGTTAAATCTCTTTCACTGTCTCAGTCATAATTTTGCTAAGGCAGTTTCAAGAGCACTTACTCTAGTTTCTGGTTTTACATTCATGACTGTGTTTTATTTGGTTCATGTCTAATTCCTCCACTGGACCGAGAGCTCCATGATGGCAGGAACCAAGTCCGTGGGTGGCCCCCTGTGGTGTCCCCAGCATTGAACACAGCAGCACGTCCCTCATGGGTGTTCACTACATAATAATTTGTTGGATGCACAGGTGGATACATGACTTACTACTTTAAGAATGTGTGCATTTGAGATGTTTACTTGGAACAACGAAGGCTTATTCTTGAAGAAACAACAAGTGATAAGTCACCAGAAGACAGAAAACAGCATGTTGGAGCTGGGTGGCTCCTGGTGCCTGGGAAATGAACCCTTGGGGTGGTTCTTGGAAGGAAGTGAGCAGGTTTAGTCCCATCTGATGAACTCTTTCCTCTCCATGGTTAAGTTGGCTTCTAACTCAGGGACTAAGTTTTATTTGAGACTGAGGCCACTGCTGGTGGGTTGGTTGGTCTCCTCCACCTTTCCCTTCACCCGTAAATGGGATATTAGTGAATGGGTGGCATAACCCACCTGAGGGTTCTTATAGGGTTTTAGGAGAACAGCCCTCATCTCCCAAGTTCCTGAACTGCCATCAAGATAACTGTGTGTGTGTGTGTGTGTTTGTGTGTTTAATCGAGACAGAGTCTCGCTCTGTTGCTCAGGCTGGAGTGCAGTGGCATGATCTTGGCTCACTGCAACCTCCGCCACTCAGGTTCAAGCAATTCTCATCTCTCAGCCTCCTGAGTAGCTGGGATTACAGGCACGTGCCACCACACCTAGCTAATTTTTTTTTTAAGATAGACTGATTTTTGTATTTTTAATAGAGATGGGGTTTCACCATGTTGGCCAGGCTGGTCTCGAACTCCTGACCTCAGGTGATCTGCTCACCTTGGCATCCCAAAGTTCTGGGATTACAAGTGTGAGCCACCACACCTGGCTATCATCAAGATAACTCTTTAAATAAGCCAAACATTTATTGGCCAAAAGCAATGCACATGTTCTGTCAACAAGCAAATTTGGGGAAACACAAAGAGAATAGAAACAGAAAATAAATATTAACCACCCGGATGTAATCATATTAGCATTTTGGGGCATATGTTTCTGATTCTTTTTAAAAAATATTTATGTCTTTCTGTGTTTTCTATTTATATATGTATTGCAACCTGATTTTTTTCATTGAGCAAATGTAAAATGAACAGAAAATGTCCAGGAAAGCAAATGTCTCCCTTCTGCTGGCCTGGTGTATTACACAGGGTTCTGTGGAGGGACAGAACTAATAGGATAGATGTATATACGAAGGGGAGTTTATTCAGGGGTACTGACTCACACGGTCACAAGGTGAAGTCCCACAATAGGCCATCTGCAAGCTGAGGAGCAAGGAAACCAGTCTGAGTCCCAAAACCTCAAAAGTAGGGAAGCCAGCAGTGCAGCGTTCATTCTGTGGCCAAAGGCTTGAGAGCCCCTGGCAAACCACTGGTGTAAGTCCAAGAGTCCAAAAGCTGAAGAACTTGGAGTCCAATGTTCCAGGGCAGGAAGCATCCAGCACAGGAGAAAGATGAAGGCCAGAAGACTCAGTAAGTCTGTTCTTTCCAACTTCTGCCTGCTTTATTCTAGCCATGCTGGCAGCTGATTAGATGGTACCCACCCAGATTGAGGGTGGGTCTGCCTCTCCCAGTCCACTGACTCAAGTGTAAATCTCCTTTAGCAACATCCTCACAGACGCACCCAGGATCAATACTTTGCCCCCTTCGATCCAATCAAGTTGACACTCAATATTAACCATCACACCTGGTATGACAGTACTAGCCTTGTCCCAAGAGGCAGGAGCCCCAGAACTGCAGAGCATCTGATAGAGATGTGAATAGTGGCTTTGGAAGGAATGACTGTGGCCAGGTAAGGTGACAGGTAATGGCGAAAACAGAGGCATGAAATCGTGGGGCAGTTCAGGTGAGCCATTCCCCAATATTCACCAAGAGATAATAGGGAAGGGAGAGAGAGTAGGGGTCTCAAAAGCAGGGTCACGGTGCTGATAATCTGAAAGGTAGGGTCTCAGAGCCATTGAATGTTTCATTTATTCACTCAACGAGAATTTCTTGAGTGGCTAATATGTGCCAGGTGCTGCAGCAGCCAGTGGGGATTGTAGGTCACAAAAACATGACTTCATTCAAAGCATGCACCATTATTTACATATGTAAAGTGCCTTGGCATGAAATAGAAGCCCAATAATCTCTTGCAACCATAGAGATGAGCATTAATGACTTTTCCAGAATTGCATCTATGGTTGGTGATTATTCCTATGTGGCCAAATGACCAGAAGGAGCAGAAAGCTACATTTTTGTGGCATCTTGTATACATAGAAATGATTGCTGTAAATATGTGTTGACTCCCTTTAATACATATGCAACTAATTGAAAGCGGGCAGTTTACGGTGTAGTATCAGTGAAACGTGCTCTGTTGCCATTAAGTATAGCTTTGTTACATTATTGAGACAACTTGCCTTGGGGGCACTGGGGTAAGTTATTGCTTCTTCAACCATATTTTGGTCCTTAGAGGACCAACCGCTAGTCCAGCTTTTATTACCTGCTGTTTCTTTAATCACAACAGGGAAATGTTGGCTAGGCATCGGACGGGAGACTTTTCTTATAAGATGAAATGAGCCAAGATTGGAAGACGACATTTTTATTTGCCTTACAAATGGACTGGATACAGTGTGAATGGCTTGGTGAATGAGATGAAGGGCTCTGCTGAGCAGCAATCCCAAACCATTCACCCTTATGCAGAGGCAGAGAGCCTCCTAAATGAATTGGGTTCTGTTGGAGTTAGCTGCTCTTATTTTCCTGTGCTGAGGAGTCTGGAGTGGGAGGGTATCCATTTCCCAACCAATAATAATTAGCTTTGATTCCAGGCATCATGTGCATTTTTAATCCGTTAGGCATAGGGTCTTCCCGGGACCTATACGTTTTTCAAGATCTACAGAAATGTTTGAGACCAAAAACAAACAAACAAACAAACAAACAAACAAACAAAAAACACCACACAAACACACATACACACACACACATTGGCTTAAAAATGCAAAAGAGAAAATGACAAAATTGAAATTAATGAATATCTTAAAAATTACCTACGCTGGGCATGGTGGCTCACGACTGTAATCCCAGCACTTTGGGAGGCTGAGGCAGGCAGATCACCTGAGGTCAGGAGTTCGAGACCAGGCTGACCAACATGGTGAAACCCTGTCTCTACTAAAAATATGAAAATGAGCTTGGTATGGTGGTGCATGCCTGTAAACCTGTAATCCCAGGTACTCAGGAGGCTGAGACAGGAGAATTGCTTGAACCTGGGAGGTGGAGGTGGCAGTGAGCCGAGATCATGCCATTGCACTCCAGCCTGGGCAACAAGAGTGAAACTCCTTCTAAAAAAAAAAAAAAAAATTACCTACAAATTGTGCTGCTTTGTCAATATCACTAATTGTTAAATTTAACATTCCTAGGGATTTCATTACATCTGAAAAATGTGGATAGTTAGAATTTCCCACTTTCTAGACCTCCTGAATATGCACAATTACCAAGAAATCACATCCAATCTAAATTTAAATAAATCACCTATTGCCAGATAATTTCAGGAGCAGAATTTTAAAATTTTCTCAAAAAATGTTTAGAGCCAAAAATCCATTTAATGTAGGATACAGGCAAATTTGTAGCATGTTTCAAATGCTTTCTGGTGAGACCTCCAAAAGTGAATGTGTCTAGGGTATATAAAATTCTTAAAGGGGCTTTGTCATCCTTCTTCCCCACTCACCCATAAAATAGATGAGATAAAAGCTATTTCTAAGGGTGGCTCTTTTGTGAAGTATTTGAGCTTTACGGTAGATGAGACTATTGTTTAGTAAATATTTGTTCCCTCTCCTATTACATCATTGATGTTCAGCTAGGCTATGTGACTTCCTTTTCCCTGAGAGATGGCATAGTGTACTTCCCTACCCTTCAACTGTTGAGTTGAGCTTAACTTTCTTTGGCTAATGGGATGTGAGAGGACATAACCCTTATGAAAGGCTTGAAATGCTCTCGTGTGATGAGTTTGCCTTCTTGTGCTTTTGCCTTCTCTATGAGAAAAACATGACTTAGTTGGTCACTGGTCCTAGAAAAATGAGATGCATCTAGAGCAGAGCCGCCCCAGCATGTCTTCAGACCTGCAACCTCCAGCAGAGCTGCTCCAGCCAAGCTATATGGGCATGGCAGAGAAATAAGCTCTTTCTGGGATTTGGGGTTGTTTGTCTTACAGCATCTAGCTGACTGCTGCAAGTTCCTGCACACAGTGGTGCTTACTCATGTTTCTGAAGGAATAGCAGTTTGTTTATTTCAACCACATTGCTAGTTATTTGTTATTTTCCACCATATTGCTAGGGTTATAACTCTGAAAACAAGTTCAGCTACTTCTCACATGTTCCTTCTGCCTGAAAACTTTGTCTCCTTGCTCTTCACGTGGATGGCTTTCTCTCTTTGGCTCTGGATTTAAATATTACTCCCTTGGGATGACCTCTTCTGATACATTATTTAAATACCATCTGTGGTGGAGCCTACTATTTACATATTGAAACATCTACATTCCCTTTTCTTCTCTGAAATAACACCTTATTTTCGGGGGAAAAATTTCAAACTGAGACAATAGTTGGAAGAACAGTACAATTAAGTTTTCCCTCTCCTCGAATCATTTCCCAATACTTTACTGTGTGTTTCTTGCAATAAGGACCTTCTCCTATATGCCCATAATACAACCATTAAAGTCAGGAAATTATTATAACATTGATACATTACCACCATCTAATCCAAAGGCCCCATTCAGGTTTCACTGACCATCCCAATAATGTCCTTTATAATCTTGCAGGGCAAGATTATCATAGCATTTAATTGTCACGTCTTATTCCGGCAGATTCATCAGTCTCTTTGTTACTTTCTCGACCTTGATACTTTTGAAGATACAGGCCATTTATGTTGTATAAGAGCTCTCAATTGGGGATTGTCTGATGCTTTTTCGTGACTAGAACTAGGTCGTGCACCAATTCTAGGCTTCAACACCCCATGCCAGATCTCTGTCCTATCCCCTCTCATTGATGCTTACTTTGGTTGGTGCCCTTTAGTGACTTTAACACTGAATATTTGAGGAAGAATAAAAGATGAAACACTGATTTTAATTAGGGTGACATAGACTCTGCTTTAAACAACAACAACAAAACCAAAACCCTCTAATTTCCCAGTCTCTCATGAGGCTACCCAAGCCATGTGATTTAGCTTTGGCCAAGGAATGCAAAGAGAAGAGTAATATGGACATTTTCTCAGAATGAGGACCACATATTTCTTTGCCCATTTTTCCTGTTGTTGGTCTTGAATTAGGATGCAATGGCTAGATCTCTGGATGCCATATTTGACCATGAAGTCAAGTCCAAATGAGAAACGATCATTCCCAAATTAAGGCCGTGACTTAAGGAGGTATATAAAAGAGAAGGTGGCAATTGGTTGAATGTAGGGTGTGATGGAGAAGGACTCAAAGATGTTGTTCAGGCTCTTGGTTTGGGTAACTGGGTGAATGGCGATGATATTCATGGAGAAAGTGAGCTAAAAATTAGGAGTAAAATTATTTGGAAGGCAAGTTAAATTCGTTTTTGGAAAGAAATGAATCTGAGATATACAATGGACATCTGATGGTGTTCTCTAAGGTAACGGGAATTGGAAACAGATTTCAATATTGAGGTGGTAGAAGAAGGGGTCAAATCATCAAATCATGATTCTGTTACTTGGAAGGAAGGCTGAAGGGGAGACCTTGAGCATCTTGTTTCTTCTTAGTTCCAGTTATGCTTTATGCTTTTGAGCACTAATCACAACAGATACTGTGGAGGCTGAGCTCCAGCCATTGTCAAGCCTGTGCTCCAGCACTGGTATAAATTACTGGAGTCCTCATTCTAGAGGAAAGCACGGGGACGAATCTTTTCTAGGGCTCTTTACCTTGTCTACTCTTCCTGCAGGGAGTAGTTCAGACTTTCTTCTTCTACCTCCTCTTCTTCTTTTTTTCTTTATAGAGACAAGATCTCAGTCTGTCACCCATACTGGAGTGTAGTGGCACAATTATAACTCACTGCAGCCTCAAGTTCCTGAGCTCAGGTGATCCTCCTGCCTTAGCCTTCTGAGTAGCTTGGACTGCAGGGTTCATGCCACCATGCCTGGCTTATTTATTTATTTATTTAGTAGAAACAGGGTCTCACTATGTTGCCTAGTCTGGTCTAGAACTTCTGTCCTCAATTCATCCTCCTGCCTCAGCCTCCCAAAGTGCTGGGATTACAGGTGTGAGCCACTACACCCAGCCTAGGTTTTTCTTTCTTTTCAATGAATCATAACCCTTCTCTCTTCATTTCTAGTGAACATGCATCACCTTATCCTATCACAAACCAACTCTGTGACAAATGTACTATTACTATGCCCATTTTACAAATGGAAAAACTGAGACTTAAAGAATTTAAATTGGCTGGGCACAGTGACTCACACCTATAATCCCAGCTCTTTTGGAGGCCAAGATGGGAGGATTGCTTGAGGTCAGGAGTTCGAGACAAGCCGAGGCAAGAAAGCAAGACCCTGTCTCCACAAAAATTAAATAAATTAGCCAGGTGTGGTGGTGCACACCTGTAGTCCCAGCTACTCCACAGGCTGAGGCAGGAGGATAGCTTAAGCCCAGGAGTTCAAGGCTGCAGTGAACTATGATCATGCCCACTGTACTCTAGCCTGGGCAACAGAGCAAGACCCTGTTTCTAAAAATTAAACAAAATACCAAGCAACAACACCAACAAAACAACACCACCACAAAACAAAGTTAAGTATCCTGGGGTTATACTGGAATCCAAGTAATCTGGTTTAAGAGCTTAACCTCCTAACCACCATGCTATACTGCCTTGTGGCAACTCATGCCTTGTGAATCTTTACTCCTGGTAGTGTTTCACAGTTGACAGAGAGCTTTTGCATTCTTGATCTCATTTGGTCCTCCCAACAGCCCTGTGGGGCAGGTAGGAAAGACCTTGTTATTAGACATGAGGGTCCTAAGAACCAGAAAGCTAATGGACATGCCGAAGGTGGCCCAGCCAATGAATAGCAGAGTTAGATAAGAATTGTGATCTTCAGGCCGGGCACGGTGGCTCACACCTATAATCCCAGCACTTTGGGAGGCCAAGGAGGGTGGATCACTTGATGTCAGGAGTTCAAGACCTGACCTCAAGTCTGGCCAACATGGTGAAATTCTGTTTCTACTAAAAAATACAAAAATTAGCCAGGTGTGGTGGCGCACACCTGTTATCCCAGCTTCTTGGGAGGCTGAGGTAGGAGAATCGTTTGAACCTGGGAGGCGGAGGTTGCAGTAAGCCGAGATTGCGCCACTGCACTCCAGCCTGGGACACAGAGCAAGACTGTCTCAAAAAAAAAAAAAAATTGTGATCTTCAGCAGCCTTATAGAGCACTTCTTCTACTGTATAATCCTCGCTTTCCTCATTTACATCTGTGAAAAAGATATTCCTTTTGTTCAGATGCTCTTAGGTGCTCTGAAGCAAGCAATAGCCCAAGCTGGCATTTTGAGAGTCATTTCATGGATGGAAAGCGGAGGCTCAATGGCTAAGGGAATTAGCCTTGGTTCTCCAGTGTGTCTGCAGTCTTCATGGCATTGGTGCTGCTGATCCACAGTCATGCCAGAGGTTGGGTCCGCAGTGAACCGCTTCACAGCTGGCTGGTTGGGGGAAAAGAGAGGTCTAATGATAGAAACCTTTCCCAAAGCAAAGGATGTAAGCCCACACCGAGAATTATTAGAAAGAATAATATTCTCCCACACTGAGAATTATTAGAAAGAAAGAAAGAAAAACTAGAAAGAAGGACAAAGGCATTCCAGCATGCTTCCTGTGACAGATTGAGCCAGTCTTTGTAACCTCAGATTCACAAGGACATTGCAAAGAATTTCCTGTTGCGCTCACCAAAATTGGCTGGCCCTTGTGCCAGAGTCCCACTGACATCCAGAAAACTATTGCCCATCTTCTCTGGGCTGTGCAAGGATTAGTGTCATAATAGATCATCACAGCCAAATGTTATTATACAAAGCAGAAAGCTGCAAGAAATGGATCTTCATTCATTGAATTTGCATGTTTGGTGGGGACTGCTTCAGACTTCCTTTATCTCGTGATCAGTCGTGTGTGTTGATCCTCTTTGCAAGTTGTTGTGAGAACTGGGTGCAGCAAAAGCTGCCACTTCAAGAGACCAAAGGGATGAAAAAGTGCATCAATTTGCATAAAGAACTCAGATAATTTCTAGGTAGAAAGCAGGTCAGAGAGGCTCTAGACCTAGGACTCTCATGTTGGATTGCTTAGTTTCAAATCGTGCTTATGTCACTTACATGCATGCAATCTGGATAAGACATTTAATATCTCCCCAAGCCTCAGTGTTCTCATCTGTAAAATTAGATGATGTGGTGATGATGAAAGAACATATATAGGCTGGATGCAGTGGCTCATGCCTGTAATCCCGGCATTTTAGGAGGATGGGGTGGGCGGGGCACTTGGGGTCAGGAGTTGAGAACCAGTCCGGCCAACATGGTGAAACCTTGCCTCTAAAGAAAATACAAAAATGAGCCAGGCCTGGTTGTGGGCACCTGTAGTCCCAGCTACTTGGGAGGCTGAGACAGGAGAATTGCTTGAACCCGGGAGACGGAGGTTGCAGTGAGCCAAGATCATACCACTGCACTGCAGCCTGGACAATAGAGCAAGACTCTGTCTCAAGAAAACCCCCAAAAAACAAAAAAAACAAAAATAATATAAATAAAACATATATATTATATAATATATAAAAAACATATATAATATAATATATAAAACATATATTATTTAATATATTCTGTAATATCTATTTTAATAACATATATTGTATATTATATAACTTGTTATATAACACGTTATATAATATATAATTTGTTATATAACACGTTATATAATATATAATTTGTTATATAACACGTTATATAATATATAATTTGTTATATATGTTATATAACATATAAACCATGTATTATATATAATATATGTTTTATATAATATATAATAATTATAATTTATATACTATATGACATTATATATTATATATAACTTATACATTTATGTATGATAAAATATATGGTATATGAAATATACATAATTATATATTATATGATATAATTATATAATATATCATATATGTATTATGTATATTTCATATACATTATATTTTATTATATAAACATAAGTATATATTATACTATGTAATAGCATAATATATAATTATACAATGTATAATTATATATTATATGTAACAGTATAATATACAATATACAATGTATAATTATATATTATAATATGTATGACATACATATCTAACATATATTATAACATGTATGTTATATATAACACATATAGCATCTAGATACCATGTATAGCATGTGTACATGCATATATATTTATGTTATTCAACATGGGTCCAGGAATGGAGTAAGAGATCAACAAATACAGTCATTAAAATCAGTGATTCCTCATTCTTCTCCCAGCTCCTTCTTTATGAGATTTTGAAATCCATATGGATGGATAAAAATATCCCCAAATGGTGTCTAATGTTGCAGGGAAGGAAAATGAAACTCTGGAAATAAAATTAGTTCAAGGAGAAGGAGCATCTCCGCTGTTGACCCGGCTTAACACTAGACTAAGAATAGATTGCAATGGCCCCAACCTCAGGTATGCCAGATAAGTCCCTGAAGGCCCTAGAGGGGAACCTGAGAAGGGTTTGAATGTTTGCATGTGTGTTCGACAAGCTGGTACCTGGTAGCTGAGATGTAGAGGAGAATCATTGTGCCCTATGTAGAGACTGGACTATGTGGACTTTTTCATAGCTGTAGACAAAGACACGCTGACAGTACCAGACTGGTTTTCAACCTAATGGCAGCCTCGGGGACAAGGGAAGGTGAAAATGGGGCTGCCTATGAATGGATCCGACTCCTCAGGTTTCCACCAGCCTGAAGTTTGGAAGTGATCTTTGGATTAACTGAGTCGGCAGAGTGTTGGACCACGAGAAGGCAGATGTGGAGTGAGATACTGGACTTCTTGGCTCCTGTGAGCAAAGAGGATGGGCATGAGATTAAATGGAAAAGTAAGAGACGTGACAGTTTCCCAGGTTAATAACATGAGTAATGCCAGTTACATGCATGGGAGCTCATTTAACAACTCTTCAGGGTTGTGTTACTACCCAAACCCTTTATGATGCTGAGCACGCACTGCAGACACTGATTCCTGCCTGCCCCTCCACTCTGTTTCCTGGTTACCTTCTGCCTGATTCATTTTGATCTAGACACACTGGCTTCCATTCTTTTCCATGAACAAGCCAAGCTCCTTCCCACCTCTGGGCCTTTGCACATGCAGTTTCCTCCACCTGGAATGCTGCTCCCAGATCTTTTTACAACACATTTCCTCTCATCTCTTGAACCTCACCTTACACGTTACCCTTTCAGAAAGATTTTCCCGTTCATGTCCTCTCCGCTACATTATTCTCCCTCCCATCACCCTCTCTAACATCATAGTCCTCACCATTCCTGAAATGATCTTTGTTACTTACTGGGTGGCATGTTTAGAGGCTGCTTTCCCCACTGGCTCTGTGACAGTGACTTTGTCATGGTAACTCAACATTCTGTTTCCTGTGGCCTGAAGATTGCCGGGTATATACTAAGTGCTCCATGAATATTTGTTGGAAGATTCAATGAATCATATCTTACCAATGCAATATTGGAAGCCTAGAGAAATGAAATAACGTTTTCACAATTGCACAGAGTAACAGATGCTTTCAGTGCTTCCCTTGTATCTTCTAACCCTTTACCTCTTAAGCATCCACTGACCCATCCAAATGTAGTTGCATTCTCTTTCTGAGGACTTTTTCTTCTTCTTTTCTTTTTTTTTTTTTTGAGATGGAGTCTCACTCTGTCGCCCAGGCTGAAGTGCAGTGGCGTGATCTCAGCTCACAGCAATCTCCGCCTCCCAGGTTCAAGCAATTCTCCTGCCTCAGCCTCCTGAGTAGCTGGAATTACAGGCATGCACCACCATGCCCAGCTATTTTTTTTTTTTTTAGTAGATGTGGGGCTTTGCCATGTTGGCCAGGCTGTCTCGAACTCCTGACCTCAGGTGATCCACCTGTCTTGGCCTCCCAAAGTGCTGGGATTACAGGCGTGAGCCACCATGCCTGGCCCTCTTTCTGAGGTCTTTTTCTGGTTGTACTGTCTTTGCCCACCCATATGATGGCTTGGAAGTCTTGGAGGAATCAACACCTGCCCTGGGAGCATCCCTCCACCAGGAACTGATGAGAGTTGGTGTATGTGGATAAGTACCCCATCTCCCTCACCCCTTAGGTCAGATAACTATGAAGCAAGAGCTGGTATGTGCATCTTTCCCCAAGTCCTTGTTCAGGGACAAGGTAGTGTGAAATCAGCCATGGTGGGAGGATTTACACCATGGATATGGGCAGACACTACAAATCTGGGCTTTTAATATTTTTCTGCAGTGTTGGTTGTTAAACATCTACCAGCACATTGCTAGAGATGTTCTACAGTGTATCCTAGAGTTTTCCAGCAAGTTTAAGCTCCAGTTATTGTCCCAAGTGGTAACTTGTTTTATAATATGCCCTTTACTGGCTGCCTCCCTGACCTATTTCATTTCCTGTGTCATGTTTCATTTACCTCCCACATAGATGACTTACTCTTGGAGTCTTGTCTCAGGGTCTGATTCTTGGGAAACCCCAATGAAGGCATACAACTAGTATGCGATAAAACCAGCATTTAAACCTAGGTAGGTCTGACTCCAAATCCACGTGTATTTTACTAATACTCCACTGCCTCTTGTGTCTGACCAGTTCATTGCCAATCCACTGTGACAGGAGTCCTTTAAGGAGTGAGACAAATGCATTATATTGATGAAAGTAGCTTGCAATTAAGAAGTTAGCTTTCTAGGCCAGGCACAGGGGCTCAAGCCTATAATCCCACCATGATTGGGAGGCCGGGGCAGGAGGATCACTTGAGGTCAGGAGTTCAAGACCAGCCTGGTCAACATGGTGAAACCCCATCTCTACTAAAATTATAAAAATTAGCTGGGCATGGTGATGCACACCTGTAATCTCAGCTACTTGAGAGGCTGAGGCAGGAGCATCACTTGAATTCAGGAGGCAGAGGTTGCAGTGAGCCGGGATCACACCACTGCACTCCAGCCTGGGTGATAGAGTGAGACTCCATCGCAAAAAAAAAAAAAAAAAAAAAAAAAGAAGTTACGTTTCTTATGATAAGGGATGGGTTAACTAGATAAAACATGTGGAAATCTAATTTAGTTAGTAAATTATTTTTTATTTCAAAAACACTTTTAAAACATAGACATGTTTTCCATAAAACATGTAGGCACCAAGACAGATTTGATTGCTCTCTTGTGAATGATCAGCATCAGGCTTCCATTTCATGCTTGTTATAATTTACTGTTTATAGTTCCTAACTCTCTGCTTACACGCTGGTTTGAATATTCAAGGGTCTCACCAAGTGGTGAGGCACTGGACGCAATGATGATGTTGGGTGCAAATGAATAGGGCTTCAGCTGGAAAGGGGCAAGGGGCAGACTGGAAAGAGCTTAGGCTTTAGACCTCTGTACTGGTCAGGACACTTTGGTTCACAAGGGAGAGAAACTCAGTGCAAGCTAGCCTAGGCAGAAAAGAAAAAAGAACTTAATGCCTGGGGAAATTGGAAGGTTGAAGGATGTGGCATTAGCTTCAGGTATGGCTCGATCAAGGATTACTCGCTAATAAAGCCTCTCTCCTTCACTAGAATAGAAGCTCTGTAAAGACAGGCACCTTGTCTGCCCTATTCATAGCTGCATCCTCCATCATATAGAATAATGCCTGGCACACAGTGATAATAAAAATTATAGAGCATGTCATATGGGCATGCCACTGTTCTTAGTTTATCCACTTAACCCAATGAGGTAGGCAATTATTAATTATAATCCCCATTTTTCTGGATGGAGAAACCAAGGCACTGAGAAGTCATTTAGCTGATAAGCAGGGTAACTGGGATTTGAACCTAGGACCTCTTGCTCCAGAGTCTGTGCTCATAACCATGCTGCCATATTAACTCAGTAAGTAGTTGTTGATTGAGTGAATGAATAACTGACTAATGATGAAACTTGCCAGACACAGAGTATTCAGTAACTAGGAGTGCTGACATTTATTTGAGTGGCCTCTGTTTTCTGTGTCCCATTAGCTTTGGGTGCTGGTGTCTTCATCTGCAGGATTCCATATATTTAGCCCAGATCAATGGAGTGCTGGAGGGTCAGGATGAGTCGTGTTCAAGAAAATAAGGTTGGAGTTATTTCTAGATTTTTTTTTTTTTTTTGAGACAGAGTCTCGCTCTGTCACCCAGGCTGGAGTGCAATGGTGTGATCTCGGCTCACTGCAACCTCTGCCTCCCAGGTTCAAGTGATTCTCATGCCTCAGCCTCCCAAGTAGCTGGGATTACAGGTACCCACCACCATGCTTGGCTAATTTTTGTATTTTTAGTAGAGATGGGGTTTCTCCATGTTGACCAGGCTGGTGTCGAACTCCTGACCTCAAGTGATCCACTGGCCTTGGCCTCCCAATGTGCTGGGATTACAGGTGTGAGACACCACACCCAGCCTGAAATTTTGTTTTAAGTTCCTGAGATCCAGGGGTTGTTTGTTACTGCAGCATAGTCTAACCCATCCTGTGTAGAAGCCCTTACTTACTTAGGATGTGTCATTGAGTTCAGAGAGAGGCAGTAGAGGAAAGGGCCCAGACTTTAAAATCAGAGAGATGAAATTCCAACTCTCCACTCACTAGCTGTGTGACCTTGGGTAAGTTCCTTAACCTCTCTGAGCCTCACTCTGCATTCTCACTAGTGAAATTACAACTGTAATTGCTACTCCATGAAATTGCTTTGACTACTAAAATAGGAAACCCTGTCAAGGGTATAACATAGTAGGTGTTGATGAATGTTGGATATTACTTTTGCTATTATGTAGCAAAGCATAGATTACTTTGGCTATTTTGAAAAAACCTGTTGCTATCAATTAAGGATAGAGTGGCTAAATTAAGTAAATTCTGTAAGCAAACAAGGATGGGTCTTTAATTCTCCTCCACTTTCGATTTATGGCTGAAGATTTGACAGTTATCTGAAGTCTGACTAGCTTGAAAACCAAGACATCTGTGATTAGACTTACCTTTTGTTCTTCCCATTAGTGTAATTCATTGCTTTAGGACATCTCTGCTAACCCACTCGCCCAATATCCATCTAGCTTGGAGCCTTTATGGCCCTCATAAGGACCCGGCTTCCCCCTTGGTCTTTAAAATTAGACAACAGATGTTCATAATCGAACCTGTCTTGGTTCCAGAAAGTCTGAGATGTTCAGAAATAATCAGAACGTCTCTATAAATATCATAAAGGATATATCATTTTGGCAGAACCAGATCCAGTTTTTGTGGGGACTGAAGCTTATATAATATGGGGATCTCTGTTTAAGAAAAAGAATACAAAATTATGAATTTAAAATTAGGCACAAAAGAGAATGTTATTTTGGAATGAGAAATTAAGTATAATATTCCTGTAGCTGCCTGGACATGGTAGCTCATGCCTGTAATCCCAGCTTTTTGAGACGCCAAGGTAGGAGGATTTCTTGAGCCCAGGAGTTCAAGACCAGCCTAAGCAACATGGCAAGACCCCCATCTCTACAAAAAAAAAAATTCAAAAAATTAGCCAGGTGTGGTGGTGTGTGCCTGTAGTCCCAGCTACTCAGGAGGCCGAGGTGGGAGGATCGCTTGAGCCAGGGAGTTAGAGGCTGCAGTGAGCGATGATCTTGCCACCACACTCCAGCCTCCAGCCTGGGGGTAACAGAGTGAGATGTTGTCTCAAAAAAATAAAAAGAGAAAATTCTGGAGCCTTTAGCTATTTCCATTCCATTCTTCTGGGATCTGTGTAGGCAATTAATCAGAAATGTGAACATAGAGGTGCTTCATTATTGAAACCCAGCTTTCCCTTCTCACCTAAAGCCTTCCCCAAGTCCAGCATTTAAAGAGACAGGTACAAGGAAAAGACCCTGAAGCCCAAGCCTCATTAGCTTCAGGTAAATTCACCTCCGCTCTCTGGAGAAGCAGACAACAGAGGCCTCTTGTGAATATTGAGGAGAAGGTTGTATGTGTGTTCATGTGCGTGAGATCCAAGTGGAGAGCATGGGAACCTAGCTCAATTTTCCCCTGAGGTGAGCTTGAAGCTTTGGGTATCTTCCTCTCAGAGAACGTAAACCCATTTTTCCAACATTGTTGTAAAATATTCTGTTCCCACCTTTCCCACAATCAGCTTGCCTGACCCCACCACAGGGTGTGTCATCTTGTGCTTCTGGCACACACACACACACACACACACACACACACACACACACACACTCTCAGAGCCCTGCCATCTGAAGGCAGCCAGCTCCAGAAAGGCCAACCCTTAGCTGTAACTCAGCATAGCACTGTTCATGATCTTTGGTTTCCATTTCTAGGCTGGTTTCCTTTTTTGTTTTGTTTTTTCCTTTGCCAAGACTGTAGTTGAAATAGGATAAAGGATTTATTTTTCCATAACAAGGTAGGAGAAAGGGTGCTAGGTTACAAGCACCCTGTCAATATCAGAGTTGGAAGCTTCTTCCTACCATCAGGTGTGTGTTGTGAAAGGAACGAGGGGTTCAGGCAAGTATTTCCCAGCGGGTGGGAAGGGGTCTTGATGGGATGGAAACTAGGAAAACAAACCAGATTCCCTGAGGGAAAATCAACTGTTCCTGAACTGTTATCAGTGTGGGAGTAGGGTTCACGGATTTCATATTCTAAACATGTTTGTGTGTGGTGTGTGCACACACACCTACTATGTGGCAGAGCCTGTCATAAGTGGTGATGGATTACTGTAGATATAGTTTGCTGGAGCTGCCATAACAAAGTACTACAGACTGGGTGGCTTAAATGACAGAGATTAATTTTCTCACAATTCTGGAGGCTGGAAGTCTGAGATCAGGGTGTCAGCAGGGTTGGTTCCTCCAAAGACCTCCTCTTGGCTTGCAGATGGTCGATTCTGGTGTGTCCTCAGATGGTCTTTCCTCTGTGCCTGTCCATCCCTGGTGTCTCTCTGTGTGTCCTAATCTCCTCTTCCTATAACAACATGAGTCTGATTGGATTAGAGCTCACCCTAAATGAGCTAAATAGGTTTAAACTTAATCACCTATTTAAAGCCCCTATCTCCAAATACAGTGATATTCTGAGGTGCTAGGGGGTTAGGGCTTCAACATATGATCCATATGGTTGAAGGGCTTCAAATTCATATATATATATATATATGTATATATATATATATATATGTATGTATATATATATATGTATATATATATATATATGTATATATATATACATATATATATATATATAGAGAGAGAGAGAGAGAGAGAGAGAGAGAGAGAGAGAGGGAGAGAGAGACAGTCTCGTTCTGTCGCCTAGGCTGGAGTGCAGTGGTGCGATCTTGGCTCACTGCCACTTCCACCTCCCAGGTTCAAGTGATTCTCCTATCCTGGCCTCCCAAGTAGCTGGGATGATAGGCATGCGTCACCACACCTGGCTAATTTTTGTATTTTTAGTAGAGATGGGGTTTCGCCATGTTGGCCAGGCTGGTCTCAAACTGCTGACCTAAGATGATCTGCCCACCTCGGCCTCCCAGAGTACTGGGATACAGGCATGAGCCACTGTGCCTGGCCTCAAATTCATATTTGAACATTTATTCAAATTTGAATTTTAGGGGGACATAATTCAGCCTGTAGCACTGTCAACCTAAAAGGAAGAAGCTGAGGCAAAATTAATATAAGTAAAGACTCTGTTTGGGCCAAGCTTGAGGACTGTAGCCAGGGAGCGTAGATTCAAGTTTCCCTGAATATACACTCCAATTAGCAGCAGTTACAAGTGGATTTATAAAGGCAAAAAAGGGGGACATGGAGTGGGCTGGTACACAGTTGGTTGTCAGGAATTCTCACTGGTTTTCAGAAATAACATTGATGAGTGATTGGCTATACATTGTTAAGCTATAAGGTGTGGGTTATAGCATCCAGTGGGGGCATTATTAGATTAATTTATAGCTACTTGTGGCAATGGCAAGCAGTTTTAAGAAATGAATACCGAGCTCAAAGGGGGTATGTAGGACATGATTGCTATCTCGTTCTATTGCCTCTCTGGGCCTAATAATTTAAAAGGCTTGTATTCCTCAGATGAAAGTTCTGTTCTTTTCTCAGCACCTTGAATGGCTGGAGAGAGCACCACCCCATCCTTGACCACGCTGAGTGCTGGCTGGACTTCAACTGGGCCAGTACTCCCTTTTCCCTTGTGGAAGGTCCCCTGATTAATGCTTACCTGAACGCCTGCTCTTCCTTCAGTCCCCAGTTCTCTGCATTCCCCAGCACTGGGAACAGAGACAGCATGTCTGTGTTATACAATAGGGAAGAGTATGGGCTCTGGCTTTAAACTTTGACTCTGCCCCCTTGTTAGCCCAGCGACTGTGAGCAAGTCATTTCACTTCACCCAACTTGTTTTCCTTTTTGTACATTGGAGGTTACTAAAAGCACCTTACCTGTCCAATTGTAGAGAGGATTAGGTGTATTAATGGGCATGGCACAGTAAACACTCACAAAATGCTAGCTACTATTAATTGTCAAGATTATGTTGGTTGCAAGGAGCAGAAACTCATATGGAAGTCATTTAGGCAATAAAAGGGGATAATTTATTGACTCTCATAACCAAATCCAGGAAGGTAGGAGAGCAGTTGAGTGGCAGGGGCAACTGGAAAGAGACCATTCCCCATGTCTGTCTGTCTGTCATATCTTTTTCATTTTTATATATATATATTTTTACCATGGTGGGTTTTTTTTGTTTCTTTTCTTTTTTTGGTTGTTTTTTCCATCCTTGGCTAGAACCATGGCTGCCAACAAGCTTCTCTGTTTCATAATGGGAGACCTTCTCATGTGGTTATGATGTGAAAAAGATCCCAGGGAAGGACTCTGATTGGTTCAGCTCGGGTCACATAGCCACCCACGTGGCCAGGTCAGGGGCTGGGGTGCTTAGGTGGGGCAGGGGGTTCTGGGTAGATAAAAATAATTAATGCCTTCTGCCTTATCTAAATGTTCTTTGTACTATGCCTGGCACTTGGTAGAAATTAAACAAATTCCCCTTTTTCCCTTTCTGTTTGACCCTCATGTCTACTTTTTATTACATAAAAGAGTAATCCAGAAAAGAAAGTCAGCTCATTGGAGACACTGGGTAGGGAGAAAAAGCTTTTTATAGAATATTAGGTAGGAGTAGTGGCTTAGGATGGTAAGAGCTCTGCACGAAAGGAAGACATTACGGTCTAAGGCCACCTGGGAGATCTGAGTCAAGCAGCTCTATCCCTTCCTGAGGACAAAAGAGATTTCAGGCAATGACTCATATTTGTTTGGAGAGCTAATTGACAAGACATATTAAGAGTTTTAGCAATTGTTCATGCTTTTTGATCCAACAAATTCACTTCTAGAGTGTCAAGAACTGTGCTGGTCTAAGATATTATCCTACATGGAGGCTAGCGAGTTTTATGGATGTGGGCAGAAGACATGAGACTCTGGATTGAGAGATAAAGGACTTTATTTTTCATGGTACAACAGGAAGCTTGAGCTTCATGTCTGCACCAGTTCCCTTTGACCCCCAAGTCCCTCAAGGGTGACACAGGTTGACATGGTTTGGCTGTGTCCCCACCCAAATCTCATCTTGAATTGTAGTTCCCACAATCCCCATGTGTCATGGAAGGGACCCAGTGGGAGGTAATTTAATCATGGGGGCAGTTATCTTCATGCTGTTCTTATGATAGTGAATGAGTTCTCACAAAATCTGATGGTTTTATAAGGGGCTTTTTCTTCTTTTGCTCATTCTTCCCCTTGCTGCCGCCATGTGAAGAAGGACATGTTTGCTTTCCCTTCTGCCATGATTGTAAGTTTCCCGAGGCCTCCCTGAGTCAATTAAATCTCTTTCCTTTATAAATTACTCAGTCTAGGGTATGTTTTTTGTTTGTTTGTTTTTTTGGTTTTTTTGAGACAGAGTTTCACTCTTGTCACCCAGGCTGGAGTGCAATGGCAGGATCTCAGCTCACCCCAACCTCTGCCTCACAGGTTCAAGCAATTGTCCTGCCTCAGCCTCCTGAGTAGCTGGGATTACAGCCATGTACCAACACACCCAGCTAATTTTGTATATTTAGTAGAGATGGGGTTTCTCCATGTTGGTCAGGCTGGTCTTGAACTCCTGACCTCAGGTGATCTGCCCACCTCAGCATCCCAAAGTGCTGAGATTACAGCCATGCCTAGCCTTTTTTTTTTCTTTTTTTGAGACAGAATCTCACTCTGTCGCCCAGGCTGGAGTGCAGTGGCTCATTCTTGGCTCACTGCAACCTCCACCTCCCGGGTTCAAGCGATTCTCCCACCTCAGCCTCCTGAGTAGCTAGGATTATAGGTGTGCACCACAATACCTGGCTAATTTTTTGTATTTTAGTAGAGATGAGGTTTCACCATGTTGCCCAGGCTGGTCTCAAACTCCTGAGCTCAGGCAATCTGCCCACCTCGGCCTCCCAAGGTGTTAGGATTACAGGTGTGAGACACCACACCCAGCCTTGGGTATGTTTTTATTAGCAGTGTGAGAAATGAGTAATACACGGATGGATCCAGGTAGAATCTGTGCCTGCAGTGGATTTGCATCACACCTGAGGAACCCCAAGTTTAGGAATCTTGGTCTTTTCAACCTTTACCCTGGATGGAGGGAGACATTGTCATTATAATCCTTTCTTTTTCTTTTTCTTTTTCTTCTTCTTTTTTTGTTTTTTGTTTTTTTGAGGTAGAGTCTTGCTCTGTCACACCAATGTTGGAGTGCAGTGGAATGATCTTAGCTCATTGCAACCCCTGCCTCTTGGGTTCAAGCAATTCTCCCACCTGTCTCCCAAGTAGCTGGGATTACAGGCACCCACCACCACACCCAGCTAATTTTTTAAGTGTTTGTAGTAGAGACGGCGGTTTCACCATATTGGCCAGGCTGGTCTCAAACTCCCAACCTCAGGTCATCTGCCTGCCTCAGCCTCACAAATTGGTGGGATTACAGGCATGAGCCACTGTGCCTGGTCTGGAGATATTATCGTTATAATCCTAATCAGCAAATAAATCTGTCTTCTACTATATTAGCCCTATCTTCCAATGCTATTAGCTATACAAACATCCTTATGAAGACGGTCTAGAACAAACGCTGACACAAGATGTGCAGAAATGTAAGAGACACATGGGGAATTGTTGCACAGCATAGAGAATCTTTCCTAAGGAAACTACATCTGAAACACACACAGAAAATGTATGCTTAAAGCAACAATAGTTCAGCATTAGGGGAAGAGGTTAAACAGACTGTTGTTGGGATATTCTTCTCTTTCTAAACATGTTTCTGAAGATCTTGGAATGGGAAGTGTAAACGTTCAACTTAAAGTGTAAAGTGGAGCAAAAAGCTGCAAAACTTGAATGTATGTTTTTATTAACTACGTAGAGACATCTATTCTAGGAAAACCTCGGGGGAGACTTGCTAAGATGTTCATAGTCCTCCTCTGGGCAATGAGTCTAGGAGCCACTGTTTTTCTTCATTTGGAATGTTCATAGTCCCCCTTGGCCAGGGTTCTCTGGTTTGCAGAGATGAGAGCTGGTTTTATTGAGCACTGACCCTGCCCTGAGCACATGCGACATTCTTGCCATACACAGTCTCATCAGCTGGAGTTTACTTGCTTCCTTTGACTCATGGGGAAACCAAGGCTCAGAGAAGTGACAGCACCTTGTTCAAGGACACGCAGATGATCTGGTCCAAATTGTGATGCTCCTGCTGCCACACCACAATGATTTTTGCATCTGCTGCCCTGTCATCTGGTCAGAAACACCCTAATTTTCTTTCTTTTTTTAATTTAAAGCATTTTTTATTTTTTAATTTTAGGTATATGTGTGTGTGTGTGTATACTTTTTTTTTTTTTGAGACGGAGTCGTGCTTTGTCACCCAGGCTGATGTGCAGTGGCATGATCTTGGCTCACTGCACCCTCCGCCTCCTGGGTTCAAGCGATTCTCCTGCCTCAGCCTCCTGAGTAGCTGGGATTACAGGCATGTGCCATGACCCCTGGCTAATTTTTGTATTTTTAGTAGAGATGGAGTTTTACCATGTAGGCCAGGCTGGTCTTGAACTCCTGACCTCAGGTGATCCGCCTGCCTTGGCCTCCCAAAGTGCTGGGATTACAGGCATGAGCCACCGCGCCCGGCCTGATATATATATTTCTGGATGACGTGAGATATTTTGATACAGGCATGCAATGCATAATAATCACATCAAGGTAAATGAGGTCTCCATCCCCGCAATCATTTATCCTTTCTGTTACAAATGATCCAGTCTACTCTTGTAGTTATTTTATTTTTTAGTTTATTATTGAGTTGGAGTCTCACTCTGTTGCCCAGGCTGGAGTGCAGTGGCTTGATTTTGGCTCACTGCAACCGCCGTCTCCTGGATTCAAGTGATTCTCCTGCCTTAGCCTCCTGAGTATCTGAGATTACAGATGTGTGCCAGCACGCCTGGCTACTTTTTTTGTATTTTTAGTAGAGACAGGGTTTCACCATGTTGCCCACGCTGGTCTTGAACTCCTGACCTCAGATGATCCTCCTGCCTTGGCCTCCCAAAGTGCTGGAATTACAGGTGTGAGCCACTGTGTCCAGCATCTTTTAGTTATTTTAAAATGTACAATTAAATTATTATTGACTATAGTCACCCTGTTGTGCTATCAAATAGATATTATTCTTTCTGTTTTTTTGTACCCATTAACCATCCCCATTTCCCCCACCCACTGTCCTTCCTAGCCTCTAGTAACCTTCCATCTACTCTATATGTTCATGAGTTACATTGTTTTAATTTTTAGCTTTCACAAATAAGTGAGAATATGTAAAGTTTGTCTTTCTGTGCCTGGCTTATTTCACTTAACATCCATGTTGTTGAAAATGACAGTACCTCATTCTTTTTTATGGCTGCATAGTACTTCATTGTGTATATATACCACATTTTCTTTATCAATTCATCTGTTGATGGACACTTAGGTTGCTTCCAAATCTTGTTTATTGTGAACAGTGCTGTAATAATCATGGGAGTGCAGAGATCTCTTCCATGTACTGATTTTCTTTCTTCCTAAGTTTTTTGCTTGTGTTCGGGCGTGTGATTTGTGCAGAACTGACTCTACTCCGAGGCTGGGTGGGTGAATGAGGCCTGGCCAACGAATACGTTCTGGTCTTTTGGCTACCATGGCAGGGTTAGGAATGCACATAGCACCCCATGCTGGGTACTTGAGAGCTGGAACCATCGGGAGATTCTGCTGGCTTTGCTACATGCTAGAATGTAAGTGTGAAGGTATTGGTGGCTCTTCTTGCCACTCCATTGGAGAATCAAGCTAACATGGCAGAGCCAAGAGGCAGAAGTGGAGATCTGGTGATGGTACCTGGTCCCAGGCCTGGATCAGTCATGCCTGGGAGATCCCATGGGTATGAGCTAATGAATGCATGAGCTAATGAACCCCCTTGACTTACCCTTTTCATTAAGCTAGTGTGAACTGAGGTTTTATGGCTTTAAACCAGAGCCCTAGTTTTAAATCATGATTCCTCTACTGGATTTTATACTCTTCTAGTTTTGGGTTTTTTTTGTTTGTTTGTTTTTTGGCAGATAGCAGACAATTGGATATTCCAATGACAATATGGCCCATCTTCCCTAAACTCCCACTGTTTCCCCACTGTTTCTCTCAGAAAGTTTGTTCTGAATTTGCCTGAGATGAACTCGGGCTCTGCACTCCCAAGCTTTGTGGCCCTGAGGCCGTCATTCCCTTCTCCTAGCCTTAGTCTCCCTCATCTTTAAAATGGGACGGCTAGAATTCATCATTGGCTGGGGTACATTGGCTCAAGCCTGTAATCCCAGCACTTTGGGAGGCTTAGGTGGAAAGATCGCTTGAGCCCAGGAGTTTGAGACCAGCCTTGGGAACATAATGAGACTTTGTTTCTATTTCTATTTAAAAAAATAAAGAAGAACCCATCACTGTGAACTCTTGTGAGAATCCAGTGAGGAGACGTGTGTAAGTGCCTGCCACAGTGCCTGGCACATGGTTGGAACCCCAGAGTGTATATGGTCCCAGTATTATTGTTTCTATGCTGTGTCCCAAAAGGCTGACTTATGTCAACTGTGGGAGCCCACCATTTCAGAAATTACTGAATAACCTGTGGAATTTCCCCTTAGTTACAAAGGTTACTCTTTTAAAAACTCTGTCCTCGGTCAGGCGCTGTGGCTCACGCCTGTAATCCCAGCACTTTGGGAGGTCGAGGCGGGTGAGTCACTTGAGGTCAGGCATTTGAGATGAGCCTGGCCAACATATTGAAACCTTGTCTCTACTAAAAATACAAAAATTAGCCGGGCATGGTGGCACATGCCTGTAATCCCAGCTACTTGGGAGGCTGAGGTATGGGAATCAATTGAACCCGGGAGGTGGAGGTTGTAGTGAGCCAAGATCGTGCCACTGCACTCCAGCCTGGGCAATAGAGAAAGACTCTGTCTCAGAATGAACAAACAAAAAATAAAAACTCTGTCCTTAAGGACAGGGTGATGCTTCTCTACCTTCTCCTTTAGGGGCAGGATGGAGTAACCACTGGACTGAAGAAATGATCTGTGAGTCCAGACGTGGTGGCTCATGCCTCTAATCCCAGCATTTTAGGAGGCTGAGGTCAGAGAATTGCTCGAGCCGAGGAGTTCAAGATCAGCCTGGGCAACAAAGCATGATGTTGTCTCCACAAAAATAAAATAATGAAGTAAAATATCTGAAACCTGCTGCAGCCTGTTCATTGGTGTTAAGATAACTCCCTCTCCCAGAAGCCTTGGCTAAGCACACTGTCGAGGCCAGTGCTTCTCAATAGGTGGGTGACTTTGTCCTCCTCACCCCCAGGGACACTTGGTAATATCTGGAGACATTTTGGGTTACTGCAATTGGATGGTATGCTACTGGCACCTATGGGCAGAAGCCAGGGATGCTGTTTCACACCCTGCAGCAAACAAGACAGCCCTGTCCACCCAACAAAGAATTGTCTGGCCACAACATTACTAAAGCTGAGGCTGAGGGAAGTTGGTCTAGGCTACATGTTTTTCTCTTTACAGAGAAAATGACCCATCATGTCTCCTAATAGAGAAACGCTGCTTCCGGCCGAATGACAAGAGCTCACGCCTGTAATCCCGACACTTTGGGAGGCCAAGGCAGGTGGATCACTTGAGGTCAGGAGCTCGAGACCAGCCTGGCCAACATGGTGAAACCTCGTCTCTACTAAAAATACAAAAATTTTTAGTAGAAATTTAGTAGAAATTTTTAGTAGAAATTTAGTAGAAATTTAGAATAAGCCAGGTGTAGTGGCACACACCTGTAATCCCAGCTACACAGGAAGCAGAGGCAGGAGAAGTGCTTGAACCCGAGAGGCAGAAATTGCAGTGAGCTGAGATCATGCCACTTCATTCCAGTCTGGGCCACAGAGCAAGCCTCTCAAAAAAAAAAAAAAAAAAAAAAAGCTGCTTCCCAGATTGGGCAACAGAAATACGAGTGGTGTGCAGAATGAGTGTGTAAATATAGGTGCATAGGAACATGGGGAGGGTGAATCCATGACATGAGGGGAGGTGTGCACGGAGGGGTATGTGTGCACACAGGTGTGTCTGTGCCCAGGTTGTGTGTGTGTGCGTGCATGCATGTACTTGTGCGATGTATGAATCAGTGCCTATAAGTGTGTGCATCGTGTGCAAGTGGCACGTGTGATGTGGGCGTGTAAGACAGGAAATTGTGTGGATAAGCAATGTATGGGATGATGGGTACTGACAGGTGCGGGAGTGGATTTTGTGTCTCTAGAGTGTAAGTGACTGGCTTGTGTGTGTCACTGTATAGAGAATAAGTTGTATGTGGAAACAGGAGGAGAAAGGAAGGGACCCAAGGCATGAGCCACCATTTTGGTTTCCCAGGGTGGCCCACGCCCCGACTTACCACTCCGGAGGCCTGCTGGGCAGCGTTGGTAGCTGGCAAGACAAAGCAGAGAAGCCAGTAACCAAACAGCACTCCAGATGACTGGACTCCCTTTTTCCTCTCGGTGTGAATCAGGAACACTGCGAAGCTCTGGACGGGAAAGTCAGGGAGGCCCCTTAGGGGAGGGTGGGAGGCTGAGGGGAGCCTCTTCTCTTCCCCTTGTTCTCCACTGTGGCAGGCAAAGCAGCAGCTGGGAGGAAGCCGGGCTCCAGACTGAAGGCATCATTACCATCGTGGTGAGCCACACAGTAGGATGAATGAGGAATTCTGGGGCCTCAGGCGTTCCCTGTTGGATTTTCCAAAGAGCGACAGCCACGCTGGAGGTACACAGGACTATGAGGGTGAATCCAAGCACCTGAGGATACAGGCTTAGATAAGCTTGGGGGGCAATAAGAGAGGTCACAGCAAACTGGTAAGCAGCCCCATGTCCAACTGGGAGCTGGTTCTGCAACATCCTGGCTGATACTGAGTATACCAGGGTCACCAGCTAGCAACGTGCCAATGTGAACAATGTGTAAAGGGCATTGCAGATCACTCCTGACCTGTAACTGTCATATAAATAATGCACAGGAAGGGCTTGAGCCAACCGAGTGTTTTCCAAAATGCAGGAAGTGCTCCAATCGTGCACATATGAGATGACTCTGGGTATGGAGAAACAGCAGGAAATGAAATGTACTCACCAGGTAAAAAACTATCCTTTCTCCAAGTCATTTTTCAATCCCTGCTATGAAATCAAGGAGCAACTCTCTGTTGGGCCAGTAAGTCTCTAGGGTCTCTCTAATATATTTTGGTTTCTCTATTGAATAAAAGAAAGGAAGAAAATGAGAGAACGTGGGCACACCAGAGGGAAGGCCAGAGCTAGGTTACGTTGGAGTAACTGCTCAAAGAACCTCAGTTTAAAGCAGAAGTTGGCAAACTATCAATCATCAAAGAAAAACAAAAAGCATATGTCATGACAGGTGAAAATTACATGAAATCCAAATTTCAGTGACTACAAATAAAGTTTTATTGAAACGCAGTCGGCCGGGGGTGGTGGCTCACACCTGTAATCCCAGCACTTTGGCAGGCCGAGGCAGGCAGATCACCTGAGGTCAGGAGTTGGAGACCAGCCTGGCCAACATGGCGAAACCCTGTTTCTACTAAAGATACAAAAAAATAGCGAGGTGTGGGGGTGGGCACCTGTAATCCCAGCTACTCGGGAAGCTGAGGCAGGAGAATCACTTGAACCCAGGAGGCGGAGGTTGCAGTGAGCCGAGATCGCACCATTGCACTCCAGCCTGGGTAACAAGAGCAAAACTGCATCTCAAAAACAAAACAAAACAAAAAAGTAACACAGTCATGACTATTGTCTATGGTTATGACTATTGCGTTCATTCTGGAATGGCAGAGTTCAGTGTTCGGAAGGAAGATTACCTGGCTCACAAAGTCTCAAATACTGTGTGCCACTTGGCTCTTTAAGTTTGCCAACCCCTGGGTTGGTGGTGGGTGATAATGTAAAAATTAATACAATGGCAGAAGAATGAATGAACTCTGAAGAACATTCTTTGGAAGTCTACAAGAATGGAGTAGAAGAGGATGGATGAGCAGAAAGGCTCACACTTGGAATGCCAGTGTTTATTTAACACACTAAGGTAAATACATATCACATATAAAAATTGTCCTATAATACAGCTAGTGGGGAAACATAAAAATAAATGCATAACTTTTTAAAAGGTTCATCCTAATGTGGCCCTAAAATTACCTTGTGTATCCAAGAGTCTACATGGTATGTTTTGGAAAATGCCAGGTTATGGTAGCTATAAACTGTCCAGGAACATGGGAGTGTATGCGTATGTTTGCGCATGCGTGGATTTTCGGAATTACAAAATCTGTTTGGGAGAACCGTGTTCCACTGAGTTGACCTCTGTAGCCTTTCTAATATTGCTCTGTTTGATTAACAGATTCCCTTCTACACCCCGATAGGAGGAGTCTACTTTAAGACTTCACCAGGTTCCAGCCTGTCCCCTGCCTCCCCCCACCATTGCCTGGTTCCAGGCTCCCAGGGATGGCAGCTACCATCTTGGCTTTGAAGAGTGGGGACATCTGGAGGTAGCCCCGGCCATGGTGGTGGATGAAGAGGAGGTAGATGGGACCAAGGACCCAGAGGTACATGGGGGGCACCCAGACCCCTGCTGTTCTCAGGAAGCACAGGCTCAGCAGGCTGGTGGCGGCAGGTTCAGGCTCTGTCTGGTTCCAGACCTGAGGGAACACAAAGAGGACCCTTAGGATGGTACAAGGCAGGGGTCCCCAGCTCACCTGCCTGGGGGGCCAGGCAACTTTTTGGATCTTTAACATTTACACAAAAATGTGCCAAGTACTCTTTGGAATACCTACTAATTCTCAATTCCTTTCATCCTGACATTAACCCTAGGTAGTTGCAATTATATTGATATGCAGATGAAGAAGCTGAGGACCAGAGAGGTTGAGTAACTTTGCTGACTTTACCCAGCTGAGGAGTGGAAGGGCTGGGATTTGAACCCAGGGAACTGGGCCATGTGGTCTAGGAGACCTGGGCTCCATAATCATTGCTAGGCATGGACTGTCAGTTAATCCTTATAACAACTCCAGGATGCAGACAGTACTGTCTCCATTTCAGAAACCAGCAGACTGAGGCACCAATCAGGGAACTGCCTCCCCCAGGGACACACAAATGGGAAGTGGCAAAGCTGACTCTGACCCAGGCTTATCTGACCCCAAACCTCGTTCAACTGGTGGTCTTGATGTATGATTTATTTTTATTTTTTATTATTAATTAATTTATGTTTTAGAGACAGGGTCTCACTCTGTTGCCCAGGCTGAAGTGGCACAATCAAAGCTCAACAAAGCTTCGAATTTCCTGGGCTCAAGCAATCCTCCCACCTCGGCCTCCCAGAGTGCTGGGATTACAGGCATAAGCCGCCTCACCAGGCCTGGCTAATTTTTTTTTTATGTTTTGTAGAGATGGGGGTCTCTCTATGCTGGTCTCGATCTCCTGGCCTCAAGCAATCCTCCTGCCTCAGCCTCCTAGGTACTGGGATTACAGGCAAGAGCCACCGGCCCAGCTTGATCTGTTATTTTCATCTCAGCAGGTCTGCTGGTCCTATCTAACCCTAGAAGAAATTTGAAGTTTAGTGGACGTGGCCTCTTCAATTCTCTCTCCGCTGTCTTTTTACTCCTCCTGGTTTCACAACTCACCGGCTGTGCAAACTTTAACCTCTCTGTATCTCAGTTTCCTTCCCTGCAAAAGGGGGATAACGAGACTCTACCTCTATGAGTTGTATTAAATGGATGAATAGCAGCAAAGTTCATAGCAGCATGGCACAAGGTTGGGCACAAGGCTAGGCACAGAGAAAGCCCTCAGTTCATTGCCAGTTTATTGCTTCAACTCCCTGGCCCTCGAAATGCTGGCAGTTTGCAACCCCCACCCCCACTCCATGAACTCCACTCCCTGGAGTCCTTTGCTAAGAGCAATGGAAAAAGAAACCAGAGAGGTAAGGGCTCTCCGGGGGTAGGAGGGCTTGGGGGACCCACTAGCTTTATGCAAAGAAGGGTCAAAGCCCCTAGTAGCTGGGAGGTCTGGTGGCCCCTTAAATAGAGCTGGGCTCTCGGCTGCTGGCTTGGTGAAAGAAATCCAACCCGCTGCAGTGAGGGGGCCGGAGTAAGTCTCCTCGCTTCCCGGGTCCAGGAATTTGGGGGTCTCTCCTCTCCCCAGTATCGCAGCCCGAGAGATCTGCAGCCAAACCAAGCCTGGAAAAGGAGAGTGGGGCGCGATGGGGGGCACTCACCCCCTGCCCCGCGCAGGGCTCAGCAGGCGCGGCCATCGGCGCCTTCTGTCGTCGTGGGTCCCAGCGTCTGTCTGTCGCTAAGTCTCTGGGCAGACTGCTCGGCCGCGATCCTGCCGGAGAAGAGGCGGGGCTGGGCTGGTCGGGCTGGGCTGGTCCGGCTGGGATTCGAGCTCCAGGATCGGGAGGCCCCGGGCAAGGTCCAGCTGCGCGGCGGGAGTGAGGCCACGGGAGGTGAAAACAGGCGAGGTGGGGGATGGGGGAAGAGAGGCGCTCGGGGAGCTGGGACGGGCACCGGGTTGGGGGGTCCCGGAACCCCTGAAAGTTCAGTGACACCTCCAGAGTTCCCTCTTCCCCCTGCAACAAGAATCACTCCAAACTTCCCAAACACTTTGGACCCAGCAATTTCCAGGAGTTCATCCTGATGAGAGAACTGAAAGGTGTGCACACGTTAGTAACAAGGAGGCCTGGTGACCGCCTAAGCGTCCAATCCCGGGGACCACC